>NC_000023.11:109962542-110587542 GCF_000001405.40 Homo sapiens | reverse complement strand
CGACTCAGGAGAGGGACTGATCTTTGATCTGATTGTCATCTACTTAAGACCACAAAAAGACTAAACTGCTGGCAAAGTGGTGTGAGGGGAACTTAACCCCTTTTATGTATATAAGCTTTTACAAAAACAACATTACTGAGCTATAAGATATATGCCATAAAATTAACCCATTCTAATTATATAATCCAATAGGGTTTTTAAAACATATTCACCAAGTTATGCAACCATCACCACAGTTTAATTTTAGAACACTTTCATCATCTCCAAAAAGAAACTGCATAAGCATTAGTAGTCATCCCATTCTTGTTCTTCCTCTCTCCCTGCTCCAGACCCAGGAAAACACTAATCTACTTTCTGTTTCTATGGATATATCTATTCTGGACATTTCACATAAATGGAATCATGCAATATATCATCTTTTGTGACTGGCTTCTTTTACTTAGCATAATGTTTTCAAGGTTTGTCTATGTTGTATTATAATATGTTTCAGTACTTCGTTCCTTTTTATGGCCAACTAAAATTTCATTGTATGGATATGCCACATTTTATTTATGCATTCTTCAGTTGGTAGATATTTGGGTTGTTTCTACTTTTGTGAATAATGCTACTGTGAACATTTGTGTACAAGCCTTTGAACATCTGTTTATAATTCTTTTGAGTATATACCTAGGAGTGGTATTGCTGGGTCCTATGGTAATTCTATGCTCAACTTACTGAAATACCAACAAATGGTTTTCCCACAGTGGCTGTGCCATTTTACATTTCCATCAGCAATGTATGAAGGTTCCACTTTCTCCACATCCTCACCAACATTTTATAAGTCTCTTTAAAGTAGGCCTTGCAGTGCTTTAATAATAATAATGGTAACAACAATATTAACAGCCAATACTTACTATGTGTCAGGCATTCTCCTAAGCACTTTACATAAACTCGTTCAATCTTCATAGAAACCCATTTTACAAAATACCAGTGAATTGGGTGTGATTTTATCACCCCCATCTTATAAATGAACTGGATAAGCCATACAGCTGTTAAGTAACTTACTCGAGGTCACATGGTTTGTATTTGTGAAACCAAGATGCAAACCCAGGTCAAGCATGCTTAGTTTCTCTACTCTTTTGAAAAGAGCTGAAGCTCAAGCTGCTTCAGAGGTAAAAGTGGAAGGAAAGATAGTACCCATAAGGAATCACCACCCTAACGGGTAAAAGCTACAGGTAACAGGGTAACCTCAAAACCAGTGAACCCCCAATCACACCTGCTTGCAAACATTTGCAATTAAAATTGAATGCAAAGTTAGCTTGGAGATTCAGGTAAGACTCATTTCCATGGAGGACGTTTTTGGTAAATAAGAGACATGTTGTCCAAATTAGAATGCGTTTCCTCTAGATTGTTGCCAGCCATTGGAAATGGCTTTCCTTCACAATGCTTTTCATAGCACTTTTGTTTAAAAAAATTAGAAGTTTACATTTGGTATTTTGTCTTTTTGGGCTAAGAATCCAGTGGCAAACTCTTTGGATAAAGTGCTTGCTTTGAAGAATCAAAGAAGATGGATGTCAGGAAGAGGATAAATTATGAAAACATTGGGAAATAACTATAATTCAGGCTATGGGCTAGACCTTAAAAGCTTAAAGTTGATTGTTTTCATTATCAAGTTGGCAATGGCAGTATGGTTGTTGAGATTTTAGGCTACTGTCTTTCTGAGTTATATTCTGGACTCTGGTACTTGCTAGCTGTGTAACTTTTAATCAAGTTACTTAACATCTCTCTACCTGGTTTCCCCATCTGTAAAATGGGCATTATAGTACCTATCACATAGAATTGTGGTGAAGATTGTTAACGGAAAAAACAAACTCTGAAAAGTATTTTAGAAGTAAATTCTGAGGCAATATGAGTGCTCATGGCCCGGAGGAAAACACAGACCGGAGAAGCCTTGAGTAAGCAGTCCCTAATTGGTCAGATTACAGTTTGGTTTTATAAATTTTAGGGAGGAAGGAGTTATAGGCAAAGACATAAATGAATACATGGAAGGTATATATTGGTTTGGCTCTATGGGGAAAACAATTCGAGCAGCATTTTCTTTTCTGAGAGGCACTCCTTAGGAAAGAGATGTTGTACAGTGGGATCACATGCCATAGGATGTGCACAGGCTTAGAATGATGGGGCTGTCTTGAAGTGGGGGCTTACAGATTATAGGTGGATTCAGAGATTCTTTAATTTGCAGTTGGTTAAAGGAGTAAGGCTCTGTCTAAAACTTGGAGTCAGCAGATAGAAATGTTTTAAGTTAAGATAAAAATGCTATCTAGTAAGATTGATAGCTGGCAAGTCTGACTTAACTCTTCCCTTGCATGGCCTTAGGTCTTGTTTATAATTAAGTATCTTATTGCCACGAAGACTCTGTCTTGTCAGTCTTATCATCTCCATTTTAACATTAATACTGCTCAGTTGTGCCTAGACTCCAAAAGGGAGGGTTATAACGAGGTGTGTTTGACCTTCCTTCCCATCATAATCAAAAACTCAATTTTTCAGATTTCTCTGGGGTCCCCTTGACCAAGAAGGCATCTGTTCATTTGTTGGGGGGCTTACAATTTTATTTTTAGTTTACAGGATTAAATGGAGATAATATGTATAAAATGCTTAAAATAATGTTTGGCATATTGTAAGATCTCAATAATTGCTGCTCATAGTAGTAATAATAATTATTGTTATTTTTGTATGATAATACTAAACGTTGTCAGGAAAAGGTAATATCATAAATCTTAAAATGAACATACTCCTTGACCCTAGAATCCCACTTTTAGAATAATTATCCCAATAATTACATATTCACTGTCTGTTCACTGCAACTATAACGTAGACCTGCATGTCTTGAAAGAATCTTTATAATATATTGCTAAGTGAAAAAAAGTACATTATAATTTCAAGATTTGAAAAATACATGTATATATATGCTTGGAAAAAGGTCTAGAATATTGATATTAACAGTAGCTATCCCTGAGTTTTTGATCATTTTTATGACTTCTTGATTTATTTATACTCTACTTTTTTCCCTCAATGACCAGGTATTATTTGTGTAATTTTAAACAGTCATTTTTAAGAGTCAAAGCCTGCCAGTGTCTGATTCCCCTCATCTGGCAGCAAGTTTGGACACTAGTGGAAGCAGCCCAGATTATATATGAGGTATTTTACATTCTCCACAGCCATCCGAGGATAGAATCTCAATTAGAACATCAAGGTCTGCCTTCTGTGGCCCCTTGCTATGTCAGTTCCACCTATGAGCTGCTGTGGATTTGCATAAATTAAACGCTGCTGGATAGCTGCCATTGTCTTGAAAAATGGAATGTGATCAGCATGGGGGAGGGAAGGAGAGGGAAAATTTGTCTTTGTTTCATCGTCTTCTTGTTAATATTCATTCAAGACTGCTTTAACCACAGGTCAGTTGTGGTTTGGTAATTTTTTATTTTTATTTTTTCCTATGGGGAAAACAATTTGAGCAACATCTTCTTCGTGAGAGGCACTCCTTAGGAAAGAGATGTTGTACAGCAGGATCATATGCCATGAGATGTGCCTAGGCTTAGAATCACAGAATTTTCAAGTGAGAGGTGCCCCTAGAGACTGCCAGTCCAGTGTTGCCTGCAATCATTATAGGATATGCTGAGCTTTTGATGAACAAAAAGCTCATGTCCTTTTTGTAGTTTTTATCATGAAAACAATCTTCCTTTTTCACATTTTCCCTTTATAATATTTTAAATTTATAAATCATTTTAAAATTTGAACAACACATTTTTAATACTAGAAAGTGCCTTAGTGCTTTTTAAATGGTTCTGATTGTGATATTATACCCTCCTAGGGTGGGTGTTCACAATGCCCTCACAAGTGCAAAAATCATTAGTTTAAGCAAAGCTCCTCTCCTTATAGGCATTTCTCTCTTTCATTCAGTTAGTTATTAAGCCACTGCTACATTCTAGGGAATGTGTAACTCATGTTATATGCCTCCTGTGAAAAGCAAAGCTCCACAGATCTAATCAATAAGTCTATGGTTAAGTGTGAGTTGGATTCATTCAATCATCCATCCATCCATCCATCCATCCATCTATCCATTCATTGAACATATGTTTATTGAGCATCCATTATGTCTCAGGCAATAATTTACATTTTGCAGGAAACAGTAGTGAGCTGGAGTTTACATTTTAGTGGGGAGAGAGACAGTAAATATAATTCAAAGTCAAGTAGTGATAAGTGCTATGAGAAAGCAAATCAGGGCATGGGAGTGTTTCTTTAGATAGGATGATCAAGGAAGCCTCCAAGGAGATGACATTTGAAAGAGATAGCTGAATGAGATGAGAACATAATCAGAGACAATCCTAGGGTTGAAATGCATTTAAAACAGTTATCTAGTGTTTATTTTCAGAATCTGTTGAGACTCATGGCAGAAAGTCTCCCCTGACTTCAGAAGGAGAGATGACTGGGGACAGGTAAGCAGTGGGAAGCATTCCATAGCCCACATTGGAAACCAAGAGACACAGCATTAATCAGGTCACAGTTAGCAGAGGAGGACTCAGAATGCCTATATCAGGATGGTCTACTGGGGGAACCCATCCCCAACATTTCAATGTAGGTTCTTTCTATTTTCCCTAAGTGTCGGCCATTCTAAGAAATAAAGAGAAAGAGTACAAAGAGAGGAATTTTACAGCTGGGCTGCCAGGGTTGACATCACATATCGGTAGGTCCGTGATGTCTCCTGAACCACAAAACCAGCAAGTTTTTATTAGGGATTTCAAAAGGGGAAGGGGTGTATGAACAGGGAGTAGGTCACAAAGATCACATGCTTTAAAGGGCAACAAAGATCACAAGACAAAGGCAAAGCAAAGATCACAAGGCAAAGGGCAAAATTAGAATTACTGATGAGGGTCTATGTTCGGCTGTGCACGTATTGTCTTGATACACATCTTAAACAACAGAAAACAGGGTTTGAGAGCAGAGAACTAGTCTGACCTCAAATTTACCAGGGCAGGATCTTTTCCCTACCCTAATAAGCCTGAGGGTACTGCAGGAGACCAGGGCGTATTTCAGTCCTTATCTCAACCGCATAACATAGACACTCCCAGGGCGGCCGTTTATAGACCTCCCACCAGGAATGCGTTCCTTCCACAGGATATTAATTATTAATATTCCTTACTGTGGAAAGAATTCAGCGATATCTCTCCTACTTGCACATCCATTTATAGGCTCTCTGCAAGAAGAAAAATATGGCTCTATTCCGCCCGACCCCGCAGGCAGTCAGACCTTATGGTTGTCTTTCCTTGTTCCCTGAAAATCGCTGTTAACTCTGTTCTTTTTCAAGGTACACTGATTTCATATTGTTCAAACACACATGTTTTACAATAAATTTGTACAATAGTGGTCCTGAGGTGATGTACATTCTCAGCTTATGAAGATAACAGGATTAAGAGATTAAAGTAAAGACAGGCATAAGAAATTATAAGAATATTATTTGGGAACTGATAAATGTCCATGAAATCTTCACAATTTATGTTCAGAGATTGCAGTAAAGACAGGCATAAGAAATTATAAAAGTATTAATTTTGGGAACTGATACATGTCCATGAAATCTTCACAATTTTTGTTCCTCTGCTGCGGCTCCAGCCAGTCCCTCTGTTCAGGGTCCCTGACTTCCTGCAACAATGGTCTGTATCAGAAACAAAAATCAGCAGTTTTGGAACTCCCAACTCTTTAGGCTCTCAGATTATCTGCTTCTGTGATGGATAAATCGCTTGTCCTTGTCAACCCCCTCTACTCATCCTTCCTACTCTCATCCACCCAGTAGTGTGACTGAAGGGTCTAGAGGAGCTCCACATTTCACAGAGCAAAGTTTTAAAACCCTGGGACTAGATGCTCTAAAGCTTGACCCAGGAGGGCATAAGCCCTGGTTGCCAGGGCTTTGGGATAGCAATTAGCTGAGATTCTAGGAGGTGTAAACCAGGAAGCCATTTCTGTTCTTGGGCTCAGGGGCACAAGCCAATGGTGGGGAGAAATGGAGAAGCCAGGTAAACTCAGACAAGCTTCAGAGAAGACATTACCAAGATAGAACAAATTCTGAGCAAACAGGGATGTGACTGTGTTTGTAACAGCCCCTCTCTCCTTTTGGTGCCCTCTCTGTTTCCAGTGCCCCTTATTGCAACTCCATCCAGACCCTGAGTTGACTCTCGATGAATTGTCCACTAATCTCCCCAGGAAGGGTAACTCATAAGATTTCAAATCACTAGGTTGTAAACTAGAGCCCCAGGGGTCTGAGGTGGTGCTTTGAAGGCCACAATGGGAGATGAGTGGGTGGCTGAGCAACTGGGCTTTGGCTTTCTTAGCCCTGTTAACCAAATCAATAATATTTATATCTGCTATACATGCTGGCTGCCATAAAAAGATCTAGCTTCTTTAGAAAAAAACACCAAAGTGAAACAAAAACTGTCACTGTAAGTTGTTACACCTTCTGGGATGTGATAGCTAAGTGTTAGGGTCTAAGACAGGTGGGTGGCCAGTATTCCATCCCAGGTTCACCTCAGCAGTGACCTGCAAATTATTGAAAAATTTTTGAAATTGATTACTGTAAATTCTGTTTCCTCATAGGGTTGTGGTGAGGATCAAGTGAGGTGATAGTGTTTGAAGGGCTTTGTACAATGCCTGCCATATAATAAAAGCACAGTAAATGTTAGCTATTATTAGCTACACATATTAAGGTACTCTAGTACCTTGCTACTCAAAGTGTAGTCCATGGACCAGCAGCACCAGCATCCCCTGGGAGCTTGTTAGAAATGCAGACTCTCAGGTCCCAACCCAGATTTACTGAATCAGAACCCACAACTTACCAAGATCTGCAAGTTATTCATATGCACTTTATAGTTTGAGAAGCACTGGTTTAGAAACCATTCAAGATCAAAAGAATAGATCTTGAGTGATAGTGTTCTGGGTGCTATTTTGGGGGCATTAGAAGTCCTTCCTTTATGATACCCATCAAATCATGTCATGTAAACAGTTACTTTCTTGACTAAGAAGGTTGATTTTGCAAGTAAAGTACCTGACTGCCTCCAGAGAACATATTCATCTTTCAAGGCTCATCTCAAGCATTCTCTCCTCAGTACTGCCTTTTCTGACACACCTATCTCACCATGCACATTCTCATGGAACTGAACACTTCTCCCTTTGCCTTCCTCTTGAATCTGAACTGACTTTTACATCATGACACAAAAATATGTACAGCAGGATTGGAATGTATACCCAGCAATTCAGATGTGCAAAAATATTACCTAGAATTGAACTAAGCTACCTTAGGAACTTACCACCCATGTGAGTAGAAGGGAGGGAGTGCAGACACATAATTCATTGTGCCAAAGGAAAGAGCTGCCTTTTTGGATAAATGTTGAGTCTTTCATGTTTTAACTTCATTTCCCCTCCTATAAAATAATGTACCTGGGGGAAGTGGGGTTACAGAGGATGGAGCCTTGGATCCATGCTAATTTTTCTGGATGCTCACTATTCTCTGCTATGGAGGGGCTGGTTTGGAACAATCCTTACAGCTACATAAAGAGTGATGTGCAGTAGGTCCCTTCAGTCTTTTAGGGGCTTCATTGGTTGCACCTGTTGTTGAAATCTCTGGTTTTAGCTATTTGTTTCTGGTTGCAAAGCTCCCTGATTTTGTAGTTTTGTTATTCCAAACCTAGGCTTCTAGTGACCCACTGGTCCTTTCTACTCCTTCAAGCTCTGGATTTTCCACATGCCAGAGGCAGGCTATGAAGAAACAGAAGGGCTACATCAGATTCATGCTCTTAGATAACTCCCTCCCCTATTGCTGTTTTACCACCTGGATGTGTCAGATTGCTTCAACACCAGGATGAATGCAGGACTTCTCCAAGGAGGCATCACTTCTTCCTAGTCTGTGAGGAACATGCCTCACTGCTTGTGTGGTTTTTATCAGGCCCGTCTGGTATCTGTCTACTTGCCCCTCTCATTTTCTTCTTTCTTCCACAGTTCCATATCCCAGATCCTAAAAGTGGTCTTTACTCCCTAGGCAGGTGGGAACTTCCTTTGCATCTTTGACTAAGTTCTTTTCTCTCATGGCTTAGAGTAAAACCCTGTGCTTTGCTTAGAATATATAAGGGAAGCTTTTGGCATTTGAAAATTCTTCTCTTCATTGATAAAACCTCACTCTTAAAACCTGTTTAACAAGGGTTCATAGTCATTTTGTGACATAGTAGTCTCCTTTAGCAGTCTGATGGTATCTCTGGACCCCTTCTCAGAATATTGTTTTTAAATAGATTAAAAAGTACATAGGATTGTAAGGAAAGCCAATTATATTGAAATACAGTTATCAAAATATGAAAACAATATCATGATAGAATAATACCTGTGGTTAATTAATGCATTAAGTGATAAGATCTAGTGGCAGGACTAGTAACCACTATAATTTTGAAGTAATGATGAGAGTAAATAACATTTTGAGATAACTATAGGAATATTAGTTTGATATAAAATATCCGTCATCATTTCTATTGGTGACAAAGTTACGGGTATGGGTAATATTACTTTGTTGTTGCCTACATTCATAATGAACATAAATGCTAACTTTTGGTGAAAAATTAGTGAAAATTAAGATGCATCACATACTTTGTGTACTTTAACTTTTGATTTTTTTAAAAAAAAAAAAACCCTCAGCTATAGATTAAAAAAGCAAAATTTAATCTGTCAGTCATAGCTAAAAAATGACTTTTTGGTATCCACCCTCCCCTGAAGAGTAGAAACCTACAGATTCTGTGAAACCTAGGACATCAAGACTTCCAGGGAATAAACAATATGTCAATTTAATTGTTTAAAAATGGATTATGGCCATTACACTGCTTATTGGCATTGGTTTGTTTTCATATCCATCTCCTGCACTAGACCATGAGCCTCTTGAGAGCAGGGATTGGGATTGTGTTTTAGTCATCTTTATCTCTTAGGAGCTAGCCTACCACATGGCAGCTACTCAGAAATGGTTTAACAAGTGAATGAAGCAAATGAACCAGCTTTGCCTGCAAATCTGCAGGATTTAGCAGCCTGCTGAGCCATTCACCATTCAGCTCCTGTTCAGACTCCAACTGTTGCAAGCTCATCATCAAAGACTTGTCCACTCAGCTCCAATGCACTCCAGTCTTCAGCTTTTAGTGCCTCTTTCTTTCAATACACATACACAGGCAGGCACACATGACAGGAGGACAAGTCATGTAACAACATCAGCTGCCACAAATCGCTGACACCCCCTATTCATTCAATACATGACCATGATTTCCCCCTATGTACTAGGCTTTGAATACAGAGCGGGAATACAGAGGCCAGTAAGCCAGACATGGAGAGTGTTCAGAGGCTGATATAAGGAGAGAAAGCTGTCAGAGGTCTAGGTAATCTCCCTTACTTTACCAGAGTAGCAACACTTTTTGTCTATTTTATATATTGTTTCATTTTTAGAAAGTGTTTCATAGCTAAGAAATATTTAAATACCACTGCCCCAGTGGAAGACCCTGGCAACTGAAGTGGCTCTAAGCTCAACCTCTTAAAAACCACCTTCTTGGAATGGCAAAGAAGAGCTTATGTATTCAGGATTTAGTCCCAACAAAGAAAAGTTTTTCTTATTCTTAAAGTCCTCAGGGAAGGAGATTCAAGAGGACAAAGTCCCTGTCCCCTTGGATGTCTGGGCATCAGCATCTTTCTGCCCTTGATGGGGGTAGGAAAAGGAGAGGGTCCTTTTGTCCTAGTTGTGGGCCCCAGCCACAAGACCTACAGGAAGGAGATGTGGATTTTGCAGAGAATGGAATTTCTGAGTGGTTATGCCACAGACGCCAAGCTGATGCCTTCTCCCTGGCACCGTGCTTCCCTCTTCTGCCTTTATAAGTGAGATGGCAGAGAGAATCAGGAATGCAACCTCTCCAAGGCCAAAATGTGGTTAATTCCATTGACAACTGGAAATCAAGACCAAAATCTATAATGCAGAATAGTGCCCTTTTTACACTGCCTTGTTTAGATGGGGAGTGTAAATTACATTAAAAATATATATGGGGCCTGTGGGGACTGTGTTTGGAAACAGATGAGGCACGTAGTCTTGGGAAAACATTTTCCCCAAGATTTGCCTTCTCCAGGACTGCATTACTTTGTTTGCTGTTAAAAGCAAATGTGGAAAGAAATAATTTGAATTTGATTGGTTAAGCCACCACGTTTCTTCCACTGTCACCCCACCTCAAGCCTTAATAAAGGTCAGACAGTGATGGTGGCCCAGGCAGAATTATGAGGAGTGAACTACATGAAGACATAATATAAATGAGGCCCAATGGCTTGCGCATAGTGCAAAAGGAATCAATTGCTTACTCATTCATTCAATTATTAATATTTCCTGAGCATCAGCTATGTGTCAGGCACTTTGTGAGGTGCTGGAAGTATAGGGGACATAGTCACATTCTCTGCCTTCCTGGAGCACAGATGAGTTAACCTATGTCTATAAGTGTTAGCAACCTCATTATAAAATCAGGTTACTATGAGTATCTTTCTCATGGGGTTGTTATGGGGACAGAATGAGTTAAAACACAGGTATGCTCAGCTGGGACATTTTGCAGATTTTATATTAAAAAACAAATTTTTCTCTACTCACTTATCTGCTTAAAAGCTTATAAATGTTCCAGGCAAAGACAGGATTATTAGGAAATGAGGATGGAGAAGTCCAGAGATTGCTACTATGGCAATGAAATCTACCCATAGGAATTTGCCTCTAGACTTCAACCTTTGAATTTGCTCAGTCTGTGGTCAGGGATTTATTGCCCCAGTTTGTTAGGGGTCCTCAGTTTCACAACTCCATCTGCCTTTTGCCCTGATGAAATTCCAGCTCAGTTAGTGATTTGTTTCCTGATAGACTGGTCCCCAGGGGCATCATATCTATACAAAAACTCAGGTGCTGGCTCTACTCAGAAGCTGCTATATTAGTGGTATTGTTCCCCAAAATAGAGATCCTCTGACCCTAAGGCCCATGGGTCCTTCCTTAGTCAAAGTCTGCCTAACGAGGCTTTTTGTTTCAGGATCCTTTTTTTCTTAAGTATAAATTAAGGAATACCCCAAAAGCAGGCTTGGGTGAGCCTCTGCCTTTGGTGACTTATTTCTAATTTATGGAGGAAGGAAGGCAATTAGATTACATGCCATGCTTAATTCTAAGGCTAGCAGTAATGTTTATAAATATACCAACTTTTTTGTTACCAAAATAAGTACCTTTTGGTAACAAAATATCTGAGCTGCAATGAACTATCACTATTTTGAGTGTGTCTGATTTTTGTATTTGAAGATGTCTGAAACTGTCATCTTTGTGGAATTCATACATTAATCCATTAAATACACTATGGAATTATACTGAAGGCTCCTGTGGAGTTATAGTCTTCACTATAATTTTATAATCTATTTAACATACCCACTGTGGGCTAGTGCTGAAGGGCAATACCTGTCAGTTTGGTGGGAAGCCCAACCTAAGCATTATAGAATAGTGCACAGGCTCTGGAGCCAGACTGGCTGAGTTGTAAATCCCAACTTGGCTACTACTCAGCTGTGTGACCTTCAGCAAGTCATCTAAACTCTCTGAGCCTCCATTTCTTTATCTCTAAAATGGGGTAATTATAGTAATTACCCTACCAGGTTGCTTTAAGTCATAAATGAAGAGGGCCTGGCACATAATAAGCAAGGTAGATTATAGAGCTGTTTACTTATATTCTGTGCCCCTTCTGGCAGTGCTCCTCCCGGTGGAATGGTTATACATCTCTGCCCTGTAGAATGCAGGCGTGGTCATGTGACTCAGTTTGGCCAATGAAATATGAGCAAAAATGACAGGTTATTTTCAAGCAGGGGCTTTAAGAACCAGTATGTGGTTTGTCATATTCCTTATTTTCCTCTGCGATATGACTGCGATGTTCCAGATAGAGGGTGATCTTTTAGTCTGAGTCCTGGAGTAAAGACAGTATGAAATAGAGGCTTAACCAAGCCATGAGAGACATGTAGCATAAGTGAGAAATAAACTCTTGTGGTTCACAACTGAAATTTTGAAGTAATTCGTAACTGCAACATAACCTCATCTATCCTGACAAATATAAGAAGGGCTAAATGGATGTTAACTCTTATTACTAAGCAGAATCTTCCTCTCTCATTCTATAAAATCCTAATGCATTATGGTAGTGAAAATTCTAGTAATTCAACTGGCTGCTTCATCTCCACCAATGCTTTTCACACCTGTTAATTAATGAAACCCCTTTTTCAAATAAAATTCTATACATGACCTGAATATATAAATCAGATAAAAGCAGTAATTTACTAAGATGCTTATTTGATAACCCAAATATATAATTATAAAAATTAATAAATATGACTATTTTGATAAACACAAACATTTGAAATAGGAAGTTATGAAGCAGTTGTAGCCATTCATCTCTGTAATTTGTTTTGGTTGCACAGTATTCTATACTTTATATATAGAATATTCTAATATTCTGACCCACACAGGTAAGTATTTGCAAACGGCATTCTATTCCCTTATCCAACAGTGTGCTGTAGAATTATGGTATATACTTTAATTAAATTGAATGACAAGTAAAGTTTATTCTGAATTCTGCACAAAAATGAGTCTATTGAGGAGCTCAAGTTAATGCACCGTTGGTCTTCAATGTGTTAAAATTTGGCATCTATAACATTTTTGAGCGAATGCATTGCTTTTAGTTTAATTTTCTTTAATTAAAATTTTTAAGTTGTTTTCAAATATCTTTAAATTATATCTAAATAGATTTTAGAACTCCTGGGCCATTTTTTCAGAATCCTTGGAAGGCAACAAAAACATTTACCTACATCAGTGTTTTCTAAGCATCACTCATTTACATACCACCTTTATTATTTTTGCTATATCTGTAAAATACATGTGCTTTTATTCACTTAATATTTTTTATCAAATTGACTCACTTTAAAAAAATGTAGCCTCTCAAGAGAGCCATTGTACAACATGGTGACTATAGTTAGTAATAATGTACTATATACTTGGAAATTGCTGAAAGAGTAAATTTTAAGTATTCTCACCACAAAAATGATAAATATGTGAGCATATGATAATTAGCTTGATTTAGCCATGACACTACATACATATAAATATTATATATAGATAAATATTATATATATGAAAGCATCATGTTGTAAATCATAAATATATACAATTTTTGTCAATTAAAAAATGTAGCTTCATCCTAAGCAGCAATATTTTTGAAATAATGGGCTTGATATAATACTGTAGTTGTATTTTTCTAGTACATGTCAAAACACATTATAAATTTTAAAAAATAAACTTATTCTGTTTACCAGCTTTCATTTTACGTTTGCTGGTGGTAATAAATACTACACTTACAGAAATGATTGACCACAATCCCAAGGGATCTATTTTACTGTGTTTTTCATATGATTATGTAATAGGAATTACTCTAATTAATACCTTGATTAAGTATCAGATTGAAACAGCCTAACATTGCTATATTTTATTCAGTCTTTTCCTGAAAAAGCATTAGCGTATGGAAGAGGAAAATAGATTTCATGTGTGGAATGGGGCATGAGAGTTATTAAGGTAACTCAGAGCTCCCTACTAGGCTTCAGGCTACATACCTAAAGGGAGATCATGAGAAATATGGCAGCTGTAAAGGGGTTAATATAAGAAAGTAAATGTGTCTGTGAGGATTTAAACAGTAGTTTTTTTCAGACTAGCCAAAATGCAGCGCTGCCATCTGTAGATAATAGAGTTGCATTGTTCCTCAGGTTCTTAAAAACAGTGAGTAGCATCGGATATTTTTGAGATAAAGTATGCAATGAATAGTGGGGAGCAAAAGGGGAGAAAATACTTCCACTATAACTTGACTTAAATGATAATATCTACTGATGCTTCAAATTTTTTTCCGTTTCTGGCAGACCTAGACAATTGACAGTCTCTAGGGGAAACTATAAAGGCGGCAAATGTGAACACAATGAGGAACAGAAAATCTTTGGGAAATGTTTTAAGAAAAAGCGCCAGTCCACATTAATGTCCAAACTGTCAACTTTCTCACTGACTTTACAGCATGAGTCTTCCTTAGTAAAAATTTGTAAACATCAGATGCCCTTTTGTCTAGCTCTATAACACAGCAACAGCAGGAAACGCCTGGGGAACAATTCGGAAATCTGGGAGTTGGCTAGTTATTCAGTTACCTTCTGCCTTTGCACTGCAAGACAGCCTGGGTTTGACTCTACCATCTGGAAGTCTCTTGTCATATGTGGCATTTACTGAAATGACATTAGAACCTGATTATTATTGACTACTTAAGCCTCTCTCCATCGCTGATGCATGCAGATCCATCAGGCCAAGCAAGAAGAGTCTGTGGCCAAACAAGAATATATTGCTTTGACTCTCAGGGACCAAGATACTGAAATGAGAATCAAGAAAGGAGGTAATTTTGACCTTGTCATTTCAGCTTCTCCTGGCTTGTTTGCTTGGTTTAAGTCAAAACTATTTGGCCAACCACAATGAAATAAAAGAATTCTGAAGACCTTTTAGCATTTTGGTCACCAGATCCTCCAGGAGAGAACTTTGTCTTCCCACATGTGCCACTCTTATATAGAGTGGGTGTTCTATGAACATTGGTTGAGAAGCTCAGCAAAAAAGCAGCATTCAACTTCTCATATATGGCACCAGGAGAATGAATCAGAATGTTCCTTGCAGCGTTGTGTGAAATAATGTAAAATTGGTGTCAGCCTAAGAAATCATTGATGGAATAATAGATAAATAAAATGAGGTTATTCTTACAATGGAAGGCTGTAGTGGTGCAAATGAGTAAACTTGAAGTATATGTGTCAATTATAGATCCAACTTGAAAACATATTTATAGTTATTATATCATTGATACAAAGGTTAACAACATGAAAAACAATACTGTGTATTATTTAGGGATACATTCATATGCATACATTTGTAAGTAGAAAAATTACAAAGAAGGGACACATGCATCTTCAAGATAGAGGTTACCTCTGTGTGAATAAGAGGAAAATAAGAATAAGAGATCAGAGAGGGGTATAAAAAATGCTTTGACTATATCTATAATATTTGATTTATTAATCTGGGTTTTGGGTATAGAGGTGTTCATTATATTTTTCTGTACATCTTTTAAAAATATCTAATATTTTTCATAAATTAAGAGCATTATCCAAATTTGCTCATTGTAACAGTCCATCTTGCAAAGGTCCACCGAGTTCCAATGATCACGCATGTGAACTGAGCTGTTCCTTACACTTGTAGCTGGAAGTTGTACAGGTCAACCAATTTGTGCTGACCTCAGAAAGAGCAGGCCATTTAGTGCTGCACCCTCAAAAGTAAGCTTTGGATGGTAATCTTTCTGGGAGGTGGCAGCCATTAACACCTTACAACTGGATTACAAAGTCACCTGTGAGGGCCTTGAGAGGACATGTTGGTTGGCTTGGAGAAGACAGAGATAGTTCTAGAGCAGCGGCCAGTAACTTTTTTCTAAAAAATAAGGGCCAATTCAGGAAAAATTTAAATGTTTATGAGATACCTTTCTTCCCTGTATTTGAAATGAAAAGATCTTCTTTGGGTTCTGATTGAGATTATTTACTTTATAGAGTAAAATAATGCCAATGAGAGCATTTGTTCTGCCACTAAAACATTAATATCCAGCCATATTTGAGGGATAGCTACTGGAGGTGCCCATTTAAAATTTCATGTTGAAATTAGATTGTAATTGTGTCACAAGGTTGAGTGGACACATGAAGACTGTGTTTTGGTGGACAGGTCAACAGAGGTCTAGAGCAGGGGAAGAAAAACTACAGCTCATAGGCCAAATCGGGTCATGGTCTAGTTTTGAAAATAGAGTTTTATTGGAACACAAGCATGTTCATTCATTTATGTGTTGTCTATGATTGCTTTTGCACTACAATGACAGAGTTGATTAGCTGTGAGAGAGACCAACTGGCCCACAAAGCCTAAAATATTTATGATCTGGCTCTTTACAGAAAATTTACCAACCCCTGGAATAGAACATAAGGGAATGACCAGCAGGATGAGTGTGAGGCAGTGGAGGCACTGGAATCCAGGCAGGAGAAGGGAGAGGCAGAGGAAGGCTCAGGTCCAAGTTGGTCTATTTTCTCAATCTACCACCAACCAGCTCTTTCTGCAACTATGGTGAGGTTATTCTAATCCATTTTCTTCCATGACCCATTAAAGGTAGCCACCAGCAGCTGCCATTTTTTTTCTAGTCCCTCCAGGCCTGGGAAAACACAAATCTAATAGTCACCAAACTTCGATGTCCACCTCGCAAATCTCCTCCTTTACTTATCTTCATCATCTCAGTTGCGGGCAAGTTGATCCTTCCAATTGCTTTGGCCAAAAGCTTTATAGTCATTCTTGAATTCAAACATCCTTTCTTTAAATTGCATATTGACAAATTATGCAATTTAATTTGACAAAGTAATCTTATGATTTATGAGCACAATGTGTAAGAATTAAATCAAGCTAAGTAACACACTGATAACATAAAATACTTTTTTTGTGTTGAGAACATTTGCAATTTACTCTGTTAGCAATTTTGAAATGTACAATACATTATTATTTAGTATATTCACCATGTAATTCAGTATATCCTAAAGAAGAAAATAACCTTACTTTTCCTGTCTAATTGGGGCTTTGTACTTTTTAACCATCATCCAATAGCCAAGATATGGAAACAACCTAAGTGTCCGTCAGTTGATGAATGAATAAAGAAAATGTGATGTATATACACAATGGAATACTATATAGCTTTAAAAAGAAGGAAATTCTGTCATTCACAACAATATGAATGAACCTGGAGGACGTTTTGCTAAGTGAAGTAAACCAGGCACAGAAAGACAAAAACCACATCTTCTCACTTACATGCAGAATACAAAAACACCAATGTCGCCAGGTGCAGTCACTCACACCTGTAATCCCAGCACTTTAGGAGGCCGAGGCGGGCAGATCACAAGGTCAGGAGTTCAAGACCAGCCTGGCCAATATGGTGAAACCCCGTCTCTACTAAAAATACAAAAATTAGCAGTGCATGGTGGTAGGTGCCTGTAGTCCCAGCTACTCGGGAGGCTGAGGCAGGAGAATTGCTTGAACCCGGGAAGAAGCAGAAGTTGCAGTGAGCCGAGATCCTGCCACTGCACTCCAGCCTGGGTGACAGAGCAAGACTCCATCTCAAAAAAAAAAAAAAAACAAAACAAAAAAAAAAAAACCATCAATGTCACTGTAATAGAAAGGTGGTTACCAGAGACTGGGGTGGGGGGAGGAGGAAGGATGGGGAAAAGGGAGATGTTGATCAAAGGCTACAGACTTTCAGTTATACTGGAGGAATAACTTTTAGTGATCTATTGATTTCTAACTTTATATTATATACATCCTAATTCATTAGCAATTTCAGTCAACTCTACTTTCCATGTATATTGTAATTTGTATATCAAATTCTATATATCAGTATTTCTCTTCTCTCCACTAACACCTTACTGGCTCAAATCACCATACTCACTTGTCTGAATTTCTGCAGTTTTCTTCTAATGGTATTCCCACTTCCCTATAATCTATCCTCCAAGTAGCAGCCAGAGTGATCTATTTAAAATGTAAGTAAGATCGTGTTACTCCTTTACTAAAAGGCTTCCCATCTAACTCATCATAAAGTTCAAATCCTTAGCTTTTAAGGCACTACACCATCTGGTCCCCTGTTATCTCTTCAATCTCAATTCCTGCCACACCTCTTCCCCTTACATCATTTCAACCACATTAGTCTCCTTGCTGTTTTTCAACCATGCCAGGTCTTACCACATGACCTCCTCTTTGTCAGGAAAAATCTTCCTCCAGATATTCACATGACTCCTTCCTTCACTGCCTTCAAATCTCTGCTCAAATATCACCTTCTCCATGACATTTTCCCTGACCTATCTAAAATCATGAACCCCCACCACCAAGCACAGTATTTAGTATCCTTCCTAGCTCTGCTTCATTTTTCTTCATAGTATCCATCAGCATTTGACACAGTATTTATTTACTAAATTATCTTACTTGTGGTCTGTCACCCCCTACTAACGTATGAGCTCCATGAGGGTAGTGACGTTTGTCTACTTTGTCCGCTGTTATATTCAACTGGCCTAGGACACTTTCTGTCATATAGTAGGCATTCAAATCTATTTGTTGAATGAGTTATTGGGAACAAATTTTTAGTGGGAGCCCTATGGATTTTAAAAATCTTTTGGAACACTCACTAATATAATTACTATGTATTTTTCAAAATAGTTACTTATTTTGTACACCTCTAAAGGGAACATCTGATAAGAAAAGCCCAGGACTGTAGGTCTGTGGACATAAGGCATGATCTTCTGGCATTAGATACCTCAGCTCAGATTTAACATTTTGCATTGCTTCCAGAATAACCAATTCATCCCTGGAGAGGCCCTACCTTCCTCCCTCTCCACTCTCTTTTCCTCCAAGCAAGGAGGTTAGGACTCAGTTTTCTTACTTGCTACACTCTGCTTTATTCAGAGTGGGCAGGGCAGTTGCTTTCTTTTTTGATTCCATGTGAGCATGCCCCATCTACTGAGCTTCCTGAGAATATTTGAGTAGCGTGGTGGCAATGGCAGTGACAACAGTGCTGACAGGCAGCTCATTAGTTATAACAAACCCTTTTCCCTGCAACCCCATCTTGCAGCCCCAGGCTTCTCTCCCTCCAAAGGAGCAGTCTCACTTTTGTTCACTCCAAGCCACAGTTCATGGGGATGAAAGAATTTGTGGCAGCTTTGAGGCCAGCATTGAGGGATGGAACAGGCTTAAAATAGCTCCATGAGGCCATAAACTTTTAATGATCCAATCTTTCAACAGCCCTGGGATGCTGGAGCAAATCTAGCTCAAAGACCCCCCTCTTTGGTTGCAAACCCCATCGAGACAGTGGTCTCTTTGTTCCGCTTATCAACCTGAATAATTATGCTGTGGTAAGTGGTGCCTTTCACCATTTCCTTCCCTTAAAAGGCTCTTGGGAGAATGAGTGAGTTATATGGGCACAAAGGGTCTGCTCACTCTTTTCCACTTCAGAGCAGGCCTTGCTTTTCAGGAATGTTTGATTTCAAATCCAGAAGCTCTTCTCAGGAGAAGCTCCAGAGGCACTGGATCTCTTCCTCTCACTGAGGTTTTCTAGTACCAAGCTCATCTCTACCACTTACTGAGGAGATTGGTTAAGGGGCTGAATGCCTTAGAACCCTAGGAACCAGAAAGCCCATCAATATGCCATGCCATTCTCCTGCTTCCAGGTGGGGGCAAGACTAGATAGGTAAAAAATTCTGCTATTTTTGCTATTAAAAAAAACTTTTTGGCAATAGTGATTGTGCAACCTGCTCTATCCCTCCCTGTGTTGAGAATTAAAGTGTTGCTTTCCTCTAAGAATAAGAATTTCAACCTCATTAGAGATATGTCTGGCAGCTCCACTCGCTACTCTTCTCAAAGTCAACATAAGGTCACCTCCAAGCATGTGAATATCTCAACTAAAGGCCTGAAGACTGAGCCCTGTTGATGACAATCATATCACAAAGTCAGGGGGCCATGGGTATTTCCTTGTGTATATTATTACTTTGGCAGATATTTGGAGCCCTTATTTTCATATTACTCAGATGATGGTATTTTATTTATTTATTCATTCATTACTTCACTCAACAAATATTTATTAAGCACCTACTATATGTCAGGGGTATTGATAGGTACTGATAGTTCAATGGTAAAGACAAACAGACATGGTTCTTATTCTCATGTTGTTTATTGAGGAAGACAGATGTTCCTCAATCATACCCAAATTATAAATATACCACTGTGATCAATGAAAAAGAGGTGTTAAAGAAACTAATTCTTGAGCTGAATCCTGAAAGATAAGCACACATTAAGTAAATGAAGAGAATAGGAAGAGTATTCCAAGTAGAGAAAACAACCTGAACAGAGGTCCTGTCATGGGGATGGGGGAAAGGGAGCATGGCAAGTATGAGAAAGTGGAAATAGCCTATATGCTGGGAGTCCTTAGAGCCATGGGATTAATGGACCCCAAAATAAGGCTGCAGAAATATGGGGCAGGGTGAGGGGTTGTGGTACTCAGCCTCTCAGATGGCGTCCAATGATTTCCACCCTTTGGGATTTGAACCCCCATGTAATTCTTTACTTTTTAGGCCACACTTAATGATTCACTTCTAACAAATAGAATATGGCAGAAGTGATGGCATGTTACTTCTGAGGTTAGGCTATACAAAGATTGTGTGGCTTCCATTTTGGGGGCTCCCCCTCACTCTTTTTTGGATCACTCATTCTGGGGTAAGCCACTGCCATTTATGAGGCAGCTCTATGGGGAGGCACACGTGAGTGAGCTTGGAAGATCTTCTGAGGCCTGCTAATAGCCACGTGTGTGAGCTTGGTAGCAGATCCTCCCTGGTTGTGCCTTCGGATGACTGCAATCCCAGCTGAGGCCTTGATTGCAGCCTCATGAGAGTCTCTGAAACCAAAACACTCAGTTAAGCTGTTCTTGGATTCCTGGTCTCTAGAAATTTTAAGGTAGCCAATGCTTGTTGTTTGCAACCACTAAGTTTTGGGGTAACTTGTTATACAGCAATATATAACTAATACAGGAGCTATACAGGTAAGGTATTATAGGTCATAATAAAAAGAAATACTCTAGAGGTGAGGTTGTAGGTACTGCCTCTTATCTCAGAGTAGGGAAGGCCCAAACTTGAAGGGGGTATCATCTGCATTTTGGCTCCACTTGGCTTTAAGTTGGTTTTATAAATGTTCATATTGTTAATAGTAATATGGTCAAGGGGATATAGCTTGTGCAGGGACAGAAAGTTTAGAATGGGTGAGTTAGGCTTGGGGTGGGGGCACACATTTTCCAAAGTTCTTCACATCCTTCCAAATTATTCCTTCTGGATAGTTTTCAAGACTTGTAGATGACATCATTAGATAAGGCAGATATATCCATCATGTCAATAAACAGATGGTGATTTTATTTCCTTTGGGTTCAATTAGAGTGATTGATTTAACAGCTATGAGCCAATAATAAAGCCTCCCTGTGAAGTCACTTTGTATATCACTGTAGCTTTACAGCTCTGCAATAGGCCAATTTGAGCTACCTCAAAGGCCCTTTGGGTCTCAGGGTGGATAGAAACCAAGGCATAGTATATGCTACTGATTTGCAAAAGGACACAGGCTGTGTCTATAACCATATTGCATAGCCCAAAATCTCTGACTCTCCATCCAGAACATTGTTCTCCAGATACTTATTATTATTATTATCATTTTGCCTTTCCTAAATTCTTTACTCATGAGTGTGCTTTTTATAAGCAACAAATGAAACACAAGTGTTGATTTAACTGAAACATCACTTTTGAAAATGACTCAAAAATTCTTTCTCCCAAAGCAATCTACAGGTTCAATGCAACTCAATAATTTTACAGAAATAGAAAAATCACTCCTAAAATTTATGTAGAATCTCTAGAGACCTAGAATAGCCAAAACAACCTTGAAAAAGAGGAACAACATTGGAAGACTCAGACTTTCTGATTTCAAAGTTTACTACAGAGCTATAGTAATCAAAACAGTATGGTACTGGCATAAAGACAGACATATGGACATATTCATTGGAATAGAATCAAGAGGCCAAAAACAAACTCATGCATCTATGGTCAAATGATTTCAACAAGGGTGCCAAGACCACTCAATGGGAAAAGGACAGTCTCTTTAACAACTGGTGGTGGGAAAACTGGATATTCACATGCAAAAGAATAAAGATGGAGCTTATTTTATACTGCATATAAACATTAACTTAAAATGGATTAAAGATCTAAACATAAGAGCTAAAATTATACAACTCAGAAGAAAATATAGAGGAAAAGTTTCATGACATGGGATTTTGCAGTGACTTCTTGTGTATACATCAAAAGCACAGACAACAAAAGAAAAAAGAAAGAAATTGAACTTCCTCAAAACTAAAAATTTTGTGAATCAAAGGACACTATTAACACAGTGAAAAGTCATTCCATGGAATGAAAGAAAATATTTGTAAATCATATATCTGATAAGGGTTTAGTATCCAGGATATATAAGGAACTCCTACAATTCAACAACTAAGAAACAAGCAACCCAGTTCAAAAATGGGCAAATAATTTGAATTGGCATTTCTCCAAAAAAGATATACAGATGGCCAAAAAACACATGAAAAAAATGCTCAACATCACTAATCATTAGGGAAATGCAGATCAAAACCAAAATGAGACATCACCTCATACCCATTAATTTAGCTATTATAATTATTAAAACAAACAAACAAAAATCCAGATGATAACAAGTGTTGGGAAGGATATAGAGAAAGTGGAACCCTTGCACATGTTGGTGGGAGTGTAAAATGGTGTAGCCACTGTGGAAAACAGTACAGTGGTTCCTCAAAAAAAATGAAACATATAATTATTATATGATCGAGCAACTCCATTTCTAGGTACATATCCAAAAGAATTGAAAGCAGAGACTTTAATAGATATCTGTACATCATTACTCATAGGAGCATTATTCACAATAGCTAAAAGGTACAAATAACTCAAATGTCCATCAATCGACAAATAGATAATAAACAGTGGTACATACATACAAGGGAATATTGTTTAGCCTTAATAAGGCATGAGATTCTTTTTTGTGGTAATACTTTTCTTTATTGTGTTGAGGGCCAGAGGAATATGTTAAAATAGCACTCCTACGATTAAATTCAAATAATTCATTAATAAAAAGTCAGCAACAGAATTGTATGGAAAAGTAAAAGGGCCTCCCATGAGCTAATAAAGTGGTAAGATTTAACTCACCTTCTATAAATCACTAAATATTGCCATGTTGATTAACTGTGTATAATAAAACCATATTTATTTATTTATTTTTAAACTTTTAGGTTCCAGGGTACATGTGAAGGTTTGTTATCTGGGTAAATTGTGTGTCACAGGTGTTTGGTGTACGTATTATTTTGTCACCCAGGTAGGGAGCATAGTACCCGGTAGGTAGTTTATAGATCCTCACCCTCCTCCCACCCTCCACCCTCAAGTAGGCCCTAGTGTCTATTATTCTCTTCTTTGTGTCCATGTGTACTCAGTGTTTAGCACCCACTCATAAGTGAGAACATGTGGTATTTGGTTTTCTGTTCCTGTGTTGGTTTGCTTAGGATTATGGCCTCCAGTTCCTGCAAAGGACATAACTCCATTGTTTTCTATGGCTGCATAGTACTCCATGGTATATATATGCCATATTTTCTTTATCCAGTCCACCACTGATGGGTACCTAGGTTGATTCCATGTCTTTGCTATTGTGAATAGTGCTGTGATGAACATATGTGTGCATGTATCTTTTTGACAGAATGATTTATATTCCTTTGGGTATATACCCAATGATGGGATTGCTGGGTTGAATGGCAATTCTGTGGAATGAAATCCTGATACATGCTACAACATGGGTGAACCTTGAAAACATTATGCTAAGTGAAATAAGCCAAATGAAATGGCACAAATATATGATTCCATTTATATGAGGTACTGAGAATAGTCAAACTCATAGAGACAGAAAGTAGAATTATGGCTGTCAGGAGTCAAGAGTAGGGGAAAGTGGGGAGTTATTGTTTGACAGGTACAGAGATTCAATTTGGGATGATGAAAATGTTCTGGTGATGGATGGCAGTGATGGTTGCATAACAATGTGTATGTACTTAATGCCGCTGAACTGTACACTTTAAAATAATTACAATGGTAAATTTTATATTATGTATATTTTACCACAATAAAAATCTTAAAAAATGCTTTCTGTCTGCAAAAATGTTTCCCAGCCTGCCACATTTGCATTGGCCTCATCCCAATTTCCTGCTGCCAGGATTTAGAAGCCTCCCTCCAATTCTTCCAATCCTGGCCCAAGTCAGCTAAATTGCCATGACACCAAGTCACTGGAAATAATTTCTTTGTAGGAATAAGTTTCCCAGAGATTGGAATGTGCCTGATGATGCCACCATGAATCAGACAGAGCTTTGTAGTCTCTCTGCAGGCCAAAGAATTCCTGAATGTCCCTGGAAAATCTCCCTTTCTCCCCACATCCATTTCATACCCCTTGAAAATATTTATTATTACCACTTATATGGATTTTAGAATTTACAAAGCACCTTCTCACATAAACTTTTACATTTGATAACTTTAATAACACTAATAAAGATGAATGTTTTGTTACTCCATTTTACAGATGAGGAAACTGAGGCTCCAGTTCTCAATATGACTTGTCCAGGTTATCATAGTCACTAAGCAGTAAAACTGGGACTTCTTGAGCCCCGGCCTCTATTCTGACATCCCTTCCTATTTGGTTATCTCATAGGCATGTGGCAATCAACATGTTCAAAATTGAGCATATCACATCAGCTCTTCCCAACTTGCTTCTCCTGTGCTTCTCATCTTAGTGAATGACACAGATATTCTATCCAAGGCAGAAACCTTGGAGTTATTATTGATGCCCTCCTCTCCTTCATTCCCCACAGCCAATCCTCTCATCAAGTCTGTGAATTCTATTTTGTAAATCTTCTTTTTCTTAATTCATTCACTTCTCTCCATCCTCATTGCCACCTCCCTAGTCCAATCCACCATTTTCTCTCATCAGAACTCCTGCAGTAGCTTCCTAAGTCATCTTGTCTCTTTATAAGGCATTTTCATGGAATATCCAGAGCAATCTTTCTAAAATCATGTCTGATCATATTTCTTTTGGGATTTTTGTTCATTTGTGTTGTTGGTTGTAAAGCAGTTTTATAAACATTAATGCTTTAAACACCTATATACATATAAAATACACAGTCATACAGTCATGCATCACTTAATGACAGGGATATGTTCAGAGAAATGTGTCATTAGGTGATTTAGTTTTTCTGTGAACATCATAGAGTGTACTTACACAACCCTGGATGGTATATCCTACTACACACCTAAGCTCTATGGTATAAACTATTACTCCTAGGCTACAAACCTGTACAGCATATCGTCATATTGAATACTGTAGGTAACTGTAACAAAGTTGTAAGTATTTGTGTAGCTAAACATAGAAAAGGCAGAGTAAAAATGTGGTATAAAAGCTAAAAAATAGTATGCCTATATAAAAGAAAGGGGGAATTTTAAATGTTACATGGGAGTTGCAATTGAAGAAACAGTGGCCAAGAAAGGCTGCACTGGCTTGAGGGTCATATAACTAATGTAGTCACATTAAAATATTAATATACATATATCCTATGACCCAACAATGCTGCTCTTGAGTATATTATCCAGGAAAATCCTCACATAAGACCATGGGGAGACATGTGTGAGGATGTTCATGAGAGTGCTATTTGTGGTGGCCGAAGGTAGCAGAATCCCAGTGGGGAGCACTTGACTGAGCCAGTGGATAGGTAAAATGTGGTAGAGGCATGCCATGAAGTATTATGCAATGCTTATAATAACAGATTAAGTGTATGCACAGCAACATGGATTGATGTAGAAACATGATGTTGAATGAAAAAACTAACAAATGGGGGTTGGGGGGTGGAGGTGCGGGGCCAAGATGGCCAACTAGAAGAAGCAGCGATTGTAGGCTCCCATTGAAAAGAACCGAAACAGTGTGCAAATTCCCCACTGGCAACCTAGGTATCCAGGTTCTGTCATCAGGCCTGACTAGGTGGCTCGTGTGACCCACAGAGAGGAAAGAAGACCAGTGTGGTGTGGCAGCCCACCTGAGAGCCACACGGGGCAGGGGAGCCCCCAGTCCCCCGCCAAGGGAGGCGGTGAGAGAGCATGCTACCCAGTCTGGGAAACCGTGCTTTTTCCACAGAACTGTGCAACCCACAGATCAGAAGATCCCACTCGTGAGCGCATGCCACCAGGGCCTAGGGTCCCAACCATGGAGCTGCGCAGATTCTCAACAGCCACTCAGCTACAATCTGCCTAAGCCTGCTGAGTTCCTTGGTGGGGGGCAGCATCACCACAGCTGTGGCTGCCTGCTGTCTAAACCATCTGAGCTCCTTGGGGGAGGGTTGGCAGCCAACGCTGGGACTGCTAGCTGCCTAACACACTAAGCTTCCAGGGCAGGGGAAGGGTGGCAGCCATCTCTATGGCTCCAGGCCGTGCTTTTCCCCTGCAAAAGCCAAGGAGGCTGGACTGCTTGGTCCCAAGAGATATTCCCTGCAGCCCAACACACTGGCTGTGGCAGATTGCCACCAGAATGCTTCCTCAGGCCTGACCCTGACTCATCCTTCCTCACTGGGTGGGGCCTCCCTGCAGGAACTCCAACAACTCCAGCTAGGGGCTTAGGGACAGAACTCTGATCTCCCTGGGCCTGAGACCCTAGGGGGAGAGGATGGCCATAGTCTCCACAGACCAGCAGACTTAGTCTTTCCTCCTGCTAGTTCTGAGGAATCTGGGCAGCCCAGACTAGTGGGTTTCCCCCTAACATGGCACACCCCCTGCACCATGAGATAGTCAAAGTGCTTCATTAAATGGGTCCTGCACCCAGTGCCATTCAATTGGGGGAGATCCTTCAACAGGAGCTGTCAGACACCCTATACAGTGGTGTTCCTACTGGCATCAGGTTGGTGCCCCTCAAGGTCAGAGATCCCGGAGGAAGGAGAAGGCACCCATCTTTGCTGTTCTCCAGCCTCCTCAAATGGCATCTTCAGGCATGACAGCGAACCAGATGAAGAAGGCCTGAAGTGAACCCCCAGCAAACTGCAGCAGCCCTACAGAAGAGGGACCTGACCATTTAAAGAAAAACGAACAAACAAACAAGCAGAAAGCAACAACAGCATAAACAAAAAAAGTCCCCACAAAAATCCCAACCAAGGGTCAACAGCCTCAAAGATCAAAACTAGACAAACTCATGAAGATGAGAAAGAATAAACGAAAAAATGCTGAAAACCCAAAAGACCAGAGTGCCTCTTCTCCAAATAATCACGCAGAACTGGATGGAGGGTGAGATGGATGAATTGAAAGAAGTAGGCTTCAGAAGGTGTGTAATAACAAACTCCACTGAGCTAAAGGAGCATGTTCTAATCCAATGCAAAGAAGCTCAGAACCTTGATAAAAGGTTATAGGAGCTGCTAACTAGATTAACCAGTTTAGAGGGAAACATAAATGGCTTGATGGAGCTGAAAAACACAGCATGAGAACTTCGTGAAGCATACACAAATATCAATAGCCAAACTGACCAAGCGGAAGAAAATTGGAGTTTCAAGACCATCTTGCTGAAATAAGGCATTCAGACAAGATTAGAGAAAAAAGAATGAAAAGGAATGAACTAAAACTCTGAGAAATATGGGACAGTGTAAAAACACCAAACTTATGATTGATTGGAGTACCTGAAAGAGACAGGGAGAATGGAACCAAGTTGGAAATCACACTTCAGGATATTATCCAGGAGAACTTCCCCAACCTAGCAAGACAGACCAACATTCAAATTCAAGAAATACAGAGAACACCACTAAGATACTCCGTGAGAAGATCAACCCAAAGAAACATAATTATCAGATTCTCCAAGTTGAAATGAAGGAAAAAATGTTAAGGGCAGCCAGAGAGAAAGGCCAAGTCATTTACAAAGGGAATCCCATCAGACTAACAGTGGACCTCTCATCAAAAACCCTATAAGCCAGAAGAGAGTGGGGGCCAATATTCAACATTCTTAAAGAAAAGAATTTTCAACCTGGAATTTCATAACCAGCCAAACTAAGCTTCATAAATGAAGGAGAAATAAAATCCTTTACAGACAAGCAAATGCTGAGGGATTTTGTCACCACCAGGCCTACCTGGCAAGAGCTCCTGAAGGAATCACTAAATATGGAAAGGAAAACCTGGTACCAGCCACTGCAAAAACACACCAAAATATAAAGACCAATGACACTATGAAGAAACTGCATCAACTAGTGTGCAAAATAACCAGCTAGCATCAGGATGATGGGATCAAATTCCACATAACATGAACCTTAAATATAAATGGGCTAAATGTCCCAATTAAAAGACACAGACTGGCAAATTGGATAAAGAGTGAAGACCCATTGGTGTGCTGTATTCAGGAGTCCCATCTCATGTGCAAAGAAACACATAGGCTCAAAATAAAGGGATGGAGAAAAAAATTTACCAAGCAAATGGAAAGTGAAAAAAAAAATGCAGAGGTTGCAATCCTAGTCTCTGATAAAACAGAGTTTAAACCAATAAAGATAAAAAAAAGACAAAGAAGGGCATTACATAATGCTAAAGATATCAATTCAACAAGAAGAGCTAACTATCATAAATATATATGCACCCAATATAGGAGCACCCAGATTCATAAAAACAAGTTCTTAGAGACCTACAGAGAGACTTAGACTCCCACACAATAATAGTGGGAGACTGTAACACCCTACTCTCAATATTAGACGGATCAATGAGATGGAAAATTAACAAGGATATTCAGGACTTGAACTCAGCTCTGGGCCAAGGGGACCTAATAGACATCTACAGAACTCTCCACCCCAAATTGAAGAGAGGAGTGCCTCTGCCCAGCCGCCCCACCATCTGGGATGTGAGGGAGCGCCTCTGCCCTTCCCCTCCCCCCCACACTGTCTGGGAAGTGAGAAGAACCTCTGCCCAGCCGCCCCACCATCTGGGAAGTGAGGAGCGTTTCTGCCCAGCTGCAGCCCCGTCTGGGAAGTGAGTAGTGCCTCTGCCGGGCTGCCACCCCATCTAGGAAGTGAGGTGCCCCTCTTCCCGGCGGCCGCCCCATCTGGAATGTGAGGAGGGCCTCTGCCCGCCGCCGCCCCATCTGGGATGTGAGGAGCATCTCTGCCCAGCTGCCCACCGTGCAGGAAGTGAGAAGCGCCTCTGCCCAGCTGCCCAGTGTCTGGGAAGTGAGGAGAGCCTCTGCCCGGCCACTGCCCCATCTAGCAAGTGAAGAGCATCTCTGCCCAGCCACCACCCCATCTGGGAAGTGAGGAGCGCCTCTGCCCCGCCACCCAACTGACTGCGAAGTGAGTAGTGTCTCTGCCCAGCCACCTCTTCTGGGAAGTGAGGAGCACCTCTGCCCAGCCGCCCAGCTGACTGGGGAGTGAGGAGCGCCTGTGCCCGCCCGCCACACCCTCTGGGAATTGAAGAGCACCTCTGCCCAGCTGCCAACCATCTGGGAAGTGAGGAGCGCCTCTGCCTGGATGCCCCGTCTGGGAAGTGAGGAGCGCCTCTGCCCGGCCGCCCCACCATCTGGGATGTGAGGAACTCTGCTGCCCTGCTGCCCAGCTTCCCACTGTCTGGGAAGTGAGGAGCACCTCTGCCCAGCTTCCACCCTGTCTGGGAATTGAGGAGCATCTCTGACCGGCTGCCACCCCATCTGGGAAGTGAGGAGCGCCTCTGCCCAGCTGCCCACTGTCTGGAAAGTGAGGAGCGCCTCTGCGCAACCTGCCCTGCCTGGGAAGTGAGGAGTGCCTCTGCCCAGCTGCTTCGCCATCTGGGATGTGAGGAGCGCCTCTGCCCAGCCGCTGTGCAACCTTCCAAGTGTGAAGTGACAGCCTTGTGTGTGATCTTTTGTCTTCCCCAAGTTTGCATTTTTGATATTAAAGTTTACTTTTTAATAAAAATAAAAAGAACTCTCCACCCCAAATCAACAGAATATACATTCTTCTCAGTGCCACATAGCCCTTATTGTAAAATTGACCACATAAATGGAAGTAAAACACCCCTCAGCAAATGCAAAAGAACTGAAATCAACAGTCTCTCAGACCATAGCGCAATCAAATTAGAACTCAGGATTAAGAAATTCACTCAAAACCACACAACTACATGGAAATTGAACAACCCATTCCTGAATGACTCTTGGGTAAATAATGAAATTAAGGCAGAAATCAAGAAGTTCTTTGAAACCAATGAGAACAAAGAGACAATGTACCAGAATCTCTTGGACACAGCTAAAGCAGTGTTAAGAGGGAAATTTATAGCACTAAATGTCCATATCAGAAAGCTAGAAAGATCTTAAATCAACACCCTAATATCACAATTAAAAGAGCTAGAAAAGCAAGAGCAAACAAACCCAAAAGCTAGCAGAAAAGAAGAAATAACTAAGGTCAGTGCAGAACTGAAGGAGATAATGAAATGAAAAACCCTTCAAAAAATCAGTGAATCCAGTAGCTAGTTTCTTGAAAACACTAACAAAATAGACCGCTAACTAGACTAATAAGAGAGAAGAATCAAATAGACACAATAAAAAATGATAAAGGGGAGATCACCACTGACCCCACAGAAATACAAACTACTATCAGAGAACACTATGAACACCTCTACGCAAATAAACTAGAAAATCTAGAAGAAATGGATAAATTCCTGGACACATACACCCTCCCAAGACTAAACCAGAAAGAAGTTCAGTCCCTGAATAGACCAATAACAAGTTATGAAATTGAGGCATTAATTAATAGCGTACCAACCAAAAAAAGCCAAGGACCAGACATCTTGATACCAAAACTGGGAGGTGACAAAACAAAAAAGGAAAACTTCAGGATAATATCCCTGATGAACATTGATGCAAAAATCCTCAATAAAATACTGGCAAAGCGAATCCAGCAGCACATCAAAAAGCTTATCCACCACGATTAAGTCGGTTCCATCCCTGAGATACAAGGCTGGTTCAACATATGCAAGTCAATAAATGTAATCCATCACTTAAACAGAACCACTGACAAAAACACATGCTTATCTCAATAAATGCAGAAAAAGCCTTCAATAAAACTCAACATCCCTTCATGTTAAAAACTCTCAATAAACTAGGTATTGATGGAACATATCTCAAAATAACAGAGCTATTTATGACACAACATAGACAATATCATATTGAATGGGCAAAAGCTAGAAGCTTTCCCTTTGAAAACCAGTGCATGACAAGGATACCCTCTCTTATCACTACTATTTGACATAATATTGGAAGTTCTGGCCAGGGCAGCCAGGAAAGAGAAAGATATAAAGGGTGTTCAGATAGGAAAAGAGAAAGTCAAATCATCTCTGATTGCAGACAACATGATTCTATATTTACAAAACCCCATTTTCTCAGTCCCCAAATTTCTTAAGCTGATAAACAACTTCAGTAAAGTCTCAGGATACAAAATCAACATGCAGAAATCTCAAGCATTCCTGTACACCAAAAATAGACAAGCAGAGTGCCAAATCATGAATGAACTCCCTTTCACAATTGCTATGAAGAGAATACAATACCTAGGAATACAGCTAACAAGACATATGAAGGACCTCTTCAAGGAGAACTACAAACCACTGCTCAAGGAAATAAGAGAGGATACAAAGAAATGGAAAAACATTCCATAACCGTGGATAGGAAGAATCAATATTGTGAAAATGGCCATACTGCCCAAAGTAATTTATAGATTCAGTGGTATTCCTATCAAACTACCATGGACATTCATCACAGAATTAGAAAAAAATACTTTAAATTTCATATGAATCAAAAAAGAGCCCATATAGCTAAGACAATCCTAAGCAAAAAGAACAAAGCTGGAGGTATCACGCTACCTGACTTCAAACTATACTACCAGGCTACAGTAACTAAAACAGCATGGTACTGGTACCAAAACAGACATACAGACCAATGGAACAGAACAGAGACCTCAGAAATAACACCACACATGTAGAACCATCTGATCTTTGACAAACCTGACAAAATCAAGCAAAAGGGAAAGGATCTCCTATTCAGTAAACAATGCTGGGAAAACTGGCTAGCCATGTGCAGAAAACTGAAACTGGACTCCTTCCTTATGCCTTATACAAAAATTAACTCAAGATGGATTAAATACTTATATGTAAAATGCAAAACCATAAAAACTCTGGAAGAAAACCTAGGCAATACCATCAGGACATAGGCATGGGCAAAGACTTCATGATGAAATCGCCAAAAGCAACTGCAACAAAAGGTAAAATAGACAAATGAGATCTAATTAAACTAAAGAGCTTCTGCACAGTGTAAGAAACTATCATCAGAGTGAACAGGTAATCTACAGAGTGGAGAAAATGTTTTCAATCTACCTGTCTGACAAAGGTCTAATATCCAGAATCTACAAGGAGCTTAAACAAATTTACAAAACAAAAAGCAAACAACCCCATCAAAAAGTGGGCAAAGGACATGAACAGACATGTCTCAAAAGAAGACATTTATATTGCCAAAAAACATATGAAAAAAGCTCAATATCACTGATCGTTAGAGAAATGCAAATCAAAACCACAATGAGATACCATCTCACACCAGGCAGAATGGCAATTATTAAAAATTCAAGAAACAACAGATGCTGCTGAGGCTGTGGAGAAGTAGAAACGCTTTTACACTGCTGGTGGGAATATAAACTAGTTCAATCATTGTTGAAGAGAGTGTGGTGATTTCTCAAGGGTCTAGAACCAGAAATAGCATTTGACCCAGCAATCCCACTAATGGGTATATACCCAAAGGAATATAAATCATTCTACTATAAAGATACATGCTCACATATGTTTTTGGCAGCACTATTTACAATAGCAAAGACATGGAACCAACCCAAATGCCCATTAATGATAGACTGGATAAAGAATATGTGGTATGTATACACTATTGAATACTACACACCCATAAAAAGGAATGAGATCATGTCCTTTGCAAGGGACATGGATGAAACTGGAAGCCATCATCCTCAGCAAGCTAACACAGGAAAAGAAAACTAAATACTGCATGTTCTCACTCATAAGTGGGAGTTGAACAATGAGAACACATGGACACAGGGAGGGGAACAACACACACCAGGGCCTGTTGGTGGGGGGAGGGAAGGGAGAGCATCAGGACAAATAGCTAATGCCTGCAGGGCTAAAAACCTAAATGAAAGGTTGATAGGTGCAGCAAACCACCATGACATGCGTATACCTATGTAACAAACCTGTACATTTTGCACATGTATCCCAGAACTTAAAGTTACCTAAAAATTTTTTAAAAAGGAAAAAAACTGAGAAACAGAAAGAGCAATATAAGGTCGTACTACTTATATAGATTAAGAAGATATGCACACAAAACAACAATATACAGTTTGAAAGAACATAATCTAACACAAAAACTACATGTTAAATATTAATATCTTAGGAAGGTTGTGAGAGTAGGAAGGAGGGGAATGGGAGTGGGTTATGGGATTAAAAAATAAGATACAGTGAACATAATTCATATAAATATATGGATTTGGTGTTAGAGGATCAGATTTCTACAACCCAAGGGTCAATTTTCTCTAACACTATGCAACAGTGCAGCTTTATTGAATTCACTTGATTCATCTGGGCTTCAGTTTCCTCATCTATGAAGTGGGAACAATATTTCCAGTATTGATTACCTGTTAGGGTTGTTGCAAGGCTCTAGTGTGCTAATGGGTGTGAAGGGGTTTGGACAAGTTTAAAGTTAAAACAATTACCTAATATAAGCAACAATTTGTGTCGCACAGAGTGGACATTTGTTGTTTGCCTTTCCATCACTCACTTCTACTTTCTTCCTTCCCAAAAATCCTGATTCCCATTTGGGGATACATGTAGTTTTGAAGCAGTTGACCAATGGACTTATGGAACACAAACTAGTATAAGCCAGACACTCGTTTCATCCCCTGGACATAGTGTTTGGTTGGGGGTGGCCATATAACCCAAAATGTTGAAATCAGACTGAATCTTAATACTTTGGCTTGGGAATACTGGGGGGAAATGCTTTTCTTTGACACGAATGGGGTAGTGTGTACCCCTGGAAGTAGCAGCCATGTCCCTCTTTTAGACCAAGAAGAGAGAGTGGACCTGAGAATGGAGTCCTCATTGAGGATGTCGAGCCGAGAAATAGAGAAAGAGAGCAAGAGACTGAATGAGCAGCATAAGGCTCACCCAAGGCTAGATTTTCAGTTTTTGCCAAACTATACAGTTACATTGTTCGGTAAGTTCCTCTTATGTTTGGTTAATACTACTTGGGCAGGTTTTCAGTGAATTGCAAACAAAGAATTCTATCGTAGAGAAAGTATTGTTATAATTTTTATCTGGTTTTTCAAAATGAACAAGAAACATTTTAAAATATAGCAGTGCACTAAACAAAATGGGTGGGTTGGATTGGTCCACATCACTACACCAGATGGAAATGTTCCCCAGAAAGTGCCCTGAAATGAATTGTTTAAGGTTTTCAGCAGTTCCTTACTGCGAATGATGTCACCTGCTTCTATTTTGAAAGAGGAAAAAAGATATCCACTTTCATGCATTTGTTTCCTGATCTGTAGTTGACAAGAGAAAGAACCCTGGAAATAAAATTGTTGCAGGTGGCTGATGATTCCGATCCGTTAGCCACATGTGATGAAATAGAGACCTTGGTTTGTAAAGAATGCCCCTCCAGAGGATCGTGAGCTTAGGAATTGAACACCACGAAGAAGCACGAGGAGCCTCAGCCCACAGTGTCTTCTCAGCACAGTTCCTTTGATTCCCAAGGCTGAATCTCTGGAGCAAATGCCTTTGAAACAATACAACAGCCAAAGTGCTAACAGGGAGAGTTACATTCATCATCCAAACTGCTGGACTTCTTCAGTGGCCTTGCCTTCTAGACCAAATGCTTTAGTACCCCAAAGCATTCTTTGTACAGTTGGTTTGTGAAGATTTTCCCCAGATTTGGAGTAGCCAGGCAAGAGGAGAATAATCCTCCAGAATGGCAGCTCTTTCTTGCTACAAACATCATCAGATTTGCCTGGGACACTTAGTGTGGGTCCTCCCCATGTCTACCGGGTATGATGGAGAAGACAGAAGCTTGGGCCATGCCATCATTAAACAGAGTGCTTAGTTAGGAAGACAGGAAATACTGTCATCCTTCCTGCTTCTTCCCCAAACATGTTTTTGCCTAATACACTCCTACTTATCCTCAGCTCAAATATCACTTCCTCAGAGATGCCTTCCCTGGTCAAATCCCTGTAACACAAACTCTTATAGTCCCATGTAAATCTCCTTTGTAGCATTACTTGAATGCTACACTTGAATTTTATATTTGCTTGTGAGCTTTTTTTAACAAATTAAAGTCAGTCTCTCCCACAAGACTCTATGTTCCTAGGAGGCAGAGATTGCCTAAGACTTTATTGTTTAACAAACACTTATGCAAGTTTTACTATGTGTCAGGCAATTTTTCAGTAGTTTACAATTACCTCATTTAATTCTTATAGTGATTTCATGAGGAATTATTATTGTCATTCATATGGAGGGAACTGAGTCCCAGAGAGGCAGAGTAACTTGGACAAGCCCACAAAACTAATGACTCCCAGAGCCAGGGTTCAAATTTAGGAAGTCTGGTCTCAGAGTCCATACTCTTAAGTATTATGCTATGCTGTTTTGATCACCATCATATCCCCATTACCTAGCACAATGTCTGACATATTATATGCTCAATGAACATTCATTGAGTAAAGTAATGAATCTTGTACTTTATAAATCTAAGTCAAGCAACCTAAAAAATACCTGATAATCACACCTTGACCTAACTCATATTCATCAAGTTCATACTGCATATATGAAAAGATGGTTATAGCCCCAGTGTGATTTTTTGACATTCTTTATGTACCTTTTTCTTTTTTTTTCTTTTTTTTTAATTATACTTTAGGTTTTAGGGTACATGTGCACAACGAGCAAGTTTGTTACATATATATACATGTGCCATGTTGGTGTGCTGCACCCATTAACTCATCATTTAACATTAGGTATATCTCCTAATGCTATCCCTCCCCCCGCCCCCCACCCCCCAACAGACACTGGTGTGTGATGTTCCCCTTCCTGTGTCCATGTGTTCTCATTGTTCAATTCCCACCTATGAGTGAGAACATGTGGTGTTTGGTTTTTTGTCCTTGCGATAGTTTGCTGAGAATGATGGTTTCCAGCTTCATCCATGTCCCTACAAAGGACATGAACTCATCATTTTTTAAGGCTGCATAGTATTCCATGGTGTATATGTGCCACATTTTCTTAATCCAGTCTACCATTGTTGGACATTTGGGTTGGTTCCAAGTCTTTGCTATTGTGAATAGTGCTGCAATAAACATATGTGTGCATGTGCCTTTATAGCATCATGCTTTATAATCCTTTGGGTATATATCCAGTAATGGGATGGCTGGGTCAAATGGCATTTCTACTTCTAGATCCCTGAGGAATCGCCACACTGACTTCCACAATGGTTGAACTAGTTTACAGTCCCACCAACGGTGTAAACATGTTCCTATTTCTCCACATCCTCTCCAGCACCTGTTGTTCCTTGACTTTTTAATGATCGCCATTCTAACTGGTGTGAGATGGTATCTCATTGTGGTTTTGATTTGCATTTCTCTGATGGCCAGTGATGATGAGCATTTTTTCATGTGTTTTTTGGCTGCATAAATGTCTTCTTTTGGGAAGTGTCTGTTCATATCCTTCGCCCACTTGTTGATGGGGTTGTTTGACTTTTTCTTGTAAATTTGTTTGAGTTCATTGTACATTCTGGATATTAGCCCTTTGTCAGATGAGTAGATTGCAAAAATTTTCTCCCATTCTGTAGGTTGCCTGTTCACTCTGATGGTGGTTTCTTTTGCTGTGCAGAAGCTCTTTAGTTAAATTAGATCCCATTTGTGTATTTCGGCGTTTGTTGCCATTGCTTTTGGTGTTTTAGACATGAAGTCCTTGCCCATACCTATGTCCTGAATGGTATTGCCTAGGTTTTCGTCTAGGGTTTTTATTGTTTTAGGTCTAACGTTTAAGTCTTTAATCCATCATGAATTAATTTTTGTGTAAGGTGTAAGGAAGGGATACAGTTTCAGCTTTCTATGTATGGCTAGCCCGTTTTCCCAGAACCATTTATTACATAGGGAATCCTTTCCCCATTTCTTGTTTTTGTCAGGTTTGTCAAAGATCAGATAGTTGTAGATATGTGGCATTATTTCTGAGGGCTCTGTTCAGTTCCATTGGTCTATTTCTCTGTTTTGGTACCAATACCATGCTGTTTTGGTTACTGTAGCCTTGTAGTATAGTTTGAAGTCAGGTAGAGTGATGCCTCCAGCTTTGTTCTTTTGGCTTAGGATTGACTTGGCAATGCGGGTTCTTTTTTGGTTCCATGTGAAATGTAAACTAGTTTTTTCCAATTCTGTGAAGAAAGTCATTGGTAGCTTGATGGGGATGGCATTGAATCTATAAATTACCTTGGGCAGTATGGCCATTTTCATGATATTGATTCTTCCTATCCATGAGCATGGAATGTTCTTCCATTTGTTTGTATCCTCTTTTATTTCATTGAGCAGTGGTTTGTAGTTCTCCTTGAAGAGGTCCTTCACATCCCTTGTAAGTTGGATTCCTAGGTGTTTTATTCTCTTTGAAGCAATTGTGAATGGGAGTTCACTCATGATTTGGCTCTCTGTTTGTCTGTTATTGGTGTATAAAAATGCTTGGGATTTTTGCACATTGATTTTGTATCCTGAGACTTTGCTGAAGTTGCTTATCAGTTTAAGGAGATTTTGGGCTGAGACGATGGGGTTTTCTAAATATACAATCATGTCATCTGCAAAGAGGGACAATTTGACTTCCTCTTTTCCTAATTGAATACCCTTTATTTCTTTCTCCTGCTTGATTGCCCTGGCCAGAACTTCCAACACTATGTTGAATAGGAGTGGTGAGAGAGGGCATCCCTGTCTTGTGCCAGTTTTCAAAGGGAATGCTTCCAGTTTTTGCCCATTCATTATGATATTGGCTGTGGGTTTGTCATAAATAGCTCTTATTATTTTGAGATACATCCCATCAATACCTAATTTATCGAGCGCTTTTAGCATGAAGGGTTGTGGAATTCTGTCAAAGGCCTTTTGTGCATCTTTTGAGATAATCATGTGGTTTTTGTCATTGGTTCTGTTTATATGCTGGATTACGTTTATTGATTTGCATATGTTGAACGAGCCTTGCATCCCAGGGATGAAGCCCACTTGATCATGGTGGATAAGCTTTTTGATGTGCTGCTGGATTTGGTTTGCCAGTTTTTTATTGAGGATTTTTGTATCGGTGTTCATCAGGGATATTGGTCTAAAATTCTCTTTTTTTGTTTTGTCTCTGCCAGTCTTTTGTATCAGGATGATGCTGGCCTCATAAAATGAGTTAGGGAGGATTCCCTCTTTTTCTATTGATTGGAATAGTTTCAGAAGGAATGGTACCAACTCCTCCTTGTACCTCTGGTAGAATACGGATGTGAATCCTGGTCCTGGACTTTTTTTGGTTGGTAAGCTATTAATTATTGCCTCAATTTGAGAGCCTGTTATTGGTCTATTCAGAGATTCAACTTCTTCCTGGTTTAGTCTTGGGAGAATGTATGTGTCGAGGAATTTATCCATTTCTTCCAGATTTTCTAGTTTATTTGCATAGGGGGGTTCATAGTATTCTCTGATGGTAGTTTGTATTTCTGTGGGATCGGTGGTGATATCCCCTTTATCATTTTTCATTGCGTCTATTTGATTATTCTCTCTTTTCTTCTCTATTAGTCTTGCTAGCGGTCTATCAATTTTGTTGATCGTTTCAAAAAACCAGCTTCTGGATTCATTGATTTTTTGAAGGGTTTTTTGTGTCTCTATTTCCTTCAGTTCTGCTCTGATTTTAGTTATTTCTTGCCTTCTGCTAGCTTTTGAATGTGTTTGCTCTTGCTTGTCTAGTTCTTTTAATTGTGATGTTAGGGTGTCAACTTTAGATCTTTCCTACTTTCTCTTGTGGGCATTTAGTGCTATAAATTTCCCTCTACACACTGCTTTAAATGTGTCCCAGAGATTCTGGTATGTTGTGTCTTTGTTCTTGTTGGTTTCAAAGAACATCTTTATTTCTGCCTTCATTTTGTTATGTACCTAGTAGTCATTCAGGAGCAGTTTGTTCCTGGATATCCTTGTTAACTTTCTGTCTCGTTGATCTGTCTAATGTTGACAGTGGGGTGTTAAAGTCTCCCATTATTATTGTGTTGGAGTCTAAGTCTCTTTGTAGGTCACTAAGGACTTGCTTTATGAATCTGGGTGCTCCTGTATTGGGTGCATATATATTTAGGATAGTTAGCTCTTCTTGTTGAATTGATCCCTTTACCATTATGTAATGGCCTTCTTTGTCTCTTTTGATCTTTGTTGGTTTAAAGTCTGTTTTATCAGAGACTAGGATTGCAACCCCTGCCTTTTTTTGTTTTTCATTTGCTTGATAGATCTTCCTCCATCCCTTTATCTTGAGCCTATGTGTGTCTCTGCACATGAGATGGGTTTCCTGAATACAGCACACTGATGGGTCTTGACTCTTTATCCAATTTTCCAGTCTGTGTCTTTTAATTGGAGCATTTAGTCCATTTACATTCAAGGTTAATATTGTTATGTGTGAATTTGATCCTGTCATTATGATGTTAGCTGGTTATTTTGCTCATTAGTTGATGCAGTTTCTTCCTAGTCTTGATGGTCTTTACAATTTGGCATGTTTTTGCAGTGGCTGGTACCGGTTGTTCCTTTCTATGTTTAGTGCTTCCTTCAGGAGCTCTTTTAGGGCAGGCCTGGTGGTGACAAAATTTCTCAGCATTTGCTTGTCTGTAAAGTATTTTATTTCTCCTTCAATTATGAAGCTTAGTTTGGTTGGATATGAAATTCTGGGTTGAAAGTTCTTTTCTTTAAGAATGTTGAATATTGGCCCCCACTTTCTTCTAACTTGTAGAGTTTCTGCCGAGAGATCCGCTGTTAGTCTGATGGGCTTCCCTTTGTGGGTAACCCGACCTTTCTCTCTGGCTGCCCTTAACATTTTTTCCTCCATTTCAACTTTGGTGAATCTGACAATTATGTGTCTTGGAGTTGCTCTTCTCGAGGAGTATCTTTGTGGCATTCTCTGTATTTCCTGAATTTGAATGTTGGCCTGCCTTGCTAGATTGGGGAAGTTCTCCTGGATAATATCCTGCAGAGTGTTTTCCAACTTGGTTGCATTCTCCCCATCATTTTCAGGTACACCAATCAGACATAGTTTTGGTCTTTTCACATAGTCCCATATTTCTTGGAGGCTTTGTTCATTTCTTTTTATTCTTTTTTCTCTAAACTTCTCTTCTCGCTTCATTTCATTCATTTGATCTTCCATCACTGATACCCTTTCTTTCAGTTGATCAAATCAGCTACTGAGGCTTGTGCATTCGTCATGTAGTTCTCGTGCCATGGTTTTCAGCTCCATCAGGTTCTTTAAGGACTTCTCTGCATTGGTTATTCTAGTTAGCCATTTGTCTAATCTTTTTTCAAGGTTTTTAACTTCTTTACCATGGGTTTGAACTTCCTCCTTTAGCTCAGAGTAGTTTATCTTCTGAAGCCTTCTTCTCTCAACTCGTCAAAGTCATTCTCCATCCAGCTTTGTTCTGTTGCTGGTGAGGAGCTGCGTTCCTCTGCCCTCTGATTTTTAGAGTTTCCAGTTTTTCTGCTCTGTTTTTTCCCCATCTTTGTGGTTTTGTCTACCTTTGGTCTTTGATGATGGTGACATACAGATGGGGTTTTGGTGTGGGTGTCCTTTCTGTTTGTTAGTTTTCCTTCTAACAGTCAGGACCCTCAGCTGCGGGTCTGCTCGGTGTGCTGCACCCACTGTCCTGCACCCACTGTCCAATGCTCCCCAGTGAAATGAACCTGGTACCTCAGTTGGAAATGCAGAAATCACCCATCTTCTGCGTTGCTCACACTGGGAGTTGTAGACTGGAGCTGCTCCTATTCGGCCATCTTGGCTCCACCCCCCGAAGCATTTTATTTTTAAAGTGGGTGCCAGAGGAGGTATTAGTCTGCTTAGGTATCATAACAAAATACCAGAGACTGGGTGGGTTGAATAACAGATGTTTATTTCTCGCAATTCTGAAGGCTGAAAGTCCAAGATCAAGGTGCCATCAGGGTTGGTTCTTAGTGAGGCCTCTTTTCCTTGCTAGTAGATGGCCACCTTCTTTCTGTGTCCTCTTATGCCTTTCCTATGTTCTCTACCAAGAGAGAGATCTGGTGTATCTTGCTCTTCTTGGATTAATGCATTACCCTTAAGACCTCCTTTAATCTTAATTGACTTCCTGAAGGCCTTATCTCCAATATAACCACATAGGGGTTAAGAATTTAACTTAGGAATTTTGAGGGGGAAGACACAATTGAGTTCATAACAAGAGGACTCTATTGTTCAAAGTTGTCAGTATCACTAAAGACAAGGAAAGGCTGGGAAACTGTTCCAGAGTAAAGAAGGCTAAAGGGACATGGCAGTGAATTGATATGTGATTATAGATTGAATTTTCTACTGAAGAAGGAAAATGCTATAAAGGATGTTGGGTCAACTGACAAATTCATGTACAAACAGCAGGTTGAATGAAATGGTTGCATCAATGTCAAATTCTTGTGATGGATAACTGTACTGTGATTATGTTGGAGAGTATCTCTATATATAGAAAATACATGCTAAAGTTTAGGAATAAAGACCTATGGCGTATGCAACTTATTCTCCACTGATTTTTAAAATGTATATATAAAGAAAGCAAATAATAAAACAAATAGGGAGGTGAAATGTCAATACCAGATGAATCTGGATAAAAGGTATGCCATTTTATGAATTTGAAATTATTTTCAAATTAAAAGCTAAAGAGAGAGAGAGAGAAGCCAAAAATGTGACAAGTGGGGTTAAGGGGCCTTCTCCCTTATAACATCTTTCCTTTACCTTTAGGGCACTTAAGATAATTTGTAATTAGAGATTTATTATTATGATTGATTGCTTATTTGTCAACTCCCATAGAAGACTGTGAGCTTCCTGAGGGCTTTGTCAGCCTGGACCATCACTGCATCCTTAGCACCCAGAACAGTGAATTGCAGGCAGAGTGCACAGCAGGCAGAATGGGGGTGATATGATTTGGATTTGTACTCTTAAAAGATGCTCTGTACGAAAAGAAAAAAAAATACAAATTTTTGGAAGGAATTGTAGGTAATCCTTTCCCCATCTAAGAATCACAGACCTATCTAAACCAATGAATAGTATGCAGAAGATTTAAGAAGGCAATTCAACTTCTAAGGAAACAAAGCATCTTGACGGCAACTATTTTTATACTAATAACAAATGCACCTTAGAGGATACTCCCTAAAGTAAGTAAACTAACTTTAGGGAGGATACTCCCTAAAGTTTTCCCAAATATTAACCTCTTCTTACCCATACTTTTTAAAACTTTTTAATTTGTAAAACTCCAATTATTAGACAAGAATAATAAGGTTGCAATTGTAATGCCAAACAGAAGCAAGAACAATAAAAAGCACTGAGCAAAATATTTGTTTACCTGTCTGGAGGCTACTGCAATGGTCCAGACAAGATAGAGATAGATAACAGTGACTTGAGTTAGGGTAAAGATGAGAGAAAATGGGAAGAGAGAGAAGGGGAGGGATTTGTGAGTGATTTTGGAGGTCATCTTAACCTGTTTTGTACTGGTATAACAGAATACATGAGCCTGGGCGATTTATGAAGAACAGAAATGTATTTCTCACAGTTCTGGAGATTGTAAAGTCCAAGTTCAAGTCACCAGCATCTGATGAGAGCCTTCTTGCTCCATCCTCACATGATGAAAGGTGAAATGCAAAAGAGGATGAAAGCTGTGTCCTCACATGGCAGAAGAGTGGAAGAGAGCAAACCCACCACAGAAAGCCTTTTTGATAGTGTCATTTACTCGTGAGGACAGAGCCCTCATGACCTAACCACCAACACTTCCAAACACTGTTACATTTGGGATTAAGTTTTCAACACAAGAATTGGGAGGGACACATTCAGACCATAGCAGAGATAAATTTGTTGTGCACATAGATATGCCCCCTTTCCTGCAGAGCAACTAAGGAAGTTTGATAGCATCTGGGGCTGTAGGGAGAGGTTGGATTGACTATGTCAGGAACTTTTTAAAAAGCCCCTTTTCTTACTCTCAACCTATTGAATTTGAATATCTAGTTTATATTTTTGTTGGGTTGAAGGAGGTAAATAAGCATTTTGGCTGGATTGCAGGCCCCATAAGGGACTAAAAGGAAGCAAAAACTAGTAAACAGTGCTCATGAAGTGCTCCATTATCTACTAACTAAGCCTAATTATTTCACTGTAATTTGGATATTCCATCTGAGGATAACCGAGAGTTGACTGTACCTGCAATGAATACATTAGCTCAATAATGTGGTGAAGGGGCCCTTGTAGCCCTTCAAGCCTTAGCCAAGCAGCCTCCGAAATGCATAAAGGAAAAAGTATTCCCTTTGTCCTCCTTTTATATCTCCCAAGGTAGCCAGGCTGGTGTCAGTCCTACAAGCAATCACCTATTCACTGCTACAGTCAGAATCCTGGTGAAATTATGCCCATGCAAATGGTTTTCTGGGTGCCGTACTGGCTGCAGCAAACAAACTTGCAAAGAGGCCAAATCCAGGGACCAATGGTTAGATGGACCAGAGCCTTAGCCCAGGAGAAAAAAATCCATCAGTCAAACATTAATAAATATTTGTTGAATACCTCCTACATACTAGCAAGACACATAGTTATGGTTCTTAAAAATGGGCAATATTCAATACTTCCCTCAAAAGACAGCTGGAAATTTATAGAGGCTTTTTTTGTTGTTGTTTAATGAAGAAGTGGTGATGATGCTCCTATAATTTTGTGGGTGGGAAGCAGGAAAGCTAAGCATTCTGCAATGTGTGAGGCAATCTACACATACTAGAAGTGCCCTTCATAAAATGTCCATAGTACTCTTATGGAGAAACACTGTGCCAGACTGAGGCACAGTGAGTAACCCAATGTGAGGAGGACATACCCTATCCCTGCCTCAAGAGTTAGCTGCTACCAGAGCGCAACTGACACCCTTCTGCTTACACCCTTCCTCCTTATTATTTCCTTGGGAAGAATGAATTATAACTTCCATTCTAAAGATGAGGAAAAAGATAGACTGGCCAGAGGTCAGAACAGTTAACAAGTGGCAAAGCTGGGACCCAATGGCTTGACTCCACAATTCCCTCTGAGGATTTCATGGAGTTCCCTAATGAACAACCATAAAAGAGAAACTTTTATGCTTAAACTTCCAATACAAGTCAGCTCTCAACTCAACTCTCCACTCTGGAGCAGACCAGAAATGTGGATTTGGGTGACAGTGTTCCTTATAAAAGAAATAATATTCAAGATTCATAAATTTTAGTTTTTAATTGAAATTTTTGAGATAATTGTAGACTTGCATACAGTTATAAGAAGTAATGCAGAAAGATCCCATGTACCCTTTACCCAATTTTCCCCAAAGGTAGCATCTTAGAAAACTATAGTACAAAACTCACAACCAGGATATCGACATTGACATAATCCACCCATATTATTCATATTTTCCTTTATTCGTGTATGTGTGTTAAGTTCTATACAATTTTAGCACATATAGGGGTTTGTGTATCCATCATCACAGTCAAGATACCAAATAATGCCAACACAAGGATCTCTCTTGTTACCCATTTGCAACCACACTCACTAGCCCCCCCCAACTATGCCTTCTTGTCCCTAAACCCGTGAAACCCCTAATTTGTCCTCTATTTCTAAACTTCATCATATAAAAATATCATATAGATGGAATCATACAGTATGTAGCCTTCTGGAAGCGGCCTTTAAAATTCAGCATATATGACAAGGTTGCAGAGAAAAAGGAATGCTTATACACTGTTGGTGGGAGTGTAAATTAGTTCAAGCATTGTGGAAGACAGTGTGGCAATTCCTCAAAGACCTAAAGACAGAAATGCCATTTTACCCAACAACCCATTACTGGGTATATACTCAAAGCAATGTAAATCATTCTATTATAAAGACACACGTATGTGCATGTTCATTGTGCCACTATTCACAAAAGCAAAGACATGGGATCAACCTAAATGCCCATCAGTGATAGACTGGATAAAGAAAATGTGATACATACACACCATGGAATACCATGCAGCCATAAAAAAACAAGATAATATCTTTTGCAGGGAAGGAGGCCATTATACTTAGCAAACTAACACACGGGAACAGAAAACCCAATACTGTATGTTTTTGCTTACAAGTGGGAGCTAAATGATGAGAACACATGGACACATAGAGGGGAACAAAACACACGGGGCCTTTCAGAGGATGGAGGGAGGGAGGATGGAGAGGATCAGGAAAAATAACTTACAAGTATTAGGGAGGATGGAGAGGGTCAGGAAAAATAACTGATTAGTACCTGGGTGATGAAATAATCTGTACAACAAACCCCCATGACACAAGTTTACCTACATGATAAACCTGCATCAGTTAAAAAAAAAAAAAAAAAAAAAAAAAAAAAAAAAAAAAAAGGCCAGGTGCAGTGGCTCACACCTGTAATCCCAGCACTTTGGGAGGCCAAGGCAGGCAGATCACGAGGTCAGGAGTTTGAGACCAGCCTGGCCAATATGGTGAAACCCCATCTCTATTAAAAATACAAAAATTAGCTGGGCATGGTGGTGCGCACCTGTAATCCCAGCTACTGGGGCAGCTGAGCCAGGAGAATGGCTTGAACCCAGGAGGTGGAGGTTGCAGTGAGCCAAGATTGTGCCACTGCACTCCAGCCTGGGTGACAGGGCAAGACTCCATCTCAATATATATATATATATATATATATGTATATATATATATATATATATATATGATAAAAAAATAATAAAATTTAGTATATATCAATAATTTCTTCCTTTTTGTTGCCGTGTAGTAGTCCACAGCATAAATATACCACAGTTTGTTTAACCATTCACCCATTTAAAGGTCTCTTGGATGGTTCTAGTTTTGATCTATTAAGAACAAATTCTGCTGTAAACATTTATGTACAGGTTTTTGTGTGAACATACGTTTTTATTTCCCTGGGATAAGTGCCTGATATCACAATTGCTGTGTCATATAGTAATTGCATGTTGGGTTTTGTAAGAAACTGCCAAAATGTTTTCCAGACTGTACCATTTTACATTCTCATCAGCAAAGTATGAGTGACTCAGTTTTTCTACATCATCACCAACATTTGTTTATTTCACTACTTTTTATTTTAGCCATTCTTGTATATTTTATAATGATATCTTAGTTTTAGTTTGCATTTTCCAATAACTATTGATGTTGGAACATCTTTTTATGCATTTAGTTGACATCTGTATTTCCTTTATTCTAAAATATTTCTTTTGACTTTTCCCCATTTCTTTTTTTTTTTGTCTGGGCCTAGGTGTAGGGAGGAATTGATTTCAAGGGGTTTTCAGGAACTTTCAGAAACAGCAGCTCATCAAAAAGTGGACAAAGGGTATGAAAAGAACAAAGAAGACATTTATGCAGCCAACAAGCATATGAAAAAAAGCTTAACATCACTGGTCATTAGAGAAATGCAAATCAAAACCACCATTAGATACCACCTCATGCCAGTTAGAATGGTGATTTTTAAAAAGTCAGGAAACAACAGGTGCTGGAGAGAATGTGGAGAAATAGGAATGCTTTTACACTGCTGGTGGGAATGTAAATTAGTGGAAGACAGTGTGGCCATCCCTCAAGGATCTAGAACTAGAAATACCATTTGACCAAGCAATCCCATTACTGGGTATATAACCAAAGGATTATAAATCACTCTACTATAAAGACACATGCACACATATGTTTATTGCAGCACTGTTCACAATAGCAAAGACTTAGAACCAACTCATTTCTAATTACATTGTTTGATTTTTTTACCGTTGAGTTTTAAGAGTTCTTTATATATTCTAGATACTAGTTCTTTTTGGCACACATAGTTTAGAAATATCTTCTACCAGTCTGTAGCTTGCCTTTTCATCCTCTTCAGGTGGACTTCACATAACAATTGCTTTTAATTTTGATGAGGTCCAATTCATCAGTTTTTATTTTATGGATTATGTTTTGGTGTGAAGTCTAAAAACTCTCTGCCCAGCAACAGATCCCAAAAATTTTCTTCTCTGTTTTTCTCTAAAAGTTTTATAGTTTTAAACCCTGGAAGACAACTGGGCAACCCCATTCAGGAGATAGGCACAGGCTAAGATTTCATGACGAAGACAGCAAAAGCAATTGCAACAAAAGCAAAAATTGACAAATAGAATCTAATTAAACTAAACAGCTTCTGTGCAGCAAAAGAAACTATCAACAGAGTAAACAGGCAGCCTACAGAATGGGAGAAAATATGTACAATCTATACATCTGACAAAGGCCTAATATCCATTATCTATAAGGAACTTTAACAAATTTATAAGAAAACAAACAACCCCATTAAAAAATGGGCAAATGACATGAACAGACACTTTTCAAAAGAAGACATACATGCAGCCAGCAATCATATGAAAAAAAAAGCTCAATATCACTGATAAGAGAAAGATAATTCAAAACCACATTGAGATACCATCTCACACCAGTCAGAATGACTATTATTAAGAAGTCAAAAAATAACACATGCTAGTGAGGTTGTGGAGAAAAAGGAACTCTTATACACAGTTGGTGGGAGTGTAAATTAGTTCAACCATTGTGGAAGATAGTGTGGTGATTCCCCAAAGACCTAAAGACAGAGCTACCATTTGACCCAGCAATGCCATTACTGGGTATATACCCAAAGGAATATAAATCGTTCTATTGTAAAGACACATGCATGCACATGTTCATTGCAGCAGTGTTCACAATAGCAAAGACATGGAATCAACCTAAAGGCCCATCAGTGATAGATTGGATAAAGAAAATATAGTACATATACACCATGGAATAGTATGCAGCCATAAAAAATGAGATCATGTCTTTTGCAGGGACATGGATGGAGCTGGAGGCCATTATCCTTAGTGAACTAATGCAGGAACAGAAAACCTTAATGTTCTCCCTTATAAGTGGAAGCTAAATGATGAGAACACATGGACACATAGAGGGGAACAACACACACTGGGGCCTATCAGCATTGTGAGTGGGAGGAGGGAGAGGATCAGGAAAAATAACTAATGAATACTAGGCTTATTACCTGGGTGATGAAATAATCTGTGCATCAAACTCCCATGACACAAGTTTACCTATGTAACAATCCTGAACTTGTACCCCTGAACTTAAAAGTTAAAAAATAGAAGTTGTATAGGTTTATGTTTTACATTTATAATCTATGATCCATTTTGAGTTAATTTTTAATATATTAACCATTTTTTATATTGGATACCCACAGATATAAAGATGGGATCAACAGGCACTGGAGATTCCAAAAGGAAGGATCGAGGGGGCTACGGGTTGAATAACTACCTATTGGGTACTGTGTACACTATTTGGGTGATAAGATAAATAGAAGCCCAAACCTCAGCATCATGCAATATACCCATGAAGCAACCTGCACATGCATACCCTGAATCTAAATTAAAAAATAAAAATAGAAATGAATTTAAAATAAACAATTTTAAAAACATATCAATTTTTGTAACTTTTTGAGGATGAGGTTTTTATTTTTTGCTTATGGATGTCTAGTTGCTCCGACTCTTTTTATGGAAAAGGCTATCCTACTTCTATTGAACTGCTTTTGCAACTTCGTCAACAATATAATTGTGTGTGTTTCTATCCTATTCCATTATCTATATGCCACCTACCTATGTATCAATACCACACTATCTTGATTATTTTAACCATAGAGAAGGAGTTCATATTGGGTACAGTAATTTATCCCACTTTATTCTATTTTACAAGATTGTTTTAGCTATTCTAGGACCTGTGCCTTTCTATATAAATTTTAGAATAAACTTGTCAATGTCTACAAAATAAATACCTTGCTAGGATTGTGATAAGAATTGTATTAAACCTAAAGATTAATTTGACGATAATTGACATTGTTACTATACTGAGTCTTCTGATCCATGAAGACACTACGTCTTTCCACTTAATTAGGTCTTCCCTGATTTCTTTAATCAGTGTTTTCTAATTTAAGCATTCAGAACCTATGTGTTTTGTTAAGTTCATACTTACATATTTCATTTATTTCAAAGTGACTGTAAATAGTTTGTGTTTTTAATTTTACTTGCTGCATGTTCATTTTTTAGTATATAGAAATGTAATTTATTTTTGAGTGTTGATCTATGTACTGTGACCTTGCTAAATTAATTTGTTAGTTCTAAGGAAATTGTTTGTAGATTATTTGGGGTTTTCTACCTAGACAGTTCTGCCATCTGTAAATGAGAACATTTTATTTCTTCTTTTCCAACAGGTATGCCTTTTATTTCTTGTTCTTGCCTTATTGCAGTGGCTAGAAATTCCAGTATGATGTTAAATAAGAGTAATGAGATGAAAATCCTGGCCTTTTTCTCAATCTTCGGAAAAAAGAGCATTCAAAATTTCACTATTAAATATGATGTTAGCTGTACTTTTTTTGTAGATGCTCTTTATCAGGTGTAGGTAATTATTCTTTGTCCTAAGTTGCTGAGAGTTTTTATCATGAATTGGTGCTAGATTTTTGCCAAATGCTTTTTGCACATCAATTGATATGATCATATGATTCTCCTTCTTTAATTTTGTATTTTTAGTAGAGACGGGGTTTCTCCATGTTGGTCAGGCTGGTCTCAAACTCTCACCTCAGGTGATCCGCCCACCTCAGCCTCCCAAAGTGCTGGGATTACAGGTGTGAACCACCACGCCCAGCCCTGTTTTCAATTTCTTTCCCCATCTTTTGTGTTAATGTGAAAGCTATAACATTTTCCTTTTTTAAAATTGTTTTTGAAGAGGTAGTAACTGGTGCCTGCAATAGACTGTATGTGTAAGTTGCAGAGAGACAGAAAAATGAACCGGGTGTCAACAGAAGGAGTATTCACATTACTCTTACAGTAAAAATACTAATTATCCCATTTTGAGTGAAATGTAATGAAAAAGTAAAGCTTTCTTTAACAGGTCTTTTCAGTAAGGAGAAGACCTAAAGATCTATATCAGATATATTTTCAAGAGTTTTACTTTCTTTTTTTTTAAAAAAAAGATGGGAACTTGCTATGTTTCCCAGGCTGGTCTGGAACTCCAGGTCTCAAGCGATCCTCCCATCTTAGCCTCCTGAGTAGCAGGGATTATAGGTGCGAACCACTGCAACCAGCAAAAGCTTTATACTGTGGAAGGTGAACTAGTGGTTGACATGTTGGATTACATTGACTGAATTTTTAATGTAATTTTTATAATTATTATAAGTAGTAACTACCAAACACTTATAGTCTTATCTCATTTAAACCTAACAATAGTCATGTGAGATGGGTACTATTATTATCAGCCCAATTGTACAAAGGAAAAAAAATAAACTCAGTTTAGGGAACTTGCATAACATCAGTCAATAAAGGGCAAATTTGGGAAGTGAACCCTGGACTGGTTTACATCATTTACTTTGCCTTCCCATCCTGTTAGCCTCCCTTCAAGTGCTTATCAGAAATTCTTTAGTATGGGGGCTTCTACTATTGCGTAAAAAAAACGAGGAACTTGACTATACTAATTTAGGCTCTTCACAAAGATTAGGAGCCTCTCCTTTCTTGTTCTTGAACTTGAACAACAATCTGTTTCCTGGAAATCATTAAAACTGTTGTTGAGTCAGAGCCACAGCTCTTGAAAATGTCTTCTTGAGAACTGTGGGTGGGTAGGGGTCACAGAGGCAGTGATGATTAAACTCAGTTATTCCAATTTCAGGATTAGCTTGAGTGGCTGACTGAGCCCCCCATCCTAGAGATAATACTGTCTTATCGAGCTGCCCTTAAAAGGATTCATGTGTGTGCAAAATCCGTCATTCTCCTTTAGCGACATACTGGAATTATGGACCCTCTGATGACTCAGAAGGGGCTTTCAAAGCAGAGTAGGAAAAGCTACTTCATGCAATTATTTTCCCCAAATGATTAAATTAAGCTTATTTCTCTGTTGATGGAATTTTCTTCATTTTTTCAAATAAACAACCGCAGGATTTTTTTTCCTCTAGTTTGCTGAATAGTATACTTACAGACAAAGGAGATGTTTGACATAAACACTTTGGTAGCAGAATTTACAGTGTTTATTAGATTTCCCTTTGTTTTCTTGATTAATCCAAATAAACATTTCCCTCCTCTTTTAAAGGAAAAAAGTATTTGGGGCCAACTCTTTGAGATCATTTCTCTCTGGCTTTCGCTCTTGCCCTTGCTCTCACTCTTGCTCTTGTTCTCTCTCACTCTCTGTTTCTTTGTAACCCATGACCCCACCCTCTGTATCTCACATGTATCTCTTTCTTCACAAGCTCTCCTCCCTAACTCAGTTTTATTCTTTTACTTTCACATAAAAATTTCAAAGAAAGACATGTGTCCCAGCTTCTTTAGTTTTTATTCCCCCAAAAATGGCTTCAATGACTATGTCTCATAGTATTTTGCTCAGTGGACTCGAGTTTTGCACTTACCTCCCTTCCCCTTAAAAGCTATGACCCCCACCGCGGATCACGAAGTCAGGAGATCGAGACCATCCTGGCTAACACGGTGAAACCCCGTCTCTACTAAAATACAAAAAATTAGCTGGGCATGATGGCAGGAGCCTATGGTCCCAGCTACTCGGGAGGCTGAGGCAGGAGAATGGCGTGAACCCGGGAGGCGGAGCTTGCAGTGAGCCGAGATCGCGCCACTGCACTCCAGGATGGGCAACAGAGCAAGACTCTTGTCTCAAAAGAAAAAAAAAGTTATGACCCCCACCAGTCCATGGGCAGTCGGAGGCCATTTCACCCTCAAGGTATCAGAGAAGGGGCTCACTTCTTGACTTCCCTCCAGTGAGTCCAAAGCCCGAGGGGTTTCTTTTATTTGGTTTCCTAGGCTCATTTATACTATCTGCTCATTTTCCATCTCTGTCTGAGAACCTTAGTCAATTGAACAAGCTCTCATATGTTCATCTAAAGCAGAAGTAAAGAAAAAAAAAAGTAAAATAAACCACTGCCTCCAGTTGTCTGTGATCCAAATTCTGTGGAGGTAAAAGAACCCCTTTCTGGAAAAATAATTGGGCCAGCCAAGGGCTGCCATTTAGTACTGGCAAAGTGGACAGCTGCCCCCTGAGGACTAATAACCAACTTCCCTACTTACTCAGATTCAGACCTTTAGATCTCTTTCTGTCCCAATCACAGGGGCTGACAGGGGAGGTATAAGGAAGAGTAGAGGCACATTGGCTGTCATCTTCCTAGACAGGGAAATTACCTGAGCAGGTGCAGCCATAGGAAGTAGGAGAGAGAGCTGAGGGGTACAGTGTCCCAGGCCCTTGTAGGCAGTGGATGAAAAATCACACTGCAGCAAGAGGAAGGCCTCAGGAGACTGAACTGAGGTTTCTCTAAGCTAACAGTAGCAATATTGCAAACTTGCTTTTGGCTTACTGTAGCCAAGGTCTAACCCCAAATCTTGTGTTTTCCTTGGCTAAATAATGTTCCCTGTCATGTCCAGGTGATTCCCCAGGCCTCTTCAGAAGTATTTCTGTGTCCTGGCCATCCGACCTGCTGCATTTTTTTTTTTTTTTTGAGACAAGGTCTCACTCTGTCACCCAGGCTGGAGTGCAGTGGCACAATCATAACCTTTAAATTCTGTAACCTTTAACTTCTGGCTGTAATCATATCAACCTTTAACTTCACTGTAACCTTTAACTTCTGAACTCAAGACATCCTCCTGCCTCAGACTCCCAAGAAGCTGAGACTACATATGCATGCCACCATGCCTGGCTAATTTTTAAAAATGCTTTGTAGAGACAGAGTCTCACTATGTTGCCCAGGCTGGTCTTGAACTCCTGGGCTCATGTGATCCTCCCACCCTGGCTTCCCAAAGTGCTTGGATTACAGGTAAGAGCCACCATGCCTGGCCTCCAAATTCTATTTCTCTCACAGAGAAGAATTCCATAAGGAATAGTAATGTGTGGTTGAGTGAACCTTTAGCTGGCAAGATATTCTGGATTCTGACAGCTGCAGGACAAGAACACATTTCTTGGCCACCAATAATGTATGTGTTTGTGGCTTCAGCAATGTATCTCCAAAAATATATATGCTGATTGGCTAAACCACAGAAGTTAGTTTGGCCTGGGCTGGACTGGACCAAGTTAGAGCAGAGGCAAGCATTGTGAGATATTCATAATACTGACGTTGGCTGGGATATAAGCATCTCCTCTACCTCATCACCTCCATCCCTCTAATTATAAAAAATAATGGGGCAGAAGGTAGCTAAGGACAGTGTAAAAACAAAAATTGCAGAAAGGAGATGGAATAAGATAAGCCTTTGCATAGAAAGAAGCTCAGAACTCTCTGGCTAGGCGGGAATTGGCAGTTAGGTTTCAAGAAGTCTGAGGAGCAGATAATTCTGGTGATTGGATAAAGTTAGGTCAAAGACCAAGGGATCAGGAGTGTTCTGGTGGTTAGAAAAGCCAGCCCAACCAGGGGCTACTTACTAGGGAATGAGTTGCCCTTAGGAGGTGTTACACCAAATTTTTTTCTGGAATAGGAACACCTCCTGCATACACCAATTGTAATAATGACCAATCAACATTTATTGAGCCCATGGTATGCACCCGTGCTTGATCAGGGTATAAGATACTAGACCATGAGTTCACAGACCAGTGGTGGAATTTCCATCACAATCCAAGGTGCTCACCACCTCCTGATTGCTGGGCTCTCTCTTGGGGATTCAGCAGTGAACAAAGCAGTGTGGCCTCTAGAGACAGCCTTGTTTACCAAAATCTTTTTCTTCTTTTTCCCAAGCACATGACTAGACTACATTCCCCAGCCTTTTTTTGAAGTTAGATGTGGTTATGTGATTGCGTTCCAGCAAACAGAAAAGAACAGAGGTGATGTGTGCCACTTATAGACCTTGCCCATAAAAACACCTAAGGTGCATGATCTTCTCTACTTTCTCCCATTAGTGGGCTAATGGAAGGGGACTTTGGAAGCCACATGTGAAAGATGCCAGCTCCCCATCACCTCGGTCCTAAATGACTTCACAGAGCGGAAAACATAACACTGCCACCTATCCTTGCTATCACCAACTATATGTGAGGGATTTTTCTCTTCCTGGAGCTAGCATTATCTTTTTAAGTGTAAGTTTTTAAAAGTTTTTTAATTGACAAATAATAATTGTAAATATTTATGGAGTACATAGTTGTGTTTTAATACATATAATGTATCATAATAAGATCAGGGTCATTAGTATATCCATCATCTTAAATATTTATCATTTCTTTGTTAGAAACATTCAATATCCTCCTTCTAGCTACTTGAAACTATATGACACATTATTGCTAACAATATCTTAACTCCAAAATCAGTGGTCCTTGCTCTCGTGGATCTTGCCATATAGTGGGTATAAAGTAGAGGAGTTTCTAGAGTCCTGTGGAAACATAAAGGAGAAAGCGATCAACTTGGCATAGGGCAATAGCAGAAGACTTCTCATAGACTGTAACATTTGAGATAAGTCTTAAAGGAGAAAAAGATTCCCCATAAAAGATAGTAAGTCAGGCTGAGGGCAGCATATGCAAGGGCTCCAAGATTAGAGAGCTCAGTGAGACTATGGCTGAAGAGCAGAAGGCAGTGGGGTTGAGGGAGGCCCATCAGTGTTCAAGCACTGATGAGAAATGAAAAACTGCCAGGCCACTGTGGGGATATATGCCTAAGTGACCCCAGGCATCAGTGTATTTAGAAACATCTGGAGGCTGGGTGGAGGCCAGCATGAGACAGTCTCTTTCATGATGTCAATCCAAGCCAATCCCCAGACAAGAAGACCAGGGGCCAAGAAATAAAGGCTGTGACCTCGGTTCTTGCTGTTGGTGAGTCTGGATTTTCTGACCCCTACCCTGTACCCTTTCCCTCAACACTCTCACCCCTATTTTTACTGGGAAAGGAGTTCAATTAGTGGTCTTTCCCTAACCACTCCCATTTACAGAGAATGTTCTTCTAGGCAACAATCCACAGGCTGTGCTCTGCAGCTGTAGCCTGTGAACACCTTCCAGGAGGCAGAATCCTAGGAGGCAAGAAGTCGAAGGAAAAGAGCAGCCACCTGCATGTCTTGTTGTGTCTGATTAATTTCAAACAAATATTTCAATGCTTCAGATGTTCCTGGACAGCTCTCCAACATCCTGCAATTAACCTAAATGGATATGCTCCATGCAGGAAGATGGAATGAAGGTGACTCCAATCTCAGGGATGAAAATAAATAAGTAAAACCATAGACTGAACTGGAAGGGAACTTTGAGATCACCCCAGTTGAAATGCCTTGTGTAACAGATGAGAAAACTGAGGTTCAGGAAGGGGTCATAGCTTGTCTTATGTCAGAGTGAGTCAGTAGCACAGACTGGGCCTCCAGGTCTCAATTCCCAGCCCAGTACTCTTTCCACTATACTAATCAAGCATCTAGACCGGTTGGAAGAAGCATGCTGAAAGCTACTGATGAAGGAAATAGTGGGTGGTTCCAAGGCAGGAAAGTTTAACATCCAGCCAAAATGTTACAGAAAAGAGTCAGTCACATGCTTTCTGTTTATAGTCTTTCCACTGGGCTGTGTGTGTCTGAGAACAACAGGCAGAGGAAAAATTAATTCAAGCCTGTGCCTGGTCTACTTTGTAGAGGAAGGAGACAGTCATCTCTCTGATATAACTTGAGGGGTGCTGATGAGCCTCTCCTGGCCCAGATGGTCTTCCCCATCAACCTACTATTTCAGGTATGCATTACCTCTCCTATAGGCTGCCTTTAAAAGAGCCTTGGAAAGAAAAAACTGAATGCTGTTTTCAGCGACTAAAATCTTGTGAATTAGGTCTTTATTTGATTTTCAGGGATTCTATAAGTCCACACTGAGGAAAGTAGCAAATGGTATAAGCCAGGAATCTGACCAATAGATCATGGAGTGCTTGGATTTCCTTAGAACTCTCCTGTCCATCTAGAGAAAGTGCCTGCTTTGGAGACTAACTGCAGTGAGAAAAGAGCGTAGAGACCTGGATGGGGCCTAGAAATCCAGACAGCCTCATACTGCAAGTCCCAGGGAGCTCTGCTTTGTGCACATTTCAGTTGTATTCACTGTCATCCTGAGGTCTCACTGACCACACCCTTGAATTCACCACACAAGGAGTCCTTTTTTCGCCTCTTCTTGCACCTGGATTCACCATGATCATTCCTACTTCTGATCCCTGATGTTAGTATAGTGGGTGATAGCTTATAAAATTCTCTCTCCCTGTATCTTACAAGGGAGGTAACACAGGTAATCTCGTGCTCATAATTTTACAAATAGGAAACCTGTGGCTCAGAGAGATTATGTGACTTTAACAAAGTCAAAAAAGAAATAGAAGTCATTGTCAAGTCAACCTGGAACCTAAGTGTTCTTTCTGTCTCCAAATCACATCTTCTTTCTCTACACCAGAATCTCCCAAAGTGTTCTTCACAGAGCACAAGTTTATTGAGAATTATATTGGCAGAAAGAGAGGTTTCATGATCTAATAAGCATTTGCTTCTTTTTCTAATCTCTTTGTGTTGATACACTAGGCACATCAGCATATCAGAGGATCCGAGAAGTAACCTGTATAATCTAGAGTGTTCAAAAGGTACTTATGAATAAAAAAACTCACATTAATCAGGCAGTTACTATGCCAGGCCCTATGCTAAGAATTTTACTTGCATTAGCTTATTCTATTCTCCACACAATCTTATGATCTTCATACTGTGTTTATCCCCATTTTACCAATAATGAAACTGAGGCTCTCAGAGATAAGGTGATTTTTCCAAGTTTGCACAGTAAGAACAAGACAAGAAGGGTTCCCAAAACCAGCAGACTATTATAATATTTAGCCACAGAAACTTTCTACCCATAAACTCTGTTTACATCCCTCAGAATTAGCCTCTTGCAAAGGCAATTTTGAGAAATACAGTCCCGCTTTCACCAACTTCTTACCTACAACCTTGACTTGTTCCTACTGCCTCATCTTTCAACACCCAGAGTCACCCATAAATGATGTTACTTTCAGCCACTGAGCAGTGAACCCACAGGCTGGAACATAAGACAGATATTTGGCTACTGGGGGAAACAAAAGGTAGGGAGAGCATGAGCACTGTGCCAGGAAAGTAGCCAAAGACTGAGGCCCTGAAAGATGAGACAGGAGGGCATCATCAATCAAACATGCCTGTTTCACAGTTTTGTTTGTTCTATATGTTCAGAGGCCAAATCAGAACAGAATTTCCAGTTGAATCTATCAAACCCATCTTCTCTCTACTCATCACAGTAACTGGGGTGATATATATCTACTGCAATGTCTGCTGCTGATTGCAATGCCAGGTGAATGGACCAAGGTTGATTGGTTCAATCGAAAGTAGTGATTGAAACTACTGTATAATGATCCCACCACTGGGCGTGGGCACACGCACACACACAAACACACAGAAATTCACAGTGCCAAGAAGACTGGCTGGTGAGGTGGATTCAGTCAAACAACTAGTCAATTTAGTGGATAGAAAAAAAGTAGTAAGTCAAAGTAAATGCCTGACTAAACTGGTCTGTCAATTCAACCCACTCACTCAGTCATCAGAAAAGCTCCAAAAGACACAGCTCAGTTGTCTTTGGGCATATGGAGAGAGATAATGAGGCATAGAACTCAGAGGGCAAAAGGTGAATTGCAACACAAAATATTTAAGTTAAATGTAAGAAAAAGCTTTTTGACACACTTATGAGTGAGAACAAGCTATACTTCTCTGTCTGTGCCTGCCTTGTTTCACTTAAGGTAATAACCTTCAGTTCCATCCATTTTGCTGCAAAAGACATAATTTTATTCTTTTTATGGCTGAAATAGTATTTCATTGCGTATATATACCACATTTTCTTTAATCAACAATTGATGGACACTTACTTTGATTCCATATTTTATCTGTTATGAATAGTATTACAATAAACATATGAGTGCAGGTGTCTTTTTAATATATTGATATCTTTCCTTTTGGATTGATACCCCGTGGGACTGCTGAATTCATTGGTAGTTCTATTTTTAGTTATTTGATAAATTTCCATACTGTTTTTCATAAAGGTTATACTAATTTACATTTCCACCAACAGTGTACAAAAAATTTCCTTTACTCTGCATCCTCACCAACATCTGTTGGGTTTGTTTTTTGTCTTTTTAATAATAGCTGTTCTGACTGGAGTAAGATAATATCTCATTGTGGTTTTGATTTGCATTTCTCTGGTGATTAGTGATGTTCAGCATTTTTTCATATATGCGTTGGTAATTTGTCTTCTTCTGAAAAATATCTGTTCATGTCCTTTGCCCACTTTTAAATGGGATTATCTCTGTGGTTTTTGTTGTTGTTGTTGAGTTGTTTGAGTTCCTTGTATATTCTGGATATTAATCTCCTGTTGAATGAATAGTTTGCAAATATTTTCTCAAATTCTGCAGGCTGTCTGTTCATTCTGTTGATAATTTCCTTTGCTGTGCAGAAGCTTCTTAGTTTAACAAAGTCTCATTTGTCTATTTTTTTGTTTCTGTTGCCTGTGCTTTTGAGGTTCTTTGCCAAGACCAATGTCCAGAAGAGTTTTCCCTAGGTTTTCTTCTAGTTTTTTATGGTTTTGAGTCTTATGTTTAAGTCTTTAGTCCATCTTGTGTTCATTTTTGTACATGGTAAGAGGTAGGGTTCCACCTTCATTGTTCTGCATATGGCAATATAATATTCCCAGCACCATTTATTGAAGAGAGTGTCCTTTTCCCAGTATATGCTTTTGATGGCTTTGTCAAAGATCAATGGCCTGTAAATATATGGCTTTATTTCTGGGTTCTCTGTCCTGTTCCATTGATCTATGTGTCTTTTTATACCAGTACCATGCTGTTTTGGTTACTACAGCCTTGTAATATAATTTGAAGTCAGGTAATGTGATGCCTCCAGCTTTATTCTTTTTACTCAGGATTGCTTTGGTTATTTGGGCTTTTTTTTTGGTTGCATATGAATTTTAGAATTAGTTTTTCTAATTCAATGAAAAGTTAACATTGGTATTTTTATAGGGATTACATTACATGTGTAGATTGCTTTAGACAGTGTGGTCATTTTAACAAAAATAATAAAGCAAAGTTAGGATCAGTGTCTTGACTTTTAGGCATGTTGAGATGATCTCTTTTTTTTTTTTTTTTTTTTTTGGATCTCAGCTCACTGAGCTGCAAACTCCGCCTCCTGGGTTCACACCATTCTCCTGCCTCAGCCTCCCGAGTAGCTGGGACTACAGGCACCCACCACCACACCCGGCTAATTTTTTGTATTTTTCACAGAGACGGGGTTTCACCATGTTGGCCAGGATGGTCTCAATCTCCTGGCCTCATGATCCACCTGCCTCGGCCTCCCAAAGTGCTGGGATTACAGGTGTGAGCCACCGCGCCCAGCCTGAGATGATGTCTTTCTAACAAAGCCATTCTGGATCCTGATAAAGCTGTCTTCTTGCTGCCAGACAAGTCTGGCTGATCCTCATATCGATCAGATATTAACCAAATATTAATTGATACTAGTTAGATATTAATCCAATCTATAAGCACGGAATTTTTTTCCATTTGTTTGCATCATCTCTGATTTCTTTAATCAGTATTGTGTAGTTTTCCTTGTAGACATCTCTCAACTCCTTGGTTAAATTTATTCCTAGACATTTTTTGGGTAGCTGTTGTAAATGAGATTGCCTCCTAGATTTCTTTCTCAGCTAGATCGTTATTGGTGTATAACACTACTAAATTTTGTACATTGATTTTGCATCCTGCAACTTCAATGAATTTGTTTATTAAATATAAGTTTTTTTGGTGGAATCTTTAGGTTTTTCTAGATATAAAATTGTATCATTGACAAACAAGGATAATTTGACTTCCTCTTTTCCAATTTGAATGCCTTTTATTTATTTCTCTTACCTAATTATTCTGGCTAGGAATAGAAGTGATGAAAGTGGGCATCCTTGTCCTGTTCCAGTTATTAGAGGAAAGGCTTTCAACATTTCCCCATTCAGTATAATGTTAGCTGTGCATTTCTTGTATATGGTCTTTATTATTTTGAGGTACATTCATTCTGTACCTAGTTTGTTGAGAGTTTTTATTATGAAGTTATATTGAATTTTATCAAATTTTTTTTGCATCTATTGAAACGATCATATGATTTTTGTCCTTGGTTCTGTTTATATAATGTATCACATAACTGATTTGCATATGTTGAACCATCCTTGCATTCTTGGTATAAAACCCACCTGATCAAGGTGTATTATCTTTTTGATATGCTGTTGGTTTCAGTTAGCTAGTATTTTGTTAAGAAATTTTGCATCTATGTTCATCAGAGATATTTCCTTTTGTTGTTATGTCCTATCCTGGTTTTGGTATTAGCATGATATTGGCTTCATAAAATGATTTAAGGAGGATTCCCTCTTTCTCCATCTTGTGGAATAGTGTCAAAAGGATTGGTACCAATTCTTCTTTGAATGTCTGGTAGAGTTCAGCTCTGAATCTGTCTGGTCCTGGACTTTTTCATTGGTAATATTTTTATTACCATTTCAATCTTGCTGCTTGTTATTGGTCTGTTCAGGGTTTCTAATTCTTTCTGATTTAAGCTAGCAGGGTTGTATCTTTCCAGGAATTTATCCATCTCCTCCAGGTTTTCTAGGGATGTTTGGGATACTATATGAGGAACAGCCAGCTCTGCCTGGCAGCAAGAAGAAGACAGCTGTTTCTGATTCAGGGATAGCTTTGTCAAAAAGAGACCATCTCAAGGTGTCTAAAGGTCAAATCACTGATCCTGACTTTGCTTTGTTATTTTTGTTAGGATGTAGAAAGTATGAGATATAAGAAGCCCCCTTTATTTTAAAAAAGAGGGTGAGAAGAGCCACATGAAAAAAAAACCACAATCTTCCTTTTTTATTTTTCTAAACAAAAAAGGTGAAAAATTTTTAAGTTGCTAAAATTACTATGTCATGGTTACTTGTTAGATAATTTCACTAATGCAATTAGAAATAAAAGCAAAGCACTTGATATTGCAACTAGGCCAAGGCGATAAGAGAATGGAAGTTGCTTAAGTTGCTTGACGTATGCAGATGGAATGGTGTGTCAGCTTTTTAACATCTGATGTGTGTGAGAAATATTCTCTATCCAAGATCTTTTGACAAGATCATGGTACTTCAGATGACTACAGTTCTAAAGCTGGGTGCACACAATCACCAACCATAGTGATATATATTTATACATTTCTCTCTTTGAGCTATTTCTTTATTAAAATGGTTCATCTGCTCATAACTGTTATACCTGTGGACTGTCATCGTATACCTGAGTGTTCATGCTTGCAAAAATATGTATGTTGTTATGCCTATTTTGTTGTATGAAGTGGCCTATGAGGTATTCTATCATGTTTGTATGTTTCTCAATAAATCTCTCTTTTTAAAATGTAAGTAAATATCTTTTAAAGTATATCAACTTATTTTTTCTAGAATTATATTTTCAGGATTTTGATTTTTGGAATTCTAGAATTCAAGAATTTTTAACTTTTTGGATTTCAACATTTAGGATTATGGTGTTTGGGATTGTGTCTTTCAAGATTATGATCACCTCCCTCGGAAAAGTACTACCTAAGAGAGCAGCAATTAAAATTTTTCACCTGTGCTGAATGGTAAAAAAGGAACCAGCTACATTCTGCCAGCAGTAAGTCAGTTGGCACCAGCTTTATCTGTGAAGAATGAGACACCATCCACCCCTAAAATAAAGCAAACCAAAAACAAACAATGACTTGGAATCCACGGTTGACATGGAAAATTTTTTGTTTATCGAATGCATCAGGGGATCTACACTTGGGGAGCTCATTAATTTAATTGGATTTACAGCTCCATTCTCGCAGGGCTCATTTTGCCATTCTGAAACAAGAATGGAGGAAATAGCCAACATGTACCAGTTATCTGTTGCTGTGTTACAAAGCACCCCCAAATTTAGTGATTTAAAACAACCACCAGTTATTTGGCTCATCGTTCTGTGGTCACCCAGGGCCAGGATTAGAGTGAGCTGAAGTGAGCTTCCTAGGGCACAAAACTGAAGGAGGCATTTACTCTTAGGGTCATGCTGGCAACCCTGTACTTGCATGACCCTCAAAGTGAGTGCCTCTTCTCATTTTTTGCTTTGAATGCCTCACTTGTCTCACCGTAGTCCCAGCCCTGATGGTTCTTCTGGTCTAAGCCAGGTGGAGTAATCACTGCTGGAGTCTCTTTTTCTCTTTTCTCTTGAAAGAAATTTATTTTTTCACCCTGAAAAATCTTTTTTTGCTTGCTTTTTCCAAGTAATTTTAGCCCTACTCACTCTATGTGTTTTGCAGGCCATACAAAGACTCTATTTGCCTATGGGTTATTTGTAATACAGTTGACCCTTGAACAACACAGGTGCTGACCTCCACCCACAAGCAGTGAAAGACTTGTGTATAACTTTTGACTCCCCAAAAGCTTAACTTCTAATAGCCTACTGTTGACTGGAAGCCTTACCAATAATATAAACAGTTGATTAACATATATTTTGTATGTTATACCTAGTATATACTGTATCCTTATAATAAAGTAAGCTGGAAAAGAGATTGCTATTAAGAAAATCATAAGGAAGATAAAATATATTTACTATTCATTAAGTGGAAGTTGCTCATCATAAAGGTCTTCATCTTTATCATGTTCATGCTGAGTAGGCTGAGGAAAAGGAGGAGTTGGTCTTAATATCTCAGGGGTGGCAGAGGCAGAAGACAACTTGTGTATGAGTAAACCTACTCAGTTCAAACTCGTGTTATCCAATGGTCGACTGTATTCTGATTTTTAACAATTTCATTTTCTTTTATAAGTGAAGTGAGTTATAAACCCAGTTGAAATGATAGAAATTAGGCAGTACTTTAGAGTGTCTATTTGATTTATTTGTTAAAAGAATTGGTACAGTTTAAACTACAATGTAATCTACCCCATGTCTGGAGGAACATTGGAACTACTTGACAGTTCTTTCATGTTCACATATCCTCCTGGAAAAAGTAATGATTTTATAATAAAGCCCTTATGCAAACACAATGTATCCTGAAAAATATTAATGATATTTTTATAATTGGTCAAATGGGGGAAAATCTCTATTGGTATTAATTAGATATATTGATGTTATTCACTCCACTGCTAAAAAAAGGTAACACTACAAAGACTTCATATCCAAGTTTTAAAGGAACTTTATGTTATAGACTATTAATTTTCCCTAGGAATCAACAGATGAATAATTTGAAAATGGACACTATAGTGGTGCATATATAAAAAGAAAACTATAAAGCACTTTAAAATATCAACTCTGAGTTTTATGGGTCATTAGCTCTCCAATTCCATTGGGTTCTTTTATGCTGTTGTAGTCAGCTTGCCAGTCAGCTAGCAGAGATGACCAAGGATAGCCTCACTCACTTATCCAGCATTTCTTAGGCTATTGGCGGAAGCAGTAGGGGTGACTGGACCACAGATCTCTCTTTATTCAGCAGGTTATCACGGGCTTCTTCACTTGTGTCCTTCACAGGATTCCTATAAACAATGAAAGAGAACAAGTCCCAACGTGTAAATAATTTTCAAATGTCTGTTTGCATTACATGTTCTGTAGTCCCATGGTCAAGGAAAGTCACATAGCCAAACCCAGATTCAGTGGGGATAGGGACTATACAAGGACATGGAGCAGGGAAATATGAACAAATTTGTAGTCGTTGCTATACCAATCTACTACAAGGCCCAAAGGTGAATTACAAAAATAGAAAAGAATGGCTGTGGTGAATGCATCAACCGAATAAAGAACTAAATTTTAATCAAGAGAGGAACAGAGAAGAATTTTCTCCAGACTGCATCAGCCACACAAGAAGGAACTTCCTCACTGAAGAAATGAAGTTGGATTGATGTTGCATATATATCCCTCAGAGGTTCACACATGGATTTTCAAAGAACCTGTCTCATGTGTGAATTTTTCCCTAAATAACTACCTGGCCAGAACCCTGAGAAGGACATCTCCAACACTCCCACAGGGCATACATCACAGAAGGGCTTAGGGATTCTACCTATTGCAATTCCTCCTCTCCACTAGGTTGAGAATCCTTGTTTTAGAGGAAAAGCAACCTTAACTCGTACCACTAAATATATAAATACCATTTCACCATTGGATGTAAGGACTACTTCTGTTTGAAACTCAACCGCTCTCCAAATCTGCATCCAGTTGCATAAACAAAGGGACTTACCTTTTTCTTAATTGGTTCCAGGTAGAATTTGACATATAAACCAATAAAAGAAATATCTAAATATTTTCTCCTCCTTCTAACCTCATCTCCTATTTAGTTAATTCCTATTTAACTCCTAATTTCCTATTTAACTCCCATATCTATCTGGAATTTGGAACCAGATACAGTGAATCACATTGCCCCAAATGTGTCTTCAAGCAACTCTATGGCTATTTTGATGGTGATAAAAGATGTTTTATCCCTTCTTTGGAACTCTGAAGAGCAGAGTTCTGAAGAGCATGTTCCTTGCCTGCTAGGTGTTTTCTTTTTTTTTTTTTTTTTAGGTCAATATAGTTTCCATTTTTACTGTGCATACACGTATATACAATGTATTTTAAAAATGGGCTTTACAATATGTAGTTTGATCACTTGGTTTACAACTAAATATATTGTGAACATTTTCTCTTCTACAACAGTTAAAAGAATTGAATAGCTTGGAGGAAACACAATTTATTAAGCAATCTTGTTGGGGACATTGAGGTATAATTTTTTTTCTAAGGAGACTTCATTCTTTTTACAATGCCTTTGGGAAAAAAAGGGGAGTCCTTGTCTTACATAGCTTTCTATAGATGATGGAAACTTGCCCTTCCATTTAGCCTTTTTACTTGCTTCTCTACCACCACCTAATCACCAATCAAGTAACCCATTTTGTTTTTCAACCTCTCTCTTCTATTTGCTTCCTCTTTCCTACCCAGTCTCCCTGCACACACGCAGATGGACTTCCATTCCTTCAGCACTCTGGTTCCTCCCCTTAAAGATGTTTTCTTTCCTTTTAAAAGAGACTATTTTAATTGATTTTGATCAACTCTACTCAAAACTGTATTCTAAGGTCCACATTAGAATTAGTCTTTAATAATCTGAAGATGTAATTCAATCATTTAAAAGAACATATTAAGAAGACCTTGGTAGAATTACATGTACCAAGAAACACCAGGCCTTGCACAGTTGCTCACGTGTGTAATCTCAGCACTTCGAGAGGCCGAGGCGAGTGGATCACAAGGTCAGGAGTTCGAGACCAGGCTGGCCAATATGGTGAAACCCCCGTCTCTACTAAAAATACAAAAAAAATTAGCCGGGCATGGTGACACATGCCTGTAATCCCAGCTACTTGGGAGGCTGAGGCAGGAGAATGGCTTGAACCCCGGATGCGGAGGTTGCAGTGAACCGAGATCGCGTCATTGCAGTCCAGCCTGGGTGACAGAGTGAGACTCCGTCTCAAAAAAAAAAAAGAAACACTGGACTTGGGCACAATGGAGATATGGCTGACTTTCTTTTGAAAAAAGAAGTAGTTTTTTGGGAGAGGGCAGGGCAAAGAGGTAAGAAGTAGTTAGTTCTGTAAGGAAATGTTAGAGACCGTTTTGGAAATGTATTCATTATTTTAAGGCAACTAACAAATGATCATCTTTCAGTTAGGACATTGTAGCAGCAGCCTTTACGGGTCATGAAATTTGCATAATATCTAAAATTGTATTTCTGGAAATAGGTCAATGTCGATTAATAGTAGCTTTGTATAGAAAGGCAGATGCCAGCTAGCATAAAAGTGGTAGTACGTGCAGACGGTGGTAGTTCTGGAGTCCTGGAAGCCACGAGGTGCTCATCCATCACAAGGCCATCACAGCCGGGTAGAAATGCCTGAGGAAAGCAGCGGAGCTGACCGTGCCAGCATTTACACAGGGAACACTTCTTGGGCAGCCAGGTGTCATGGGGCACAGACCCACAGTTCTCTTTGCGCACATCGTGCTCACAGTTCCGTCCGTAGAAGGAGGGAGGGCAGGCACAAAAGGACTCCAGCATGCAGGTTCCCCCATTCAGGCAGCAGGTTCTGTTTAGCTCCTTACTGTGCTGTATTCCCATGGGCAGCACACGCTGGGAAGACCGAGGCCGAATTGCAGGCTCCTCCTGGGGCCAAATGCTGTCATCTCTGAAGGCCAGGTCTCCCCGAGATGGACGAGCAAATTCCTGATGGCCCAGCCCGGCAACTAATCCCAGTTCAAAGGCTTTAGAAATGGCCATGATCCAAATCACACTGTAAGAGAAGCGGACCATCTTCCTGCAGTCCATAGCTTTTAACAATTAGGGGGAAAAGAGGCGTTAGCATCGCTTTAATTCAGAGTCATTGCCAAAACAGCCAAAGGAAAACATTCATCTCCTAAAGCGAAAATGGCAATTTAAGAAGAAAATGAGAAATTCGCGTTCCCCAGAAGGTCGTAGCAGAAGCAGGAGCAAGGTGTCCAGGGGAAACTGGAGGGCTTTCGGCCTTGGACGTTTTGACCTTGAGCTGGAGACTCAGCCTTTCCGGGGATTCTCCTTCTTCAACAACAAACCCCAGTCGGGGCGGGGAGACCTTTCAGGTGGGCGGGACGCCCACCAGCATGACAATGGCCCACACGCGGGGAGAGGAGTCTTGTAAAACTGTGGTTAACTAGCCCTAATATCTCTATCATTAGTTGCAGGCTAAAATGATCAGATGTACTCTTTTGGGAAAAAAAAAAAGAAAAAAGAAAAATCAGTTTCTCTAACCAAGTTGGTGATTCCAGGTTGGAGGGGTGGTGGAAAGTAATTGCTTTAATTAGGAAAACCTGAAAATGTATGGGTCTCAAGGCATTCGATATTTTATTTTATTTCAGGAAGTTTTACTTCCTGAAATTTGCTTCCACCTTTGTTTCTCCAAAAGGGTGTTTTGAGCCCCGTACTCCCCCTGGGGGATACCCGGGTGGCCAAGAAAGGGGTGCTCTCCGCCTGAGGAGCTAGGTGTGTGTGTCGCCTGCTAGGTATTTTCAATCAAACATTGACAACATTGTTATATGTAAACGGGCAGACAAAGGAACAATTGGATTGCTATAGAATCAGTCACTTTACCTTACATGGCGCGCAAGCTTATCCCAAAACAAATCACTTGGAGCAATTGTCAAAGACATCAAGGGTTTATTCTGAAAGTGTCAGCAGTTTCAGTCACTCATTCTTCCCTGGAAATTATTCCAGATGAAGAGGATCTGAGCAGTTCATTTTCACGTGGTAGAACCAGAAAGCACATTATTCACTGGCGAGATGAGCTGACTGTATTTTATCCATCAACAGTTATTCCCCAGGCAGATTATCAGAATGCAGCTGTTGAAGTAATCATGGAAAAATGTATTCCCACACATGTAAGATAGGTCATCTTCAGATGAAAGACCTTGCAACTGAGGCAGGGCTTATTTGAGAATAAGCACTCAGAGCCCCGTTTTAAGAAAGCTCCTATATTGTTTGCTTAACAAAGGATCTGAAGTGGTAATGGGGGCACCAGGGAAAAAGTTACCCCAGACATTACGGCACATACAGCTTGCCAAAGAGATGGATCAATTCCACCTATTTTAGAGAATGAAATAGTGGGTATTTTCCTGCCATTATGTAGTAGCAACTTTTCCCTTTCACCAAATTTTGACTGTAAATGAGAAAGAAATAGGCCCTTTCGAAACTGAAGGCAATTAATTCCTGCAAGCAAAGTTTCCAAAACTGTTTCCATGACCTTCCCTATGATCCCTAACAACATTGCTCATTCTAGAAAAAAAAAAAAAAAAAAAGTCATTTAAGGACCAATGTTTTCCATCTGCTCTTTGAGTACTCACACTGATTTAATAGGCTTTGGTAGAGTTACCACTAAATTTTTGAAACGCAATTAATTTTGATCATTTCCCACATGTGTGAAGGAAGGTATCCCACTAGGATGTTGGACTTAATCAGGATAATGGTCTTTGGCCTATTCTTTGGGAAGAAGAAAAGTCACTGGATTGTATCATGACTTTATGAGACAGGTAAAGTAGGGTTTGAATGCTAGCCAAAGGAGTTTGGGCTGAGCTTACCCCTCCACAGACATACTCTCTGATTCATTTATACTGATTGTCTTGTTGCCCTTCTAACTTTTATGCTTCTAATTCCTATATTTCCTGTGCTGTTTCTCTACTTGGAATTATTTTCCTCTGTTTCCTTTGCCTATGAACATCCTAATACATTTCAAAACCTAGATCAAGTTCTCTGTCTCCTGAAAAACCTTCCTTGACTGCCTCAGACTAAGGCCATCTCTCTCCATAATCAATAATACTCACACTAGCATTTAGCTGTATACATCTTGTATTGCTCTATGCTGGTTTCTTAAGTCTTAGCTTTGCCCCCCTAATTTGATTATAAAGTGCTCAATGGCAGGAATGATATATGTTATGTTGCTCATTAAATACTTTTTCTTCTACACACACACGCACACAAGAATGTCTTCACATAGGTGACAATAAATGTTAATCATCTAATGTGTCAGTAAGAGATCATTGAAGGCTCTTCTGTAGGTAGATAGGATTTTAATGAGAGCAAAAACCTCAGAATTATTTTGAAACAAATTTAAGGAAACATAAAATATATCGTATTGCTTTCCAAACTGATAAATCATATCCCAGCACAATTAGTTAAATTGATTCATCCTACATGGAAAATTTGTACAGATGTGTCTACTTGGAGGAAGGGTGATAATTTCTGTTTTCTTTGTTCACATGTACATGTAGTCATTTTGGTTGGATAGTCAATCAGTTAAGTGACTGTGATTTATGGGCCATTATTTCCTTCTTTTCAACCAGTGGTTATAATGTCAAACATATATAAAATCTCTGTGGTGAGAGTGCCTGCCATAAGAGCCAAGCTAGCCCAGTGATATAAGCGGTGTCACCACAGTCAGGATGGCAGCCTGGGGAATAAAAGAACTCTGAACTGGAGAACCAGGAAAGTCATATTCAAGTTTAGTCCCTGATATAGCTAGGTGACTAATTAATTAATCACTTTACATCTCTGTGTCTGTTTTCTCATCTATAAAGAAAGGATCAATAGCTCAAAAAAGCCAAGATGATAAAGAGTCACTGCACCTTAAATCTGGCTGAGATGATGTCTGAACAGACAGAAGGAAATTTTTTTCCACCTGCTCTGAGCTGCACCACAGCTACAACACACTAGGTGTAGCTGATAGGAATCAGAAACAGTGCACTACTGTAGGGTTGATCCATCTGGCAACGCCAGGCACACTGTGCCTTACGAACTCGAGCTATGTTGAAAACACAAGCTAGTTTTTATTTATTACTGTCTTAGTTCACCCTCATGTCATCTGAGTCTTTATGGGAAGAGATGTCCTCTAGAGCAGGGAATTTTATTGAATGCTATAAATATAAGCTGTCACCTCATGTCAAAGTTTTCAGGTTTGGTATGGCTTAAAACAACTCTCTTTTAGGAAGAAATTCAAATGTTTAATTGCACAGGCTGTGTTTTATCACAGGCTGTGTTGGGGAAATACAGGGATAAAGATTAATTATGTTGGTCAGATGAGTATTGTACCTCCCCCTACCCTGATTTAAAAAAAAAAAACCCACTGCTAACGACAACCTACAGATATTAACTGGAAGAACGGGCTAAACCAGTATTTTAAAATTTTATACAGTTATTCATTCATTTAACAGATGCTTTCCTGAATACATAATCTACACCAGGAATTGTGTTAAGCACTGCTTTATTAAAAGACAAAATATGGTTCTTGTTCTCCAACCAGGGTTCTGTCTCCTGTTCCTACTACCTTTTCTGGATACCATGGTTAAGATTCTGCAGATATTAGGGCTGTAGGTTGACCTCTTTGGGCTTCCAAGTTAAAACCCTACTACTCATGCAAGGGTTAACCCATCCGAGAGGGTAAAGCCTCATGCAGAAGTCTTCACCGTATTTCTCAGTTATCAGAGTCAAAGTGCACAAATATCAAAAAAAGAAAAGTTAAAAGAAAGGGAGAAAGGCAAGCAAAAATTATACTAAGAATGTAAACAGAAGAAATTTTTAAATAGCCATGAAAATCACGTTAGTCAGCCACAAAAAGGTCAGATGAGTCAAAGTTTCTATGAGCTTTCATGGACTATATGATACTTCTTTCCTCAGCCAAGGTTGGTGTTCTTGGATCTCCAAGGCTCTCATCCACTGTGGGGAGGCCCAGAGATATCCATTAGGGACACAGACGTCCCAAATATTGAATCATTGTTGGCTTCTAAGAACGAGAGAGCAAAAATGAGAGCAAAAACCTCATTCTTCAGGGCCTCAACAACCATTTGTTTAATGTTCCAGTAGTTGGCATTGAGGGATAGAAAATGAAATAATGGGTATCCCCATGGCTGAACAGAATACAGCAACTGGTTATCCAGAGATGAGTGACACTTGAAAATCTAAGTAGAAAGTCAACATCCAGGCAATATGTTGGCAAATAGCAGGGCCCCAACCACTGGGCAATGTGTATGTGACAGGATTCCTATGCCAAGAGGACATAGACAAAGTGGAACTGGGCACTAGATCGTTAAGACAAAATGAACAATCAGGAAACAAGGCTGAAGGGAAGATAACAGAGCTGGAACACAAAGTCAGGTCTCGCCTAAAACAAGATTAACCTAATACCCTTTTCCAGAACATTAGACTAGGTGACTGTTGGTCCTTTCTGACCATAGTCAGGATTGGTCCCAGAGAATGGGTAGAGCTGAAGCCTGCTGGAAGGAGTCAAGCAGCTTCAGTTCTGGGAAGGAGAGACAACAGAGACTTGAAAGCAAACAGCATGTGATACTCAGAGTCCTGCCCTCTGACAGGAAACTAATAAAAAGAATCAAACCAAGGTATTATTGGCTAACTATGTCAACCTTTTCCAGAGCACTCTTACATTTTAATCTAATAAAAGAAATAACTATGTAAATATATGTAAATGTATTTCTGGATGGATTTGAGGGGAAGGTGCAGAAAGTAAGAAAAAGCCTAAGTGTTACCAAGTCTAGGAGTCCCAGAGACACAAATTACCTACTTTGTGTAATGTGAATGTTTTACCTAGATTGCAATTTGAGACTATATTCTGGGAATATGGATTTTTATAGAACTGAATCTGCCTGCTCATCCTAACCTCTGAGAGAAAACAAAGATATGGAGTAGTGGGTGAGGCTCACCTGCAGAATTGAAAGCAGCCAGCTGAAGCCCATCTGGATTTGGATTTGCTATTTTAGGAGTCAGAAACTGTTTATCAGAAACCGTGACATAAGAAATTCTAAATTTTACAACTTGGCTCCATGTTTGCTATTTGTGCTGGCCCATGTCTGTTCTCCTGCAGTGATTAGCCTTCCTATGCCCCTGCTTATTCTCCTGTAGCGATTAGCCTTCAAACCTCTAGAGCGAGGATCAGCAAACTTTCTAAGTGACAAACAGTAAATATTTCAGACATTGTAGACTATCAAAGTCTTTATACAACTGCTCACCTCTGCCATTATAATGCAAAAGCAATCATAGCAAATAAACCAGTGAGTGTGACTGTATTCTAATAAAACTTTATTTGCAAAAATAAGTAGTGGCCTCAAATTTAGACAGTGAAGCATAGTTCACAGACCTCTGCTCTGGACCCCCAAATGGACTATAGACTTATCGTTAGAAACAGCAGCAGAGGTGAGGCACCAGGAAGATTGCTAGTCACTCTGCAATCAAGTTTGGGCAGAAAGAGTCCAAGTAAGTCAGCTATGGAGGAAAGGGAAGCAGACAGAAACTTTGGGCCCTGCTGCTGCAAAGAAAGAAAGAATCTCAGAAAGTAGGTCTGGCTCTTACAATGGAGGTTGAGATTGATCAGTTGGAAATCCTTGTGTGGGACTCTCTGGTCAGTGCCTCACATGGTACTTCTGAAATCACAGCAGAAAACTACTTCCTTTACTTATCCATAGGTCCAATTCTGGAAGGAAAAAAATTTAGGTGAAAGAAAAGTAAAGAAGGAAAATTACCTCAAGGAAGCTTGGAAACAAAGTCTGACTTCCCCTTATTGAAAGAACTTGGGCAAGAAAAAACCTGAGAGTATCTGGGACCCTGGCACAGGGCACTGAGGCCTACAGGGAGATTTGAAAATGTAGATTATAGTTATAATAGCCAAAGGAGTAACTAACAGTCATTAAAAGAACTCCTTTTGAGGTGTGAATTAAACTGTTGAGTTTTTCTTAAACTTCTGTGAATGTACAAATGTTATACTTTCTTCTTCAGGGTTCTTAGCGACTAATAAGTATGCAGACCAACTCCAAACCACATTTAAAATACAAAATAGATGTATATGGGTGAAGAAACATGTACATATGCTTAGAGATTTTTCTATTGGGACATATTTTCAACTGTGCCCTACAAATAACAACTGGATCCTAGACATGCAGCCAAAGTTTGTAGAATCCAACATTAGTCCCTGTGAAAACAAAAACTTCTGTTTCTCACTGTCTTCTGATATCCTAGCAAACACTCAAAGGTGAAGGCTCTTAGGAGACAAAGGATTTGCTATACCAAGGAGAAGGAGTTACAATGTGAGAACGACCCCAACTGCAGTCTCCCTCAAGTCAAAATGATCTGATCCTGTTACTACTTTACTTTCTCCAGAAAGAGAAAGGCACACCCAAGCGGACTGTTCCAACTTAGTCACAATCATGGGGTAAGCCAGCTAAGTAACTTAGGGATGGAGGGGAAGGGAAGTTTACAAAAACACACCCTCAAGCATGTGCATGTACTCTACAGCCAAAATAAATCTGAAGAAGAAACAACTCCTCACTTTCCACATAGTTTTCATTAGGTTTTCTCTCTTTTGTTGTGTGAGCAGAAGACAGTCTCCTTGGTAAATAAGGAAGGCCTGAAACAATCTAGACAGAGCTCATGAATCAGACATGATGGAAAATTGGTGACTCCAATTCATTAACCCAAGCCCATGATCCCTCAATGACAGAGAACTAGAAATTCAACTCTCTTGGTTTATGGAGCCATCTGCATAAGCTGGGACAACTTAGAAACACTAAGACATTTCAAATACACTCAGTTTAATCATGTGCCTGTAGAGTAGGCCTTAATATAAAGAGACTCCATCTATTGCAAACTCATTTGCACAATCAAAGGCATGCTGATATATGTTATGAACGGTGTTTCAAATATGGCTCTCCTTATACCAAGACCATGTTCACAAAAAATAGTCAACTATTTTGGCTGAATAGACCAGAAACGATTTAGGATTTATTCTACCTGCTAGCCAGGAATTAACTAGTAGAACACTTGGAAATTACTATAAAGACTATATGATTTATTATACATTAAATTTCTCATTATTCTATGAGAGAAAATGAGCCTAATTTGTGGCAACAGAGATCTGGTCTTGACAACAAAAAGTCCTTCTGCATTACCTGATATGGTTCAGCTCTGTGTCCCCACCCAAATCTCATCTTGACTTGTAATCCCCATGCGTGGAAGCAGGGACCTGTAATCCCCACATCTCAAGGGAGAGAGGTGATTAGATCGTGGAGGCGGTTTCCCCCATGCTGTTCTCATGATAGTGAGTGAGTTCTCATGAGATCTGATGGTTTTGTAAGTGTTTGGCAAGTTCCTCTTTTGCTTGCTTCTCTCTCCTGCCACCTTATGAAGAGGTACCTGCTTCCACTTCACCTTCCACTGTGATTGTAAGTTTCCTGAGGCCTCCCCAGCCATATGGAACTGTGAGTCAATTAAACCTCTTTTGTTTATTAATTACCCAGTCTCAGGTAGTGTCTATAGCAGTGTGAGAACGGACTAATACACTGCCATAGTGTTTACTTTTTAAAATAGGTTAGCCATTGACTTGAAAATGGATGGGCATACTTGAGTTCTACCCCAGATCTACTACTTGTTTTCTTATGTAAATCTAGGCATGTCACTTAGCCCTCTGATCTGCAGTTCCTCATCTATAAAGTGGAATACTAATACCTATTTTGCATGGTTGTGGCAAAAATTAAAGTGAAATGAGACCATTGCATTGACTGTAACTGAATGCATGCTTCAATTCAACCAATGTTTATTGAAAGGCTACCATGTACAAGACACTGGGAGTTACAAAGATGTAGACAAGAGCTCTTGGGTTAGTGAATGAAATATCCACATACACAATGTGGTAAATAGAGTGCCGTGAAAGCCCAGGAAGAAAGAGCAACTAACGTGTGGGAAAGTTTGAGGTTGGCTTTGATAATTTTGCCTCTAAATAGGAAGAAGCATGTGGTGGGCTACTCTTAAGAGGGCGGAGGTTGTCTAGGGAGTGTATTCCAAACAAGCAACACACTGTGAAGCAGGGCAATGTCTAAATAAAATTTTCTTCAATGACACAAAGCACTTGAAAAACATACAGTGCCCATAATGCCCCCACTCCATAAGTAATTCAAAATAGAAATTAAGTATAAGGAACTACAACTAGGTTCTGAATTTATCCAAGGAAATAATCAACAATTATATAATGCTTACAGCGTTCCAGGCATTGTTGTAGGCATTTTACATTTGCTAACTCGTCTTATCTTTATAGCAATTCTATGAGACAGATATCATTACTATCCCCCATTTTACAGATGAAAACAGGGGTTACATAGAGGTCAATTAACTTTCCCAAGGTCACATTTTTGATAAGCATCAGAGACAGGATTTGAACCAAGTTTATGTTCTTAATTGCTATGTTATTCAGCCACTTTGAGATTTCTCTCTCTCTCTCTCTCTCTCTGTCTCCTCTCTCACCCTCCTCTCTCCCTCCCTCCCTCCCTTCCTTCCTTCCTTCCTTCCTTCCTGCTTGCCTGCCTACCTTCCTTCCCTTCCTTCCTTCCTGTCTTCTGAGAAATCAAATATCAGCAATTTGGCCCTTACAGCTGCTTTTCTTAAACAACTTTAGACATCATGAAAATGTATTCATGCTTCTCAAACTGTGACTTGTGTGATTGTATGATGACAGTATATAAAGTCAGAGACTAAACAAGGCTCCTCTTCATGGAACATCGATTTTAGTGAAGCATATAATGGAGCTAAAATTTACTGAATATCTACTATAAATCAGTCATTTAGGCTTCAATACAACCCCATGAAGTAGGTAATATGATTATTTCCACTTTAATGGTGAGAAACTGAGACTTACAGAGACTAAGTAACTTGTCCAAGGTAACATAGCTAATAAACAATAGAGGTAGCCTAACTTGAATCCTAACTTGAAGCCTGGCAACTGATGCCAAATATTCTTAACTACTATGCTCCATATCTTTAAAGCATAGATAGATAGCAGAAAACAAAATGCACATACATAACATTTTGAAGAAATGTCCAACTTGTAGCCAACTTGTTTAAGCTATAACCTCAGATCCCAACGATAGAGCAAAAATACTATCTTCAATCACTATAGCTACTGAGACGAGAAAAAATGAGAAGCCCTACAAAAATGTGCACATAACCAGAATTGGGTGGGACTGGCAGATTCAAAGGGCCCCATTCATATTGACTACCAAAAACTGTCTTGTGAGCATCAAATTCTGGTTCCCTGTATTAGTTAGGGTCCCAAAAAGAAACCGATGACACATTCAAGTTAGGAGAATTTCAGGGGAGTTGCGATAAGAGACTATATGAAAGTAAATGAAACATAGGGGACACACAATGGACAGTGCAATAACTCAGAGCTATTAGCAGCAAAGCTGTTATCAGACTTAGATCTGAAGAGACAACAGGGAAGAATGGTTACTAAAGTTAGAAGAAAGTGGTTCAGAGAAGGCTGCCTTGAGAGAAGCAGTGACCTTTGGTTGAGGGACACAGCCATCCCAAGGAAAACTCATAGCAAGAGAACCAAAGGAATCAATACCCTGAACTCATTCTCATCCTTCCCTCTGACCTCCTGTGGGAGCGTCCCATTAGCCAAACTCAGCCAGATGCCAGAGGGCAAAGGAGCTGGTTGATGTAATCAGTATAGTTCAGATTATGAAGGCCAGAGAGCAGGAAAGAATGGGGAAAAGACTGGATTTGGAAATGGCAAATAGAAGATATCCAACACAGTTCCCTTGTGAGGCTGTGAGACCTATCAAAATGTAGTTACCACTTTCTCAGTCTGTTGATACCATGGAGACTCAATATAAGTGGCCTCCACGTGATCATTCCAGCCCACAGACACTAAAATTCACAGTGTGTTAAGATATCACTAGTTGCTCTAATAAGCTCAAAACTCTCAGTGTCATAACGCAGTAAAAGTATTTCACAGTTCAATGTGAATGTTTCTGGATATGAAGGGCTTCCGCATCGACATCAAGAACCCAAATCCTTCCATCTCATGCCTCTGCCCTCCTGGGGGAGCTTGGAATTTTCTCTATTCAGCCAGTAGATGAAGAAATAGACTAAAGTCACTGCTTCTTAACTACTTAGGCATAAAACAACACAAAGCAATTCCTCTAAAGTTCGATTAGAATTAGTCATATAGCCCCATCTAAATGTGAAGGGGGTGGGGATATGCAGTTCCTGGCTAGATAGCTGCTATTCAACAGCAACCCTCCAATGTGAAATGGCAGCAGGAATCTTTGGGGTCAGTTAGGCATCTTTGTCACAGGTAGCTTTTCAGACTGATATAAATGTAAATTATTTATACAGACTAACAACATCCTACCAACCATTTAATCAAGCAGTTATTGCAGGACGCGATAATGGTAGGCATTTTGTGGAAGAGAAAGGAAGTATCCAAGCATAATAACTATCCTTAAAAGATTTACAATGTTTGCAGAGGCACCCAGGTAAAACATCTAAAACTGAATCAATTATTCAGTTGTTTTCCAGTTCCTGATGCTTGGTACCATGGAAATATAAACATACGAATGGTTGATTTAACTAATTCTTTTTTTTCATCTAGATGTTTGCAGGCTTTCTACACAAATTCACATAATTTTCTTTCTGACTAAGATTGATCCATCAGTTTTGTTAAGCTACCAGTAACTTATTTGTTTACTCAGAAAATATAGTCAAGGATTTTTTCTGTAGCTGTAGCAACAGCCTTGAGTCCCATAATCACTACAGATTAGCCCCCTTAGTATTCTAAGGCCATTCATTTAATCCCAAGAAATAGTTACTAAGGAGCCTAATTTTATTATCTCATAAAAAGAAAAGAATTCCAATCATTTAAATGTAATTTTACCCCCAAGATTTCAACCTCTAATTCAATTTCTATTGATTTAGGGTTTTTCTTTTTTCCTTCCATATATCCTTTAAGGGCACCTTAGTTATTTTATTCTTTGAGATTGAATTTTGTGAAAAAGAGCAGTGAAACACAGATCAGGTTTCGTTTGTAAAAGTCAAAGCTGCCTGGCAGAACAATTAGCAAGGAGACCGTGAGAAAGGCTGGAATCCACAGATACTGACAAACATCTGCATTCCTGACATGCCAATCTCATGTTTTATTGGAGGAAAAGTTACACTTCTAATGATGTGAATATGTGATGTTTGTCTTTCCTCTTTAGATTAAGAAAAGGCCATAGTAAGTTTTAAAATAAATAAAGCAGCAGCTACTGTGGGCTGCCACTGAGGACATGGCACAAAATCTATGGAGGCTCCATTCAGAGCTTGGATAATTGAAGGTTGCAGTTGCTTTAAAAATTTAAAATTAGCCTGCCAAACTTTCAACCTCCCCATGTACCACCCAAGAGTTGCTCACAAGAAGCAATACTAGCTCCTGCAAATTGCAGCTCCTTTTCCTGGCCTTTCCTTAAGATATATTAATTAGCAGTGAAAGGGTTGTAGATCTAAAATAGAAGGAAGAGGAGCTCAAAGCCTAGTAAAAGCCCTACATCATGGAGAGATTACCACAGCTACCATACAATGCAGATCAGAGGAAATTCAAATAAACTATCTGACAGAATTCACTGAATATGGGGCTCTGCTGACTGGCTACACTTCCTCTAGCACAGCCTCTTCACCATTTCAATGTAAATGAAAAAGGGCCTTAAGATATTGTACAGTGCAGAGGAACCAGTCCAGCAGCCAGTCTTGTGCTTAGGCAGAACAAGTGGCCATTATGAAGAAAACCAAAGCTCTTTCTTTCACAAATTGAAATAAAATGAAAATATTAATCTCATCAGGGTGCCTGGGGCACTGATGCTTGCCCAAACATTTGGCCAAACATCGTTCCCGGTGTTTCTGGATGGGGTTAATATTAGAATAGGCGAATTCAGTAAAGCAGATTGCCCTCCTTAATGTGAGTGAGTTCATCCAATCATTTGTGGCCCTGAATAGAACAAAAAGGCTGAGCAAGAGGGAACTCCTCTGCCTGACTGTTTGAGTTGAGACATCAGTTTTTTCCCTGCCTTCAGACTAAAAACTGAAACATGGGTTCTTCCTGGATCCCAAGCCTGCCAGCCTTTGGACTGGAATGACTCAGTATCTCCAGCTTGCCAACTACAGATCTTGGAACTTGTCAGCCTCCATAATTGTGTGAATTAATTCAATGTGTGTGTGTGTGTGTGTGTGTGTGTGTGTGTGTGTAATCCACTCATCCTACCCATCCTATTGGTCTATTTCTCTGGATAACCCTGACTAATTTAACAAGTGCAACTTATCATTTAAAAAAATTTATGGTTATTGCTTTTTGTGTATCTAAAGAAACCTTTATCATCTGCAAGATCTTGAAGACTTTCTTGTATATTTTATTCTATAATTTCTACATTTAGCTTTTACATTTAGGTCCATGATCCACTTTAAGTTAATTTTGTGTATGAAGTGAGGTATGAATTGAAGTTCTCTTTCTCTCTTTAAAGTAGTTGTGCCTCAAATCCTTTTTCAAAAAAATAATAAACTTCATTTTTTAGAGCAATTTTAGGTTCACATAGAAATACTAGGAGGCCGAAGCGGGTGGATCACCTTAGGTCAGGAGCTCAAGACCAGCCTGGCCAACATGGCAAAACCCTGTCTCTACTAAAAATACAAAAATTAGCTGAGCGTGGTGGTGTGTGCCTGTAATCCCAGCTACTCAGGAGGCTGAGGCAGGAGAATCGTTTGAACCCGGGAGGCGGAGGTTGCAGTGAGCCAAGATCACACCACTGTGCTCCAGCCTGGGTGACAGAGTGAGACTCTGTCTCAAAAATAAAATAAAATAATAAAATAAAATAAAATAAAATAAAATAAAATAAAAGAAGAAAATTGAGTGAAAAGTACACAGATATCTCACTCCCTTCTCTAACCTCCCCAGCATCAATATCACTTGCTACAATCAATGAACCTACACTGAGACCATACTATCAACACAAATCCATAGTTTACATTGTTTCACTCTTTGTGTTGTAGTGTATGAGTTTTGACAAATGTATATTGACATATATCTATCATTATGGCATCATACAGAATAGTTTCATTGCCCTAAAACTTCCTTGTGCCCCACTTTTTATCCCTTCATTCCCTCAAGTCACTGGCAACCACCAATCTTTTTACTGTCCTTATAGTTCTGACTTTTCCAGAATGTCATATAGTTAGACTCATAGAATATGTATGTAGCCTTTTCAGATTGGCTTCTTTCACTTAGTAATATCGATTTAAGTTTTTTCCATGTCTTTTGATGGCTGGGCGGCTCATTTATTTTAAGTGTTAACTAATATTCTATGGTCTGGAAGTATCACAGTTTACTTAATCCATTCACCTACTGAAGTTTTGGTAATTATGAATAAAACTGCTACAAATATTTGTGTGCAGATTGTTGTATGCACATAAATTTTCAACTTTTGTATTTAACTTTGTATGATACTTCCAAACTGCCTTCCAAAGTGAGGGTACCATTTTGCATGCCCACCAGCAGTGAATGAGAATTCCTGTTACCCCACATGTTCACCAGCATTTGGTGGTGTCAGTGTTTGGGATTTTGACCACTCTAATATGCATGTAGTAGTATCTCACTATTGTTTTAATTTGCAGTTTCCTAGTAAAATTTGATTTTGAGCACCTTTTCATAAGTTTAATTTGCCATCTGTATATCTTCTTTGATGAGGTGTCTGTTTAGACCTTTTGCCCATTTTTTAATTGGGTTTTTCATTTTCTTATTGTTTAGTTTTGTGGGTTCTTTGTACATTTAAAGTAACAGTCCTTTATCAAATATATATTTGCAAATTTTTTTTCAGTCTGTGCCTTATCTTCTAACTCTCTTCCTAGCTTCTTTCACAGAGTAGAACTTTTTAATTTTAATGAAAGTCTAACTTATCAACTTTTTTCAGATATTTTATCAAAGGCACAATCAATGAGAGTCATCGCCAGACCCAAGGTTATCTAGATTTTCTTCTATGTTATCTTCTAGGAGTTTTACAGTTTTGTGTTTTACATTTAAATCTATGATTCATTTTGAGTTAATTTTTCTGAAGGGTGTAAGGTCTATATCTGGATTTTTTCGTGTGCATGTTTGATATCCAGTTGTTCCAGAACCATTTAGTCTCTTTGGACTATCCTTTCCCCCATTAGATTGCCTTCACTCCTTTGTCAAAGATTTGTTGACTGTATTTGTGTAAGTCTCTGTGTGGGCTTTCTATTCTGTTCCATTGGTCCATTTGTCTATTCTTTCACCAATAAGCCACTGTCTTATTGCTGTAGCTTTACAGTAAGTCTTGAAGTTGGGTAGTGCCAGCCCTCCAACTTTGTTCTTCTGCTTCAATATTGTGTTGGCCAATATAGATCTTTTTGCCTTTCCGTAGAAACATTAGAATCAGTTTATCAATACCCACAAAATAACACTGGGATTTGACTGGGATTGCACTGAATCTATAGTCAAGTTTGGGAAAGTTGACATCTAACTAATATTGAGTCCTCCTTTTTATGAACATGAAATACCTTTCCAGTTATTTATATCTTCTTTGATTTCTTTCATCAGAGTTTTCTAATTTTTTCATAGACCTTGTACATATTTTTGTTAGATTTATTCCTAAGTATTTTATTTTTCTCAGTTAATTAAATGGTCTAGTGTTTCTAATTTCAAATCCCAATTGTTCATTGCTAGTATATAGGAAAGCAATTGAATTTTCTATATTAACCTTGTATCCTGCAACCTTGCTATAATCATTTATTAGTTATGGGAGGTTTATTTGTTTGTTTTTGTCAATTCTTTGAGATTTTCTACATAGACAATCATGTCATCTGTGAATACTGACAGTTTTATTTCTTTCTTCTCAATCTGTATATCATTTCTTTTCTTATTGCATTAGTTAGGACTTTCAATACAGTGTTGAACAGGAGTGGTGAGATGGGACATTTTTGCCTTGATCCTGATCTTAGAGGGAAAGCATCCAGTTTCTCATGACTAAGTATGATGTTAGCTGTAGGTTTTTTATAGCTAATCTTTATCAAATTGGGGAAGTTCTCTTTTCTTCCTAGTTTTCTGAGAGTTTTATCATGAATTGAAGTTAGATTATCAAATGCATTTTCTGTATCTATTGATATGATCATGAGATTTTTCTTCTTTAGCTTGTTGATGTGAATTGTTGAATTACCTTAATTTCTTTTTGAATGTTGAACTAGCCTTTCATAACTGGAATCAACCACTGTTGGTCATGGTATATAATTCTTTTTATATACTGTTGTATTTTATTTGCTAATATTTTGTTGAGGATGTTTGCAACTATATCCTTGAAAAGTATTAGTCTGTAGTTTTCATTTCTTGTAATGTTTTTGTCTGCTTTTGGTTCTAGGGTAATGCTAGCCTTATAGAATGTGTTAGAAATATTCCTTCTGCTTCTACCTTCTTTGCCTACCCCAAGATAATGAAGAATTTCTTTTATATTTCCTGCTAGAATTTTTATATTTAGCTTTTATATTTTATATTTGGGTCCATGATTCACTTTAAGTTAATTTTTTGTATGAAATGAGGTATGAAGCCTGGTGCAGTGGCTAACGCCTGTAATCCCAACACTTTGGGAGGCCGAGGCAGGCATTCAAGAGGTCAGGAGTTCAAGACCAGCTTGGCCAACATGGCGAAACTCCATCTCTACTAAAAATACAAAAATTTGCCAGGAGTGGTGATGCGTGCCTATAATCCCAGATACTCGGGAGGCTGAGGCAGGAGAACCGCTTGAACCTCTGAGGCAGAGGTTACAGTGAGCCGAGATCACACCACTGCACTCTAGCCTGAAGGCGATGGAGTAAGACTCTGTACAGAAAGGAAAGGAAAGGAAAGGAAAAGGAAAAGGAAAAGGAAACGGAAAAGGAAAAGGAGAAGGAGAAGGGAAAGGGAAAGGGAAAAGGAAAAGGAAAAGGGGGAAGGGGGAAGGGAAAAGGGAAGGGAAGGGGAAAGGAAAGGAAAGAGGAAAGGAAAGGAGAAAGAAAAGAAAAGGAACGAGATATGAGTTGAGGTTAATTTTATTTTTCTTTCATCATTGGATATTCATTTGTCTCAGCCCCATTTATTGTGTGGCTCCATTTCTGGACTCTAGTCAGTTTCATTAATCTGTGTGCCTATGTTTATACTGATATCATGTTTACTTGACTACTATAACATTATAATATAGTCTTGAAACACTAGCAATCACCAAACTTTGTTCTTATTCAAAATTATTTTGGATATTCTAGGTTCTTTGCATTTCCATATGAATTTCAAAATCACTTTGCCATTTTCTCCAAAACACTGCTGAATTTTTTCTTGAGATTGCATTGAATCTATGGTTCTATTAGGGAAAATGAACATCTTAGCAATATTGACTCTTCTGATGCATTCAAATAATATGTCCCTCTGTTTATTTAAGTCCTCTTTGGTTTGTCTCAGCTATGTTTTCTAGTTTTCATTGTCCAGATCTTGCACATATTTTGTTAAATTTATCCCTAAGTATTTCATAATTTTGTTACTATCATAAATGGTACTATTTTATTTAATTACAATTTCCAAATTTTGTTCATAGCATACAATTGATTTTCATATATTGACTTTGTATCTTGCATCCCTGTAAAATGCATCTATTAATTTTCGTAGTCTTTCTATAGATTCTTTAGGATTCCCTATGTACATAATCATGTTGCCTAGGAATAAAGATATTTTCATATCTTTCTCCTTAATATGTATTGCTTTTATTTCTATTTTGCCTCATTGCACTGTCTATAACCAATAATAAAATCCTTACCTTATTCATAAATTTAGTGGGAAAGCATTTACTATATCACCATTTTGTAGGACATTAACTGTCTTTTTTGTGTAGAAGGCCTTTATCAAATTGAGGAATTTACTTCCTTTTCATAATTTGTGTGTGTGTATATAGATAATATATATATTCATAAATAAATATTGGTTTTTACCAAATGATTATTCTTCATTGAGATTATTGTAGGTTTTTTATCCTTTGGTCTTTAATGTACTAAGTTATATTGATTTTTTTAATGTTAAAGCAATTTCACATTTCTGGGGTAAACCCCACTTGGTGATGATGTGTTATCCATTTTATATATTGCTGCATCTGATTTGCTAATATTGTCTTAAGGATTTTTGTGCCTATGATTATGAGGGATATTGGTTTGTAATTTTCTTCACATATTAATCTAATTTTGATGTCAGGGTTATGATGGTCTCTGTTTTCTGACAGTGTTTGAATGAGAGTGATATGATTTCTCCCATAAATATTTAATAAAATTCACTATCTTGGCTTGGGGTTCTCTTTGAAGAAAGGTTTTTCATTATGAATTCAATGTATTTAATAGATATCTATTTGGATTTTTCTATTCATCCTTGGGTTAGTTTTAGCAAGTTGCTTATTTCAAGGAATTTGCCCATTTAATCTATTTTGTCAAATATATTGGCCTAAACTTGTTTGTAATATTCCCTTATTATCATTTTAATGTTTGTAGATTCTTTAGTGACAAAGATTGCTCCAATTTGTATTTTCTGTTTTCCTAATTGGTCTTGCTATGGGTTTATCAATTTTATTAATCATTTCAAGGAGCAAACATTTTGCTTTATTAATTTTTTATTATTTATCTAATTTCTACATCATTGGTTTCTGCTCTAATCTTTATTATTTTTTAAATTTTACTTAGTTCAAGTTTAATTGGCTCTTCTTGGGTTTTGCTCTAGCAAGCAGTTAATTCATTGTCAGCTATTCTTGACCCTGTCAAGGATTGGTTTTAGGCTTTATTAGGGTGATGCTAGATTGGCGATTACTCTAAAATGTGGTCCTTACTCCTAAGTTTTGTTTTTTCTTGAGCCCCAGCTAAATGCCTAGGATATCAATGAGGTCTCTTCACCCTGACTGGTCCAATTCTTCAACACTCCCCAGGACTGTGCTACCTCTAGTATCTTCATTCAACTCTCAAACTTGCTGTAGCTCAGTCTTATGGAGTCTCACTCTATACATGTAAAAACAAAACTTTTGCCAAAGACATACGTAGAAACACCTCTCAATAAATTTATGGGAACTCTTTCTGTGCAGCTCATTCCTCTTTGGTACTCTACTCTGCAATTTTCATCTGCCTCAATAGCCCCAAAATTTAATCTCTACCTCATCAGCTCAAGAGTATTGTCATATTCCATTTGGGATCCTCTTCCCTGTGCTGTGTTCAGGAAATTGTCCCCAGATAAGTAACCAGAGTGACCATGGGACTCACCCTATTATAAGTTTCAGTGTTCTTGGAGATCACTCTCTTACACTCCTTATTAGCTGATACCTGGAAACAATTGCCTCGTATATTTGTCCACTTTCCTAGCTGTGTACAGTAGATGCACAAGTCTGCTACTAGTTTCTCTACAATGCCTAGAAGCAAAAATACTCAATGACTTGTTTTCATTTCCAATATTTCTACTTGATCCTTAACAAAAAATCTTACCAATATTCATTAATAGTATCCATTCCTATTTAATGGACTCTATTCCTTCCTCAATTTTAACATTATAAAAGTTCTTATTTTACATCCTCATTTAGAATACCCTACTATCTCTATTTACTCAGGTATGAATTTCCATTTGATCAGTGTCTGGAGTGTTTTGGCCTCAGATATTTCCATATGTTTTATAATTTTTGTTTGCAAGGTCATCTTTAGTAGAAGTTATATTTTTAGAAGTCCTTCATGTGCCTCTGTGCTAGGCTCCCAATGGGACCATTTTGTTTGCCTCTGCCAAGAATATATGAAATTCATAGTTTCAAACTAGATTTTAGGTTAACTTTTGATTCAGTGATTCCCCATTATGTGTGCAGTGCCAATTAGGATCTCACACCCATGTAGGCCCAAATACCATTCATGGATGGTGCAAAGCTTTTTCAGCACCAAGTTCTAAGCAAGAAGGCCAGTTTTAGCTCTCTGGCATGTACTGCACACCCTGTACTCCCATTTGAATATTTAAAATCTCAGCCCTTTAGGCCTATATTCATTCCTTTAGCCCCCACAGCTTCCCTTATGGCTCTGTGATTTCTCTTTCTTTATGATACTTAGAAGATCACTTTGTTGTTTTTAAACTTAGCTATGTATTTTTAATATTTATTGCTGTAATTCTATATGCTTAGAATAAAAGTGGCAGACCATCAGTTTTAATCCTTTACTTGAGCTGCCTATACACAGGATATTGTCTGGCCCCTACCTCTGCCCTTCACAACTGCAACATCTTGCCTGCAAGCCTAATAATAGCTAATTTAAATAATTTCTTCTTTTTTTTTTTTTTTGAGATGGAGACTAGCTCTGTTGCCCAGGCTAGAGTGCAGTGGCGCAATCTTGGCTCACTGCAAACTCCACCTCCCAGGTTCACGCAATTCTCCTGCCTCAGCCTCCTGAGTAGCTGAGATTACAGGTGCATGCCAGCACGCCCGGCTAATTTTTGTATTTTTAGTAGAGACGGGGTTTCACCATGTTGGTCAGGCTGGTCTCGAACTCCTGACCTCGTGATCTGCCCACCTCAGCCTCCCAAAGTGCTGGGATTACAGGCGCGAGCCACCACACCCAGCCTAATTTAAATAATTTCTAACATGTATTAAGCACCTATGTGTGCCAAGCATTGAGCTTGATGCAATATTATTAGTTCAGTTAATCATCACAGCTACTCCTTGAGGTAGGTTCTAATACTATGCAAATTTTATACACGAGGAATTTAAACATCAAAGATATTCTGAACCTTATACAGGTATTAAGTGGTAGAACCAGATTTAAGTATGTGCCTACAACAACTATGCTATATGGTCTTAATTAGTGAATGCTCAAGATTGAACTTTTAGGGTGACCAACTATGCCCAGAACTGTCCTGGTTTTAGCACTGTGAGTTCTACATCCTAGGAAACCCCTGAGTCCTGAGGAAACCTGGATAATTAGTCACTTTTGTTTATCTGACAGTAATTTACTAGTCATGACCTATATGGTTATTGCCTTCCAAGAAATGACTGGTGAGAATAAATTCAGAATTCACTTACTATGGTGATACCTGAGACCAATCTAATTACCTTTCAGTGAAACCACCAACTGTGGCTCATCTAAAAGGTGGAATAATCACAAGAACATGGCAGGATTATTTACTGTGCCTCACTGATATATTTGAGAAAAAAAAAATGCCACCATAAGTGAAGACACAGGCCCAAGCTTTTCCATCACCCTGTCATTCTTGAAGTTCACTGCAATTAAGGCTGGTTACGATATTCCTTTGAGATCCTACCTAATAGGAACCTACTAACTAGATTAGACTATGTCAAATGGCCTTTCCAATTTAGAAGTGACAAAAGGGAACTGGCAATTTTCTGGTATATTTGATCAGTGTAGGCAATCAACCCACATAGATTGGTGCATCCAAGTGGACTTTAAGAGGCTAGAGTTATTTGCTTTACTTGTCTTCACATTAGACACAATCTCAGCTAACTAACTGCAAATCTTCTTTTAACATTGAGTAAGCCCAAGCTAAATGGCCTTTCTCATAACTCTGTGAGGCCAGGCCCTCAGCCCCTAAAATCCCAAGGAGAGTGTTTGGGTTTAAGGAATAGGACCAAAAGTGACACTTGAAAAGTTCAAAAATGTACTCAACCAAATTGGCAAAATCTATCTACCTGGAAGAAGGTTTTGAGTGAATTAGATGAATCTTATTTCTCTACAGCTATGCAATAAATTGTCCCTAGTAGGCTGACTGTATATCTTCGCTTTCTGATGTATCTAACTTACTACTAAAAAGGCACTGTGGGAAACTGGAGCCCAGCATTTCTTAAGCTTCCTCAAGATGAAAGGTCTTATACAAGGATGTTATATGAGTATGGTCTTTAAAATAACACAAGCTATTTCTAAAAGTCTCAAAGCTACCTGAAATTTTACCTGTAATTCCTTCTGACTCTAAAAGCTAGAATTACAAGCATGATTGTAAAGCTTTTCTTGATACCGAACTGGTAAGCATTTTGTTTGGCTCTCTTGGTTTCTTTTAATTCACTTCGGTTGCTCCGAGTTTCTCAGTGGTCTCAAACATGCAATGTAATTGAACTTACTGGTATCTCTTTCTTTGGTTGCATTTGGCTGCCTGGAAAATCAGGTATTTTTCAAAACTAAGATCTAAAACTGTTTTTCTATTCTACTGTTATGAAACCAGAATGTGGTAATATTTTCAAAAGCTGTGTAAATAACTGAACTTATTTCAAGTTTACAGAGTATCCAAATAAGCAAAAGTGGACTTTTAAAAATTAATTTTTAAAATGGAGTCTACCTATTAGAGGGAATTTTTATTAAATTAGTGTTTAACACCAAATTGTTAGCTGTTGTCCAAGTCATTACACAGCGAAAACCTTGCCCATTTCATTCCTATAGTGCAGACCCTCCAAATATACTCTTGCTCTCTTTTCAACTTGATCCATGGAAACAACACAACTCTTTCTTTGGCAGTCCTTGCACAGTGTCTTCTCTGGGTCCTAAACAAATATTTTTGTTATCTAAACTATATAGCTAAAACATTGGAAAGGGAAGAATGGAGAAAAGCTGAACTCAAGATGCTATCATCATTAAGACTGTAAGTATTAGTGGGTCATGAGTATGAATAGAGGAGCAGGAATTGGGTGCATTACCATGGGAGGTAGGGCTTGGAGCTAGTGTGAAAGATGAGCTGGGTTTCAGGAGTCAGGTGTGCAAACACACACCACAGGTTAGTGTATAGAAGTTGCACAATGTCTAGGCACCATTCAAAAACTATTTATTGAGCACCAACTATGTACCAAGGACTATTCCAGGTGCTTGGGATACAGCAGTGAATATGACAGACAAAAATCCCTGCTGTACTAGAGCTTTCATTCTAATGCCATTCAGATGTCACTTTCTGCCAAATTGAGCATCTAAATGCTTTGGCTTTGTCCTTTCATCTCCATTCCCACTACCACAACCCCAGTTTTGTCCTAAATTTCCTCCTGTCCAATTAGCGATCACCTCCTAACTAGTTTCCTCATCTCCAAGTTAACATCCCTGAAACCCATCCACCTAATTGCCAACAAATTAATTCTTCCAACGCACATCTTTAAGTATATTACTCTCCTGCTCCAGAACTTTCAATAGTTTCCCATTATTTTGAATTAATCCTAAAACTCTTTAATTTGGCATTTGGGGCCATTCACAAAATGGCCCCAAACTACCTTTCCAGCCTTATATCACACCACTAACCTACCCCTTCATTTCAGCTACTCTATACCTTCTCAGCTTCATTTATTTCCCTACCTTATTCCCTTTGACTTGAATTCTGTTCTCCCCACAAACAATCCCACATGTCCAAATCATACTTGTCTTTCACAGTCCATCTGGCAACTTAAAGTGGATAATCACCAACAATCTGTATATGTGCTCTCCTTCTCAGTCATATGACCTCCTGATCCATAGAGTGATTTTCTCAGCTTGCTTTTGCCCAGCTTTCTCCCAAGAATCAAATCCTAGTCCAGGAGCCAGGGCCCTTACAGCATGTGGACAGAACTACTCCATGATGACCTAACTGATTGAGTTGAGTAATGTAATTAAGTGCTGCCTGCCCTAGGTATCCTGCACTGTCCTGGTGAACAGACTTGTCCTGGGTTCTGGCTCCCTCTTCCTTGTCTGCCACACGTGGCGCTACGTTCTCAATGTTTGTGTCCCCTTGAAATTCATCTGTTGAACTCCTAGCCCCCAAGGTGATGTTATTAGCAGGTGGTAGGGTCTTTCGGACCCCATCAGAGTGGTACTCTCACGAATGGGATGAGTGCTCTTGTAAAAGAGACCTGAGAGGCAACCCCTCACCACTTCCACCATGGGAGGACACAGCGAGAAGGTGTCATCTATGAGAAAGTGGGCCCTCCAAAGACACCACCGGCACCTTGATCTTGGACTCCCCAGACTCAAAGCTGTAAAAAATAATTTCTGTTGTTTATAAGTTACTCTGTCTAAGATATTTTGTTGTAGCAGTTCAAATGGATTAAGACATGTAGTACTAAGAAACTTCATATCTTGTGACCAAGACCTCAAATGACAATGATGGTTTCACTTCATCTACCAACTCCACAACTTTTCCTTCATTGGCTACTTGCTAAAATCATTACGTGTGAGGATTACACTCAGGTAATTCTCTCTATAAAAAGGTGATAATATAGTAGTCTATATGCAGAGCTCATCTTCAGTGCCAAAATTTAAAAATTTCAGATAATCTGCCTTCGCCTCCCGATTCCGCCCATTGCCCAGGCTGTCCAGAATCCAGGAAGCTATTCAGAATCCACTGCATCCTATAGTTACTGATGTCAGAATTCATATGGGTAGCCCCATAAAAGTGATTCATGATTGTTGCTCATGAACTAACACTCACCCCAATTCCACCCAACAATATTTTCAACCAAAGCAACTCTCTAAAGAGTGACTCTAAAGCAACAACAGTTTTGACTAGAAAATATAAAATACTCATAATATAATAAATTATGAGAAGACTCACAACATTATAATGATGATGATAATAGTAGGTAAAATCCATTAAGTGTTCAGTATATGCCAGGCACTGTGTCAAGTACTTTGCCAGTATCATCTCGATTCTTACAATGCTAGGAGGTAGACACTATACTATTTTTGTCTCCATTTTACAGATGAGAGAATTGAAGCACACAGAGATTGTTAGTAACTTGTAAAATGTCACACAGCTACAAAGTAGCAGGAACCTTGGCATCTGCTGATTGTATTCCTATAGTTATTGCTTCCTGGGATGTCAACTTCAAACCCCTTTCTCTGGCCTTCAGGGCCCTTGACTAACAACAATCCTCCTATTCTAATTTCTGAGTACTGCTGAATAAGGACTGTCCCCTTTAGCTAAGCTAATTATCCCCACTCTGGAGAATAGTATTTCTTCAATTTGGGAGGTCTTTCTTTTATTTTCCCCTATTCTCTGGCCTTCTTCCTTTTCAAAGCACATTTCCAAACACACCTCTAGGAAGGCTTACATTAATCAACTCCATCTCCACTATTTAGCCTAGAAAATCTATTAAGAAATGTAGGAGCATTAAAACATCACCAACCAGTTCACAATGCTATTCAAAGAGCTGTCCTGCCCTGCCCTTGGCCTCTAGGTTAAGAATAACTCTGACTTCATTCACTCAACAAATATTTACTAGGAGTCTATACTATATATGAGACATAATTTTAGGCTTTGAGGATACCACAGTGAGCAATTCTTGCCTTGGTGGGCTCACATTCTGGTTGGGGAGGCAATGAACAAAATAAATAGGTAAATGTTATAGTATGTTAGATAGCAATGAGTGCTAAGGAGAAGAATAAAGAGAGAAACGTAGTATGGGGTGTTTTGTAAGGGTAAGGGTTGCAATTTTTAATAGAGTGGGTAAGGTAAACCTCACTGAGAAGATCATGTTTGACACAATTCATGTAAAGACCAGAAATGACCCACCTAACATCCACTTCTAAACAGTTGATTTTTCAGCCTCCACCAGGAAAATTAGTTCAAATGTGGTTCCATGTTGAAAGTGGATTTTAAAATAGTTATTTTGCATGTTCAACTGTATGTGGCAGTGGCAAACAATTGTAGAAAAACAAATCAATAAGGCAGCTGGGGGAATTACAATAACAAACTGCTGCAACTGAGAATGTTGCTTCAATAGCTATTTACTAATATGAACAGATACTCTTAAGGGAGAAGAGCAAGCCTTCAGCAAAGCTGGAAGTGAGAGCCATTTCAGCATATGACTTAATGCCAGAGGTATTCTGAATCAATAAAGATGCATTGCCTATTTAACTTGAATATAACTTTTCTGTTTTGCTGACAATTATTTGTGGGCAGAAAATGCATCAAAAATATGTGTTTGAGCTAGGTAACAAGAGACATAACTTAATTTCAAACATATAACAAATACGTTTTGAAGTTCAATGAAAACAAATTTGTTTTGGAGTCAACACCTAATATTCTACATTACAGCCTAAAGTCTAGTTTTGTTGTTGTTGTTGTTGTTTTGTTTTTTTTGGGTTTTTTTTGAGACAGAGTCTAGCTCTGTCACCCAGGCTGGAATGCAGTGGCACCATCTCAGCTGACTGCAACCTCTGCCTCCTGGGTTCAAGCGATTCTTCTGCCTCAGCCTCCCGAGTAGCTGGAACTACAGGCGCGAGCCACCACACCCAGCTAATTTTTGTATTTTTAGTAGGGACGGGGTGTCACCATATTGGCCAGGCTGGTCTCGAACTCCTAGATCTCATGATCTGCCTGCCTCGGCCTCCCAAATTGCTGGGATTACAGGTGTGAGCCACCACGCCCAGCCCTAAAGTCTAGTTTTTAAGCCAAATAATAAACCTATTAAGATAGAAGTACAGAACAGAAATATTGACACACTCTTAACACTGAGCAAATGCATAATCCCAAATTAATGTGATTTGAGTCCTGCGTTTCCATAAATCTTTTACATATTTGCCACACTGCTAAAATGTTTTTCAAGAGGATTTTTTAAAAGTTGGCAGAGGAAAGAAAGAAATGGACCTAGACATTGAATCCTGGCCTTGCCCAATTCAGCTACTCTTCACCAACGTTAAGTATATATACATACTGAAAGGTCAGACTATATCCTAATTACTGCATTCTTCTAGGAAATGAGAAAAAAAGCCAACAAAAAGCCTTGTTCTTTAGCATTCCTTTCATGAAGCATAAACATTTCATTGTCCTTCTACCATTTGAGTCTTCTCTTCTTCTGAGATACTTGTGGTAATTTGTCTTCCTTAGATTCTTCCAGCAGAATCTTGATTTTCCTTGGCTTGCTTCAGTCCCAGTCATCCACAGAGGAATAGTTGGAAGGCAATAATACTTATGAAGAAAATAGTATAATCTTTGTGTTTTCATGTGGTTTTCATTCTGTGTTAGATTTCTTGTCTACACCATGGTGTCTTACTACATATATTCCTTTCCCCAATCTGCCCACTCTTGGTATCTGTATTATTCTTCTTCAAGAAGCTCTTCTCCCAAGTATCTAATCCCTCATCATGGTTCTCCTAGCCATCAGCTTTTCTTCTCTTCATATTTGCCCATATACATGACTCCCAACTCTGGCTCTAGCAGAAATCTCTCCCTGGGACTACAGTGCTATTTCTCCAGCTCTGTATCACCCATGTCAGTGGTCCTTGGTCACCTCAAAATCAAGCTTATTTCAATATAAACTCATGATTTTCTCCCAAAATTGTTCCCTTTTTTTTGTCTCCCCAGTCATCAAAGCTCGAAATCTTGGAGTGAGTCATTTTTGACTCTTTCTTCATCTTCTTGTGCCATAGTCAAGCAGCATTCAAGTCCTCTAGTCTTAGTTCCTACTATTGACCATACGATTTAGTGAATGGCCCCTTCAACTTCCATGTCCCATGTAAGCAAATTCATCAGTATGACCACATTTAGCCCCACGTGTTAATTTTGTTGATACCTCTGATATACACTCCTTACTCCTACTTTCTATTTATCACACCAACATCATAGTTCAGGATTTCATCACTTAAGACAATATGGTCACTTTGGGGAGACTCTTGTGTCCTCTCTAAATATGATACTTTGCCTGCTCAATCTCTCAGAGATGAGCAGAATAACTATTCAATTAGAGTAGTGATCTTTAGTCTTAAGTGTCATAACAAAATAGTAAAAAACCGCAGAGCAATACCACATCTACAGTATTATATACATGAAAGAATGATGCATATAAGTTAACAATGACAAATCATAAAAAGTTAATAGACTTTATAACTATGATGAAATAAATCAAAGAGTATCAAAACCAAGGGCAAAAGAAAAAAGTACTGCTATATAGTCAGTGGTCTTAAAGTTCAGGCTTGATACAGCAGATACAGAGTCAAGAGTTACCTCAGTAGACTCTGGTGCCAGGCAGGTCCCTGCAGACTGAAGTTCCAGGACAACCCCCTCAAGACCCAGGTTCCAACTAAAATAAATATATAAATAAAAATAAATAAATGAAAACTGTTTTTCAAAAAAGGGTTATAAGAGAATATTGTGAATAACTATAAGAAAAATTCTGCTAGAACAACCCAACTAGATAACAAAGATATAATGGACAAATTCTTAGAAACACAACCAACAAAGACTGAATCATGAAGAAATAGATAATCTGAATAGACCTATAACTGGTAAGCAGATTGAATCAGTAATCAAAAATCTCCAAATGAAGAAAAGCTCAAGACCAGATGGCTTCACAGGTGAATTCTACCAACATTAAAGAATAATTAACACAAATTTTTCTCAAACTCTTCCAAAAACTTCAATATGAGAAGATGCTTTCTAACTCATTCTATGAGGCCAGCATTACCCTGATACCAAAGCCAGAGAAAGACTGCAAGAAAAGGAAACTACAAACCAATATACTTCATGGATATTGATGCAGAAGTCCTCAATAAAATACTAGCAAACAGAATTCAACAACATATAAAAAGGATTTTAGACCATGACAACATGGGATTTATGCCTGCAATACAAGGATGGTTCAGCATACTAAAATCAATGCAATATATGACATAAATAGAATGAAGGGCAAGAAGGTATATGATCATCTCAATTGATGCAGTAGAAGCATTTCACAAATATTCAATATTTTTTCATAATAAAAAGAAAACTCTGGACTAACTAGGAATAAAATAAAACTACTTCAACATACGAAAGGCCATATATGCAAAACCCACAGCTAAAATCATGCTCTTCGGTGAAAGACAAAGCTTTTCTTCTAAGATCAGCAACAAGACAATGGTGCCCTTTCTCATCACTTTTATTTAACATAGTATTGAAAGTCCCAGCCAGAGCAATTAAGCAAGGAAGAAAGAGAGAAAGAAAGAAAGAAAGAGAGAGAGAGAGAGAGAGAGAGAAAGAAAGAAAAGAAAGGAAGGAAGGAAGGAAGGAAGGAAGGAAGGAAGGAAGGAAGAAAGAAAGAAAGAAAGAAAGAAAGAAAGAAAGAAAGAAAGAAAGAAAGAAAGAAAGAAAGAAAGAAAAGAAAGAAAGAAAGAAAAGAAAGAAAGAAAGAGAGAAAAGAAAGAAAGAAAGAGCAAGAAAGAGAGAAAGCAAGAAAGAAAGAAGAAAAGAAAAGGGAGAAATGAAAGCTATCCAAATTGAAAAGAGAAAAATAAAATTATTTTTTTCTAAAATAACATGATCTTATGTGCAGAAAATACTAAAGATTTCACAAGGAAACTGTTAGAACTAATAAACTAATTCAACAAAGTTGCAGGACACAAAATCAACACAGAAAAATTAGTTGCTTTAACAATGAACGATTAGAAAAGAAAAGATTAGAAAAGAAAATTAAGAAAACAATTCATTTACAATTGCATCAAAAAGAATAAAATACTTAGGAATAAACTTAACCAAAGAGGTGAAACACTTGTTCAGTGAAAACTGCAAAATATTGCTGAAAAATAATTTTTAAAACCCCCAAAATCGGAAAGACATCCCATCCCATGGTCACAATTGGAAGACTCAATATCGTTAAGATATCAGGGGGATTAAGATGGCGGATAGGAGGCAGGACTAGCTTGCAGCCCCCACCTGGACAGAGAGAGCAGTGTGTGCAGACTAACATCATTAACTTTTGCTCCAAGAACTACCACAGGAACATACCAGAAAAGCCGAGATAATCCACAGACCCTTTTAAGGACAGGATCACCGCTGCAGGCTCCCTGAGATGCCAAAAACCTGTAAATCTGCTTGCTTTCTCAGCGGGCAGGCTGGTGGTCTGGGGCAAGTTCTCAGCCCTGGTCACCAGCTGCCTGGAAATAAACTCAGTGCTGTTGAGGGGGCACAGTAGGAGTGAGACTGGACTTTAGGACTGTGAGCTGCATGGGAGTGGGATGAGGACTGTGACTGCCGGCTTTCCCCCACTTCCCTGGCAACCTGTATGACTCGGCAGAGACAGCCATAATCCCCCTGGGAGCATAACTCCATTGGATTAGGAAACTCACCCCCATTCTCCACAGCAGCTGCAGGAAGCCCAGCCCCACAGCAGCTGCAGGAAGCCCAGCCCAAAGAGAGGCTGAGTTCAGACATGCCTATCCCTGCCCCCACCTGGTGGTCTTTCTATACCTGCCCTGGTAGCCAAAGACAAAAGTCATAATCTCTTGGGAGCTCTTTGACCCTGCCCACCACCTGAGAAACCTGAATGCTTAACCAGGTATCCCTAGGGCAAGTTTGCCTCCTCCCTATAGGACCACAACTGATGCACTCTTGAAATGCCTACCTCCTGGCTGGAGGCCAACCTACACAAAACCAGTGCACTGAACAAAAACACAAGCAAGGACCCTCACAGAGTCCACTTCACTCCCCTGCTACCTCCAGTGGAGCAGGTGCTGGTATCCATGGCTGCAAGACCTGAAGATGGATCACATCACAGGACTCTTTGCAGACACTCCCCAGTACCAGCCTGGAGCCCAGGAGCTCTGCTGGGTGGCTAGACCCAGAAGAGCAAAACAATCACTACAGTTCAGCTCTCAGGAAGCCACATCCCTAGGGGAAGGGGGTTAGCACTACATCAATGGAGCACCCCGTGGGACAAAAGAATCTGAATAGCACCCCTTGAATCCTAGCTCTTCCCTCTGACATAGTCTACCCAAATGAAAAGGAACCAGAAAAACAATTCTGGTAATATAACAAAACGAGATTCTTTAAACCGCCCCCTCCAACCCAAAAGATCATATCAGCTCACCAGCAATGGACCCAAACCAAGACAAAATCTCTGAATTGCCAGAAAAAGAAATCAGAAGGTTGATTATTAAGCTAATCTAGGAGGCACCAGAGAAACGTAAAGTCCAACCTAAAGAAATAAAAAATATGATACAGAATATGAAAGGAAAATTATTCAGTGAAGTAGGTGGCATAAATAAAACACAATCACAACTTCTGGAAATCAAGGACACACTTAGAGAAATGCAAAATGCACTGGAAAGTCTCAGCAATAGAATGGAACAAGCAGAAGAAAAACTTCAGAGCTCAAAGACAAGGCTTTTGAATTAACCCAATCCATCAAAGATGAAGAGAAAAGAATTTTTTAAAAAGAATGAAACCTTAAAGAAGTTTGGGACTATCTTAAATATCCAAAATTAAGAATAATTGGTGTTCCCAAAGAAGAAGAGAAATATAAAAGTTTGAAAAACATATTTGAGGGAATAATTGAGGAAAACTTCCCCAGCCTTGCTAGAGATCTAGACATCCAAATACAAGAAGTTCAAAGAACACCTGAGAAATTAATCACAAAAAGATCATCACCTAGGCACACCTAGGCACATCAGGTTATCTAAAGTCAAGACAAAGGAAAGAATCTTAAGGGCTGTGAGGCAAAAGCATCACATAACCTATAAAGGAAAACCTATCAGATTAACAGATTTCTCAGCAGAAACCATTCAAGCTAGAAAAGATTGGGGTCCTGTTTTTAGCCTCCTTAAACAAAACAACTATCAGCCAAGAATTCTGTATCCAGCGAAACTAAGCTTCATAAATGAAGGAAAGATAGTCTTTTCCAGACAAACAAATGCTGAGCAAATTCACCAATACCAGGCCAGCACTACAAGAACTGCTAAAAGGAGCTCTAAATCTTGAAAGAATTCCTCGAAATACACCAAAATAGAACCTCCTTAAAGCATAAATCTCACAGGACCTATAAAACAAAAACAATGAAAAAAAACACCAAAATTGGAAAGATATCCCATCCCATCCCATCCCATGTTCACAATTGGAAGACTCAATATCATTAAGATATCAGAGGGGATTAAGATGGCAGATAGGAGGCAGGACTAGCTGAAAAAAAAAAAAACCACCAAGGTATTCAGGCAATGACTAACATGATGAATAGAATAGTACCTCACATCTCAATACTAACATTGAGGCTCATGCCTGTAATCCCAGAACTTTGGGAGGCCGAGGCAGGCAGATCACCTGAAGTCAAGAGTTCAAGATCAGCCTGGCCAACATGGTGAAACCCCCGTCTCTAATAAAAATACAAAAAAAATTAGCCTGGTATGGTGGCACGTGCCTGTAGTCCCAGCTACTTGGGAGGCTGAGGCACGAGAATTGTTTGAACCCGGGTGGCAGAGGTTGGCAGTGAGCCAAGATTACACCACTGCACTCCAACCTGGGCAACAGAGCAAGACTCCATCTCAATAAAAAAAAAGTAATACTAACATTGAATATAAACAGCCTAAATGCTTCACTTTAAAAATACAGATTGGCAGAATGGGTAAGAATTCACCAACCAAGTTTCTACTGTCTTCAGGAGACTCACCTAACACATAAGAACTCATATAAACTTAAGGTAAAGGGGACACCAAAAGCGAGCAGGAGTAGCTATTCTTACATCAGACAAAACAAACTTTAAAGCAATGGCAGTTTAAAAAGACAAAGAGGGGCATTATATAATGATAAAAGGACTATTCCAACAGGAAAATATCACAGTTCTAAATATATATGCACCTAACGCTGGAGCTCCCGAATTTATAAAACAATTACCACTAGACCTAAGAAATGAAATTGATGACAACACAATAATAGTGGGGGACTTCAATACTCCACTGACAGCACTAGACAGGTTATCAAGACATAAAGTAAACAAAGAAACTATGGATTTAAAATATACCCTAGAACAAATTGACTTAACAGATATTTACAGAACATTCTATCCAACAACTGCAAAATATACATTCTATTCATCAGCACATGGAACATTCTCCAAGATAGACCATATGATAGGCCACAAAACAAGTCTCAGTAAATTTAAGAAAATCAAAATTATATCAAATACTCAGACCACGGTGGAATAAAATTTGATATCAACTCCAGAAGGAAGCCTCAAAACCATGCAAATACATGGAAATTAAGTAACCTGCTCCTGAATGATCACTGGGTCAACAATAAAATCAAGATGGAAATTTAAAAAATTCTTTGAACTGAATGATAATAGTGACACAACGTATCAAAACTCTGGGATACAGCAAAAGCGGTGCTAAAAGTGTAGTTTATAGCATTAAACGCCTTCATCAAAAAGTCTGAAAGCACAAATAGACAATCTAAGGTCATATCTCATGGAACTGGAGAAACAAGAACAATCCAAACTCAAACCCAGCGGAAGAAAAGAAATAACAAAGATCAGAGCAGAACTAAATGAAATTGAAACAAAAAAATACAAAAGATAAATGAAACAAAAAGATGGTTCTTTGAAAAGATGAACAAAATTGATGGACCATTAGCGAGATTAACCAAGAAAAGAAGATTGAAGATCCACATAAACTGGATTAGAAATGAAACAGGAGATATTACAACTGATACCACAGAAATACAGAAGATTATTCGAGGCTACTGTGAACACCTGGATGCTCATAAACTAGAAAACCTAGAGGAGATGGATAAACTCCTGGAAATATACAATCTTCCTAGATTAATCCAGGAAGATATAGAATCTCTGAACAGACCAATAACAAGCAACAAGATTGAAATGGTAATTTAAAAATTGCCAACAACAAAAAGTCCAGGACCAGATGGATTTACAGCTGAATTCTATCAGACATTCAAATAAGTATTGATACCAATCTTATTGACAACTATTCTAAAAGATAGAGAAATAGGGAATCCTCCCTAAATCATTCTATGAAGCCAGTATCACCCTAACACCAAAACCAGGGGAGGATGTGACAAAAAAAGGAAACTACAGACCAATATACCTGACGAATAAAGATGCAAAAATGCACAACAAAATACTAGTGAGCCGAGTCCAACAGCATATCAAAAAGATAACCCGCCATCATCAAGTGGGTTTCATACCAGGGATGCAGGGATGATTTAACATATGTAAGTCAATAAATGTGATACATCACATAAGCAGAATTAAAAACAAAAATCACATGATCATTCCATAGACACAGAAAAGACATTTGACAAAATCCAGCATCCCTTTATGATGAAAACAGTCAGCAAAATTAGCATAGAAGGGACTTATCTTAAGGTAATAAAAGCCATCTATGACAAACCCACAGCCAACATTATACTGAATGGGAAAAAGTTGAAAGAATTGCCCCTGAGAAATGAAGCAAGACAAGGATGCCCACTTTCACCACTTCCATTCAAAATAGTACTGTAAGTCCTAACCAGAGCAGTCAGACAACAGAAAGAAATAAAGGCCATCCAAATCAGTAAAGAGGAAGTCAAACTGTCACTGTTTGCTGATGACATGATTGTATACCTAGAAAACCCTAAAGACTCATCCAAAAAGCTCCTAGAGCTGGTCAATGAATTCAGCAAAGTTTCAGGATACAAAGTTAATGTACACAAATCAGTAGCTCTACTACACACCAACAGCGACCAAGCTGAGAATCAAGCAAGAAGTCAACCCCTTTCCCAATAGTTGCAAAAAGAAAAGAAAATACTTAGGAATATGCCTAACCAAGGAGGTGAAAGATCTCTACAAGGAAAACTAAAAAACTCTGCTGAAAGAAATCATGGACGACGCAAACAAATGGAAACACATCCCATGGATGAGTAGAATCAATATTGTGAAAATGACTATACTGCCAAAAGCAATATACAAATTCAATGCAGTTCCCATCAAAATACCATCATTCTTCACAGAACTAGAAGAAGCAATCCTAAAATTCATATGGAACCAAAAAAGAGCCTGCATACCTGAAGCAAGACTAAGCAAAGGAACAAATCGAGAGGTATCACATTACCCAACTTCAAACTATATTATAAGGCCATAGTCACCAAAACAGCATAGTACTGGTATAAAAATAGGCACATAGCCCAATGGAACATAATACAGAACCCAGAAACAAAGCTAAATACTTACAGCCAACTGATCTTCGACAAAGCAAACAAAAACATGAAGTGGGGAAAGGACACTCTATTCAACAAATGGTACTGGGATAACTGGCAAGCCACATGTAGGAGAATGAAACTGGATCATCCTCTCTTACTTTATAGAAAAATCAACCCAAGATGGATCAAAGACTCAAATATAAGACCTGAAACCATACCAGAAGATAACATCAGCAAAACCCTTCTAGACATTCGCTTAGACAAAGACTTCATGACCAAGAACCCAAAAGCAAATGCAACAAAAACGAAGATAAATAGATGGGACTCGATTAAACTAAAAAGTTTCTGCACAGCAAAATAAATAATCAACAGAGTTAACAGACAGCCCACAGAATGGGAGAAAATCTTCACAATCTACATATCCAACAAAGGACTAATATCCAGAATCTACAAAGAACTCAAACAAATCAGCAAAAACAAAACAAATCAAAAATTCCAATTAAAAAATAGTCTAAGGACATGGATAGCCAATTCTCAAAAGAAGATATACAAATGGTCAACATGCATATGGGAAAATGCTCAACTAATTATCAGGGAAATGCAAATCAAAACCACAATGCCACACCACCTCCCTCCTGCAAGAATGGCCATAATCAAAAAAATAAAAAAATAATAGATGTTGGTGTGGATGTGGTGAAAAGGGAACACTTTTATACTGTTCGTGGGAAGGTAAACTAGTACAAGCACTATGGAAAACAATGTGGAGATTCCTTAAAGAACTAAAAGTAGATCTACCATTTAATCCAGCAATCCCACTACTAGGTATCCACCCAGAAGAAAATAAGTCATTGTACGAAAAACATACTTGCACATGCCTGTAATCCCAACACTTTTGGGAGGCCATGGCAGGAGGATTACCTGAGGTTAGGAGCTCGAGACCAGCCTGGCCAACATGGTGAAACCCCATCTCTACTAATAATACAAAAATTCACCGTGTATGGTGGTGTGTGCCTGTAATCCCAGCTATTCAGGAGGCTGAGGCAAAAGAATCTCTTGAACCTGGGATGCAGGGAAGTGGAGGTTGCAGTGAGCCAACATTGCGCCACTGCACTCCACCCTGGGCAAAAGAGCGAGACTCTGTCTCAAAAAAAAAAAAAAAAGATATTAATGCTTCCCAAAGCAACCTATACATTCAATGCCATCCCTATAAATATCCCAAGTATTTTTTTTTGCGGAAATAGAAAAACCCATTCTAAAATTTTTATATGGTATCTCAAGAAACCCTGAATAGTCAAGACAATCTTGAAAAAGAAGAACAAAGTTGGAGGTCTCATATTTCCTGATTTAAAAACTTACTACAAAGCTATAATAATAAAAATAATGTGGTATTGGAACAAAGACAGACATATAGACCAGTGGAATAAAATAGAGTCCCCAGAAATAAGTCCTAGAATATATGATCAAAAGATTTTCTAGAAAAGTGCCAGGATCATTCAATGGGGGAAAGGAAAGTTTCTTCAACAAATGGTATTGGAAATTTGGATATCTACATATGAAAGAACAAAGTTAGACACTTACCTTACAAAAGTTAGAAGAAAACACAGGGGAAAAGCTACATGACATTGGATTGGTAATGATTTATTGGCTATGACACCAAAAACACAGGCAACAAAACAAAAAATTAATAAATCAGACTTTATTAAAATTAAAAACGTTTGTGCCTCAAATGTCATTATCAACAGAATGAAAACACAAACCAGTGAATGGAAGAAAATATTTGCAAATCACATGTCTGATAAGAAGTTAATATCCAGAATATGTAAAGAAACCTGAAATTCAACAACAACAAAAGACAACCCAATTTAAAACTAGGCAAAGGATTTGAATAGATATTTCTCCAAAGAAGTTATACAGATGGTCAGTGAACCATGAAAATATACTCAACACCAGTAATTATTAGAAAATTGTAAATTGAAATGATATGAAGGTACCATTTCATATACATTAGGATGGCTATTTAAAAAAAAAAAAGAAAATAACAAGTGTTGGTAATGATGTGAAAAAATTGAAATCCTTGTGCATTGCTGGTGGGAATGTAGAATGGTGTATCCACTATGGAAACCAGCATGGTGTTTCCTCAAAAAGTTAAACATAGAATTACCATATGATTCAGCAATTCCACTTCTGGATATATCTCCAAAATAATTAAAAGCATGGACTAATAAGATATTTGTACACCAATATTTATAGAAGCATTGTATGATTTCACTTATATGAGGGATCTAGAGGATTCACATTTATAGAGACAGAAAATTGGTGGTGGTTGTCAGAAGATGGGGAAAGGGAGAACTGGGTAGTTCGCGTTTTAATGGCTACAGAATTTCAGTTTGGGAAGATGAGACATTTCTGGAGATGGATGGTGATGATTGTTGAACAATAATATAAATGTATTTAATACCACTGAAGTATACACTTAAAATGACAAGAATGGCAAATCTTGTTATGTACATTTTTACCAGAATAAAAACATTCAGTAACGAGATACGAGCTGAGCTGAAATAGACCAGTAAAAGGGTGATAGGAATCAAAATTTGTGAAACAGCATAAGAGATAGAGTTGGAGACTAGGGGAAGAGTTTGGATTTTTATTTAGGCAAATCAGAATCAACTAGCAGTTTTCAAGCAGAGAACTAATAGACCGAGATATAATCAGAATAAATGTTTTTTAATCAACTTTTATTTAAATTCCAAGGTATATGTGTGGGATGCACAGGTTTGTTACATAGGTAAATGTGTGCCATGGTAGTTTGCTGCACAGATGAACTCATCACCTAGGTATTAAGCCCAGCACCCATTGGCTGTTCTTCCTGATGCTCTCCCTCCCCGCTACACCCCTGACAGATCTCAGTGTGTGTTGTCCCCCCCACCCCACATGTGTCCATGTGTTCTCATTGTTTAGCTCCCACTTATAAGTGAGAACATGTGGTGTTTGGTTTTCTGTTTCTGGGTTAGCTTGCTGAGGATACCATTTCCAGCTCCATCCATGTCCCTGCAAAGGACATGATCTTGTTCCTTTTTATGGCTGCATAGTATTCCATGGTGTATATGTACCACATTTTCTTTATCCAGTCTATCATTGAGGGGCATTTGGGTTGATTCCATGTCTTTGCTATTGTGAATAGTGCTGCAATGAACATATGCATGCATATATCTTTATAATAGAAGGACTTATATTCCTTTGGGTATATACCCAGTAATGGGATTACTGGGTCAAATGGTTTTTCTGCTTCTAGATCTTTGAGGGACCACCACACTGTCTTCCACAATGGTTGAACTAGTTTACATTCCCATCAACAGTGTAAAAGCATTCCTTTTTCTCCACTACCCCTCCAGCATCTGTTCTTTCTTGACTTTTTAATACTCTCCATTCTGACTGGTGTGAGATGGTGTCTCACTGTGGTTTTGATTTGCATTTCTCTAATGATCAATGATGTTGAGATTGTTTTCATATATTTGTTGGCTATATGAATGTCTTCTTTTGAAAAGTGTCTATTCATGTCCTTTGCCCACTTTTTTATCAGGTTGTTTGCTTTTTTTTATTATACTTTAAGTTCAGGGGCACATGTGCAGAACGTGCAGGTTTGTTACATAAGTATACCTGTGCCATGGTGGTTTGATGCACTCATTAACCCGTCATCTACATTAGGTATTTCTCCTAGTGCTATCCCTCCCCAGTTCCCCACCCACCGACAGGCCGCAGTGTGTGATGTTCCCCTCCCTGTGTCCATGTGTTCTCGTTGTTCAACTCCCACTTATGAGTGAGAACATGTGATGTTTGGTTTTCTGTTCCTGTGTGTTTCCTGAGAATGATGGTTTCCAGCTTCATCCATGTTCCTGCAAAGGACATGAACTCATCCTTTTTTACAGCTGCATAGTATTCCATGGTGTATATGTGCCACATTTTCTTTATCCAGTCTATCATTGATGGGTATTTGGATTGGTTCCAAGTCTTTGCTATGGTGAGCAGTGCTGCAATAAACATACGTGTGTGTGTGTCTTTACAGTAGAATGACTTATAATCCTTGGGGTATAAACCCAGTAATGGGATTGCTGGGTCAAATGGTAGTTCTGGTTCTAGATCCTTGAGGAATTGTCACACTGTCTTCCACAATGGTTGAACTAATTTACACTCTCACCAACAGTGTAAAAGCGTTCCTATTTTTCCACATCCTCTCCAGCATCTGTTTTTTCCTGACCTTTTTATTTATTTTTTTTGAGATGGAGTCTTGCTCTGTCACCCAGGCTGGAGTGCAGTGGCGCAATCTCAGCTCACTGCAAGCTCCACCTCCCAGGTTCACGCCATTCTCCTGCCTCAGCCTCCCGAGTAGCTGGGACTACAGGCGCCCACCACCACGCCTGGCTAATTTTTTGTATTTTTTAGTAGAGACGGGGTTTCACCATGTTAGCCAGGATGGTCTCGATCTCCTGACTTCGTGATCTGCCCACCTCGGCCTCCCAAAGTGCTGGGATTACAGGCGTGAGCCACTGAGCCTGGCCCTTTTTTTTTTTTTTTTTGAGATGGAGTCTCGCTGTGTTGCCCAGCTCATGCTGGAGTGCAGTGGCCCAATCTCAGCTCACTGCAAGCTCTGCCTCCTGGGTTCACACCATTCTCCTGCCTCAGCCTCCCAAGTAGCTGGGACTATAGGCGCTCACCACCACACCCGGCTAATTTTTTGTATTTTTTTAGTAGAGACGTGGTTTCCCCCTGTTAGCCAGGATGGTCTCGGTCTCCTGACCTTGTGATCTGCCCGCCTCAACCTCCCAAAGTGCTGGGATTACAGGCCTCAGCCACAGCGCCCGGCCATTTCCTGACTTTTTAATGATCACCATTCTAATTGGCATGAGATAGTATCTCATTGTGGTTTTGATTTGCAGTTCTCAAATGACCAGTGATGATGAGCTTTTTTTCATGTTTGTTGGCCACATAGGTGTCTTCTTTTAAGAAGTGTCTGTTCATATTCTTCACCCACTTTTTGATGGGGTTGTTTTTTGTCTTGTAAATTTGTTTAAGTTCCTTGTAGATTCTGGATATTAGCCCTTTGTCAGATGGATAGATTGCAAAAATTTTCTCCCATTCTGTAGGTTGCCTGTTCACTCTGATGAGAGTTTCTTTTTCTGTGCAGAAGCTCTTTAGTTTTAGATCCCATTTCTCAATTTTTGCTTTTGTTGTAATTGCTTTTGGTGTTTTCATCATGAAATCTTTGCCCATGCCTGTGTCCTGAGTGGTATTGCCTAGATTTTCTTCTAAGGCTTTTATAGATTTGGGTTTTACATTTAAGTCTTTATTCCATCTTGAGTTAATTTTTGTATTAGGTATAAGAAAGGAGTCCAGTTTCAATTTTCTGCATATGGCTAGCCAGTTCTGCCAGCACCATTTATTAAATAGGGAATCCTTTCTGCATTGCTTGTTTTTGTCAGGTTTGTCGAAGACCAGATGGTTGTAAATGTGCAGTGTTATTTCTGAGTTCTTTATTGTGTTCCATTGGTCTATGTGTCTGTTTTTGTACCAGTACCATGCTGTTTTGGTTACTGTAGCCTTGTTTCAGGAAAAATTTTCTGAATTAATTGGAACATGAAGGTAGTGTAGCAAGGGAGTAGTAAGGAGTACTGTAGTGCTAGTAGTTAAAATCTTGAGAGTGAATGAACCCCTGAGTCAGTAACAACAGAGGGCAAAAGATAAGATCAGTCTTTCTTCTGCTCCTGAAAGAAACCAAGTATGCTCCTACCTCAGGAACTTTGCACTTGCTGCTCCCTCAGCCTAACTTCCCCACTGCCAACTAACTACATTGTTCATACTATCATTTTACTCAGGGGTCTGCTTAAATGTCACCTTATAAATAAAAGCATCACATCTATAATATCATTTTCCCTATCCCATAACTCTCTATTCCCTAACCCTGTATTATTTTTCTTCCTTGCTGTATGTGCAGTCCATATAACACATTTGTTTGTCTATTACCAGTTCCTCCAGGCTACAATGTAAGCTCCACAAAGGAGAAAATTTGTCTGATTTATTGATCTCTGTATCACCAGTATCTTTTATAATGCATAGAATATAGGAGGTACACAATGAATATTTGCTTAAAGAATGAAAATAAATGTTTTGTACATTTATCTGACTGGTGGATGAATGATAGGAGGAAGAGAAACCTGTAAGAGAGGCACAGTATTCAGAAAAAGGCAGGAAAACCCTGCATCATGCAAGTTGCAAGGCAGCAGTTAAGATATTTGCTGCAAGCCTCCAATAGCCAAGATGTGGATTAGGATAAGGGTGATGAGCCAGTTCAGGTTTTCAGAGATAGTCCTGCCTTCAGGACTGAAATTCTAGTATCCCTAAAATTCCTTAGTTTTGCACAAACCTGCACAGTCGATCACCCTAGTTGGTAGTTAGTTTTAAAAAGAAGCAACCTAGTCTCAAACTATGCAAGGCAAGTCACAAGGGACCAGGGTTCTTGTGGGGGTGGCATGAGAACCTGACATTTGAGACATTTGAGCTGGCAGAGAGAGCTACTTGGAGAGTTGGCAGGGACAGGACTACAGCCTGCATGGAGCCCAGAGGGTTTGGTGCAGGAACAGCTGCAGGGGAGCACAGACGGGGACACCCAGCCCCGAAGTCTTGCCATGCCCTCTAGGTGGCTTTGGCCTTTGGTGACTGTTGGACTTGAACAGAACAGGGCTATCTTCCCTGTGGAATGAGGCCAGTCTAATCTGAGCACCCTATGCCGGCCTGTCCCAGGGTCCCTGTCTGGCCACATCCACTTGCAGCTCACCCTCAGATGCCCAACTGGCCACCGTAAAACAACTTATATACAAAAACCACTGACACTATAAAACAACTACACAATCAAGTCTACATAACAACCAGCTAACAACACCATGACAGGATCAGATCCACATGTATCAATATTAACCTTGTATGTAAAGGGGCTAAATGCCCCACTTAAAAGTCACAGAGTGGCAAGTTGGATAAAGAATCAATACCCAACTGTATAGTGTCTTCAAGACACCCATCTCACATGCAATGACACCCATAGGCTCAAAGTAAAGGGATGGAGAAAAATTTATCAGGCAAATGGAAAACAAAAAAGAGCAGGTGTTGCTATTCTTATTTTGGACAGAAAAGACTGTAAACCAACAATGATCAAAAAGGACAAAGTGAAGTCCTAGTCAGAGCAATGAGGCAAGAGAAAGAAATAAAATGCATCCTGATAGGTACAGAGGAAGTCAAACTATCTCTCTTCACAGATGATATGACTATATACCTAGAAAACCACAAAATCTCTACGCAATGGCTCTTAGATCTGATAAACCACTTCAGAAAAGTTTCAGGATACAAAACCAATGTACAAAAATTGGTAGCATTTCTATACACCAATAATGACCAAGCTGAAACCCAAATCAAGACCACACTGCCATTCACAATAGCGACAAACAGGACAACGTACCTAGGAATACAGCTAACCAGGGATGTGAAAGAGCTCTACAACAAGAATTACAAAACACTGCTGAAAGAAATCAGAGATTACACAAACAAATGGAAAAACATTCCATGCTCATTGATAGGAAAAATCAATATTGTTAAAATGGCCATACTGCCCAAAGCAATGTCCAGATTCAGTGCTACTCCTATCAAACTACCAACAATGTCTATCACAGAATTTGAAAAAAAAAAAAACTATTCTAAAATTCATGTGGAATGAAAAAAAGAGCCCAAATAGGAAAACCAATCCTAAGCAAAAAGAAGAAAATCGGAGGCACCAAACTACCCAACTTCAAGCTACATTACATGCTATGGTAACAAAAACAGCATGGTACTGGTACAAAAACAGACTAATAGAACAATGGAACAGGTTAGAGAACCCAGGAATAAAGCCACACACCTAAAACCACCTGTCTTTGACAAAGTTGAAAATAACAAGCAATGGGGAAATGACTTCCTATTTGATAAATGGTGCTGGGGTAACTGGCTAGCCATATGCAGAAGATTGAAACTGAATTCCTTCTTTTCACCATATAAACAGATCAATGCAAGATGGATTAAAGACTTAAATGTAAAACCTAAAACTATAAAAATCCTATCATAAAACCAAGGAAATTCCATTCTGGACATAGACCCTGGAAAAGACTTCAAGACAAAGACTCCAAAAGCAATTGCAACAATAACAAAAATTGAAAAGTCGGACCTAATTAAAGTAAAGAGCTTCTGCACAGCAAAAGAAGGAATAAACAGAGTAAACAGACAAATGGGAGAAAATATTTGCAAACTATGCATCTGACAAAGGCCTAATATCCAGAATCTATAAGGAACTTAAACCAACAAGCAAAACAACAAACAAGCCCATTAAAAATGTGCAAAAGATATGAACAGATACTTCTCAAAAGAAGACATACATGAGACCAACAAGCATATGAAAAAGTGCTCATCATCATTAATCATCAGAGAAATGCAAATCAAAACTGCGATGAGATACCATCCCACACCAGTCAGAATGGCTATTATTAAAAAGTCAAAAAATAACAAATACTGGCAAGTTTACAGAGAAAGGGGAATGCTTACACACTGTTGATGGGAATGTAAATTAGTTCGGCCACTGTGGAAAGCAGTTTGGAGGTTTCTCAAAAGATTTAGAATTACCATTCAACCAGCAATTCCATTACTGGGTATATACCCAAATAAATATAAATCATTCTACCATAAAGATACATACACACATATGTTTATCATAGCACCATTCACCATAACAAAGACGTGGAATCAATCTAGAGGCCTGTCCAAGACTCCTTCTGCTTGAGAAAAGCAGAGGGTAAAGTAAATGAGACTTTGTCTTGCACCTTAGGTACCAGCTCAGCCACAGTGGGGTAGAGCAGCAAGCAGGCTCTTGAGGTCCCTGATTCTAGGACATGGCTCTTGGACGACATTTCTGGACCTGCCCTGGTTCAGAGGGGATCCCACTGCCCTGAAGGATGAGTCCCAGGCCAGGCAGCATTTACCACAAGCTGACTGAAGAGCCCTTGGGCCTTAGGGGAATATCAGTGGTAGTCTGGCAGTACGCCCTGTGGGCCAGTGGTGGCGGTGGCCACAGGGTGAGGCTCCTCCTCCTGTGAAAGTGGGAGGGAAGCGTGGGAAGGACTGTGCCTTGTGGTTTGAGTGCCAGCTCAGCTGCAGTATGATACAACAGCAAGTAGACTTCCAAGGTTTTCTACTCTAGTCCATGGCTCCCAGACAGCATCTCAGGACCCAGGCCTGGGGGAACTCACCACCCTGAAGGGAAGGACACAGGCCTAGCTGGCTTTGTCACCTGCTGATTGTAGGGCCCCAGGGCTTTGAGTGAACATAGGCAGTAGCCAGGGATTGGTTACAGCAGTTCTTGGACAAGACCTAGTGCGGCACTGGCTTCAGGTCTGACTCAGTGCAGTCCTAGTGGTGGTGGCCACAGGGGTGCTTGTGTCACTCCACCCCCAGCTTCAGGTGGCTCAGAACAGAGAGAGAGATTTTGTTCATTTGGGAGAAAGTAAGGGAAGAGAACAAGAGTCTCTGCCTGGTAATCCAGAGAATTCTCCCAGATCTTGTCCAAGACCATCCAGGCAATACCTCTACAAGTCTGCAAGAACCACAGCATTACTGGGCTTGGGGTTACCCCTAAACCAGATATAGCTTAGATCACAACACCCAAGTCCTTTCAAATATCTGGAAAGCTTTCCCAAGGAGGATGGGTACAAACAAGCCCAGACTACAAAGACTATAATAAATACCTAACTATTCAATGCCCAGACACAGACAAACATCTACAGGTATTAAGACAATCCAGGAAAATATGACTTCACCAAATGAACTAAACAAAGTACCAATCCTGGAGAAACAGGGATATGTGGCTACCTAGATGCCCATCAGTGGTGAACTGGATAAAGAAAATTTAGGACATACACACTGTGAAATACTATGCAGCCATTAACAAGAATGAAATTATGTCCCTTGCGGCATCACAGATGCAGCTAGAGGCCACTATCCTAAATGAATTAATGCAGGAAAAGAAAACCAAATACTACATGTTCTTACTTATAAGTGGGAGCTAAACACTGAATACACATGGACACAAAGAAGGGAACAAGAGACACCAGGGACTACTTGAGGGTGGGAGGTGGGAGAAGTGTGAGGATCAATAAACTACTTATTAGATACTATGCTCACTACTGGAGTAACAAAATAAGTTGTACACCAAACCCCAGCAATACACAATTTACTCATATAACAAACCTGCACATGTACCCATGAAGCTAAAACAAAAGTTGGAAGGAAAATAAATTTGTCTATTTCACCTATGTTATCGAATTTATTGGCATATAATTGTTCATAGCATTCCTTTATAATCCTTTTTTATTTCTGTAAGGTTGTTAATAATGTCATCTCTTTTATTTCTGATTCTAATAATTTGAGTCATCTTTTTTCTTTGTGCAATCCACCTAAGGATTTGTCAGTTGTGTTAATCCTTTAAAAGAACCAACTTTTGTTTTTGTTGATTCTCCCTATCATCTTTCTATTCCTATATCATTTATTTCCACTCTGATATTTATTATTTCATTCCTTCTGTTTACTTTAGGTTTAGTTTGCTCTTCTTTTTCCAGTGTCTTAAGGTGTAAGATTAGGTTACTAATTTAAGATCTATAATAGAGCTTTAAATTTCTTAATTTTTAATAGAGCTATAAATTTAATAGACCTATAAATTTCTCTCTAAGAACAGTTTTACTGTATCTCACAAGTTTTGGTATAATATGTCTTCATTTTCATTAATCTCAAAGCATTTTCTAATTTCTTAAGAATATGCTGCTTAATTTCCACACATTAGTAACAGCTCAAAGAAGGCTTCTTACCCCATCCATACCATCTCTTTTCCAATTGGTTGCCTTCATTCCTGTCCATAGCAATAACTGATGGTAACATAAGCAAAGTGCAAGTGACCTCATGCCCCGCTTTTTATTCTTCTTTCTCTACCACAGATTTACATTGTTAAAGGGGTCTTTCCTCTATCAGTTGGCTGCGTGTATCTTAGGAAAAAGCCTAAAATATATTTTGTTTTTGCCAAGTGCCTCTGAAGCCTCAGATGCTACCTTAAAGTGCTGCCCAGGATGGTTTTATACTCCTGAGCTCAAGCAATCTGCCCACCTCGGCCTTCCAAAGAAGTGCTGGGAATACCGATGTGAGCCACAGCACCGGGCCCAGCAATTAAGATTTTTTGGAAATACGGCTTTATGGGGGAGCTTCAAACCCATTTTGCCTCCTCATGGCCGCCTGGCTTCTGGTTCTCACAACAGCCATAGTTGTGAAGCTGTTGATTTTCAAGGCTACCTCTGTGCTGGGGTGAGAGAGATGGAAATAGAACAAGTTTAAATGCCAGAAAGCTCACTATTCTTGTCAAGATTTATTGATTTTTCCTGAATGAAGTTATCAAAACTTTGGTTAATTTCCAGAGTCTTTTAAAAGGTTGATTTTGACATTTTTTCCTAGTTTATTGTTGCTTTTATGAAGGAGTAGATTTTTGGAAGTTCTTACTCTACCAATCCAGAAGTACTCTTTTATAGCTGTGTTTTAATCATAAAATGTTTGTTATTTTATGAACAAGGTCCAAGTACCCCCAAACCTGTTATATATATATACCACTCACACCCACATATATCACATTAATAGTTACATACACACAAAGAGGGGGAGAGAAAAGAGTTTTCATTCCATTCAATCAACAGCCAAGTGGATTGAGGTAAAGGAGGGAGGTGCTTCAAAAGTCAGCTTTTCTCTTGCCTTCATTCTGTGAATACCTCAAACACCCCATGCAGGTAGATAACTATCTAAACCATGGAAACTGTTAGTGACCCATGTACCTCAGATCTTAAAGAAATCATTGTTGGCTTAATGAAAATAGTCAGTACACTAAAGAGGAGCTGCTAGGGAAAGACTTTTAATATACTTAACCTCCTCTCTGTTTCTTTTCTGTTTATTGTTATGGCTTCTATGTTTGACATGACTTTATAGAACATAGCTTCAAGCAACGTAAATATGTAACTACTCTTCTTACTAGTATAATTCTTTCCAATGCCTACTTAATTTAGAGTGATTTTTTTTTCCTCATGCCTTGAGTAGAATTCTTGTTTCAATTCACTTTGGGAAGCACTTTGAGGTAGCATCTGAGTTTCAGAGGCACTTGGCAAAAACAAAATATATGTAAGCCTTTTTCTAAGATACATACAGTCAACTGATAGAGGCAAGACCGTCTTTAACAGTGTCAATCTGTAGTAGAGAAAGAAGGATAAAAGTGGGGGCATGAGGACACTTGGGCTCTGCTTATTTTACCATTAGTTACTGCTATGGAGAGGAATGAAGGCAACCAATCGGGAAGGAGAATGGTATGAATGGAGTAAGAAGCCTTCTTTGAGCTGTTACAAAACATTTCCCCTTACACTGGGTTTGAACCCTTATCAATGCTAAGACCTCTTTAAATTCTTCTAAACCTATCAATTATATATTCACAAAAATCAAAAGTAACTCAAGGTTGGAAGAGACCTTAGATTTCATAAAATCCAATCCCAGTACTATCTAACACTTCAAATTCATCTACAATACATCTACCTAGTGAGCTTTCAACTTCTGTTTGCTCACTTCCAGTGATGGGAGAGCTCATCACATCTTGAGACAATTTTTTTCTTCTTTAAATAGTGCTGAACATTAATAAATTATTTTTTATATTGAGTTAAGAACAGTTGCCATGGAATCCCTCCACCACATACACATGTGTGCAGTGATATGAATTACCATTTAGAGAAATAAAGATGACATCTAATCCCTCTTCCCATATAGCACAACAATGTCCATCCAAGTCTTCCCTTCTCCAAGTAAAACATTCCTCATTCTTTTACCACACCTCTCAGACCCAGCTTGTTTCACTGTATATTAAGTCCCAATGTGTTGGTAAATGTTTAATAACTGCCTTTCTGGGGGAGGAAGGATGGGGGTGGATGGGTGTTGATTTGTAGTATTTGCCAATTTCTGTAGTGTAAATATTTCCATCATGGCTGATTTTAAGCTACCAAAATGATGTCGCTGAACGCAGAGTTAGGAAGAGATGCACGTAATTATTGCTAATCAACTGCTGCAAGTCAGCCTCGGCACACTGGTCTTGGCCCTTTATCCCTACTCAGGCCTTTGGAGTCAACTCTACAGCAAGTATTTGATCTACCTAAGACCAGACATTAACCCAGGATACATGGGATAACATGTTCCACCTCCTTGAATGAAAGTAGGCTTTCTACATTCTTCACCCTCTGCTCTCCATGAATGTATGGAAATTCATCAGCCCCTTGCCAAAGCAGAAAACAGAGTCAATTGGGGATCTACAATGTCTTTCTCAATAGATCGTCAATTCAATGCCATGTTCTCTAGTGGTCAGAAAGAGTTAATGTGACTCTTTGTACCCATATTGTCTATATGTCATGGCCAATCTGCCAGAGTAAATAAATTCTTCCTGAATCAAGAGGAGGGATTAGGTTCAGAGTACAGTCAGCCCTCCATATCTACACGTTCAACCAACTGCAGACAGAAAATATTTGAAAATAATAATAAAAATAACAACAATAAAAATAATGTAAATTTTTAAAATACAGTATAACAACTATTTACATAGTGTTTACATTTTATTAGGTATTATAAGTAATCTAGAAATGATTTAAAGTATACAGGAGGATGCGTAGGTTATACGCACCATATTATATAAGGGACTTGAGCATCTATAGATTTTGTTATCTATGGGGATCCTAGAATCAATCCCTCATGGATATAGAGGGGATGTCTGTATAATCCATTCCTTCTAAAGGCACTGTTAATCTCATATACAGCCTATTCTTCAGTCCTCATTCTTCAGAAAACAACTCTCAGATTTACTTTATCTATATCCAGAACTCTAAACTCAAACTGGCTGGTGCTAGTGAGTTATGGCTCACACTGCTTTCTGGTGAGTGATGAAATTACTTGGTTGGGCATTCAATTGACTTTACTCTCTCACATGGAAGTCTTGATAGGTCACCTTTAAAATTCAGTTGGCAACATTTGTCCATTTTCCAATGACTTTTAGGTGCCATACTGAAGATAAAACAAATGGTATTTTATGTAGAAATACATACTCAGACATTTAGAAGAGGCTGAATCTGCCAAAACAGAAGCTGGAGGCAAGCATCCAGCCATGCTTTACCTTTCACTCCAACTGTTTGGGAGGCTGTATTAAGCTCTTCTCTCTGGGCCTCATGGTCCAAAGATTCTGGAGCTTTTGTCTCTTTTCACTTTTCCTTGTCCTGCTAGAAGACAAACTGGTAGAAATAGGCAAGAAGAGATTATTCTCAGCCAAATGTGATTTTCACGGTTAAAATATAGTGATACAAAAATTGTATTTAGTCCAGTGGTCCTCAATCCTGTTCTACATTGGAATTATCTGTGGAGCTTAAAAAAAAACAAAAAAAAACCTTATGCACCTGAGTCTACCCCCAGAGTTTCTGATTGGTCTGGGAAGTAACCTGAGCATCAGGAGTTTCAAAGCTCTACGGTTGTTGCACCATCAAAGTTGGGAACCATTGATTTAGACAACTGATTTGTGTACTTGTTTTGCTACTGCTTCTGTAACCAATTAATGCTGACTTAGTGATTTAAAACAGCACAAATTTATTACCTTATAGTTCCGGAGGTCAGAAGTCTGAAATGGGTCTCACTGGGCTAAAATCAAGGTGTAAGCAGAACCGTATTCCTTCTGGAGGTTCTAGGGGGTAATCTACTTTCTTACCTTTTCCAGCTTCTAGAGGCCACCTGTATTCCTTGTGTCATGGTCCTCCTCTATCTTCAAAGCCAGCAACATCAAGCCAAGTTCTTCTCATGCTACATCATTCTGGTTCTCCCTGTTCTGCCTCTCCCTTCCTCTTATAAAGGCACTTGTGATTACAATGGGCCCACACATATAATCCAGGGTAATCGCTCAATCTCAAGGCCAGCTAATTTGCAATCTTAATTCCCATTTGACATTTAACATAACATAATCATAGTTTCCAAGGAATAGGATATGGATATCTTTGTGGAGTCATTGACGTGTCCATCATACTTGGGTCTCTCCTGGATCATCCATAATAATTCTCCAAGGAAGGTGAAGGGTTTACGTGGAGAAATGCATAACAAAGAGAAAATAGCTAAATCAATTTTGCTTACCTTCAGAGCACCTGAAGAGAGACACAGTCACACATTTGTGTTTACATGCTCATTTAGCAATATATGTAGTCAATAAACATTTATGATTGAGGTAAATATACACTAGTCACTCAATAAATGCCCAATGAATGAATGAATGAATGGCTGATTATATGTTTCTGAATGTGAATTTCCTCAAGTTGTCTACACATCTATGTCTTGAATTATCTTTGCCCCAGATTTTTTTTTAACAAAAGAGCATCACTGTCCTGTCAAGGTCAAACCTTCACTACAACACAGTTTGGGTAAAGAGAAATATTAAAGGCTGAGGTACCCATGATAGGGATAGAATCCTCAGTAGCAAGGCCAAGTGAGAACAACAGCAGCAGCAGGAATAGTGGTTAATGACTTCTGGGCCTCATCACTGCCTTTGGTGGCACATGACCTCCTCTTCCTGGTGTCAGAAATGAAGATAGTATTTGATGTTCTGTACCACCTTCAAGGCTTATTAGCTCAACAAACCAAACGGTAGAAAACAAAATCCCTGAAAATTAATAACATGAAGCAGTTACTTTAGTAGATTAAGCTATCAGCATTTGGCTCTATAATACTCAAGAACTGCAGCTCTGAATCCGTGCAATCCCATTTCTGCCTGGGCCAGTATTCATCCAACATTTGTCTCTCCAGTTCAAAATAATTTGGCTTTTCCATATGGTTCATATGTTCATGCACCTTGGATCCTGAGAATGTGGCCATTTTAATTAGGGTCTAGAAACGCTGATGCTAATTCAAAGACTAGTGAATGACCTCTGCTCCTGTCCGGGAACCTAATTGTATTCTCATTTCAGAATTTGGGCTGCGGTAATGTCTGCAAAAGTCTGCTAGAGTGCTAAAGGGAAAAATGGCAGACACTAAATGGTTCCTGACTGTATTCTTTCTGTATACCTGTGAGGCATCCTCCAGAACACTCAGAAAAACCTTTTAAGGTCTTAGAGGCCAGAGTCAGCAAAATGTGGTTTATTCTTCATAGTTCACAACTCACTTTGCCATTCTGAGATTCAACTCCATTGCCTCCATAACAGGGTTTTGCTGGGTACCACTGTATTCGCTGGCCACTGTCACCTCTGCTAGGCACTGCTTCTGTTTCCATGGGCTGCCACTTGGTCCTCAAGGCATCAAAGCTTCATCGAGTTCTATGGTGAAGTGAAAGGAATGAGTCTCTCATTTTATTTACACTCTGTCAAAGGAGTGATGAGTTACAAACACATCTAAGTGACATAAAACAGTGTTCTCCAGATTTATCCTTCTCTCCCCAGCTAATGCTGTGTAATTGAAGCCTGCCAGCCTGGTACCCTGTCCAGTTAGAATAAATTCTCTCCCGGATGCTTCTCAGTCCCTCATGCAAGTAGAGTTGCATGCAAGGATACATCTAAGTCCCAAACATGGGCACAATTTAAACTCAGAATGGAACTTCTTGCTATATAAAGTTGATCTTTTTGTCCTTCCCAAGTATTGGCTAAGAGGTGAAAGGTCTTCTCTCCAGAGGGAAATTAAAAGCTTGAGTCAAGGCCATGAGAAGAATTGAGATCTTGGTCTTGTTAATACTTGGATTCCTTCCCTAATTAACATCTACACCTTTTTCTGCAGCCATCACCAGGGGTTCCTCATAGGGTCAAGTGTTTTTATCAAAGATCATGTATCTCAATTATTTTAAGGTATCCAGTGAATTTTCTAATCAGAGACTCTGGGGAAAAAAGTATTTGAATTGAGGTGAGTAAAGGAAGGAGAATTTTGTCAGAGAGCACAGATACATGGAAATACAAATACCTCTTTTGGCCACATCTGAAGTTGTGCAGTCCCAAAGCATTTCTGAGGAAAGAAGGTGGTGGTGGTACAAAATTGATAGACCGCTAGCAAGACTAATAAAGAAGAAAAGAGAGAAGAATCAAATAGATGCAATAAAAAATGATAAAGGGGATATTACCACCGATCCCACAGAAATACAAACTACTATCAGAGAATACTATAAACACCTCTACCCAAATAAACTAGAAAATCTAGAAAAAATGGATAAATTCCTTGACACATACACCCTCCCAAGACTAAACCAGGAAGAAGTTGAATCTCTGAATAGACCAATAACAGGCTCCTAAATTGAGGCAGTAATTAATAGCTTACCAACCAAAAAAAGTCCAGGACCAGATGGATTCACAGCTGATTTCTACCAGAGGTACAAGGAAGAACTGGTACCATTCCTTCTGAAACTATTCCAATCAATAGAAAAAGAGGGAATCCTCCCTAACTCATTTTATGAGGCCAGCATCATCCTGATACCAAAGCGTGGCAGAGACACAACAAAAAAAGAGAATTTTAGACCAATATCCCTGACGAACATTGATGCAAAAATCCTCAATAAAATACTGGCAAACCAAATCCAGCAGCACATCAAAAAGCTTATCCACCATGATCATGTGGGCTTCATCTCTGGGATGCAAGTCTGGTTCAACATATGCAAATCAATAAAAGTAATCCAGCATATAAACAGAACTAACGAAAAACACCACATGATTATCTCAATAGATGCAGAAAAGACCTTTGACAAAATTCAACAACACTTCATGCTAAAAACTCTCAATAAATTAGGTATTAATGGGACGTATCTCAAAATAATAAGAGCTATCTATGACAAACCCACAGCCAATATCATAATGAATGGGCAAAAACTGGAAGCATTCCCTTTGAAAACTGGCACAAGACAGGGATGCCCTCTCTCACCACTCCTATTCAACATAGTGTTGGAAGTTCTGGCCGGGGCAATCAGGCAGGAGAAGGAAATAAAGGGTATTCAATTAGGAAAAGAGGAAGTCAAATTGTCCCTGTTTGCAGATGACATGATTTTATATCTAGAAAACCCCATCATCTCAGCCCAAAATCTCCTTAAGCTGATAAGCAACTTCAGCAATGTCTCAGGATACAAAATCAATGTGCAAAAATCACAAGCATTCTTATACACCAATAACAGACAAACAGAGAGCCAAATCATGAGTGAACTCCCATTCACAATTGCTTCAAACAGAATAAAATACCTAGGAATCCAACTAATAAGGGACGTGAAGGACCTCTTCAAGGAGAACTACAAACCACTGCTCAATGAAATAAAAGAGGATATAAACAAATGGAAGAACATTCCATGCTCATGGATAGGAAGAATCAATATCATGAAAATGGCCATACTGCCCAAGGTAATTTACAGATTCAATGCCATCCCCATCAAGCTACCAATGACTTTCTTCACAGAATTGGAAAAAACTACTTTAAAGTTCATATGGAACCAAAAAAGAGCCTGCTTGGCCAAGTCAATCCTAAGCCAAAAGAACAAAGCTGGAGGCATCATGCTACCTGACTTCAAACTATACTACAAGTCTACGGTAACCAAAACAACATGGTACTGGTACCAAAACAGAGATATAGACCAATGGAACAGAACAGAGCCCTCAGAAATAATGCCACATCTCTACCACTATCTGATCTTTGACAAACCTGAGAAAAACAAGAAATGGGGAAAGGATTCCCTATTTAACAAATGGTGCTGGGAAAACTGGCTAGCCATATGTACAAAGCTGAAACTGGATCCCTTCCTTACACCTTATACAAAAATTCAAGACGGATTAAAGACTTAAATGTTAGACCTAAAACCATGAAAACCCTAGAAGAAAACCTAGGCAATACCACTCAACACACAGGCATGGGCAAAGACTTCATGACTAAAAGACCAAAAGCAATGGCAACAAAAGCCAGAATCAACAAATGGGATCTAACTAAACTAAAGAGCATCTGCACAGTAAAAGAAACTATCATCAGTGTGAACAGGCAACATACAGAATGGGAGAAAATGTTTGCAATCTATCCATCTGACAAAGGGCTAATATCCAGAATCTACAAAGAACTTAAATTTACAAGAAAAAACAACCCCATCTAAAAGTGGGCAAAGGATATGAACAGACATTTCTCAAAAGAAGATATTTATGCAACCAAGAAACATATGAAAAAAAGCTCATCATCACTGGTCATTAGAGAAATGCCAATCAAAACCACAATGAGATACCAACTCACGCCAGTTAGAATGGCGATCATTAAAAGGTCAGGAAACAACAGATGCTGGAGAGGATGTGGAGAAATAGGAACACTTTACACTGTTGGTGAGAGTGTAAATTAGTTCAACCATTGTGGAAGACAGTGTGGCGATGCCTCAAGGATCTAGAACCAGAAATACCATTTGACCCAGCAATCCCATTACTGGGTATATACCCAAAGGATTATAAATCATTCTACTATAAAGACACATGCACACTTATGTTTATTGCTGCACTGTTCACAATAGCAAAAACTTGGAACCAACCCACATGCCCATCAATGATAGACTGGATAAAGAAAATATGGTACATATACACCATGGAATACTATGCAACCACAAAAAAGGATGAGTTCATATCTTTTGCAGGGACACGGATGAAGCTGGAAACCATTGTTCTCAGCAAACTAACACAAGAGCAGAAAACCAAACACACCATGTTCTCACTCATAAGTGAGAGTTGAACAATGAGAACACATGGACGCAGGGAGGGGAACATCACACAGCAGTGCCTGTCGGGGGTTGGGAGGCTAGGGAAGGGGTAGCATTAGGAGAAAGACTCAATGTAGTTGACACGTTGATGAGTGCAGCAAACCACCATGGCACGTTTATACCTATGTAACAAACCTGCACGTTCTGCACATATATCTCAGGACTTAAAGTATAATTTAAAAATTTTTTCTAAAAAGTAAAAAAAAAAACAAAACAAAACAAAAAAGAAGTCCTGATACATGCTACAACATGGACAGATCTTGAAAAAAATGCTTGGTGAAAGAAGCCAGCCCTAAAGGTATGATGTCATTTGTATGTAATGTCCAGAATAGGCAAATCTATACAGACAAGAAGGTAGATTGGTGGTTTCAGGAGGCTGGGGAGGTGGTGGGGAATGGGGAGTGATTGCTAATGGGCACAGGGCTTCTTTTGTGGGGGTGATAAAATCATTCCAAAATTGATTGTGGTGATGGTTGCACAACTCTGTGAATATACTAAAAACCATTGAATTGTTCATTGCAAATGGGTGGATTATGTAATATGTCAATTATATCTCAATAAAACTGTTATACAAAAATAAAAAGAAAAAAGGAAGATTTGATTGTGAAAGAAATTGAATGCTTCAGGAAATGCCTAGGTCAGCAGGCAGACTGAGAGTAGTTTCTGCATTCAAACCTAAGCTCTAACACTTTACCAGCTGTGACCTTGGACAAATCACTTCACTTCCCTGTACTTTTGTCTTATCTTTATTATTATAATTGTTATAATTTACACGTGTAGAAATGGAGATGCCAGTAAGACAGCATGTCCAACAGGAAAATCAGGCTCAGAGCCAAATAGTCTAAGCACATCCAGGCTTCACCTCTGTCAGCTTTGTCATCAGAACTATTTGTTATCTCTGGTTCTGTTTTCACATCTCTAAATTGGGCATAGGACATACTCTATCTATGGGGTTATTGGTGATATTCAAGAGAAATAATTTTTGAAAGAGTTTTTAAAGCCTAAAATGATATCATAGAGGTTGGATTCCCCAGTAATCAAACTGCTTTTAGTGTACATAAAAAAAAAAAAAAACAACACTTCAGTGCCTTCACATGCAAATGAGCAAGGAGCCTGGTACATCAGATGAGCCAATAGTAGCGATTATCCACTTAGTCTACCAATGAATGCCACTGTAATAAAAAATTCTGGAACCTCTCTTGGGGAGAGAATAAAACCAGCACCATTGCTTTACATTCATACCTCTTGTTTTTAACCACACTTAGTATTACTCAGCTTGAGCATACATCATTCACTAGACTTGATTCTTAAAGATTTCTGAACACTTCCAAAATCAAATCTACCTTCAAAGCAAGAAGATCTGCTGAGGGTATTGGATGAATGTGTCTCGGCAACAAAGACGGTTCTAAAGGAGGCATTGCACAGCTGTTTTTTGCATTTTAATCCAATCTGTAAAATAGTACTTTTCATGTTACATCCTTTTCATGTAAAGGATTCTCACAATAGTTTTTCCATAGGTATCACCAATGACCCTGGTAAGTAGGGTTCATACTGTTCTCAATTTAGAGATGTGCACACTGAGTACCAGAAAAACTACATGACTTAGCTCTGGTCATATGCATTATGAGTGGCAGAACCTGGACATAATTCAAACTCTTTTGCTTGCAAATGGGTATATGCCTTCCCAAATGCCTATCTTGAAGGAAGAAACAGTCATTTGGTTGTCATATGCTTATTTTAATGTCACTTGCCAGTGATTGCAAATGACTGAGATGACAGTGACTGAACTAACAGAGTAGTGGATACATTAAGGACAGAGAAAAGTGGGTGGAGGTAAAATCAATGGAACTTGCTTTATCATTGGCTGAGGGAGCTTGATGGTTTTACAAAAGGCATTTAGAATGATTCTGAATTAGAGGATACGTCTTGCTTTATCCACCCAGCAGCCTCCTCTATTCTTCTGGGAATTGTCTCTCTGCCCACTCCAATTTTCTGTCCCAGCAGGAGCTGCGATGTTTCCACATGACCCTCTCCCTTGGGCCATAAAGAAATGCTCTAGGGGGTGAACATTTGGCTCAACTTCACCAATAAGGCCCCTTTTGCTCACTTTTTGTGCTGTGGTCCCAGAGAACTCAATCACTCCCCAAGTAGCTATAAGTTGTAACATTGTAGAGCTACGCTGTCCAATAGAAACATAATGTGAGCCAAGTATGTAATTTTAAATTTTCTAATTGCCACATTCAAAAAGAAACATGTGAAGTTAATTTTAATAATGTATTTTACTTAGCACAATACATCCAATATGTTATCACCTTAACATGCAATCAATGTTTTCTTAATTAATGAGATGTTTTTGCATTCTTTTTTTTTCCTACCTTCAAAATCCAGCAAATGCTTTCCACTTACAGTCAGTGTATCTCAATTTGAACTAGTCACATTTCAAGTGCTCAATATACACATGTGACTGGTGGCTGCCATATTGGTGTAGGACTAGGGGCCTAGATTGTCCACCACGTGGAGAAAGTCAGCCTGCAGAATGAAAAGATGTCGATGTTCAGAGAGATGCAGAGATGCGAAGCAGGAAGAAAAAACAAGAATACTGGTGGCATTCAAGTGCCTGATTCTAGGAGTTCTTGAGGATCAGCTGTACATTCCGCACCCCCAGGACCAGCCATTGCCTGGATAGTCTATGAGGCATCCCAGGTTTTCAAAAATAATATCCTATGTTGCTATTTTCAATATATATTATTTATTATTATCATTATTAATAATAAATTAAAACTACTTGCATGACTTTACCTTAAGGATGGCAATTTTTTAAATTTATACACCCACACCCTTGTTCTTAGCAGACATTAGTAATTAATTGCTTGCTTGCACTTTCTTATGGATAGTAAATGTGACCTGAGGATCCTTCTGAAAAATGCTCTACCACTACCAAATAATTGGAATACATGTGTAAGTGAAAATATATCTGCCCCCCTGCTTATAGTTGCAATGTGTATATTTTCTTCTTTCCCTTGATGAATGGTGATAGACCTGTCTTTCGGAGCACATCACATGTGAGGCAACCCCTACCTCTCCTAGAAATAGTATGTGTGCATACTGAGGTTGAGGGAAGAGCATGACTTCAGAGGGTGACTGAAGAATCTGCAATGCCAAAGGAGACAGAGCTAGAAATACATGGTTTGAACAGTTATTGTGGCCATACACAGTATATTGTTTTCCCCAGGTTTGAGTGGCTTGGGATGCCACCTTGACATAAAGAAACTTACGGACTGTAAAATGTGGCAAGTAATCAAAAGATTTAATTGGGAACTTCCAAATTTTTTTTTTTTTTTTTTTTGAGACAGAGTCTCGCTCTGTCGTCCAGGCTGGAGTGCAGTGGTGTGATCTCAGCTCACTGCAACCTCAGCCTCCCAGGTTCAAGCCATTCTCCTGCCTCAGTCTCCCAAGTAGCTGGAATTACAAGCATGCGCTGCCACACCCATCTAATTTTTGTATGTTTCGTACAGACAGGGTTTCACCATATTGGCCAGACTGGTCTCGAAATCCTGACCTCAAGTGGTCAACCCGCCTCGGCCTCCCAAAATTCTAGAATTACAGGCGTGAGCCACCACACCTGGCCTGGATAATTATTTATAACAAATCAATTTCCTAAGTATTCCATTATTGAATTGTAATAAATATAAACCAAAGAAGGAAGAGTCTGAAAATAATAAATGCCCTGATAAGAAATTTTGTCACTGAACCTGTGAAGCAAACCTCTGGAAGAGATTTCCAGTGAACCTAAGCATTTCTCTGGTGATGCTAGTGGAAATTTCCAAGAGGAAAATATATTTGTGCAATTGTATCCAAAGGAGACCAAAATCAAATAGGTTTGATTAGAAATAAAAGTATAAAATCTTCATTTTTCTGCCTTAAATTTGTTAACGGAAAATGAAATTTGCAGGGGGCTAGAAGCACTCTTCTTCTGGTTTCTCTACAATTTTTCAGAAATTACCTGCCCTTTGTAAGAAAGCCACTTATGGAAGAGGAAGAAATTATATTTTTAAATTAAAGAATTCTGAGCCAGTCACACCCCAGACAGCATTATTAGAATAATTACTGAAACAATGCTGCCCTCTAGCAATGGCTCAGAGTGGGCTTCCCCCAGCAATCCTCTCCCCAGGCCACTTAGACACCTTCCTACCTACACCTGGTGCATGTCCAAAGGTGAAGGGAATTATCACCTGGTCTGGCTCCCAAATGAGAGTCAAACAATGGTAAAGATGAGATAACTGAGGCCCAGAATGGTCAAGTAACTTCCCCCCAAAGTCACACAGGTTGTCACTGGCACAGTTGGAATTTGGAACCCAGATTTTTAAGTCATTTTATTCTTCTCCCGACTCCCCACTTTCCCTCTCTTCCCTCTTCCTCTTCCTCCCTTCCCTCTCAGAGTGGAAGTGGTTAACTTTGGGGGATTGAATTATGGAGAAACTCTGAGTGGTGTCAGAATAAAAAAGGGTCCTATTCCAATGAATGACCACAGTAATGAATTCTGCGTTTAGGTTATTTTAGGTTTTGGTGGAAGGAGGAAGAATCCGCAAGACAGAGGCCACATTTCCCTGGGAATTCTCTTTTCAGTTCAAGTTCCTGGGCCTCCAGCAAACCTTAAAATATTAATATAAGCCCACACTCACCTTTGCTCTTAGGTAATCTCTGTTGCACAAGGCAGCAGCTGAAAGTTGTTATGGGTCTAAGCAGGGCCAGGAGTATCTGCCTCTCTAAACTCACCAATATCCTAAAGTGGTTTGAGGCAATAGCACATTTAGGGGTGGGCTAGAGAGCAAAGAGTACCACGGCTTCTCCCAGCATATTCTCCAGAGCGGAGCCTCCCAACAATATTCATGTCAATATGTTGCAGGATGGTTATCTTTGTAATAAAAACATATCAGAGGGAAGCTCAACATCATTATCCATCACAGAAATGCAATTGTATGGGATTGCTTTTTGGGGTGATGAAAATGTTCTGAAATTAGATTATGTTGATGGTCTGCAACTATGTGCATACACTAAAAAACACTGAACTATACACTTTACTTTTTATTTATTTATTTTCTTAGAGACAGGGTCTCACTCTGTTACCCAGGCTGGAGTACAGTGGTGCAATGATAGCTCACTGCAGCCTCAAACTCCTGGGCTCAAGCAATCCTCCTGCCTCAGCCTCCAAAGTAGCTAGGACTACAGGCATGTGCCACCACACTTGGCTAATTTAAATTTTGTTTTCTAGAGACAGGATCTCACTATGTTGCCCAGGCTCGTCTCAAACTTCTCACCTCAAGTGATCCTCCCTACTAGGCCTCCCAAAGTGCTGAGATTACAGGTGTGAACAACTCCACCCAGCCAGAACTACACATTTCAAATGGGTGACATATATGGAATGTGAATTATGTCTTAATAAAGCTGTTACCAAAATATAATAAATTTTTAAAAAGCTATTAGAGGAAATTGTGGGAAAGCAAGGGTCACTCTGTTTAATATCCACTTACACATCAGTGCTTAAACCAGTGAAATTTTCAGCAAAGTTTGTCAAAGGGCAGGGGCTTCTTTTTTAAAAATTTTGTCTGTTGTCCCAGGCCCAGCCTAGTTCAAAGTACAGCACGTTTTTTAAGAATGGTGAATTGTCTCAGTTTTGTCAGAAAATGTTGTTGTTTCATTCGTATTCTTGCATGATAGTTGAGCAGAGCAGAGTATATGGAATATAGAGGTCCAGAGTTTGGCTCCTCTAACACTGTATGTAGTTAGCCTAGATCTCTTCTCACTCCACTACACAAGCCTTAGAGAGCTCAACAACTTATTGGTCTGCTGTTAAGATACCTCTTTGTTTTTTGTCCCTGGGGATGTTCCTTCTTTATGTCAGGCTCAGTTGTGAGTTTTTTCTCACACTTTACCCAACATTTCTCTGAGTCTCCAATGGGAAAAACCACTTTAGGTTATCTACCAAGTTGCTAAAACCAGAAGTGTCTGGTGCCTTTTTAGTGTGTGTATTCCCCCTCGACGTTAAAACTAGGTTAACCATCCGTGGGAGAGGGGTGCTGTTGGAAGGCAGCAATATGGAGTATCTAAAGGACTAATCATTTTTCTTCCTTACCCACATTTCCCCTTTCCTGAGGGAGAAGTGAAAAGGAGGGAGAAATAAGTGATGAGAAAGAAGTGTCAGCTATTGGTGTAACCATAAAAATGCCTTCCACTTTCAGAATCCTATACCCTTCCACACACAATCTGGGTCCAAGACGTATATCTGCTCAAAGGGAAGATGTTTAGGAGAGAATCTTATCCTCCTTCTTAGGCCAGAGCTCAGAACAGAGACTACTGCACTCTGAGGCTACAGTGAGACCCTTGGCAGAATCTCTTGAGCTCAATAAAATTCCACAATTTTTGATACTTTTCCTTGAATATTGAAGACATTCCCCAAATACCTCCAGGAAGATTCACATCTGGATCTAAGACAGGGAAAGAGAAAAGCAGGGCCATTTTTGCTCAGGCCTCCAACTTTATGAACTTCAAATATCGGTCGCTGTTCGGTGGCAAATTTGTTCGGGAGAAGAGGGTGAATGCTTACAAGAGCCATCTGGTTCTGAATAACAAAGCTGTGCATACAGTGGAGCATTGCATGTATAGGCTCTAGGGTCAGACTGCACGTGCTCAAATCCCAGCTCTGCTGCCTCTTAGCTCTGCAGCCTTGGGCCAGTTACTTAGCCTTTCTGTGACTCAGATTCCTGGTCTGTAAAATAGGATTAATGAGACCATCCACTTCTCAGGGTTGTTGTAAAGATTACATGAGATAATCTAGATAATGTAATTAGTCCAGAGCTTGAGCCTGTGTTAAGTGCTCAGTAGTTAAGTGCTCCATAGGTGCTAATATTAAACTATGGCTTTTGCCAGTTTTCTGTGTTGGATTTACTTTTAAACCTGCCTTCACAGTTTAAATAGAACCCCTAAAGAGATTGGATTCTGAAGATGTCCCAACTAGTCCTATCCTAACCCATCCACTTCCCAACACCCTCATGGCCAAGCAAGTGTAAGAGAGGAAACATTCTTTTCCTCTACCTTCTTAGTTCTGTAATTGGGACCTGAAAATTACACTAATAAAAGACAGATTTAAACAGGAGGAAAGAAATACAAATTTTGTTTGATATTAATATTTCAATTGTTACATGCACAGGGGCTTTCAGAGAAAATAACTGAAGACACAAAGAAGTGGTAAGATCCAGAGGCTTATATGCCATTTTAACAAAGGGTGACAATTTATGGAGAAGTGACAAGACAAAGGAAAAGAGGCTTGGGCTTCTAGGGGAAGTAAATTGTGGGAAGGTAAATATATGAGTGTCTTGGGTGACAGGTGCACTAAAATCTCAGTCTTCATCACTATACAATTCATCTATGTAACCAAAAACCACTTGTACCCTCAAAAACTATATATATATAAAATATATATATATAATATATAATATATGTACTATATATAATATATATGAAACTAATAGAAGATACAGGTTATTTTAGAAAAGTTTGTTTATGCAGACCTATGTTCATGCTGACTTTCTGTCTCTAGTGATGATGATTGTTTTTTCATGGTACAGGAGAGGAAAGGAAAAACATCTTCACAAAGGGAAATTTATGTCCTACTTTAACGCATATGGGGGTGCAAAGAACTCTTTCTGCATTTGCTACTCCTTAATTGCACCTCTTAATTGCCCTCAGTTCAAAATAATCACAATGCTAAAGTGACATATTTGGCGGTGGCATATTCTGATCCCCCTCAACAGACAATAACAAGATCTTACATTTGTATGTCTTGCATTTGATTTTTCCAAGCACTATCACAAATCTTTACCCCACAATGCTGTGAGGTTTGCAGAACAATGATAATTACTCCTATTTTAGAGAAGAGGAAACTGAAGTCTCAAGAGATACAGTGTCCTACGTGTTTAAAACTATCCAGCTTGTTAGAGGGAGAGACAGAAGTACTCAAAGTCAAGTCTTGGCTGGGCGTGGTAGCTCACATCTGTAATCCCAGCACTTTGGGAGACCAAGGCGGGAACATCACTGGAGGTCAGGAGTTCGAGACCAGCCTGGTCAACATGGCAAAACCCTATATCTACTAAAAATAACAAAAATTAGCCAGGCAAGGTGGCAGGCACCTGTAATCCCAGCTACTCGGGAAGCTGAGGCACCAGAATCACTTGAACCCACAAGGCAGAGGTTGCAATGACCTGACATTGCACCACTGTACTCCAGCCTGGGCAGCAGAGCAAGACTTTGTCTAAAAAAAAAAAAAAAATACGAAAAAAGAAAAGAAAAAGAAAAAGAAAAGGAAAGAAAAAGAAAAGTCTCTCCATCCAGTGTCATTTCAAACTACTATAATGTCTATTCTCCTACAAATCTTCCCTTTGGTCATAAGAGATCTAGCAGCTTGCTTCCCCTGTCCCACAGTTGTTCAAGTTGCTTTCAGACCATGTGAGGAGGAAGAAAACACACAATCCATAGGGGGCCAGTCTCTCTATAGCATGAGTTATTTTATCTGTAATATTCTGATTGGAGAATGAGGTTGAGAGTGCCTCAATGTCTGAAGCAATGGCGTATTGGAAGAAATGGAGGGGAAGGGTCCCTCATTTGAGCTGATCAAAGTAGTCCAGTGTAGTCCAGTAGTCCAGTGGACTGAGCCTGGCTGAGCCCAAAGTGAAACTCAGAAATGACCTGAAACTGTCTGAGGAATTCATCATTCAGCAGCAACCTGAGCCTGTACTTGTATGGGAATAGTGGTCTTTAAGAGAAAGTTCTCTATACTGTTCCCTGAGGAGCAGAAACAGAGATGAGGTTGGTGGGTGAGAGGATGGTAGAAGGATGAAGGAAGAGGAAAGGTTGACATTTGCTCTCCAGCTGTGCCCCAAAGATTGGTTGTGTGGAGAGTGTTCCTGGCATTTCATCACCTGGAACAAAGTGATTTGGAAGAGATCTGGACTTACAGCACCTTGGGTGAGTCTCTACTCAGCGGGAGTAGAGACCGGGTAGAAAAACACAGAAATGGGGGCTGAAGTGTGGGTCTGGATAGAGGACCTGAGGGCCTTTGTTCTTGACACAGGAACCAAGTCTGAACGTTTGAGCAAGGGCAGGGAGATGTTGTTGCAGGTAGAAGCTGAAGCTGTTTTTCTCACGGGGGCCTCACTGAGACGCGTGGTAGAAGCAATGTTTTTTTGGTGTCCAGGTAATAATGTGTGGCACGGAATTCAAAGAGGCATTTCCACCCTTCTGGGGGAGCCATCAGTTCCATCAGCCAAGGCTACCAAAGAGAAGGCAGCACCACTAAGGCTCCACTCAGGTGTGCAGCTGTGAGCACTCCAGAATCCACGCCTCCTCTGAGGAGGGATTTCTGTGTTCTCACAGCCAGAAGCACCCGCCAGTATCTAGGTGGGGTGTAGTGGCTCCCCTCAGGTGGCAATGTGGGCAGCTGACCCCCATGGGGCAAGGTAGGAGTCAAAGAACAACAGGAGAGGACTATCTCAGAGCATGTGAAACTTCTGAAATCTGCCACAAATCATTGGGGGAAACCTTCAAGGGATTGAGATTCTGTAACACAGGTGGGGACAGGGGTCCATGACATCCAAGATTTTCCTACTTATGGGACTTTATTTTTACCCACGGACCAGTGAGGCCTGGAGAAACTTGAAACCCCATTTTATAGCAGATGAAATGGTGTCAAGTACTTGGGCATATGATAGCCCAGCTCCACGTAGATGCTGAGGGGCTCTTGAAACATTTCTAAATAAAACCTTTAGGATGGGTAGAAGAACAGGGACTGAGCTCTGGCAGGGTATGATTGGGCTTCATTTGTTCCATTTATCTCTAGTGATGCTAGCTTGAAGGAGAGGACAGCAAAAACAAAAAGAAGAAGAATGGCTAGGGAGAAAAATAAAGAATTGCCATCCTTCTCCATTATCATGGCTATAAGAAAATCAGGTTCATTTTTAAGACACTGTCCTTTCTGTATACATTTTCCAGGCATAGGTTGTGAATTCTATGTTTTCCATTTCTTTTTCAGCAGAGAGAAAACTCGACAGTGCTTTTCCTAGCTAAAAGCAAGCCTGGCTGAAAAAGGACGTCCAAACTCCACTCAGTCTTGGACTGGGCTAGGTGTAAGCCAACAGACCCAGAGAAGAAGGGGAAAGCTGGGTCCCTAGGGGCTGGCCATCTCTCTTTCTGGAATTCATATTTCCTGACTTATTGCACCTTCTTTTTCCTGAGGTAAAAGCACTGGTGATTGAGGCAGCTGCAGGCAACCCACACAGCCAGATTCTTATGTACAGTATCATGGGGCTGGCGATTTATCTGCCAATCTGTCTTTCCTGAGTATCATTTTCCTCTTCCTGAAATCAGACACAAAGTTTAGGGTAATGGAGCAGTGGACTTGAGTCCTGGAGCAGTGGACTTGAGTCCTCAGAGAAGGTTAGGTCTCTGTTCCTGAATTATCATCTCTGCTGCCACCACCCTAGATTGAGTCACCTAGCCAGTCAGTTACCTGGACTATTGCAGTAGAGGGCTCAGCTGCTCTCTGATCCCTTCCTCCATCCTGTCTCCAAACTGTTGCCAATTTAACTATATAAAATAAGTTTCTAATCATGTCTCTCCTACTATTGTTGAAAGATCTTTGAGTAACTCAATTATATGGACTACTATTGAATACATAAATTGGTCTTATTTGCATCAAATTCCCCATTGTCCTGATTTCTTCTCTTCACAGCCTTCACAATTCCAATCTAAGTTCAGTGTGTTCTTGTTCTCCCCACTCCATTGGAATGGAATGTTCATATCAGCAGGATTCTTATCCGTCTGTCCCCCAAAGAGTAGCTGACATAAGTTACATAACTAATATTGGTTGAATAAAGGACTCAGTAAATCAAATTCTAGGAGCCACAATGAACTCTTTTTTCATAAATGAAGTTTACTTACTTTTATAATTACAAATGTAACACATGCTTACTGTAGAGAATCTGAAATGTATAGAGAAGTAGAAGGAAGAAAATAAAAACTACCCATAACCCCACCACCTGAAGGCAAACACTGCTCACATTATGTTCTAGCTATCTATGCCTGTTTATAGACCAAGACCCTCATCAAGAGTGCTGGCCATGAAGCACAACAGCCAAGGGGAGTGAGAGCAATCAACAACTGAGGGGGTCACCCAGAGGTCAGAGCTAGAGAACCCCCACTGAGGGACAAGACAAAGGCCATAAACAACAGATCAAGAGGTCAGAAGCTGACAACACAAGAACAAGTTGTGTTACTGTAAGAATGTAGTGAGATGGTGCTTGTCAAGAGTTTAGCCCAATGCCTGTCACATGATACATTATCAATAACTGGTAGCCATTATACTATCACTATTATTATGGGTCAAAACGAATGGTTCAGGATGGATACTATAAACAGGGCAAGGACCCTGGAGACCCATTTTAGGTGCTATGAGTTGGGGCATATGGGGCAAGTCTACTGGGTTACAAGGGTGGTATAGGAGTGGGCATCGCTCTCCTTATAGGCTCCCCTGCCAGGTGAAATAGAACCAGGGCTTCCTCAAGTTTGCCTGCTGACACATGGCAAGATACGCTAAGGGTTTTTTGAGGTAAGATATGATTTATCCTGCCTAGACTTCTCCCTGGACCAAGAACTAGGACTGGCCTCGGTGGTGATGGGAGTTCAGAACCTCATACACCATACACTCTTGTAGTCCCTACTCTGATTGTCAGGGCAGGTCTTAGGCATGTGGGTGAAAGAGAAGGTCAAATCAGCCAAGTGAGAGGTAAGGTGGGATGTGCCTGGAGCGGGAGGCTGAAGGGTGAAGGCAACAAGGTTTATAATGTAGTTTAATGGAATGGGTCCAGGAACCAGTCCTCCAGTTAGCGGTCGAGTCAGATATCACAGGAGAAGATTCCATGGAGTTTTACTTGTTGGTATGGGCCTTCTGATGATGGCCTGTGCTCTGTCCAAGGTGATCATGAAGACCTTCTTGGGGGTCTCCATGCTCTTTCAGGTAGTAACAGCGTTTGGAAACATGCTGGTGCTGGGAGTGAGAAAAAGACAACAGAGGTAAGAGCCACACTTACTATGGCAACGGGTGTTCTGCCTGGATAAGTTCTGTGACTTAGCAGATCAAGACACTTTGCTAATTTATCTCACTTGCATACAGTGTGACCAAGGAGTAGGCTATTCTAATTCCCTAGTGACCTGACTCCACAACACATGTTGCTGTAGATGGGCCCCAGCTCCCAAAAGACCCATTTATTAGAATTGGACTTGGAACAAGGGGAGAATTGGAACTGAGCCCATCCAGTTCCCTCATAATGAGAAGAATTAGTACTTCAACTATCCCACGTTCTCAGTAACTTGGGCAGGACATTGCTCCTCAAAGTAGTTAATATACCCAAAATAACTGCAGAGCCATGCTCACTTGATGAAACTGCTGGGGTTTAATGGTCTAGGAGCTCCATGCCTCCCCCTTGCCTCTTCCCAATTCTACTCAAGGAAGCAGGATGTATTCCCTGTCGTGACCTCCTCATTTCTCTGCTCAAAAACCTTCAGCGGATTTCCCCCTCATTACCTCCTCAGTCTGCTGCTGAGAGCTCAGTTCATTCCCCATGGCCTCCTCATTATTCCGCTTACAGGCTGTTGGCAGAACCTGGCTTGAGTTGCCTGGGGAATCCTTCTCTTCAGCCAGCTGGCACTCGGTGTACAGAGACCTGTCTATCAGCTCCTTTAGGCTGCCAGCCACCTTCAGGAAGATCCGACCCATTTTGGTGGTAACAGCTTCTGAGAGTCCTTCCAGAAACCTGGTCCGTAGAATGGCATCAGACCAAGACAAATGTCGGGCCAGCAGCAGGAAGTCAGTGGCATACTGCCTGACTGACTTTTGGCCCTGTTTGGGATGGCAAAGAACAGCACTGAGGATGTCTATCTCAGATAGGGAGTCATATATGCCCTGGGATCTTCTCAGGAAAGATTTATTTTCATGTGAGAGAGGTTCTCCTACCTCCATTTGCAAGATGAACCACCTCTCTGCTGCTCCCAGATGAAGAGATACCAGAAATGCCATTCTCTCTGAATCGTCCAAAAACCCCTTCATTTGCTTCTCCTCATCAATCTCCATCTCTTCCTCCACAGAGCATGAGCCCCGGGCTGCTTCCTGCTCTTCTAAGAGGTAGCAGAGTGCTGGGGTCAACATTCCGAAGGATGGCACTTCCTTTGGTGGTGGTTTCGCAGTTTCAGGAGTTGTGGCAGTCATGTGCGATGTGGGCTTTGATCCAGAGGCTGTGATGTTAATGTGAGAGGTGGATGCCTCTCCAGAGTCTGTGGCTTTGATTTCCGGAGTGGACATCACTCCAAAGGCTGTCTGTGGTGTGGACATTGTTCCAGGGCCTGAGGCCCTCATTAGTGGTGTGGACATCCCTCTAGAGTCTGTGGCTGTCATTTGTGGCATGGACATACCCATGCCACATCCAGAGGCTGTGGCTCTTGGTAGTGGCATGGGCATCGATCCAGAAACTGAGGCTCTCATAAATGATGTGGACCTTGCTCCAGAAGCAGAGGCTCTAATTGGCGCTGTGGCCATCCTTCCAGACACGGTATATGTTGTTTGTGACAAGGACATAGATCTAGAGTTCGCAACACTGGTTTGCAATGTGGACGTTGCTCCAGAGGCCATGGTTTCCATTAGCGGCATAGACATCTCTCCAGAAGCCATGGCTGACATTAAAGGCATGGGCATTGTTCCAGAGGCCGGGGCTCTCATTAATGGCTTGGACATCCCTCCAGAGACCATGGCTGTTGTTTGTGCAGTGGACATATGTCCAGAGGCTGAAGCTCTCATTAACTCTGTGGACACAGTCTCACAGGCTGAGGGTCTCCTTAGTGGTGTGGACATAGTTCCAGAGGCTGGAGCTCTTACTAGTGGTGAGGACACCCCTCCAGAGGCTGGGGCTCGCACTGGTAGTGTGCACATGTCTCCAGAAGCTGTGGGCATCATTTGTGATGTGGATGTCACTCTAGAGTCTGGGGCTCTCATCAGTGGCATGGACATCCCTCCAGAGGCTGTGGATCTTGTTAGTGGCATGGACATTGCTCCAGAGATGGGAGCCTTCACTTGTGGCATGGATGACATCATTCCAGAGGCTGTGGCTGTCATTTGTGGAGCAGACATGGCTCCATAAGCTGGGGATCTCAGAGGCGTGGCTATCTCTCCAGAAGCTGGAGCTCTCATTAGTGGTAGGGACATCTCTCCAGAGGATGAAGCTCTTGTGAGCAGTGAGGGCCTCTCTCCAGGGTCTGAGGTTCTCATTAGTGGTGTGGACATTGTTTCAGAGGTCCAGGCTCTCACTGTTGGTGTGGACATCACATCAGAGGTTGGGGAATTCATCTGCATCCCTCCAGCGGTCATGGACTTCATGGGCGACATGGACATCCCTCCAGGATCTTGGGTGCTCATTGGCTGACTGAGCATCTTTCCAGACACTTTGGCTCTCATTAGTGAGGCAGGCATTACTCCTGGGTCTTGAGCTCTCATTAGTGGCATGGACATCCCTCCAGAGACTGTGGCTGTCATTTGTGATGTGGACATTGCTCCAGAAGCTGTGTCTCTCATTAGCGATGCAGACAACCCTCCAGAGGCTGTGTCTGTCATTTGCGGCATGGACAGAGCTCCAGAAACTGTGTCTCTCATTAGCAGTGTGGGCATTGCTTCAGAAGCTGTGGTTGTCATTTTCTCCGTGAACATCGTTCCTGAGGCTTTGGGTGTCATTAGTGGCTTGGACAATGCTCCAGAGGCCAGAGATCTCATTTGTGGACAGGACATCACTCCTGAGGCTGTGTCTCTCATTAACAGCGTGGATGTTGATCCAGAGGTTTGGGCTGTCATTAGTGGGGTGGACATTGCTCCAGAAGTCATGGCTTTCATCTGTGCTGCAGATGTCAATCCTGAGGCCATGGTTCTCATTTGTGGCATGGACATTGCTTCAGAGACAGGGGCTCTCATTTGCAGCATGGACATTGATCCAGAGGCTGGGACTGTCAATTGTGGCATGGACATTGTTTCAGAGGCTGTTGCCGTAACTGGTTGGGTGGACATTGCTCCAGAAGTTGGAGCTCTCCTCAGTGGCGTGGACATCTTTCCAGAGGCTGTGGCTCTCTTGTATTGTTTTGCCACGGCTTTCATAGAGCCTGTGGGCATTGCTCCAGAAGTTTTGGCCATTGTTAACTGTGCGGACATTACTCTAGAGGCTGTGGCTGACATTTGCTCTGTGGACATCACTCCAGAGCTTGGGACTGTCATCAGTGAGGTGGTCATGGCTCCAGAGGCTGGAACTGTCTTTTGCAATGTAGACATATTTCCAGAGGCTGGGGCTCCCATTAGCGGTGTGGACATTGCTCCAGAATCTAAAGCTCTTACTGGTGGTGCAGACATCACCCCAGAGGCTGTTGCTCTCACTGGCGGATTAGACATCATTTCAGAGTCTACATTTTGTGTTGACCATGGGGACATCGCCCCAGAGCCTGGGGCTGGCATCGTTTGGGTGGGCATCACTCCAGAGGGTAGGGCCGTCATTAGTGCTGGGGACATTGCTTCAGCATCTGGAGCTGGCTTTGGTAATGTGGACATTTCTCCAGCATCTGGGACTGACAGTAGCGGTGTGGACATTACTTCAGAGCCTGGAGATGACATTAAAAGCGATGACATTATTCCAGAGTCTAGATCTGACATGAGCGGGGTAGGTATTCCCCCAGAGTTTTGGGTGCTTGTTGGCTGGGGTGATGTACCTCCAGAAGCTACAGCTGACATTATCAGTGAGGATATTGCTTCAGAGTCCGTGCCTGACATTAGCAGCGAAGATATCTCTCCAGAGGCTAGAGCAGTCATTAGCACTTTGGACATTGCTTCGGTGTCTTCATCTGTAATTTGCAATGGGGACATTGCCTCAGAGCTGGGAGCTGGCACTGGCTGTGTAGACATCACTCCAGGATTCATATCTTGCATTAGAATTGGGGATAACTCTCCAGAATCTGGGGCTAGCATTAATGGTGTGGACATTGCCTCAGAGGATGAAGTGCTCATTATAGGTGTACACACCACTCCAGAGGATGGAGCTGGCATTGCCAATGGTGATATCTCTGCAGAATCTGGTGCTACCATTAGCGTTGCGGACATCGTTCCAAAATCAGGAATTGTCATCATCCCTGGGGACATTACCCCATACTCTGAAGTGGACAGCAATGGGGACAATGTTCCAGAATCTAAGGCTGGCATTAGCAATGGGGACAGTGCCCCAGAGTCTGAGGCTGGCATTAGCAATGGGGAAAGTGCCCCAGAGTCTGAGGCTGGCATTAGGGGTGGGGACAATGCTCCAGAGTTTGGTACTCCCATTAGAGGTGCAGACATGGTGTCAAAGACTGGAGATGTCATCAACTGTGTGGATGTCCCTCCAGGGTCTGAGGCTGAAGTTGAGACTATAGGCAACTGTACATGAGAATGCAGAATCTGTACGTCTGCTCTGGTCTCTGTCATTGGTCTACAGAAGGCCATCTGCTTGTTTTGGGGCTCAACATTTTCCTCCCTCATTGTATTGTTGAATCGCAGTGAATGTAAGGGTATTGACATATCTGCCACAGCCACAGGATAGTGTGGAGGGAGCCCAGGAGGCAAGAAAATCTGTAAACAAGAAACAAGTTTAGAGGTCAAAAGCCAGTATCAAGAAGATTTGGAAACAGACAAATTGTTCATGGTGGAGACCTGTTTTTATGCGTTGTCAGGTATATGGCATTGAAGGTGAGGCTATCAGATTAAAGAAGCTGTGAAGCAATGAACAACTTTGGAGCTGGAGCAAATGTCCCTTCTGCCTCTATCCTTTTCAAACCAACCCAGCCTCTCAGTTTGTAAATGCTATAAACGCCAGCAGCCTCCGCAGCCAGGAGCCTGGGCAGTCCTGACTCAAATAAAGCAGCAGCACCACCTTCTGGCCAAATGTGAGAAATGCGGATTCCTGGCCTGTATTCTATCCCACGGCAGTACTCACAAGCCAGCCAAGGTACTGGCAAGCCTGAATGGGAAAGTCCTTTGCCCCAGGATAATTATTAGTTCCTGGGGCTCATTGAATTCTGCCAGTGGTTTAATCCTCATTTTACTACTCTGATGGCCCTGAATGTTCTCAGGAAAAGGGAGACATTTATCTAATCAATGACTGAGAGCAACATTCCATGAACTGAAAATTCTGCTTATTATTTTCATTATTCTTATTAATAACAGCAACCACCACCCCATTACTACTATTTATTTATTGCTTCACGTAGTATGTGCCAGGCACTGTACTTTAGACAACTGTCACAACTTCCTATAACGTGAGGGCCTTTGTAAGCATTATCCCATTTGGGTCTTACAATCTCCTGGGCAATAGATATTATTATCCCCATTTTACAAGCTTTCTCAGATTAGCCAGGGTCAAGGCTAAAATAGGGTCACTGCAACAGTAACAAACTGTATAGCATTGACTCTGACCCCCTCCTGGGGGTTGCCTAGTGTTTGGCATCCCTGAGCTTGCATTCAATTATTTCTCTGACATCCCAGATCATGGGTCACTTAAAGCCCAGTGTCTGGCATGTCCAAGTTTCAAGTTTCTCTGATGCCATGGGGGTGGGCAATCCAGAGCCTCACCCCTCCAGCCTGCTCCAATAAGCAGCCCAGAAGGGGCTTTTGGACACACGGCTTGGAAGCCAATGCAAATATTACACAATGTTGACATGTCCCCACAGCCTGCCCATGCCAAAAGCAGAAAACTTGCTACTTTGGGACAATGTCACAAAAGTCATCAACCTCATGGAATTGTGATTCCATAATAATGAGAAAACCTGCAACAGAAACGCTAACAGTGAACATTTCTTTAGCATGCACTGACTGGCAAACACTCTGCTAGGCACTTTACATGTATCATCTCATGTGGTTCCCATAGCAACACTAAGAGATTTCGGTTGTACTCTTCCTTTATCTTACAAATGAGAAAATTCAGACCCAGAGAAGCTTAATAGTTTGCCTGCAGTCACATAGATTCCTGGGTCCATCCAGTTCCAGAGCCCCCTACTCTTCACCAAGGTGCTATAAAGATCCACCTCTCCCCCTTACTCAGTCACACTACCGAGACCCCTGCCTCTGTCTCCAGCCTGGACAACCCCAAGATGGGTTGTCATAAAAGAAATGCTGGCCTCCTGCTGACACCCTGGTTATTGTAATAATTGTAATAATTGGTGCAATGGGAAAGATGAGTCAAAAAAGCAGCCATAGACCTCCACCTCCCATCTTCAGAAAAATATCTGAACATGCCACAGTTTCCCACCAGGCAAAACCCAGAAAGATCTTACCTTGCCAGTGACGGAGAAGAGGGAGAGAGTATCCTTTGCGCCCCTAGCTCTTTCACTCTGGCCAATTAACTTATACCTCGTGCCCAGCCAGTTCATTAAAGTAAGACCCAGTACCAACAGCTGTTCTCTGCAATCTCCCTTTGCTATCCCCTGCCACGCCCCCCTGCCCGCCAGCCAGCCTGCCCGCCCACCCGCCCCACTGCTCCTGACTTGCTACTGCTTGCTCTGTCTCTCTGGTCCCAGATTCCTGCCTCTATATAGGCTCTGACATTTGCCTCTGGCCGCCTTTCACTTGACAGTCCTCCAGAAGCTCCGCCTTAGCACTTGGCCTATGCAACTCCACCCCTCTTCCCTGTCGCCCCCAACAGTCCCACCAGCCTATGCCCCACCCCACTCTGCCCAAAGAAAAGAGGAGATTGACACAATTAAAAAGATGAGATGAAAAGGGTCCTGGCTCAGGAAACAAGATACGTGCCCTCTGCAGTTGAACAGACACAGGAGTCCTGGGACCCAGGCACTGCAACTGATATGACATGGAAGCACAGGCAGAGGGCTCGAGGGAAAGAAACTGAGGCTGGAGATTGAGTGGAGCAGCATCAGAAACGTTCAAAGAGGTTCAGGTGCAGGGAAAGAGGGTTTGGGAGGATGGACAGTGGGGGCTGGCAAGCAAACACCTTAATAGAGCCCTGTAATGGTGATCATAACGAAGACAATTTACCCCAGGGTCACAGACACGGAGAAAAATCCAGCGACCGGTATCCCTGCCATAGGGCTAGGATTCAACAGAAAGGCTCCATGGATTTCAGACAGCTAGCAAGAAAAGCACACCAGCCTTGAGCATACCAGCTGAGGGCTTGTTCATACAAACATGGCTACAGCCTGCTTTCTAGAACTGGGGCACAAGGTCAGAGTAGAGCTAGCAGAAAGGTTTACCAGAGTACTCCAGTTTTCCTGAACTGGTGCACTCAGTCTAAGGGGAGAAACCCTCAGTCTAAGGGGAGAATTGGTCCCTGAGCCTTGGATAGGGCAAAGCCTCCAGGTGAAGTTCAAGTAGCCTAGGTATAGGGATGTAGAGTTTGACAAGGGAGGCATTCAGGTCGTTATAAACCTCATAATTAACGACCAACAACAACTGAGCACTTGGGCTAAGCACTACATATGCATTATATAATTCCGACCTCCCAGCAACACCTGTAAGGTAGGCACTGAGATCATTCCCATTTTATACATGAGGAAATGGGCTTGGAGAAGTCTATGTGACCACGGTCACATAAAATAATAATAATAATTTTTTTTAAATCCCAGATTTCAGCCCTGGCCATTCTGTTTCCAAAATATTTTTATCTCTTTGTAATCAGACAAGTGATTAGAAACTCGGAGTACTCTTCTCACTGCCATCTCCCCTACATCCCCACACCACAAAGCAAGGAAACTTTCTTACTACAAATGGCTGAATCCTTGTAGTAATAATAACAACAACAACTGATATTGCTTGAACTCTTCCCATATGCCAAGAATGGGGCTGAGGGCTTCACCAGCATTATCTCATTTGATCTTGACAATTACCCTGTGAGCTAGGTCCTTTAAATTCTCAGTATACAGGTAAGGAAACTGAGCCTCCATGAGATGAATTGACATGACCAAAGGCACACAGCTCTGTGTGACTCCAGAGCTCACTATAGCATACTACTCAAAAGAAAAATTCCAGTCGCTCTCCTCTCCCTTCAAAGCAAAAAAAAAAAAAAAAAAAAAAAAGTCACAGAATAGCCATTCTATTAACAATGGCCTCACAACAACTACTATTATTATTATTAACACACCTAACAATTAAAGCTAACGTTTACTGTGCCAGGCCCTGTGCTAAGTGCTTTACCTATATGATCTCATTTGACACTCACAACATACTACGAGGTAGGTTCTATTAGCACCTTCATTTTCCAGATGAGAACAGAGGAACAGAGAGGTTAACTAGCTTTCCCAATGTCACACAGCTACAGGGCACTGTTGTTTATTTCTAATGCAACAATTTTGGAAATAACCTAAGTGTCTAATGTTAGAACACAACTTGTTTAATGATTAAACGAATCATGGTGCAATTGTAGCAGCCACTATTGTAGCCATTGAAAATATATTCTAATGTGTACATGAGGATCTGATTATCATAAAGATAAATATGTAGATTTCTGCATAGAAAAAAAATCTGGAAGGATATATACCAAAACGCCAACAGTGACCACAGTTGAATGATGGGATTAGAGGGGATTTTTAATTTTCATTTTCCTTATCTGTATTTTCTCATTGGTCTATAATGGACCCATAATACGAAAAGAAAAAAACTAATAAAAGTTAATTTTATTTTTTTTAAAGATATGTTTCCCTAGGGTTCTTTCTCAAGCCCTTTTCACTCCTCTCCTTGCAAGCTCTCTCTAGGAATCCCGGACATCCACCCCCCGACCCAAGCAATCTTTCTACCCCGACAAGCTTAATGGTTGTACCACTTTATTTTGTGTTTTATTTTTGGTTTGTTTTTAAAAATAATTTCTTCTTTCTCTAACTTTTATTTATGTTTAGTAATTCCATAAGTAATCTAGGAATATATTCTTAGGATAAAGACTTGAAATCCTCCGTACAGACAAAGCTAAACTCCTGAAAATGCCCCACCCCCCATTCCCCGCAAGTCCCATTCCTCTGTCTGTTCACAGTTGGGTGTGTCTCCTTCCAAACTTTCTCTAGCTGCAATGGCATTCAGAGTTCATATCATTCAATTGCTTGCAAAACCCAGTGTGTGCAAAGAGCTGCAGTTAGAAAACCATGCTAGCACTGGTCACCCCAGGGTTCCAAGTTCTGACCCATTGTGACTATTTTCATCAGCCTGCTTCTAAGGAGGCTACTGAGAGAGGGTTCTTGCATGCTCAGCCCATGTGAGGCATAGACTTCCGTTCTATTAAAGCCAGAGTCTCTAGGAACACAGAGAAGAGAGGCCTTCTAAGGAAGGAAAAGCCCAGAATTTACCGCTTAGCATCTCTCAGGTCCCTCACGTCCCACCCAGTCTGCACTGATCAATACGGCTAGGAGGTGTCATGCTCCTGCCGCCTCACAAAAGGTAATTGAGTTTAGGGGATTGCATGGCTAGCTGCTCAGGGAAATAAGAATAAACAAGAGACGGTTCAATATGTCAACAAATAGCTTTCCAGCTGTTGAAAATAAGCCTTTCCCTAGATTCTCAACAATATTCTTTCCCCAAGTCCTAGCAAATAGGCATCCAGATAACTGAAAACAGACAACCTAAGGCTAAAGAAATACCTGGTCTACTTTAGGATCTTCTTCCTTCCTTGATCATTCAGGGAAGTAGAAGCCCTCCCCACTTCCTTCCTCCCCCACAGCCCTGACACTTAAAATGCGCACCGGCTCTTTATAAATAAAGAGGGGGAAATAGCTAGCATTTACTGAGTGCTTACTATTCCAGGCACTATGTTAAACACTTTACATACCTCATCTTATTTATTGAACGATAAACAAACAAAGTGGCTTTTTTACTCCCATTTTCTAAATCAGCTAAAGAACTGAACTAGAGAGAAATTAAAATGAAGTAACTTACCTTGGCTCTCACCGCTGAGAGGGAGCGAAGCTGGGCTTGTCACTCGGGTCTGTCTGACTCAGCCAGTGCTCTTAACTCACAGGAGAGTCACACACTGTCTTCAAGTCTCTGAAGGGCTGTCATATGGAAGAGAGGGTAGGTGTGTTCTGGGTAGCTCCAAAGAAAAGGATTTGACTGTTAGTTGGGAATTATGCTTTCATTGGATGTGCTGCAAATTCCCCAAACAACATGTATATGCATGTCCAACTCTATAGGGAAAAGAACATTATAAGAAGAGCAAACGGAACTGCCTTGCATTAGGTGCCGGTCTGAAGGATCTGTGGAATCAGAGAGAACAGGAGGGATACCAGAGGACTGCAAATGGGCAGTGTCCCAATTTTCTTAAATAAGGAAACTACAGACCAGTATACCGTAAACTCCAAAGCTGTAAGCTTGATGTCAATCCTCGGAGAGATTCTGCTGCAGATTGCGAAGCAGGTAATTTATAAGCACTTAGAACACAAGTGGCAATAGGAGGTACCTAGAGGTACTAGCAGAACACTCAAAATTAGACCAGGTTCCCAGACTTGCAGCTAATGCAACCCAAAATTTCAGGGACTGATATTGAACTTCCAGATTTTTATTTTCCCAAGTAAAATCATTAAGAAACAGAACAACCACAAATCATCATTTTCTAAAAAGAAGGGGCTTCCTTTCAACACCAAAAGAGAAGGAAATAACCTCAGAATAAAGAATAATACATGAAATAGATTTCTCTTCTCTGCGAAACATTTACTACCTAGTCCTCAGGCTTTCTCATTGCACGGTGGACTGCTGCAATTTTCCTGGAGGATGGGCACTTGTCCAAGGACCTGCTTTAGGGAATCACTCACAGTTAAGGTATCAACACAGATAAGATCATATACCTGTAAAACAGGAAGTCTTTCTGGCCAGAAGAGAGAAGAACAGAGTTTGACCTTAGCCTAAATGAGGACATTAACACAGATAAAGTATCCACAGGAATGGACAGAGAGAAATAAAAGTTGCCAAGTGCGGATTCAAGCCCTGCTGAGGCGGGACTTGGCCATCACATTTGACCTGTGCCACCCCTTGGACCACATGCCTCTCTTGTAGGAATAAGTGTCTGATGCCATTAAGCATTTGGACCACAAATCAGTTTCCGGCTTGAGACTCTCCAAGCAAACTTCAGACCACTAGTCTTCCCAGGGATAGTTCTTAAAGCAGAAAAATTCAAAACCAGCTGAATACCATTGCCAGAGTGGGAGTTCTGCAACAACCTAGAAGGAGGTCCATAGCCTTGATCCTCTCCTGATTAGCATTTTTAATCAATGGTGTAAATAAAGGCATGGACAGGATTCTTACACAAATTCTCTGGGGCTGAGAAGAACCTCTATGATCAGCCTAGCAAGTAGGTTTACATTTTAAGCTCCACGGTTTACAATATGTCTATCTGCATTTGGTAATTTTCTCTCATGTTCTTTGTTGCCAGAGCACTGAGTTTCTACAGTTTACGCACCTCATGGAAAATGCTTAGTGAACATATGCTAGCTTTGCACCCACCCTGAAGTGCAGATCCGATCGTGTTTACAACTACTAAGCATTCATCCCAATCTTCTGTTCTCTCAAATAACTGGTAATAATGTAGACTTCCTTGATGAGAGAAGAGAACAAACTAATGCCCTCTTCTTTACATAATTGGCCCCATTTCCAAAAGACTTTAAATTGGAATTTGACCACATCTGTTGACATTGACCTTGGTTGTGTAGGTAAAGGTAGCACAGTACACAGTACTTGCCATACCCTCTGAAACTGCATTTCTCAAAATAAAAGTGTGGTGGGGAAACCCTGCATCAAGTGCTCCCTGGGAAAACTGCTAAAACACAGATTTGTAGGGGGAGGGAGACTCTACCCACAAAGAGTCAGATTCAATATAGGTCTGGGGTGACGCCAAGGAACCTGCATTTAACCCAAGTGATTCTGAAACACTAGAGTTTCAGAACCACTGGCTTTGGGGTTCCTACACTCTCATTTTAACTTCAAACAGGCCTGGGCTTGAACCTCAATACTTCAAGTTAGTTCACCTCAGTTTCCTCATCTGTAAAACAGGCATAATAACAGTACCTACCTCGCATGTTCTTTGAATGTTTTAAACAAAACAACGTGTAAAGAATCTGGCACATAGTTGAAGTTCAGTAATCTCTCCTGGTCCTGCTTATCCGGGGTCCCTGCTGCCTGCCTTCTCTGTGTTCAGCTTCTGCCCCTGTTGCCAATTGCTCACTCTTTCTAGGTCTGGTATTCAAACTCCCCAAGAGAGAAACTCTCATTGGTCCAAATTCAGTAACTGTACTTGCTGGGCAAAGTTCTCATCCCAGGTTCCTTCATAGGCTGTTTGCCAGCCTATAGAGTGACTGCTCATGGATCAGATGCCCTCTCCTGGCTCAAGTGGCTATTGCTGGGGGAAGCAGGGTCACGTGGTACCAAGAATAGTCACCTATTCATAAGAAACTGCTACTTCCCTCAGCTAGGGTCTGTGGATGGAAACTCCTTAGAAGGGGCTTGTGGGTGTGGCAAGAATTCTGAGGCTTAGTCCATCCAGTACACCTAGGCTTCTCATTTATCCAGCCTGCCAAAGGAATGAAGTACTCAAGTTCACTGAAGTCTCTATTTAATTCTGACTTTTCATCTCCATCAGGTCGGGAATACAAGTTTTTAAAAAACTAGACCACAGTCAAGGAAAAAACAAGATATAACCCTAAAATTAGACTCTTCTGTTTCTAGAGCACGTTTTTAAGTTTCCAAAGCACTTTCACATCTATTTACTCATTGCAGAGCTTGCAAACTGGCAGCCACAGGCTAAATTCAGACTGCAGACAGAGTTTATTTGACCCGTACAACGTTTTAAACATTTTTTAAAATTAATTGCCAACATTTAAAAGTCAGGAAATTTCAGATAGAAAGCTGGATTTCTGGCTTTTCTGAAACACACACACACACACACACACACACACACACACACACACAGAGAGAGAGAGAGAGAGAGAGAGAGAAAGACTTCGATCCAAATTCCAATATAGCAACAATCAGCCAGAGCTCAACAACCTGCTCCCTGTAGGTGAGGCACGTGCTCACCAGTTTGCCTCAGTACCCATAAGGCCACCTTTACTTTTTCAGCGACCTGCTCAGTCCCTGTAGGCATTTAAAGCCTCAATTTAACCCCATGGGTTAGGCAGAGAAGGTGGATAAGAGCTGAACTGTGTGGGTTGGAATCCCAGCATTGCTCCTAACTGGCTTTGGGACCCTGGGCAAGTGATTTAACTTCTGAATCTCAGTTTTCTCATCTATGAAATGGGGATGATAATAATAATACTGCTTACCTCACAGGCTTATTGGGCCACTTAAATGAGTTAATGTATACTTAGAACAATGCCTGGTACATTACATGCACGAAATAAGTATTAACTTCCTTCATTGTCCACAATTTCCTATGTGCCTCTCTGATATCCCAAAGCTTCTGAAAACTGAAATTCTGTGGCAAGCTCATTTGGTGGCAAAACTGGGCCTGAATTGACATGAGGCTATTCATTTATCCCATTTAGAAATATTAGTGAGTTTGATCACTGGGTATTATCTTGGATCTCATTAAGGTGTGATATATATGTTATATCTACCACATTGCTTTTCTAAAATCCAAATATTTTGAACTGTAAAACATGTCTAGCTCCAACAGTTTCAGATAAGGGATTGTGGACCTGTATTATTATTAGTTTGTATACCCACTTGACAGATGGGAAAACTGAGCTACTAAGCATTGAGCTACTTGCCAAAATTCCCACAACTGAAAGTGGAAACTATTTAGACTCCTAGACATGAAGCTCATAGTGCCTAGTACTGTGGGATGTCTTGGGCTCGCCATAGGCATGTGGATGCAGGTAGTGGCTACCAATCAGGGACCTTTGAAGAACTGAAAAATGTCACCACTTACTGAGAGTGCCAAACCCTGCCCTTTATAGCATTCTTTCAACTCTCTGAGTTACTCTTTACAACATTTGGGTTAGAATTAGAATGAAGATTATTGTCTTCAGTTTACAGAAGAGGAAACTGAGGTCCAGAGAAGAGAAGTGACTTGCCCAAATTCATACAGCAAAAGACAGGCAGAGCTGGAATTGGAAACCAAATTCTGGGCTTTTTCTTCTTAAACCCCAGGGCCAGTCCAAGAATGACATATGCTGACCTTTCCACATACTGAACCACACTCTCTGCAGACAATCCTAAGGTTTTTGACATACCTGATGAAAGGAGAGTGTCCCAAGATCTCAGCAAATATAAAAATGAGACAGCATGTCTGGGTGGACCTCGTCCTTTCCAGGACCACAGGCAGCAATGTACAGACATGATCCAGTTAGAAGCTAGGGAGGGAAGATTTCTCAAATCCCAAGAAAATCACAGAGACCCTACTGTTTGCTCTTCTCTGTTGATTTTTAAGAAGCTGACATTTACTTATGCCAAAGGCCAAAAGAAATGAAAAATCTACTGAAAAGGGAATTTCATCAGACATGGAGCAATAACCTAAAGAAACCTTTGCATAGTATCAGTTCCTTTGTTTGAAATGCAGAAAACAGGGCACTGCTATTTCATATTGTTAGCGCATCAGAGACCTGGGCATGAAAACAGCATCCTTAGGACCTCTTTCCAAACCCCTGCCTCACCACAGAGGAGCTCTCTGACACTGCCACCAACTTCAGCAAGTTGGAAACAAGAAGGCAGGCCGTGACCCAAGTGACCTCATGTCACTCCTAAGCTCATGGCTTGAGTTCCTCCTACCAACAAATCTGCACTTTGATCACACACCCACAGCGACCCAGATCTTTAAATTCAGCAATTCTTTCTCAGGTTTCAGCAAGGCATTGGCAGCCTGAGCTATTTTGGGACACTTTCTCTGCTGTGGATGCCACTTTTGGAATACGCCAGGAACATGCTAAGGACCTGGAGCTCTCTACCCTGGACCCGTTTTCGGGTTTGCTTGCTCTCTCTCTCTCTCTTTCTCTGGGCTAATCGTTTAGAGGACAGTCGCTCCTGCCAACCTAATCCCATGAGCCTGACTACCTTGCCGGGCCACAGGCTCAAAGAAGCAGTGTGGCTGCCAGCACCCTCACGGTAAGGGGCACGGAGGCACCAGGCAGTCTGGCAGGATGAGAGACATCCTGGGGGTGGTCTGAGTTTGGATGTGGGCTGAGAAGACAAAGCAGGGGGCTTTCGGGGGACAAGATTTTCCAAACATCTTATTCTTAGGATCATCACTTCCTAATCTGATGCAACTGACTCGGCAGGCATTCGGGAGCCTGTAAGCTCCATTTTCCTGTTCCAAATTCTTCTGCACCTGTAAGTACCCGGCTTACTCATGCTCATGCTGTCTTTTGGGGAGGGGGAGAGGAAAGCAGGGCCTAGGGAAGGTCATCTTTATCTGACTCAGGTGTGGGCAGGTCCATGGCGTTAGAAGAATTTCTGACATCCCCACGGCTCCCCTTCGCCCGAAACTGCTTCTTAGTTTGGAAAATGAAAATGCCTGTTCGTTCTTTCCCAAGCTCACCACCCCACCGCCCCCACCACAGCATACCAGAAACTCCACCTGTCCTTTGGGGTCTTCTGTTCATCAATGTTGTGCACACCTGATTTCTTATGTTGGACTTAATGGGAGAAGTGCACCCTTGGCATTTGAATGTCTTAAATGCAACCACAGCTATTATTGTGAGCACAGCCCCTGCTGGCTTCTCCATCTTTTATGCTGCAATTTGCTGAAACAGTGAAAGATGTTTTAAGCGGTAGGGTATAAATAAAAATCTAGAAACTCCTCCATGGTAAAAAGGAAGAGCAATATGGTTAATTCTCAACGCAGTTAGAAATGCTGCCACAATGGGGAGGCTCCACGCTATCCCACGAATGGTCCCTTTCAATGCTTTCCTATTTTAATGGAAAGAGAGGCCAAAATAACTAAGGGCTCCCCAGGAAAGGAGCATTTCTGATGTTTTTACTGCTTTCCTGAGAGAGGACATTGTCTCTGGCCGGCTTGTCAGTCCCTGAAGCAGCTCCAATGGCTGCTCACAAAGGGAGAATCAGCCCCTCTTGTCCTTCTGTCGGGGACTGCTGAAGTCCCCTCAAAATAGCCCAGGATGACAAAGCCAGGCCCTGCTACCTACCCTCTTCCCCTAACACTGAGACCAAATCATTCTTAGGGGTACATAACTTGTTTGGAGGTGAGCGGGAGAAATATCTTGGCTAGGAAGCCATCTGGAAAACCTGCCACGACCCATACTAAAAACTGTGCTCTTCTCTGAACTTTCATATGACCCTCAGCCATGAATAAGAATAAAAGAAGGCAAGCATATTTTGCCCTTTTATTTCCACAGAGCACAATAGAAGGAACATTGTCCTTAGCAAAGGCAAAGGATAAGATGTTCCTTTGGCCAAGGCTGGCTGCCTTCAGTTTCTCTGATTGACAAAATAAACAGCTTCTAATTTGTGTTCTAAAAGGGCTGGTTCTGAAGAGGATTTGAGAAGAAAAATGTTAATATCAGTGCTAAAAAAAAAATCAAGACAGGAATTCCACCTTATGTCTGGTGGAGACCGGATTTGTTTTCAGGCTATAGGACAAAACTAGTCTCGGGAGGAATTTGTTTCTGACTTCACTACCGCCTGTTTGCTTGGTCCTTGGTAATTCATGAAGTTTCTTAGCTCTCCTCCTTCTAAGGAGCTCTGAGAAAATGATACTTGGATCATAGAGGTTCATTGTCTGGAAGACTTTTGATCAAAGCCCTGAGTGCTGGGGTGGGGGCAGATTACGGATTCTGATTATAACAAAAATAATCCAAGTCCTGTCTTGGCAGAAGCCTGAATTTTATGTCCACCTTGTGGCATTCCAGGAGCATTAAGAATGTTCCATTGGCCTTTCCAATCTCTCCATCCGCTCCCAAGGGCTTGAAAATTTTTAAGTATATAATTCTTTTGACTCAGGGCTTTGGCATCAGTTAAAATGCCAACCTCTTGGGAGGATCAGCCTCTTAAATCTCCCATCGTGAAAGCAGGTTCTGATAGAGGGACAAAGAGAGAGGAGGAACATGAAATCATTCTAGGTACAAACATGAGCCTCAGAACAGGAGTCTGCAAGCAGGAACCAGGCAAGGCCAAAGTGCCAAGAAGCTCTGTTGGCAGAAAGGGAAGATTCTATTCTTGCTAAAATGGGGTACAGGCAACTTATTGGGGCAGAGACTACGGATTTGGGGAATAAGACCCACTTAATGTAACTGGGGTACAAGAAGGAGGAATAATCTCATGTACTAACACAGGATAAGAGATAGGGGAACTCCCTGCAAAGGTACCCTCAGGCTGAATTACCTGAGTCACTGAACAAGGGCTCCAAAAATGTTATGAGGCCTCAGTAGATGGAACAAACAGATCTAACAATCTGCTGCCCCCTCAATCCTGGCATTTCTTCAGCCCAGAGAGAGTAGGTCAAAGGAGGGGACCACACTAAGATTTAGACTTTTGAGACCCCCTTCCCACCCTTTGCTTCCTCTGATACCCGCATTGAACTCATTCCCAAGGAGATTCATGGTAGATACAGTGATTCACTTCATTTACCAAGAGCTATAAGGTATGAAGAGGAGTTGCCCACCTACAGCCACAGGTCAAGAATGCAGCATCCCCAAAGCTCTATGTGGGCTCCTTCCTAAGGCCTAGTGGACACAGTTTGGATTAAAACCACTTGGGTGCAAATTCTGGCTCTGCTACTTACTAGTTGTGTGGCCTTGGGCAAGTGGTATAACCTATCTAAACCTCATCTGTAAAATGGGCACAGTAATAGGAGCTATCATATAATGTTGTGAAGACTGAATGTGATGATGCATGTACAGCCCAGTACAGTGTCCAGTACAAAGGAAATGCTTAATAAAAATCAGCAATGATTAACACTCCTGGCTCTCTGCTTATGCTTCATTGCCTGAGGATAGGTTATAGCAGCAGATCATCCCACTCAGTGCAAGTCTCACAACTGCAGGGGTCAGGGGCTCACCATCTCCTCCAGTTAATGTCACCCTCTCACCTTTTCTTCTCAGTCCCACTAGAGAGCATTCCTAAGCCTTTCCTCTCGCTAGTTCTGATCTGCTCCATCCCCTGCTAACTAAATAGGTGGATTCACTGCTAAAGATTCGTGAAATCACTTCCTTGGCTTTCCCCAGCCACAGACTGAGCTTTGCTACCCACCTCCTAGAGGCGAAATGGAATCACTTCTGGGAGATCAGGGTCCAGAAGGATCCAACTCCTGAAGCACTAACAAAGCAAAAGAAGCCCTACAGAAAACTTTGGGTCTCTGGTTCCTGTACAGCTCACTGCAGCTATGGCATCACTCTGAAGCCACAGTCACTCCCACTGTGACTCTCAGCTCCTCAGGCTGCTGGCCCATAGCTGCTCTCCTCCTCCAACAGCCCCACTCTCTACCTCCCTCAGGGGACTCCCTTGTCTGGGCCCCAGGGTACTAAGGCTTCCAGAGGCTTTCCATAGCTTTCTCTCTCTGTCCCTCCCCATCCTCTCCTGGGGATACAGAGTCCACTCTTTCAAGGTATGTGGTGACAAGGAGCTCAGCTTTCTGTGCAGGCATGCCCTCAGCATGTTCTCTGCATTCCAGTCCCCCTTGCTTCTCTGCTCAGCAAGAAAGAGGAGTGGGAAGCATCCCTAGTTAGGCTTATGGTACTTCTAGAATCAGAAGACAAGCCTATATCCTGTCAAAGTAGACTCTGATGATTCTCAAAGTAATTCAGCCTGAGAGTTTACTAAAATGCATATTCCAGCAGTTATCTCTATAAAGATACAGAGTGGGTTTGTGCTTCAGCCCTAGAATCTGCATGTTTAAAGAGCTCTCCTTAAGCCACACCTTAAGAAACAGTGCATTCTATCTTGGTGAATGGGGGTAAGGGGTGGGGAGGAAAGTCACACAGCTGGGTCGCATAATGAATCCCAGCCTACATCCTGACTCTCCAGGAGCACATGGAAATGCCTTCGAAGTCCTGACCCAGTCTTGTCCAAGCAGCAGCTCTAAAGATACTTCACAAAGACCCTGAGTAGTTTCACTTATCTAAACTCCAGACCTAAATCAGCGATGCTAGCAGTCTGAGGTGCAAAACGCACAGCGATTCTTCATTTAGAACCATTTTGAGCTAGTTGGGGCTATAGAAGACCTTACTGGTTAATAGCACAGTGGAGCCACACCGGCAGGCTTTGCCTCTTATAGGCTGTGTGACCTTGAACAACTTACTCATTCTTTCTGTGATTTGCTCTTTGCCTGTGAAATGGAGACAGTAATAATACCTCATAGTGCTGTTCATGTGGAATTATGAATTACTTCATGTAACCTGTGTAGAACCATGCCTCCCCTCAGCAAAATATCTGCTACTCTTGTTACTATAAATATTACACATATATATAAACAGGGTTTATAATATTTGTGAGGAATAAATGAGATGATGAGTGTAAAATGTTCAGAACTATTATTGGTGTGGTTCCAGGGATTTAACAGAGAAATCAGTAGAAGTCCTCAAGGTGTCAGAGACCAAGGCCATTCTAGATAAATATTTCTGGTAAAGAGATTGGTCAAAGGTCATTTGGAGACTCAGAAAGAAAGTGGCAGTTAGGGTTCTCTTACATCCAGAATGTAACTAAAACTCTCATGCCTAACTTGTTGCTATAGATTTGGGGATTATGGGATTTTGTTCTGGGACCTGCTAGGTCTAATTAAAGTGTTAGGACTCCTAGGAGACCAGCTGTGGTTTGCACAGACAGGAGCTTGAAAAATGCTGTCATGAATGTGCTCCCAGCTCTGCAGCAGTGGAGACGCAGTCAGTGGCACTGAGTGCTCCAGGGGTCACTGTAGAGTTGTGGTCTTTGTCCTTGCTGCCCCAAACCCACAGCTGTTAATTTATTAGGTTTTGTTAGAAGATACTCCCACACTAAAGAACTCCAGAGCTGAAGTGACTGTCCTGTCCTTGCTTCATGGCCCCTGTGCAGGCATGAGTTCTGTGCACAGAGCTCCTCCCTCCCTCCTTCCCTCCTTCCTCCCTTTCCTTCCTCCCTCACTCCCTCCTTCTTCCCCCTCCCTCCCTCCTTCCTCCTCCCCCCTCCCTCCTTCCTTCCCTTCTTTCCTCCCCCCTCCCTCCTTCCCTCCCTTCTTTCCTCCCTTTCTCCCTCTGTCCCTCCCTTCCTTCTGTCACTGGCCTGAGTGCAGCCCTGGAACAAGGACCATGATCATGAGGGGAAAGGGATGATGTTTCTGGGAAGGTCCAAAGAAGAGTGTCTTCTCACTCCGGGCTGGTGTCCCCCACCACCTCCCTCATTAAATACTGGTATTCACCTGGCTCTGTCCCTAGCCCTTGCCCTGGATGAGTAAAATGGGAGAGGAGAAACCCCATCCAGTCCCCTGAGGTCAACTAATATCCCTTGACTGTGGTGGCTTTCCAGCCCCCATGTCTCAGCTGGGCTCAAAGCCAAGATTCCCAGTTTCTTGCTGGACATGTCCGCTATCCAGCACTCCAAACCCAGCAAGTCCAAACAGACCTTGTCATCTGTCTCCCCTCACTCTCCCTCTCTACTAACAGTCTTGTGTTCCCTGCCTCAGTTGACAGTATCACCACGGACCCAAGCTGGAACCTCAGGGTCCTTGTCACCTTTTCCCTCTCCTTGACCCCATGACAGCCAGCCCTGAGGTTTCTACCTGTTGACATGTGCCTTGAGTCATCCCCTCCTCTCGGCTCTCACTGCCACGGTCGTGGTTCAGAGCCTGTTCCACTTCTTGCCCAGACCCTGGAGATGGTCTCCCAATTGGTCCGCATGCAGCTGGCCTCTCTTCCCTCCAATCTTTCAACACCCTGGTAAGGACTGTCTTCCTAGTCTGTCCCGAATCTGCCTTAATAAAAAGCTCCAGTGGCTCCCTCTTGCTCACAGAACAAAACCTTCAGCTTGGCCAATAGGGCTCTGAATAGCTGACCCCAAATACTCGTCCACTCCCCTCCTGCTGCTGCCAGTGGTGCACCCAGCTACAATTGTCCTGCCCTTTGAAACATGCACTAGGCCCTGTCACACAAATACTGCTCACTTTGCCTGGAATGTCTTCCCCTGCCTCCACTGTTCCTCCTGACATAACCTGCCATCCCTCAAGATGCTGCTCAAGCCTCCTTCATTCGTGGAGACTTCCTCAACTTCCCCAGATACGTTCCTCTACCACAGCACCTATTGGACCATGAGGGCTTATGTGTGCCTCGGTCCCTCCCACTAGATAGGGAAGACCCCAAAGTTTGCCTAGAACCATATTGAATTCCTCTTTATATTCTCAGTACCCACAAGCTTGGATAAAATAAGATACTGGTTTCCTCATTTGTAAACTGGAAATAAAAATAATAGTTGCTAAGTCCTGTAGTTAGAAGAAATAAATGAGATAATTTATATAATATGCCGATAATGACAATGAAGATGATCATGATAAGAAGAAAGGCTAGTTAACACTCATTCAGGGCTTTCTAAAAGTGTCACTGTCCTAAGCTCTTTTCATGATTGAGAGTGAGCCAAATAGATGAGTCAATCCCTGGAAAGTGATTGTGTATGTGTTTGTGTATGTGTTTGGGTGTATATATTCATGTACATGTATGATAAGCATAATACAAATGACCTATGTATAACATATAAACTTCACAATGTGCCTGGTGTTTATTAGGAGCTCCAGTTTTTCCCTTCCTTCCCCCATCTCCCTGCCCTTCCTCATTACCCTTCCTAGTCATCCTCCCATCCTCTCCTACCCCAGGCCTGCGATAAGACAGATGAATTCAGAAGGGGTTCCTGTGTCATTGTCACTGACAACAGACTGCTTAGTGGAAGAGAGAGAAGTGCTTGGAATTGCCTTTGGACTTGGTATCTAAGAGTTGTTTCCCCATTCAAGTTATCACTTCTTTGAGGATACGGGCTATGCACTACCCCTGTTTTGTCTCCCATAAGCACCAGCACAGTGGTGGGCACATAGCAGGTACTCAATCAACTATGTGACGTCAGGCTCGGCTTGAGGGTCCTGGTTTTCAGCACTCTCAGCGTTTTCAGCAATCACTGAGGCAGGTCTTGGAGCCACAGCTGACAGGTTCTCACGAGCTCACAGACAGCAGCAGCTGGAGCCACCCGGGAGCAGCCCTCTTGGCAGTGCTCTGCTGGGGATGGGCCACCAGGCCAGGAGGTCGAGGACTTGCTTCCTGGACACAAGTCTGCCACTGACTGTCTGGGTTAGCCTGTGCAAATCTCTCCACCTCCCTGAACCACAGGGTCCTCACCTATAAAATGCTTCTCCTAGAAGCGTCTGAGGATGCATGACATGGCAGCTGTGAAAGCTCTTTGCCAAAAGGCTGTGCAGAAGTGAGGTGTTGCTAATTTCAAGTGCTGGGACTTCACTCACTTGGAAACATTCAGGAAGCAGGGGTGGGGAAAGAGAGAGCAGGGACTTGCATATCCAGGACATATGGGGGCCTATATTTGTTGTCCTCCTGCTTAATAGCATTAGTGATTCAAGCTGGTGCTGCCTGTGGAACACTCTGTCTTTCGGGATCCTCAGGGACAGGAGGGGTTTCAGAGCAGCGAGGCTGCAGCCAGCACACAATACAGTGAAAAATAGAGTGATAGCAATGAGGTGCCACGCTCACAGGTTCATACACATGCATGTACACTCCTGACGGCCCCCAACGCTGCCTCACAACAGCAGCTGGGGCTAATTACAGCCAGACAGCGCCTTCTCCAGCTCTTCTCTCGAAGCTATCAACCCTCCCCACCACTACCACTACCACTCACCCTTGGGGATTGCCTGATCTCTCAGAAGGGGTGCTGCTGATGCCACAGCTAAATGCCTAGAAAGAACCCGGCAGGGGGTGTAGTGGTACAAGGGAGTAGGAAGCCGCCATGTGGCTCCCCGTCTTGCAAGTGTGGGTAGAGAGGAGGAGATGAAATGGAAGAGAGCTGGCTGAGATACAGATGCAGCTTTGTGTTAACAGATGTGCTCTCCTGGCAAGAGCGAGCCTAGGCACTTAGCCCCTCCCTTCTCCTTCATCTGGATCCACCCAGGGATCCCCTCTTAACTCTTCTCCCTCTTAAATCCCCAGCTTCCTCTTCAACTCAGCATCTGCCATAAAGCTCAAGAAATGTTGAATAAATGAATGGGTGAATAAACACATAAACCCTCCCCAAACCCTTAGTACTCCCAAACCCTGTTCCCACCTCACAGGCTGTAATGACTCCATGAGCCCTTTCCTCTGCTTTTCTTTCTATATACTCCCTTTGGACAGTGTCAACTCTCACCTAATATGCTTCTAACTCCCAAATCTCTCCTGGTAGCCCAGACCTTGCCAGCTGCCTGAATGTTTCCCCTGCTCCTCAAACCTAATGTGCCCCACACTAGAGTCTTCAGCAATGACTTCCCCAGGGGTTTTCTAGCAGTGAGTCCTGGTCTGTCAAGGGCGTATGAGAAAGAAGGGCCTGCTGTATGCGCCCCAGCAGGACAGGGGCAATGAACACATTGGCAAAGTCATCAGGGCAACCTTCTGATCCCAGGGTCTGTCTTCACACCAGGATACCAAGGTTTTTCCCATCAACCTTTTAACTGTCAGCCCTCCCTCCCACCCATAAGGAAAGCCAAATTAAGAATGAACTGCCAAATTGGAGCTAACTGCCTAATGTGGGCTTCTAATTGGAACCAGGCAAATTGTTTATATAAAGAAAAACCCTTGAAAAGGAGCCCATGTGAACTGGTGAGTTATTTCTTCTTCAACATGAGCTCTCTCTCCCAATCCCACTCTCATTGCTTCAGAATCCTGGTATTCCTCCCACCTTCATCCCTCAGCCAGCACACACACACACACACACACACACACACACAGCCTTCCCCTCATTTTCCTTCTCATGAACCTTCACTTCATGTTGGAGCCCTGTCCCCATGATCACTGCAAACCCCCAGGTAAATATTGAACCAAGATTGGTGAAAACTGGAGATATTATTCCACCAAAGCAGTGTTAGAGGGAAGGCCCCCAGAATGTTTACTGAGAGTTCACAAATTATTTCCTGATCTTGGCAAAGATAGAAAATAAAGCCCCCCTTTCCTCCAGGTCTTCCTAGATTTGGAGAGCAGCCAAAGGAATGGATTACAAACACAGTGGCCCTTGGTTCCTGACAGCCTCAGGGCCTATGAAGGCAAAATCCAAGTTTCTTCATTCCTTTTCTCAGGGAGTCCTGAGTATCATACACAAGTACAAATGCAAGGTGTCATTATAACCAGCCATGTTATGACCACATCTAGGGATTTTTAGTTTTTAACACAAGGTGAAAGATGTCTCACCAATTTCAGTTTGACATACAAGATGCAAAGTAATTTATTCAAAGCACTCCTGTGTTTAATTTCAAAACAGTCATTTATTCACTCAGCAAATCTATGTTGAGCATTTCAAAGAGCTGTAATTCATGGTTCCTGCTTTCAAACTCCTCCTTCTCTAGTTAGGAAATGAAAACCCTATATACAAGGGTTAACTGACAACACAAGACCATGCCAGCTTCCTTTTCATGCCTGGTGTGGACTATATGGCTCTCATAGTTTTGGCAGTACTGAAAATTTCCACTCTATTGCTTCTGTCACTACTGTTGACCTCTTCTCCAATACAAGGTGGTAAGTAGATGTGTCTCTAGGGTGCCTGGGTTCATATCTGTGTTCCGCCATTCACTAGCTATGTGACCTTGGCCAAGTTATTCAGCCTGTCTGAGTCTGGTGCCTCCTCTGTAATGTGAAGATAATAATAGTAACCTACCTCACAGCATCATAGTGAGAATTAAATGAGTTAATACACACAAAGCACTTAGAATGATACCTGACACATAATCATTGCTCAATAAATGTTAGTAATTATTATTTTCCTGATGTGCCTACTGTTCTTTGTTAATACCAGAGGTCACAATTCTTATTGGGCTTCCAAAAGAAGCGGTAAAGTACCACATTCATTCATCCACTCAATCAGCAAATATATGTTGAGCATCTACAAGTCCCTGAGTTAAGCCCTGGGATCATATAGCCAAAGAAGACATGGCCCTTGCCTTTGGGACTAAACAATTCACTGGAAGAACTCCTGGATTAATAGTGCCCTGATGCACTTGGAAGAACCAAACACAAATCCTCCCTGGAAGAACATGCCCACCACCCAGTTTTCATAGGATTACCAAGGATAAAGTCAGGTTGAACATGAACTCATAATCCAAAATTACAAAGAACACGATGAAGCCAGAAACAATGAAAACAGAATCAGGTCTTCAAAGACCTCAGGTATTGCAATTAGGTGATATAAAATATAAAATAAGTTTTACATGTATTAAAAAACAAAAGATTTTGAAAACATTGCCAAAGAACAAGATACTAACAAAAAATTACTTTTTCTAGCCAGGCATGGTGGCTCAACGCCTGTAATCCCAGCACTTTGGGAGGCCGAGACAGGTGGAACACTTGAGGTCAGGAGTTCAAGACCAGCCTGGCCAACATGGTGAAACCCCATCTCTACTAAAAATACAAAATTAGCAGGGCATGGTGGCATGGGCCCGTAATCCCAGCTACTTGGGAGGCTGAGGCAGGAGAATCACTTGAACCCAGGAGGCGGAGGTTGCAGTGAGCCGAGATTGCATGCCACTGTACTCCAGCCTGGGCAAGAGAGCAAGCCTCTGTAAAAACAAAAAAACCAAAAAAACAAAACAAAAAAAAAAAAAAACACTTTTTCTCTAAGTATCATCGTTTTATAGATGGCAAAGAGAAGTGAGGTGACTCCTTCAATGTTGCATAGCTAATAATGAGGGATTTAAATCAGGTTTGCAGTGTCTACTGTTTTTTGGCAAACTCAGTGACTGGAGTTGTATTATTTCTTCCCTGAGTCATTCAACAAGTGAGATGATTACAAAGTACTATGCTAAGTCTATAAAAAAAAAAGATGAACAAAATAGAGTCCTTGCCCTCAAGAAGCTTAAAATTCAGTAGACAGGCAAGACTACACACATATAAAAATAATTATTAATATCAGGCTGTGTGGTAGAAACTACTGTGGTCTGGAACAGTAGGAGATGAGAATTGAGCAATTCTTGAAGAACAGGGTGGATCTACAGGGAAGACAAGCTTTGAATTGGCTAGTGGGGTAGAAGAGATGGAACAGCCTGACAAAAGCCGTGGAGAAAGTGAACCTACAGAGCAGTTGAAGGAGGAGCAAGTGCATTTGGCCAGTGCGCTGGATACACGTAGGGGCAGACCTGTGCCGTCGCATCGGACCCTGAAGTCAGAAGAGCCCTATGCTTGGTTTAATGCTCTCCTTTGCTGCTATCTTGAAATCCTTGATTATATTTTAACACGGGGTTCCACATTTTCGTTTTGCACCAGGACCCTCAGATGATGTGGCTGGTATTCCATAGGGGAATGGGGGGAGGTATGGTTGGGAAGGCAGACCACTCTTGGGAAGGAAGGATCTGGAATTCCACTTTGATATTTGCCCTGCAGACAATGAGGAATGACTGAAAGTGTTTGAGCAGGGGAGGGATAGGGTGACTGTGGTTTTAGAAAGCCACATCTTGGAGAGGGGGGGAGTGTTCAGATGGCATCAGAGAAAGGAGAGATGGGAAATAGTCAGAAGGCTATTGCAATAAAGCAACGGGGGCCTGGACAGAAATAGTGGCTGATGATATGGAGAAGAGGAAAAGGTCATCATTGATTCAGTTATTCGTTCTGCAGATGGTTATGGCTACTGAGCACCTATAATGTGTGAGTCTTTGTGCTAGGAGCTGGGATACAGGAATGTACAAGGCTCTGTCCCTAACCTCAAGTTACTTACAGTTCAGTGAGGGAGGCAGATAAGTAAACAGACTATGGCAGCCTGATAGCCCTGTGTGCTAAGGGCTAGGATCAGATTACATTTAGATTGTTGCGGGAGCCTAGAGAAAGGGTCCAGACAGAGAATTCTGAGATTCCCAAGAAGTGATATCTGAGCTGCATCCTGAAGGCCACAGACAAGGCACAGAAAGTCACTCCAAAAAGAGGGAACAGGATGTACAGAATCATGGAACATCTACTGTGTGCCAGGTGGGGATCCTAGCTCTCAGACTGGTAGAGAAAGTAGACAACTAACCAGAGAAGAACAAGAGAATGTATCCAGTGCTATGTTGTGGACGCTGTGGGAGTACAGAGGAGGGGCATCTAACCCAGACTGGACAGGCGGGGAAAACTGTTCCTTAGAGGTGTCTTCTGAGCTATGTGTTGTAGATGAGATGGTGTTAGCTGGGTGAAGGGAGGGAGGAAGGGATGGGCACAGCAGTGGGAATGATGTGTGCAAATGCACAGAGGTAAGAGACCATGTGTGGCTCTAAGAGAATTGCAAATGACTCCCTGTGATTGAATTCTAGAATGAACAAGCAAGAGCATAGTGTTGGGGGTGGTTATGACCAAAGAGATAGACCTTAAATGCCAAGCTAAGGAGTTTGGACTTCATCCTATAGAGCAGTAGTTCTCAGCCTTGACTGTATATTAGAAGCACCTGGGGAACTTTAAAAACAATACTTATGACTGGATCCCACCCCTAGAAACTGATTTAATTACTCTGCAGGAGAGGCATTAGAACTTTTAAAAGCTCCCTCCATTTATTTGAATGTGCAGCCAGGATTGAGAACCATGGCTCTAGGGTGCCAGTTCTCAAATTTGAGTGCTCATCAGAATCACCTGTAGGGCTGTTAAACACAGAGTCAGGTGAGCACTCTCAGAGTTTCTGATTCAGTAGGTACTCTAATGAGTACGTACTCTAACTTTAAGAAGTTGCCAGAGATGCTGGTGTTGCTGGCCCCAGGACCCACATTTTGAGAGCCTCAAGTCTCAGGTGTTGTGAGGCTATTTACAAGTGTTAAGTGGAGGGGATGGAGGTGTGAAATGATTTGATTTGCATGTTTGAAAGATCACTCAGGCCACTTTGGGGAGAATGGTCACAGAGGACTAAGGAGAGAAGGTGAGAAAACCAGAAGGTATTGTAGGAATCAAGGCAAGAGATGTCTGGAGGTGGGAGGAGTCCTGAACTAAAGCCCTGGCAGTAGGAATGGAGAAAAGAGGTGACATGCAAGGAATGCTTAGGAAATATACTTGGCAGGGCTTAGTGACTGGCTGAATGTAGAGGTGAGAAATAAAGATGAGTGAACTACAACTCTTGGGTTTTTGCCCTGGGCAACCAGTGACTCCAGTTTTACTAGGCATGGTAGTTACTGTAACAAAAAGTTAAATGTGTTACCAGGCTTAGGGTAGGACATGGGAGAGGGGGGCATTTCTGCCCTCAAATCTCATAGCAATAGTCCCAGGGAATTCAACAGGCATCTCTCATTGTCCACTCAATCCCTATTTTCAGCACCATGAGTCCTCACCTTGACCCTAATCAACTTGGGATTCTCCTCAAAGTACTTAGAAAGGAAAAGGAAGACGGTGACTACCCTGACATGATGGCCACCCACCCGAGCTCCAGGTATGAAGCCTGCTCCTCTGGAATTACTCTAGGTATGTTTACTTTATTCTTTCATCATTTTAACAAATATGTATAGGGCTGCTGCCCACAGGAACTTAAAAATATTCAGACGCCATGTCTCACGCATAGGTAAGGAATTCATATCTCTTCTTACATAACCAACAAAGCAAATGCAGCTTAAGTACAGCCTGAAAAATAATTCATTCTACATAGATTTAAAATGTCTAAAAATGAGCAGTTTTCCAGTGCGTCACTGGTCATGACTATTTGTAAGTCTCCTCCGTGGGCAAGCAGACTACCAGCAATCAACAAGACCAGCAGGAATGATGGATGGGATAATTGTCCATTAGGGTACAGATAACTTTTGTATCGTGGGAGGGTTCGACAAGATAGAGACATGATAGATGGAAGAAGAGTTAGCTAATATAATAGGAGTTGCAGCTCCATTCTGGTAGTAACTATTCTCTGGCTGAATCGATGATTAATCAAAGACACATTCTCATTTGAAACACTTTGCTCACCGGTGCAAAACCCCCGCTTTAGGTTAAATTTAATAGCATCATTAAAAACTGCTGTTCAAGACATTCAAATTACTTCTCTCCAGAAGAAATCAAGCCACAATAGAGAATGCTTTTGTGAACCCCTGGAGAGCAAGGGCCATGCAGGATGTGTGTGTGTGTGTGTGTGCGTTTGTGTGTGTGTGTGTGTGCGCGCACGCACGCACTAAACTTATAAATCCTCAATGCCTAGCACAGGAGCTGACACAGAGCACTCAATAAATGTTTGTTAAAGTGAAATGAAATGAATACATTTGTCTATTCATTCATCTGTTTATTCCTTCGACAGACATTCATTAAATATAGGAATTAAAGAGCTCAGGCCCTGGAACTAGATGCTTCAGGCTTCAAATTCCAGCTCCAACCAGCTATATGATCTTGAGCAAATGACTTAGCCTCTCTCAGCCTGATGCCTGCTCTGTAACGTGGGGGAAATAATAGTACTTGCTCCTGTAGGGCTGTGTGAGGATTAAATGAATTAGTGAGTGTTTAGCACAGGCCCTGGCCCATAGTAAGTACTCACTATAGGGCAACTATTATTGTTGTTGTATATGTTAGGCTAGGCCTTTCTCAAGTAACTAGGTCATTAGAAGAAGCACAGAACCTCTTAAGAAATGATAAGGCTTTTGGCCAAAGCTGGTTTTCATTAAAGTGGTTATTTATGGTTCCCAGCCCAGAGCCCCACTGCCCTAGGCCTGCCATTCCTGGCCTGGTGCCCTCCTGTGGCAACACAGGCTGTCTCTAGGTGGGTTGTGCTCTCTAGAGAAGCCTGAGAAATTGCGGAGTGGGAAGGTGAAGGAAGAAGGTAAGAGCTGGCCAGGATCCAATTACCCATCAACATGCAACCCCTGCCACACCCCCATCATTAACTCCCTTGGTTGCCTTTCTATGCTTTTGTATAGCTCTTCCTGGCAACATTTCTACCTACTAATTGCTATTTCTAATGTTTATCCTCTTGGCTCAGTTGAACAAGATTAACCTTGATTTTAATTTTAATTTTCAGGCGACATAGTAGAGAATACTTGACTTGGGAGCAGGAGGCAAGGGAAGCGATACAACTCAGTGATTATAAGAGGATTCTGACATAGAAACAACTGGTCACTGAAGAGCTGTGTGACCTAGACATTACCTAATGTCTCTGAGTCTCAGCTGTAGAAAAGGGAAAGCGAGAATACTGTTGTCAAGACTAAATGAAAACCACCTAGCATACTGCCTGGTTAACAGTAAAGCACTCAATAAATGGTGACTATGACTATTATTTTGAGGTCCTTGATCTGGAAACAGAAGCCCAGAGAGATTAACGGGACAACACTCATGTTGTTATTTGGTGGCAGAGCCTTCTTGATCCTTGTTCTCACCACTAACCCAGGCCTGCCTCTTTCAAACATTTTACAGAACCCCATTTACACATACTCTGATATACTACTTATAATTACATGCTTGGTTTTTTGCCTGAGGTAGATTTAATAAATTCAAGTGTATTCGTCCCATAGCTGTCTGCCTGGAAGGTCTTATGAACAACTCCAGGGCAGGAGCCATAGGTTGCTTATCTAATATGTGCTCAATAAATGATTGGTGAGTGAATGTTAAGCTTGAAGTCAATTACCTACCTGAGTTATGGATGTCCCATACCTCCTGTGTTACATTACAAGCAGTGCAGAAAAGTAGAATGGGTGCAAGGGACTCATGCAGGCCTGGGTTTGAACTCTACAACTGGTAGCTGGGTTCAAAGCACCTAGGAGTGCTGGAAAAATGCAGTTCTGGATAAATAGAGGAGGAGAAACAGTAGCAGTAGTAGTAATAGTAGTAGCAGCAGCAACAGCAGCAGTAGTATCAGCAAAAAGTGGAGTAAGAAAACTTTTCTAAGGATGAATTTTGTCCTCAAGAGCTGTGACGGGCCCACAATGTGCTATGTGGAGGAAGTGTAGTGTAACTGAGTCAGATAAACCTGGGTTTGAATCCTAGCTCTCAACTTATTAACTGAGTGTGACCTTGCATTATGTTTCCTGAGCCTCAGTCTCTTCATTGTAAAATTAAGATAATGATAGTACCTACCTCATAGCTTTGTGGTGAGGATGAAATAAGATATGGTATATAAAGCATATCATAGCACAACACCTCACTCATAATAATGTCTCAAAAAAAGCTATTTGATGAATTAATGAATGTGCATCTTTAGCAAAATGCCATGAAAAAACTACAGACATCCTTTAGCATCTGCCTGAGAGGAGAAGGAGGAAGAGACAATTCCAAATAAGAACTGTCTCAATAATTAACCACCTGTTTCTTACCATGCAACACCTAACGTCGGAAGAACTGGAAAAAATTGTGTGATCAGAACAAACCATTCCCAGTGAATGCATAGAGAGAAGCTGCTATTTCACATCATAGCTACACAGTTGCTGGACCTGAGAGAGTCCCTCAGAGTGTGAATAAGTGTTTGAAAAGACAAGTACAGGGCCTGACACATATGGAATAGTTGATCACCTTAGTTCCTTTCCTACCCTTCTCCCAAATGGGTAGAAACAAACAAACCACTAACCAACAAAGCAGCAACAGAAAAACTGAGTTAAAGTGGTTGAGAACTGATCATGGCAGTGACCTTACTGAATGGACCCTTCACTCTTGGCTCTAGTGTGACCTGCCAGCCTGGAGAGCCTCTCAGGCTGAGCAATTAACCCTAGCAGAGAAGTCATGATGCCACCACATCTTCTCGTTCTCCTTCTCCTTCTTCTTCTCTCCTTCTCCTTCTCCTTCTTCTCCTTCTCCTTCCTCTTTCTTTTTCTTTTTCTTTTTTTTTTTTTGAGACCGAGTTTCACTCTTGTTGCCCAGGTTGGAGTGCAATGGCACAATCTTGGCTCACTGCAACCTCAACCTCCCAGGTTCAAGCAATTCTCCTGTCTCAGACTCCCGAGTAGCTGGGATTACAGGCATGTTCCACCACCCCCGGCTAATTTTTGTATTTTTAGTAGGGACAGGGTTTCGCCATGTTGGCCAGGCTGGTCTCCAACACCTGACCTCAGGTGATCCGCCTGCCTCGGCCACCCAAAGTGCTGGGATTACAGGCATGAGACACCGCGCCCGGCCTCCTCTGTCTTCTTTATGAGCGTGAAGGGTACAGGACATGACGGGGTGGGATCAACTCACGGCCTAGGCTACAAAAACTCTTTTCTCCTCTTTCTGTTCTTTGCCCCTCAGCCCCCAGTTCTTGTTTGGACATGCACTGAGAATAGCATTTAGGATTCCTGCATTCTCTATCTCTTTTTTAATGTTTGGATTGGCTGTTCGCCAAGGCAACAGAATAGCATTTTCAAGGAGCAGGTGAGTTTGGGGAAGATCTCTTTTCTTTTCCAATATATTAACTCCATGTGAATTAAAGCCATCAGAGACCCTCTTGGAAAGAGCATATAAGTTCTCCCAGGGCTTCCAAATGAAAGTCCCTACAAGAGACCCAACAAGGTTGTCATTTTTAAGGGAAAAATACCCAGGCATGGTAGCTGCTGCGAGGAAATTTGAGAAGTGACCTGCAAGTTACATTTGCGATGTGAAAACCACTTTGTGTTCTTTGTAAGCAACTGTTTGATGTGTGGCATTGCAGTCATGGGTGTGAAACATCTGGTTTTAACCAGAATGTGGGTGATTTGCCACAACTGGGGAGAACAGGTAAATATGGCTTTGCCTCCTGGTCTCGTATCTGGCCCAGACATGCAAATTCCAGTCTGCAAACTTATTCTTCTCTGCCAGGATTCAATAGGTTAATGTCAGCAATTGGCAGAGGTCTGCCTGTGGTTACACTGAGTGGCACATGGCAACAGGTAAGGACAACAAAAGGCTGCCAGAAAAGGGAGCCCAGCTTGTCTGAGGGCCAGGTAATCTGACTTGCCAGTCAGGGGAGGGAACAGTTCCTGGTTCTGGGCCAATACTGGAGGTACAGAGAACAGAACCAGAAGAAACCTGGACAGGGAAAAAGAGACAACAGCTACCATTTGTTGAGCACTTACTCTGTGCCAGGCACTATGCCAAGTCTGGGTGTGTTCTCTGATTTGATCCCAGCCAGAGCCCCATTTTCCAGAAAGGGAATCTGCAGCCATAAGGCAAAAATAGATCAAAACTGGGAACTTAGAATAAAACAAATACCAAAGCACTCAGAAGGCAAAGCAGTTAGAGCTAGTTGCCAAGAAAACTTCAGGAACCTGTGTTCCTTATAGCCATGGCCATTGGGATTTGGCCATTTGCATCTAAGCCACTCCATCCCTTCAGTTGACTCCCTTATTGGGTCAGCTTTTCCTGTCACACCTCAAGGTGGTTGGCAAAGGCAGAGCTGGTTTGGCAAGGACCGGGACCAGAAGAGGGATGAACAGGTGTCTGCAACAGATTCCTTTGAAGAATACTTTAATGGCCTTATGCCATAAAACTCAGGCTAGCATGCCAGTGGAAGAAGAGGATCGATGAGTTGAAATAGACAAATTGGCACATGAATTTGAGCTTTGTTTACACTTCTATAATCAATGTTACTCATTGCCTTGTGTGGAAATAAGATGTTCTACCATCAGTAATACCTGTCGATAAATGCAAATATGCTCGAATTTCATTAGCAGAGACCCCTGCTTAAGCATACTGACAATTGCAATGAAAGCACAAGTCCTACTGAAACTAGCACACAATACAAGTCGCAACACAACTCTGACCCGTGACTTATCTACATAGTCTTCCCTCACAGACATTAGGTCTCATTTGTTCTTGAGCCAAAATTGTCCTTGGCTCTGATCAGCAGTTAGTGAACAAATGACACTGTATGGCAGCATCCTGCCACTAGGGTGTACAACTCCCACAAGTATGAAAAGCAAGCATCTCTCACCTTCAGACTGCTGTGCCTACAAGCAGCAAAGTCCAAGTGCATGAAAAGAGTTAAATCCTGCTTGGTCCCTTGAAGGGCTAGAAAGCATTTTAAAGGTGACATACATCAGAGTGATCCATTTTCACGGGCTGGGCTGTGCAAAAAAGTCAGAGGGGCTGGATGAGAACCTTAAACAATGACAACACAGTTGCATTCCCAGCTGTGTTAAATGACCAGCATATCATGATTGCCTTTTCACGCAAATATCAATGACATAATCCTAACAGGCTTGCAGCTCTCTCGCTGGTGTAATAAAACAATGACCCAATTATTTTCAAGGGCTGAGGCAGTAGATGCAATGACTGGGTATGTTGTGCAGGGCGCTGTGTGTGATGGACGGGGCACAGTAGGGCAGCAAACTGTGTGCTGAGGATCGGAAACCTGCCTCCCGAGCCAAAACTCCTGCCATTCATCTGGTCAGAATAAAAATAAAGCCATTCAGTATGAAAGTTCCCACTTGTTCTCACGACGGAGGCCAGTTGGGAAAATGTGGTGCAGCACTGACTGAAGCAAATTCTGTTTAAAAAACCAGCCGGTTTGTGGGTATTTGTTTATTTATAACTGCCCCACCACCACCTCCCCACACCCTGCCTCATTCTGCAAAGGATTTGAGATGGGATTGGAACACTGAAAGTTTGTTTAAGTCCTAAACAGGTCCAGCTACTTTTTAGACCGATGACAAAATGAAACCTTCTGGATCAAGCCCCTTGCTCTGTGGAACACTGCTTTGGTTTACCCAGCCAGAGCTAGTCCTTCTTGTACCCTGTGGTGAGAGGCACCTCTTGCACCAGAATACCCTTGTGCCCAGTGCTATGCTTGACCAGGGAAATACACATGAGCCCATAAGCCTGAAGCCTGAAAATATTAAGGAATATGGATTCACTTACTCCCTCACTCATTTGCTCATTCAACGAATATTCCTTGGTTAGCTATTCCAGAACAAGCTCTCTTCCAGGCACAGGGGAAGCAAAAATGAATAAGATCCAGTCTCTGCACTTGAGAAGCTCCTCGTCTAGTAGGAAGGACAGACAAGTAAACAAACCCCTGTTCTGCAATGTGGCCAGTGCTGTAGTAGAATCGTGCCTGGGGGTGGCGTGGGAGGTGTAGGGTAACATGAGGTGGGGGCTGCAGGTGGCATAGATGATTTAGTTTGTGGACTTGGACTCAGACTGCCTTGAGTTCAACTTTTGGTTCTGTCTCTTGCTAGCTGTGTGACCTTGGGCACTTTTCTTAACATCCCAGAGCCTCAATTCCTTCATCTGTTAAATGGAGCTAATAATAGAGTTGACGTCATTGGGTTATGATGAGGATTAAATGAGATAATCTGTGTAGAACACTTAGAACAGTTCCTGGCACATAGTAAATACCCAATAAAAACTTAGCTTTTTATGCTTTTTATTTCTTTTGTTTAATTTCATAAGACTGTGTCTGGCGATGAGACTCCAAGGACTGGTTTCTAAAACAGAACTGTTTTCAACAAACTCTTCCCTTTTAGCCTGATTTTTTTTCCTATGGAATGACACAGTTCTGCCATAATTTTTCCCTCAGCAACCATATGTCTGGCAAGAACCTCAGGAAGAAAATATTTTCCAGATGGTTTTGCTTATGTCAGCCTACTATGTGCCAAGCACCACTCTAGAGGAGAGGGACACATTGCTGAGTGACACAGACAAGGTCCCTGTCCTCTTGGAGCTTACATTCCAGTGGGAGAGACATACCATAAATAGACAAATATAAATAGACATAATTACCCAGAGCAGTAAATGGGGTTAAGGAAGCATTGCTAATAAAAGAAATGTAAGAGAGGAACAGGAGGCATCTAACTGTGGGTGGTCAGAGAAGGCTCTTCTCAGGAGGTAACGTTAAGCTGAGACTGAAAGGTTAGGAAGGAGCCTTCCATGCCAAAAGCAAGAGGAAGGGCAGTCCAGGCAGGAGCACGAACAAAGGCCCTGGGGCGAGAAAAGACCGAGAATGTTGCAGAAATTGAAAGACCAGTGTGGCTGAGACACAGAGCCCTAGGAGGGAGGTAAAGCCGGCAGGATTAGTACATGCATTTTGAAGCTGAGGAAATGGAAAGCCCAGAGAGATGAATGGACTTACCCACAATGCCTTGCACAAGGTAGGCGCTCCATATGTTGTAGAATTCACAGTCAGTAGGGCGGGGCTGAGGCCCTTTGCCTTCCAAATCGGACTGAGATTTCCCACCACAACTAGGAATCAGCTACCCAGGGAGACTGAAACATACAGTCGTTTTTGTTGGTGAGTCATAGGCAATGCACATTAGAGTGTGGGGTCGAGTGGCCCCAGCTGCTGCCTGTGTGTGTAAAGGGCGGGGGTGGGCTCAGGCCGCGGCTGAAGCTTTTTAGCATGTTTATGATGAGCTGAAAGAACTCACTGCTTAATTTAAAATACGGCTCACACATACACATACAATTCAGCAGCTGGAGGAGCTGCCAGGAAATGAGAATAAGTGTAGAAAATTGGAGGATCAGGAATATCAGGTATTCGGCTCCGTTTCCCAGCTCCCATGCGCTGTCTCTGATCCCATAAGGTCCCATCTTCCCTAACAAACTCTGGGAGGTCAAGACATGGTTGGAGACCGTGGCAGTTTGGGGAAGGGAGGCCTGGCCAGAGCCCTTAATGCTAGCTACACTGATTGCCCCACCCGGCCTTAAGCTTGCCGGCCTTCCTCTCGTTCATGTTCCTTGAAATCTGACGGCTGGAAAAACTCATTTGGCCCTGATCACTAACTGCCTATGCTAGCTGCTGCTTTTCCTGATTGTGTGTATCTTGCCTCCTCAACCACACGGGGGCCATCGGCACACACTTGAGGAATTGAGTTGTTTTCTTTTGTATTCACCGCAGCTCTCAGCACAGTAGAATTTACACAGTGAGAGACTCGAGTGTGTTTGCTCATGGGTTGCAAGATAGTATCATTTGAAAAGCCTTTGGGGCAGAGTACCTGCTCTTAATTAAAAAAATAAGAACCTCAACTTGACAAAAATGTGTTAGACCATCAGGCGTATCTCTGGTTTCCTTCACATTGTTCCTCTACACCCAGAGTCCCCGGCCTGCATGCCGGATGAACCTACAGCCTCTCAATCAAAATGCTCCACAAGTCATCTCTTTGGGTTCTTTGCTCAGAATATCCCTTCTGACTGGGATGCCCTCTCTCCCAACTCTACCAATCATAACCCCATCTCACCCTTCAAGGCCAAATGTAAATGCCATCTCTGGCATGAAGCTTTTGCAGGCACAATTCATTGCTCTTGCCCCTGAACATGGCACCCTGTGTCTACCTCTTTTATGGTACAGGCTGGTGGACTGGAATGACCTGGTTTCAAATTCCAACTCCATCACTTCCCAAGGCTACCTCCGTTTTCTCTTCTAGAAAAAGGGATAACAACATCAGCCTCAATGGGATGTTGGAAGTTGCCAGTAAAATAATATCTGCAGCCTGCATAGCACAAGACTTGGCCTCCAGAGCTCAGTAAGTGTTTTTTGTCATCATCATCATCTTCATCACCTCTGGGGAGCAGAAGAATGTAATAGTTCCAGAACTGGTTTGGTCCATTCTTAAAAATGTGACCTTGGGCCAGTCTCTTCCACTCTGAGGCTCTGTTTCCTCATGTGTATAAAATGAAGTGATAATAGTTTACCCACCTCCATCACAAAACCTGCTGGGAAGATGCAAAGACATAATAATGTAGGCAAGGTAAACTGCTAAGCACAGGGCTTATCGCATAAAAAAAAAATGCTCATTTGCGTCTGCACACCCCTACAACCTAGAAAACTCCTTTAAGGGCACAGACAATATTTTACTTATCTTTGCATCTCTTGCTGCCTAGCCTAGCCCAGAACCTCTGCAGCTGGCAGACCCACAATAAATCATTGTTGAATTGAATTGAAAACCCAAACCAGATGTGCCTCCTCCCCTGTCAAATGAAGCTTTCAAGCTGGCAGGTTGGGCCTGCTGCCTCTTCACTCCCCCTCCCTCCAAGCTGAGCAGCCGCCATTGTCTAGGCCTGGCTCTGGGGAATGAGGCAGTGCCTGCCGAGAGGAGGGATTCAGAGTGGGTAAGGATAGATGGCACTAGGTGGGATGAGTGCGGTAGGGAAGAGCACTCTGTCTGTTCCTGATGACCCCAAACAGACTGCCTTTGAAGGGGGCTATCCTGAAGTCTCTGTCGAATGAAAAGTAGTGACAGTCCAAAAGCCCTTCGCCACCCAGCGCCTAGCTGTGGAGGAAACCCAGCTCTCCCCCAAAAACCGAAAATTGGAAGTAAATGAAGATATCGGGAGAAAGCTTCCTCTTCCTTTAGCAAAGATAGTGATACAGACATTCAGAGAGGTTCAGCTCTGAAATCATAAGGCCAGGATTTGAAGCTGAGTTCACTGGCACCATGGGCATGCTCTAACCACTGGGCCACCTTGCCTCTAAGCTAGTCTTGCTATAGAAGGACAGGAGTATGTTTTCACCCTTCCCACCAACCCCACAGGACGCTTAGAAGCAGAGCGTATGGCTTTAATGGTGGAAAATACTTTAAAAAGTACAAATCTGTTACAAAACTACAAAAAGAGGCCCATGTCTTCAGTGTTTCTGAGCCAGAGCTATGCAGACAGGGCACAGGGGGTAGCATGCTAACCAGCACAGAGTCAAGGTAATGGGCCACACACCTGAACATGGCCACTTGGATTGTAACTCTAGCTCTGTCACATGCTAGCCTGAGTGACCCCGGGCAAGTGATTCAACACCCCTGTGCCTCCATTTTCCCACCTGTCATATGATATTAATAATAGTACCTCCTCACAGGGTTGTCTATGAGAAGTAAATAATCTAACATTTTTAAAGCAGTTACCATGTGCCCGGGACATGGTAAACATTAAACAACGGTTCGTTAAATCAAAATAAATACATACCTCTGTCCCTTTGTAGCCAGACTAGTCTAGAGGCACTGTTGCCAAATGGTTAGTGTGTGCCCATGGAACCAGCTGAACTCGGCTTCAAATCCTGGTCTCATGATTTCAGAGCTGAGCCTCTATGAAACTCAGTTTGACCATCTCTACCATGAGAACAATAACAGTCCCTTACCCACAGGCTGTTGAGAGTTTTAAATGAGATATCTCCAAAGTCCAGAACACAGTGCCTTGCCACGGCAGAGTGAGTAAGCACCCAATTAAGGCAGAGTGTTAATCATCTGAGTCTGCTTCCCATTTTTTTTTTTTTTTTGCCTCTTCTGGGTTAAGTTAACCCACGATATATAGTTTTGGAAGTCTTGCAGCAGTAAAGGGAACAATTTCATCATTTTGCCAATGAAATTCCTAAACATTTTATTCAAGAGCCAGAAAAGGCAAACATTTTTGGTCATTTCTAAATCAATGAAGCATGGACAATCAGTTTCCCCACTCAGCAAACCTGACTCCCAAAGCTATAGAAGTCACTTTGCAGGACAAAATTGAAGGAATGAGTATTTTACTGCAAACAAAAGCCATCTTTGTTTGCGGCCCAGCTTTGGGAGAAAAGAAATACCTCAACCCAGGAGCTTGGAAAATTCTTGAAAGTTATCTTTTTATTCCAGCAAATCCAACGTAATTGGCAAGATTCCTGACCATGCAAACCTGAGTCAGAATGAGTCGCCTTTACCCACCCATCTCCCCACAGCACCCAGAACCCAGCAGAGTACACTGGGCATCAATACATATTGGTTGTCGATTCCTCCATGGGAGCCCCAAATTCCATTTCTACAATGTCTGCTACATTGCCAAAACAATCCAAAAGCAGCACTAAAGAACATTTTGAAAATGGGGAAAAAAGCATCCATCACTCACCACTCTAACACAACTCTTAGTTTTGTGTGGAAAGTTCTCTTCCAGTCTTTATCCATGTGCAGACATATTTTTATAGCACTGTAGTCATAGGGAAAAACTGCAGCAGCTTCAGCCAAGAATCAGATACCATACAGCTCATGTCACTAAACTTTCCAAGTGAGAGCTTTTTCTTCTCTCATTCACTCTATTCATTCATTAATTCAGTCATTCAACAAACATAGATTTAACCATGGCTCTGGTGCTACGGCCCTGGGGAGTACAGAGATGACTAAGGCACAATCCCAGTTCTCAAGATGCTTCCAGTTTAATGGGGGAAACAGAGAAGACAGCAGGAAATTATAACACACTGGGATAAACATGAATGCTGTGAAAGCACAGAAGAGGAGCATTTAAAGTGGGCAGGAAAGGGTGTGGAGGATGGGGAGGCAGAGAATATATATATATATGCTTTCTTCTTTCTTCAGAAGAAAGCAAGGTGTCATCAGGTGGCCAAAAATAGTACTGTGTGACTGCATGGGCAAGTGGTAGTGGATGCAGTGAGAAAGGAAGGACAGGGCCAAATCATTAAGATCAAAGGTTTCTGTTTCATTCTGAAGACTGAGGGGAAGCTCTGGAAGGACTTTAAGCAGAGTAGTAGCACTGTCAGATGTGCATTTTAGAAAGATTGTCCCAGCAACAGAATGGAAGGTAGATTGTAGGGCATGAGATAGGTAACAGGGGACCCATTTATCAGCTTGTCACAATAATTCATCAAGATAAGGAAGGTCTAAACGAATGAGATGGCTTCTCCACATACAAATTGTGTCACGTTAGTGAGTGACTTAACCTGTCTGTGCCTCAGCTTCCTCCTCTGTAAAGCAAAAATAACAAGAGTATTGCCCTTGCAGGGCTGCTGGCAGGATTAAATGAAACACTGCATGCAAAGCACCTGGCACAGTGGCTGGTACCTAGAAGACACTCGATACATATCACTTCCCCTTTCCCCTCATCCTTTTTCCTCCACTTCACCCTTTCTTAAAGGCTGGCATGGTATGGAGCATGGAAGTGGCCAAAGCAGACTCTAACCCAGACAGTCTGACTCCAGAGGGCAGTGGAGAAAGTTTGCAAGTGCTATTGTCAGGACAGTTACTTAGAAGGATTGTTTAGCTGAGTTGAGGGCCCCGCTGAGGTTGGAAACTATGACTTTCTGGTGGGACTAACCAACAAAGTGATGGGATTTTCTCCAGCAATGTTCCTCCATCTGGGCATAAGCACAGAGGAGGAAACTGTCAGTTAAATTTATCCAGACTTAGGATTTTGCCTCATGGATGCAGCAGAAAGACACAGGGCAAGGGAATTGGGGATATACGCAAGATTCTGAAAGCAAACAGACCTGACTTCAAATCTCATCTCTGCTGTGGGACTTTGGGTAAGTCACTCAACCTCTCTGAGCCTCAGTCACCTCATTAAAAGGAAAACCACAATAGTATCTTCCTCATAAAGTTATTGTGAGGATAACATGAGATTACTGAAATGATGTCATAAGATGGGTAGTATATGCCTGGCACATACATATTAGTTGTTATTCTTATCATCATCATCATCATGTTCCAGGATGGAGAGGGAAGGTAGTAAGGTGAAAGGGGCTGATGGGATGGAAGAAATGGATGGAGGGGGCTCAAAAAACTGGAGAGCCTCCTGAGGTAAAAAGAAGAGCGTTGAGGCCAGCCAGCAAGGTGTAGATGGTAGGGGGTTCTGACTGATGATGAAGCATGGTAAGGCTAGGATGAGAGTGTGTCCTGTACATGGATCACGGATGTCCAACTCACCCAGAATGATGTCAGGACTTGGGGTGGAGAAGAAGACAATGAGCCAGATGTCGAACTCTTCGTTGAATGTGGGGGTGGGGGGGGGTTGACCAGGAGGGGATGGTTATAAAGAAGCGTCAACGAGGAGAGAAGTAGCCAGATGGCATGAGAAGGAGGAGTTCTTGGCTGAGGACGGAGGACTAACAGCCTGGAAGCAAACAGGGGAAGCTAGAGCACAGACCCCACCTCCCAGCCCTAGGGTGCCTGTAGTGTGGGAGTGTGGACAGTGTCCACTAGAGGGCGCTGGTGGCAAAGCCGTGAGATCCGCCGTGGAGACTCAGGTTTCAGCACTTCCAGGCCCGGAGGTAGACAATAGTGCTCTGTAAAATTTATCCAGGGTGTAGGGGGAATTGTTTACTGCAAGGTGGGGGCTTCCAGAGGGTACTGAGAAGAGTGAGAGAGGGCGGTAGTGGGGAGGTGGATGAGTCGGGGTGGCAGGGATGGGAGCACTGAGCAGTATGAGGATGGTATGGGAGAGGACAGATGACGAGCAGGGAGGCTTAACGTTTGGGCTGTGGCCAAGAACTGGGGGATGTGAAGCCTGGTGGGATTAACTGTCCTCGGAATTCCAAACGGAGCTTTTTTTTCCCTTTACATCTTTTGTTTATTATAAAAGTAGCACATGCTAGTTTCAAACAACTCTAATTATTGCTCAAGGGAAAATCTACCTCTCCTATTCTACTCCCCAGTGTTGACAGTCTGTCTATCCTTCCAGTCTTTTCCTGTATGTGTAACATATAATACCCTTAACAAAAATCAGATCCTACTATACTTACTCTTCTGCAACTTGCTTTTATCACAATACTATATTGGAGATATCATTGCACATCAGTATTTAAAGATCTAGCTTGTCTTTATTTGTGGCTACATCGTCATTGTCATCATTATACTAGTAGTTGGAATAGTAATGTGTAGCAATTATTAAATGCTCTGTGCCAGGTCCTATCTGAATATTTCATATGAATTATCTCATTTACTCTTCACAACTTCATGAATTGTTACTTTTCCCATTTTACAGATGAGAAACGGCACAGAGAGGTTAGAAACTTGGTCGAAGTCACACAGCTCATAAAAGCTAGAGGAGGAAGTCAAACCTAGGCAGTCTAACCAAGGCTCAAACTCTTAATCATTAGCATAGTAATGCTTAGTATGTCATTATTGGGATGTATTATAAATGATTTAACCAGTCCTTCACCGAGGTCATTTAGTTTTTTCAATTTGCTCCTATTTACAAATAATGTTTAAATGAACATCCTTATACATGGAGCATTTTGCAAAGGTAAACTCCTAAGACAGGAATTGCTGACTCAAATAACATTTCCAGTTGCCCTCCAGATGTGCATCAAGAGTGAATGAGTGTGCTGTTTCACCAGATTCTCACAAACCCTGGGTTTTAGTGACCTTTTAAATTTTTGCCAATTTGAGAGGTAAAAGCTGACATCTGAATCATCTCAATATTGTTTTAATTTGCATTTCTTAATTATTACTGATTGGTGTTCCTTTTAATAGGGCATAGGCCCTTTGCCTTTCCTCTGTGAATTGCCTGTTCATTATTCTTTGAGCATTTTTCTAGTGAATTGTTCATTATCTTCTCATTGGTCTACAGAAGCTCGTTTATTCCTTCCTTCAACAAGTATTTATTGAGTACCTACTGTATGCCAGGCACCAGTCTAGCACTAGAAATATAATAGTGAGTAAGCAAAACCTGAGCTTTCATGAAGCTAACATGTAAGCAGAGGAAATAATAGAAAAACAAGTAGCTAAATCATGTCATTGTAAATCATGGTAAGTGCTGTAAAGAAAATAATGCACTTCTTACACTGGAGCTGGTGGAGTATTCTGAATAATAAACCATTGTCTTCCTTCTATGTTGTGACTTTATCCTGGTTTATATGTTGCCTTTCCACTTTGCATGAGATATCTTTCACCATACTCAGGTTGTTAAATTTTTGCATAGTCAAATCTATCATTCTTTTTCTTCATAGATTCTACAGTTTCTCGTTGCTTTGCAAAGACTCCCTACCTCAATATTCTCTTATGCCTTCTTCTAATCTTTTAATGGTTTCTCTTTTTAACATCTAAATCTGACCTAATTGGATTATATTTTGGAATAAGGAGTGAGATAAAGATTCAGCTTTATATTTTGGTGGCAGGCCGGTTGTCACAGTAAATGGCACCATGTATTAAATGGTGCATCCTTTTCCCCAGAAATGGTGAGGCTGAAGCCCAGAGAAGGGACGACTCTTGCCCAGGGTCATGTAGCAAATTAGTGGTGACCAAACTCTTCCCAGATCTTGAGGCTACTGACTTCCATGCCAGTGATACAAAACTGAACTCATCACAGCTCCATTCTCTGGTGCACTTGAACAGTCTTCCCTGACCCACGCCAAGGTTCACTGTCGGAGGCCACAGTATTTTTCCTTTCCAATAGGCCCCCTGACTTCTCTTGCTCAGAGATACAAGTGCAGTGACCCATGGCAGCTCTGCTGCTTATAAATAGGAAGACACTTGCTGATCGCTGCTGAAATACCTCACATTAAGGCAGCTTTGGACACAGAAGACTGGAGGCAGAGAGCAGATAGATTTGCCATTTAGGAACCAAAATAGGAAGTGCCTAATTTTAAATAAAGAGATTTGGCATTGTTTTCATCCAGTTGCTGATGGAGCAGCTGCCATCGTGGAGCTTTTCAAGGAGGCTGCCTTGAATTGCGCCAAAATGATAAGCTTGTGGCTTGGAGGCTGCTGGGACTTGTCCCAAGGCCCCAGCTACGACATATCTAGGATCCAAAAGGTTATCTTGAAACGACAGGTGACTACATCACCACCAACGCAGCTTGACCTGACATCCCATTTCACTTAATGTTTCCCTTCTCCCTCCATGCTTCCCAAAGCTGTGGACATTTTGTCTGTGGAAAGCTGCTACCCCCAGGAGACAAGCATCTGGGAGAGCATCTCCACAGAAAAAGAAAAGTAAAGTGGGAGTTGAAGTCATTCAGGCTACTTGAGACAACAATTTTTAAAAGCTCCTATTTTCCCTCAGTTACCAGGAGATTTTCGGTCAAAGTGTTCAAAGAAAATAGGTGGATAATTACCTCCATTATTTCACTTGGCTTTCTATGGATAGACATCGTCAAAGATATTGGCGAGTTCCTCTTGTCCTACTAATCTTGATGGGTATTTTGTTGATTCACTTCCAAACTCTGAAGTAAATGTACTGCTTATTATAACGAAAAACAACCTTTAAGATGCCCTCTGTCCTCTACCTCTAGGCAGAGTGAGCAGCAGCTTGTACAGTGAAATTTAAGGTCCTTCTTCCCACACTAATAATGTCAGATCGTCCCACCACCAATACAGGGGAGGAAAAACCCTGAGTTCCATTTCCAACTCTGCCATGACTTGCTCTGTGACCCGAGGCGAGTCATCATCCCTGTCGGTGACTCAGCTGGCTACCCATAAAACGAGAAAGTCAGTCTGAGTGGTTTCCCTAACTGGGTTCCTCATCAAAATCACCAGTGATACTGTTAATAATATGCAGATAATTCAAGTCCTCATCTCGGACTTACTGAATCAGACTCTGAGGATTAGGAGCCACACTGCATCTGTATTTCAACAGCATTCCTGGTAATTCCATTGTACAGCCAGGTTTGGGATCTAGTGAACCAGATGACCTCAGGGTCCCTTCTGCTCCTGACAACAGGTGGTTCAATACCTCCCTCTGTACTTATGTACCATATCTCTAAGTGAGGTGCTGCCCCCTGCCCTTCTTGCTAAGTGGGAGCCCATTCTCTTATCAGGAGCCCTGAAGGCTTTAGCCATTCCTTTGTCAGATATTTAGCAGTTACCTTTGAGGACAGGACCCAGAAGGAAGGAGTACACGTATTATTGATGGGATCAGGGGAGTGAAAAAAAAAAAACAGCAGCAGCAACAACAGAAAAATGGGGGAGCTGGATCTGCCTGAAGGCCAAGACAGCCTGAGATCCTAATGGGGGCATGGAGGGCATTGACAGATTATACGTACAATACTCGAGCCTCATTTTCCCTGGTATCCTCTCTGTCTTGGCCAGACAAAACAATGCAAAGAGGTACAGCTAAGCTGGAAAACAGCCCTCTTTTTAGGTAGTGAGGTCTTTGGGCCCCTACGATTGATACCAGCAAGTGAGAATGTAAACACAACTCTCTTCACCACTGGGACCATCTGACGTCAGTCCCTTGGCTCCAGCATGTCTCAAGATAAGAGGACTGTAGGAAGCCCTGGGCCTTGACATTAGGACGCTCTAGCTTTGAGGCAAACTCTGAACTATGGTTTCTCTTCTGATAACTGGGATCCTGCCTTCTTTTGGTGATCAAAAGTCCCCGTCTCAAAAAAAAAAGTCCCCATCTCCTGCCAGTTTTATATACCCCGACTATGCTGACCTACATGCCTGACTCCAGCTGTGTGCTTGCATCCACATTCATTATTCATTATTTATAAGCACCTCAGTTAATTAGGCCAAACGGAAGCAAAACACATGGTCCTGGCCCTCACGAAGCCATCAGGCTAGCACAGTGGTGTTCAACCTTATCAGACTTAACATCCTCTCTTTTATAATAAATCTGCTTTTGCTTCACCCCTTTACTATCCTGAAATTAAATTTCTAGGTACTATAACCTACCTACACGCATAAGTTCAAAAAGATAGCTATATGTCCTGCCACATAAAGAGAAAATAAAGCAATACATAATAAAACACTATGTATTTAACTCTGTAAATGCTCACACAGGACTACATTGAATGATTAAATGAAGTAGTCAGAAGCTTGTGCCTTTATATAGAATCCCCATGAATGCAACAGTTATGGACACAAACTGATATGTTATATTGATTAATTCCAAAAGCAACATCACAATTGTTGACATGATTTCCTGAAATGGTGAATGAGTCTGTGTGATCCTCTGTAACCATGTAATCTTCCATATCTTTACAGAATAGTTGATTAAAACTGTGGGGTCGGGGCAGGGGAAGCAAAACCCTTTATGCTTAGGTATAAAACATTTATAGTAAAAGTTTAGATAATTAGAAAAGCAGTTTTCAGCTCCATGGAAGTCCAGCAGAACATTCAAAAATTATTCGGGATGCTAGACTATTTTTCATTTTGCAAGTCTGTCGTGGGCGTTGGAGAACATCTAGCATCCCCATTTCCAGTCCTCTGAATACCCTCTTGCATTTTCCAAAAGTCCCCTAGGGGGCAGTATTGTCTCAGTTGAGAGCCACCAGTCTAGTCATTCAGTTTCTGTGGAACTGGGATTTTGTCTGGTTCTTCCCAGGCTCCCAACTCCTTCACCCTTGCCTCCAAGGACTAGAGTCCCATCCTTGCTACTAGCACCTGGCAGGACTCCTAAGCCTCACCTGCTCCTGCTCAGTTCAGCTAGGCTGGGCAGGACTTCTGCTTTCACCAAAGCCAAGTGCTTCTCTAAATTGATACCTGTTGTTGCCACTCTCTTTGGGTGCCCCACTAAACTCAGCTGCAGTTGAGTTTCCTGCTCCATCCCAACAGGGTGCATTTTGCGGCATATGCCAGCTCTTCCACTCTGAACTTCCAATCTCCAGCCCCCTGACACTATGATCACCCACAGACCCAGGCCGTTGATAGTCAGTAGAACAGGTCCAACTACAGCAAGGTTTGAACTTGTGCCTCACCAGAACCCTGTGGCCTTTTGCCTTCAGCTAGATCCCCTTCTGATATTGAAACAGGAAAGAATTATCTTCTGCAAATAGAAAGAAAATGAGAGTCAGACCTTCTGTTAGGGCCCTCTTCTACCAGCCTTTAAATAGTTTTCTTGTCAGCCTCACACAGATAGCCCCAAACCATTTGAGAAGCCAGCACAGCTCCCTGCAAAGCACTGTAGCAAAAGGACTATGTACTCTGGAATCAGATGGACCTGAGTTCAAGTCCAGGGTCTATCTCATACTGCTTAAAGACAAAGAAATTCACTTAGACTCTCTGAGCTGCAGTTTGCTCACCTGGAAAAATGGCAACAATAATGAATGTCTGGAAAATGCTTAGCACAGTACCTGCCACATAGTAATCTGCTAGTAAATGGTTGTTATTTGTATTATTCTAGCAATCACATGGTATGTGCTGAAAAGTGGCTTCTGCTGACCTTACCTGTCCTATCCTATATATTTGCACTGTATCTTCTAGACCAAGGCAGAGTTTCCTGTGAGGCTCACTAGGATGAATCTGCATCCTGGGTTGAAGTTCCAACAGTGAGAAATACCAAGCTGGTAAAATCTCAAGGACTCTCTTCACCCAGCCATTGAGAATGTATTTTTATTTTTTCTATTCTGTCTCATTCCACAAAGAAAATCTTTTATGTAGCATTGAGCAAACCAGGATGGGGAAGCAGAATTAACTAGAAACTATACTTAAACAGGTTCCCACTTTCCTATAAAATTCAAGAATTGTCTGCAAAGGTGACTGGTGAAGTTGGCGGCATTGTTAATCACCTAAAGCAGCGTTTGCGCAATACCAGAGCTTTCCGAGGAAAAGGAGAAAACACAATCAATCATCCAGGTGCCAAAGAAGGCATTCAGCTCCTGTGCAGAGATGATATTAAAAAGTTACCTCAGTGCAAGCAACTAGATTAAGACAACAGACATCTTGAAGGTTCTAACCTGTTTGCTTAGCATTAAGAAATGGTGTTGAACAACCCAAAAACTATTGCATGAAACATCCACACATTCATCAATCAGTCAATATTTATGGAGCACACACTACATGCCAGGCACTATGAGAACTATAGAAAGCAGAGGAGCATAAGACTTTCCAGAACCAAAAAGAGGAATGCTTTTACACTGTTGGTGGGTGTGTAAATTAGTTCAAATATCGTGGAAGACACTGGAGATTCTTCAAGGATCTAGAACTAGAAATACCATTTGACCCAGCGATCCCATTACTGGGCATATACACAAAGGATTACAAATCATGCTGCTATAAAGACACATGCCCACCTATGTTTATTGCGGCACTATTCACAATAGCAAAGACTTGGAACCAACCCAAATGTCCATCAATGATAGACTGGATAAAGAAAATGTGGCACACATACACCATGGAATATTATGCAGCCATAAAAAAGAATGAGTTCACGTCCTTTGCAGGGACATGGATGAAGCTGGAAACCATCATTCTCAGCAAACTATCGCAAGATCAGAAAACCAAACACCGCATGTCCTCACTCATAAGTGGGAGTTGAACAATGAGAACACATGGAAGCAGAGAGGGGAACATCACACACCGGGGCCTGTGGGGCGTGGGGGGCTAGGGGAGGGATAGCATTAGGAGAAATACCTAATGTAGGTGACGGGTAGATGGGTGCAGCAAACCACCATGGCACTTGTATACCTAAGTAACCAAACTGCAAGTTCTGCACATGTAACACAGAACTTGAAGAAAAAAAAAAAACCACTTTCCAGAACCTTCCTTGAAGAACTTACTATCCAATTTGGGGAGTCGGGGGTGGAGGTGGAGAGAAAAGAACAAATCTCTAAACAAAGCAATAGAAAGCCCTTCAGCTAGGGTTTTCAGAGTAGGCTAACATCCTTTTCATTGCTGTAATTACAGTCTCATAAAATTAAGCAGACCAGATGTTCTGTGATTTGGTAAAAGAGAAAATATAGTCAAGCTTATTAAAGAGACTGTTTGACTTTACAAGGACTTGCACACCATGGTTCAGAACCAGGTGTTGGTGTCAGGTGGATCTGCGTTTAAGTTCTGGCTCCTCCACTTACTAGCTGGGTGACCTTGCCCAGGTTGTCTAACTTCTTTGGGCCCGTTTCCTCCTATGGAAATTGAGGGTAATAGCAATACCTTTTTGGAAGGATCATAGTGAAGATTAATAGAGATACCTTATATAAAACACTTAGCATAGAGCCTACCACACAGTTAATGTTCCCTTAAAAAGCAGCTTATTATAATTATTAAAAGAGAGAGAATGACTATTGCTAGCATTTGCCAAGGACATCTGGAAACTCTGAAAGAAAATTTCAGCCTCTTCTATTAGCAGTGGGGACAGGTTTCCCTCCCTTCTGGAGCACTAACATTCTTGGAGAAACAGCCAGCTGGATATGGTAAGATGGTGAGGTAAACAAAGTGTTTCTCCAAAAGTTCCATACCTTCTCCTCCCAGGTTAATTTGGCTTTTACGCTGCTACCCATTTGCTCAGAAGGGGCTCCTTTCAGCCATTGAGGCCCTCTCTGGGAGCTCTTGGTTATCCAATTTTAATGTTCCCCTCTTTACAAGCTCCCTTTGCAATTTGGCATTCTACATCTTCTTCCCTGAGGGATAACAACACAAGAAAGGATAGAAAAATTGCAACGTGACCTTTTTAAAAAGAATGACCTGTATGCAAAATCCCAACAGCACCTCTTAGAAAATACATTTACACAAAACCCCATGAAAGGCTCTGACTCATGCTTGGGGGGGGGGGGGACACAACAAGCACACCTGAATATATTTTTCGAATTTAACTGACAAAAGCGTATCTCTGAATCTCCATCACAGTATGTATAGTTTCCACCCCAAAAGTAAACACTTTAGGCTATTAGGAGAAATGACAATGGCCGTTTCAACAGAATGCGGATGACAGAATTTGCTTCCGAAAATGCTACTATGTGTATTTTCTTGTTTCCTGGTTATTAATATAACACATTTTGCCTCTGAGTGAAATGTTTTTACTTATGCCAAGAAAAATCGTGAGTTACAGGAAGTCTAACAGGCTTAATTAGTGAGTTTAACTTAATCCGGTGATTTTCAGCAACCCTGACAGAGTCAGGTTCACTCCCTGAATTTAATGGGAAGTGGTCAGAAATGGCCTTTAGCAACCTTATGAGAGAAAAGGCACATGATGCGCACAAACAAGGCCGGTTCTCCCAAGGTAAAAATAATAGGCTGAGGTACCGTAATTATCAACAGTGGTTTTTGTATACAGGTGCCTACTGCATGTGTTACCTGTTGCTTTCAGCTTTCGTAATTACAGTTTCTTATGATCAGACAGTGCTATTTTCCCTTCCTATTACCAACCAGCATGCTCAGGTGAAAGTTGTTCATGCCCCTGGAGTTTGTCCTGCGAGTGTATTTTTAAAGGCAAAGCTTCTTAGCCCAGCCAAATGAAACTGATCGGAAAAGCACCATAGAAACCAGAGGCCTATTATGTGTAATAGCTGGGCTCTTTGCAGCCCTATCCTAAGCACTAGGCCACAATTTCGGAAGGAAAGAACCTGTAAAGACTTCAGAAGACAGCAATGAAGACGATTAAGGGATTGGAAAAGAGGATCTAGGGGAAAAGGTTAAAGGTATTAGGATTATAAGGACGATTTAGCCTCAAGAGGAAAAAAAATGAAGGAGCCTGACCAACTGTTCTTCCTCGCTATTGATGGCACAGAATAAACGAATGGTAGCATGACGTACTTTAGTTTAGATGTAAGAAAGAACATGACAACAAGTCTCCGGAATCACTAAAGACTGTTCGTTCTTCATTCCTAAAACATTAGTCGAGCTTCCACCCCATGCTGGACTGTGTGCTGAGCACTGGAGAAGAAGTTCACAGGCTAATGAGGGAGACATGCCAAACAGATCATTATAAGACAGTGGGAGGCTTAGTATAATTGAAGGAATTCAGAATGCTTTGGACTTTTAAAAGGCGATTGGGTGTATACAGCACATATATATCACCTCCAGTGGGGTCTGAGGCAGTACCCAGTAATCAAGTACATTGATATTTCTGGAGCAAAAACACATGAATATTCACACAGGGTGTGAAAAATAAAGACTATAAATAACCTCATGTCAGTTCAAGTTGCGCTGCCAAATGAGTTTGTCATAAACGTACAAAGGCTCTCAGTTTCCAGAGCTTTTGGGGTTTTGGAATGATAGCTATGAGGCTATGAGTCTGGGTAAGGGGAGTCTGGCCAAGCACCAAGACCTGGGAATGACAGGGAGCTTCAGAATGTGGGCAGAGCCTGTGTCTCTAATGTGCCCCAATTCTGCTGCCCTGGTATCATGGACGTGTTTGGAGAAGGATCCGGGCATGTGCATGTGTGTGCGCGCATGCGTGTGTGTGTGTCTGTCTGTCTGTCTGTGTGTGTCTGTGTATACAGCAGGAGGAAGCTCCTTGCTGCTCCTCAGGTCAAGTCCACTTTCAGTGGCTCCTAGCAACATACTTTGAAGGAATGAGGTCTTTATTAACCAAATAATCAGTAAATGGGTTTTGTTATTGTTTTCAAATTATTTAGCTCCATAGTACCTATGAATATGCCCACAAATTTTGTAGAATAAGCATCCTCTGTGAGGTTTGCAATGTGTGGTAGAATCCCTGGGGCTGGGGGGTGTCACATCTCTGGCCTTCCTTTTTCAGCTGTGTTCTGTGAAGAACAGGGGCAGGGAAAGCCTGGCCTCTCAACTCCCTCTCTCATACCTACTCCCAAGGATGGCAGGGCCTGCCTAGCAAGTGATAAAGAAAGCTGAAAAGCCTACAGGGAGGGGCACCTGAGCTTCTGCTTATCTGGATTGGGGAACACCCAATTATCCTCTACCAGCCAAGCAGCTTCACGTAGGGGCTAACCTCCCTTAAAGGGGAACACCCAGTGAACCCTGTCACACCCTCAGAAGTTGTTTGCTTCCTGAAGAAAAGGGGGCAGTCCTTGAGTTCATTCTTCTGTTCCTAATCATGAAAGGAGACACCCCCCTTTCAGGACCTATTTTCTTTTGTCACTTACCCCCAACCATCACCTACACCTAAGCTCAAAAAATAACTAAAGCCCTCTTTTTGTCTTTAGACCTCCCTCCAAAAGCATGTCCTTCTCTCTGGACTGGTCCTCCTCTCCACCCTCTGGGAATCCAAGCCCACATCATTTCAGGATGAGATCAGCCTCCAGCCACTCCCTCTGAGGCCTGGCTTCCCAACCTTGGTGATTCCAAAGCACACATCTGTTGCAACACACAGGGCTCGCCCCTAGGCAAAATGGAGCCGGGGACACAGCTCTCAGTCAGCTGAGCTCCCACACTCACATACCCCATCCATGCTAGCACAGCCTTCCTCTTCCGTGGGGAGTAGGCTCCCTGGAACCCTTCCGTCTCCTCTCCCTGACAGGAAAGGCTCTGATCAAGGAATTTGCACTCAGATATAAATAATAACCCTGCCTTACCAAGGCAACCCTGACAGACAAACCTTGCAATTTGACTCAAAGGAATTGTATGCCGACCATGACGGTTTCTGGCATCACTCATAGGCAAAAAACAAATATTTATAGGCAAGGTGAGCCTTCTTCATGCTCATCAGATTATGATGTAGGGCTGCCAAGGCAGCTCTTGTCTTCTTGATCTAAGATAGACCATAGCAACATTCCTCAGAGCAAGGGACTCTGTTTCACTCTGTTTTCCGATTCAAATCAGGTCATGCAGTTTGATATCAAGAGAGATTATCTGAAATTGGGATTGACCTGGAAAGTGTGGGACAGAGGGTTGCCAAAGGTTGAGCGTACTGGTGGGAGGGAGTTGGGAAAGGAAAGGGAGACTTTGAAGAAAGAGACTTGTTGGTGAGAAGAGGAAAAGAGAAACAAGGAAGCGAAGAGAGACCTGGATGGTTATGGGGGTGAGGCAGAAGACTACTAAAAATTGATTTAAGGGAACAGTTAACATTTTTACATGCTTATTTTGTACTGGACACCGTAAGTGTGTTATCTCATGTCATCCTCACAACACGTCTAGGAGATGAGAACTATTATTAGATCCATTTTACAGGGGAGGAAACGAAGGCTCACTGAGATTAACTGTGGGAAATCATGCAATCAGTGAATGGCAGAGCCAAGATTCAAATGCTTATTGATCTGACTCCAGGGCCCTCAGCCATCTGAGAAAGGGGCCAAACACCCTTTGGTTGTAGGAGAAGCCTCCATGGTGTATCTTGATAGAGGCCCCCAGACAACCCCTTCCCCTTACCACAACACAGAAACACCTACATGCCTCCCGTGGGAGCTACCTGCTCCTAAGCTAAAGATTGCTTTCTGGGAAGGCACCAATAAATATAATATGTGCTCTGGAAAAGGTTAGGTTAAGGCAGTTTACCTTCAGAAAACACAAACCAGAGGTCAAGGTCTTAGAGGAGTTAGGAAGGAGAAGCTCTCAGCAGGATGGGCTGCCTGTAGGAGCCATAGTAGGTGTTGCAGCATGTAGGTGGCACTGTAGTACTGAGTCCCCGAGACACACTGGGAGTCTGAAGACACTAAAGACAAACTTGGCTTATTTCACCATTTTGCCCAGAGCTGACTCTGCTCACCATACACACAAGCGAGGGAAGAGTGCACAGTGCAAGGGAGCTGATGCAGGTATTGGAGCCTACGTTCAAATCCTAGCTTTGCAGCCTACTTGCTATGTATCTTTGTTACTCCTCTGAATGTGGCAAGTCACTGGTCTGAATTTTCCACTTTCATCTGTAAAACGAGGATGAAAATAAAAACATCGACTTGAGACGTGAGATTGTTTGTGTAAATGGTTCAGCACAATGTCTGGCACTTAAAAGAAATTCATTAAATATCATGTCCACCTACCCTGCTCTCACCACCTCTTGGAAGAAAAGGGAGTCCAAATTTAAAAGCCCTGGAAGTAGCCTCTAAAGATGACGAAGAACTGGGAGCATTCATTGATTCATTTACCACATAAGCCCTGAATCCCTCTTTTGTTCCCTAGAGACTCAGACATAAATAAAATAGTCCCTGTTCTCAAGGGGCTCACATTCAAGTGGGCAAAGATCCAACAAACTCTTGCCATAAAATATAAAACATTATAATAGAGATAAATTCAGGAGGGCCATGAGGGTACCTAAGGGCACTGAGAAAGCTTCACAGAGAAAATATTTGCGAGACAAGCAGCAATTGTTAGGCAGACAAGGAAAGAGAGTGTATTCCAAGTAAAGGGAATAGCATATGTTAAGGAACAAAACATGACAGATTTAAGTGGAGCTGGAACATCAGTTCAGAATGTAGTGAGGACTGGTGAGAGATTACACTGTAGGAGGAGTCAGAAGAGGTAGGGTATTACTGAGCGACACTTCTGAGCAGAGAAAAGATGCTATTCAAAATTTATGATAACCAATATGGCATGGGCATTAACCAGTTAGAAAGGACTCAGAACAATACGGAAAGCCATATTGGGGCCTCTAAGGAAGGGATTCCTTATATTTAGAATAGTTTTGGCAACTGAAGTGAATATAGGTAGATAAATAATGGATTGGCTATCACTGAGGCTTCCATGTTGTTTGAACATTTAGCCTGGCAGGAACAGTAATATCTGGCATACAAGATATCTACTCAGTGGCACATAATACTATTTTGCAGAAACAATTTTAGAAATTGCACCCAAATGTGTGTGTAAGAGATTATTTACTGCGCTGCCAAAACTTGGGTATCTATTCAGTAGAATGTCAGGGAGGAAGATTACAGCATCTCAGTAGTCCTCTAAGCACACAGAGCACAGCCACACACATAACATGTCCCTAATCAATGTTGAATTGCTATAATGAAGTCGGTTGAATTGAATGTCTTTCCGTTGAAATGTGATCCCTGTCAATTTCTTTAAAATGTTGTATCTCATAATTCTAATTAACTCACCTCTTCCCCTTATCTTATTCATTGCCTTCGCTAATAATGTCAGATATTCTTAGGATAGAGAAGGAACATTTTTTAATTATCTTCGAACTCCATAGAACTCCCTCTTAGTTAATTATCTTCTTATTCTCCCTGACTCATCCATGGTCATCCCACACTATAGTCTTATGCTAGCATGGGTTTTATTGTCTGACCTGTTGTTTTTCTGAGCCTCCCAAGTGAGAGAATCAGTAATGCAGGCTAGCCGCACAATGAGATTATATTAATCATTTATTTGTAAGTGAACCAGGTCGCCTTTCACATCAGCTCTCCTAACATGTCAATTTGTATCACATCTAATATGAGACAGCCCGAAAAAATCAGTTCCATCTAAGTAAGGAACTGTGAACAAATCTTTTTAAGAAAATTAGTAAGAACAAAAATGATTTTTTCACTCCAGTTTAGTCTTAATCAAAGCAGTGGGACCAGGGTCATCTCCACCTGCTGTGAGCGCAAATTCAACATTGTGTTTGCAGGAAGTGAGACCACAGGGTTTAGGCTTTGGAGCCAGACCAGCGTAGGTTTAAATTCCAGTTTTACCACTTGCTCACTGTGGACCTTAGGTAAGTTTTTAAAATTCACTGAGCCTAGGCTTCTGCATTTCTAAGTTTGGGGTTGAATGTGCCTACCTTGAAGGGTTGTTCTGAGAATTAAAAGTAAGGTACAGAAAGTGGAATGTGCTTAGGAGAGTGCCTGGCAGTGAGTAGACACTCATTATGTGATACACTGTATTATATTATTGTTGTTATTGTGAGTCCATTGTAAACCAGAAAGAACAAGAGACCATGAGTCAGGAGCCTGAGTTCTGTTCTTAGCTGTACCACTAATGAGGCAGAGACATTCACTGAGAAACGGCTAATAGGTAACATGAGTTCCACCACTCTCCTAGTCAACATATATGGCAGGTATCAATAATCAGTCATAGCATTTTTTTCCTAATGAGCAAAAACATAGATTTAGAATCATTCTCAGCACGGAATTCCAAACAGCCTCTACTGCTCAATTAAAGTCGGCAAATGAAATGAAACTTATTTGCCTTCCCTAGATTAAATGGTCTTAGATGTATCTTTTAGTGTTAACATACTATGGATCTATGGAAGAAATCCTCTCTGATAATGTTTACAACCCAACTATGAGGTGAAGTGAAGGGTTCAAGGTTCAGAGAGTGACTTCCAATATAATGAGTCGGAAACAAATAATTCAACTTGGTGGTGTGATACAGTTAAGATCTAACTGGATTTATGCCTGTTTCTTCTGCTGTGTCCTAGTTCTATGACCTTGGGCAAGTCACTAACCTCTCTGAGCCCCAGTTTCATCATTTGTAAAAACAGACAAAAGATGATTTTGTAAGATGTTAACATCAGGAGAAACTGAGTGAAGGATGCATAGGGATTCTCTGTACTCTCTTTTCAACTGTCCTGTAAATCTAAAAGTATTCTAAGATTTAAAAATTTATTTTTTAATGGGAAGAAGGGCATCTGCCTTGAGGAGTTGTGGAGAGTAAATGAAATAAGGTGTGGGAAAGCACATAAATAGTTTGATGTCTTTCTTTTCCCCCTCCCAGCCATCTCCCTTCATCTACACATTCAAACGTGTAGAACACCTGAGGAATCAGGAGATATGTTTTCTGGATTGTGGTGCCAGCGGGTTCACCTGCCTGACAGCACTGCAGTTCAGAGCCTGGCTGCCAAGCTGAAACCCTGCAGGCAAGAAGGTTGGGTTTACACAGTCCTGGGAGCCAATGAATGCATCACACATTGCCAGAAAGCAAAATGGCCGGCCTGCCTTTGTTGGAGTCAGCCTATGCGTGGGAGGAGGAGGGATGGAGCATGCAGGAGGAAGTGAAATAAGAGGACTGGGCTAGAATCTGGATGCTAAGACTTGCAGGTAGTCAAGGAAGCGGGTTCGTGCTCCACCCACACCCTTTTCCTTAAGGGTCTTTCTTGTCAGCTTTAGAATCATTTTGTTGAGTAAATGCACTGTTTCCAAATAGACCCTGACATATCCAAATAAGTTAGTTGGGGGTGGCAGGGAGGAGGAGATCTGTGCTGTCCCCAGGCCTGTTTGCCCCCCCAAGTCCATTACTTCCTTTTCACATCTCTGCTCTTGTAGCAGGGAAGCTGATGGGGCAGGTTGGCCTTTGCAGGCTGTTCCCCAGGCTCTGATGGGTTTGGCCAATGGAAGGCACTGTTAGGATATTAGAAAGCAAAAGGGAGAGAGAAACCAGGGTATTTCTCTCCCTCCCCCTCTGCTTCATGTGGTGTCCCCAGCAGTGACTGTGTCTCTTTGTGGCTCTGGCACTGCTGACCAGGTTACTGTGGCTCAAGTTTCTACTAAGTGTCCCAGCCCTGAGGTTCTAGCCAAGGAATGGTAGCAGCTCCCTGCTGTGACTAATCTCTAGGTTGCTTCATTGTCCTCTGCTTGGCATCACAGCTTTTCCATCACCTGTGTGATCAATTCCCTGCACTGAATCCCTTTTCCCTTAAATAAATACTCAGTGATTTCTATTTTCCTGGTTGGACTCAGACTGATCAGTCATCCACTAGCCAACAGCAATGATTCCTTCTTTCCACTAGCCAGTTTGTATTTTGGAATACAAGGCTCTGAGAGACTTACTTGGAAAATGTGGGTGGGATATCAGGGGAGTGGAAGAGGTCTAGAGAATTAGACATGGAGATCAAGCTCAGGAGAGCCAAGCATCTAAGAGTAAGTCTTTGGAACAAGAAGGAGGCAGGAACAGAAAAGCAGTTAAGCTAGTCCTTCTGCTTCTCACATTTGCCCTGTCCCAGACTGTGGCTGCTCTGGGAGTCATCTGCTTTGGCAGAGAGCAAGTCCAAGCCTAGAAAGACAGGAGAAATGTGGGCTCCGGAGTCAGCTCCAGGAACATGGAAAAAAAGAAGAGAAAAACTCACGGGTGTGGCCAGCCTGCCTGTAGGTGATTGTTGCAATCCAGTCAGATGAGGAAAACAAACATAGGAGTCCAACTGATCCCATCAATCAGGCTGTCCTGATGGGCTAAGTGCAATGACTTCAACAGCAACAGAAAACACACGGTACTGTCCCCAGGACACGAGTCCCTTCATTTAATTTCCTTGCAAACTGTATTTGGGGCTGTATAGACCCAGCCACAGTGCTTGAGTCCCATTTATCAGCCACTAATTGACTGTGTGACCTTGTACAAGGCACTTAATAGCTGTGTGTCGCCATTCTTCTTTGTAAAACAGGGAGAGGGGAATCTGGCCCCCTGCTTACCTAAAAGGGCACATTGTGAGTACCCAATACACATCAAACTGTAATTCCAGCTCTGAGGAGGTGCAAGAGCAGATGCCTGAGAAATGCTTCCTGTTGGGGACTGGGAAAGAAAGTAGAATGGAGGAACTCCAGTGTAGTGCTCAAGAGCATGGTTTGAAGGGAATTATTGTTAGTTTGGCGATGGGGGGGATAATAATTTCGTCATTGTATATAAAAATATCCCTATTTTTGAGTTGCATAATGAAACATGTGGGGTAAAGCATAAGAGGGAAAAAGAAAGAGAGATAGGTAAAGCTAACATGGAAAATCATGATAGATGTTGAATCTGGGTGATGGATACTTGGGGGTTCATTATACTATATTTTTTACTTTTGTGTATGTGTTTGAAAATTTCCATAATAATTTTTTTCAAGCATGTATTTTAGAGTCAGACCAGGGTTCAGCCCCATTCATTCGGGCAACAAATAGGTATGACTAATACTGGATGCCAGGCCCTGAGCTTTGACTCAGTGGTGGTGGGTGGACAGGGCACAAAACAGGTCAGGTCAGGATTCCAAAGTGAAGAAAAAGCATTTAGATATTAGATAATCAGGCAAAAATTGAAAAGTACCCACTTCACCTCTCTATGTTCTTTGTAAAGTACTTTTCTGCTTGAAAGGGCAGAGTTTTGTCTGATAAGTTCTTCCATAAGCCCTGGAGGCAAGAACCACCCCCAGCCTAGAAGGACACTGGAGCTGTCTTTTTCTGGCCTCCAGTAGCAGCCAGCAGCTAGGCAGGCCTGGAGCCCTCCATGTTGGAGATCACTGACTGCTGGTGTGGGCTGCATTACCAGTGCCCTGGGCAACTCATGTAGGTCCCCCATCCTCATTCCCAGGAGATTTCAGGGCCTCCTTAGGTCACAAGCAAATTGCCATCTCACTCCCTCCCCTGTCTCTCCCCTTCAAACACGCACAGGATTAGGATTATGTAATTGAAATAGAAAAAAAAGAAAAAGAAAAAAGGTTGTCTCAAAAGTTAGACCTGTATTTCAGTCCCGGCTTTACCACTTACTATCAATGTGACTTTGAGCAAGTCACCTCCAGGCTCTGAGCTTTTGTATCCTCTTCTGTTAAATCGTGACAAAATGGTACTTCCCTTGTAGGATTACATGAGGATTACCAAGGAAATGCAGGCAAAGTACTTAGCACAGTGCCAGGTAGGCGGTATGCCCTCCAAAATCTGGGCACTGCTATTGTTCAGGGAGAGGAGAGGAAACAGTCTAGCCTCTGCCCTGGTGAAGAGGGAAAAAGACATGAGTTGAGGTCTGGGAGTCACAGCCTGGTGATGAAGCATGCAATGGTCCTCTTTAATGTGGGCTTTGAGACAAAAGATCAGATTCATCTCCCCACTAGGTTAGGGATGGCAGAAGTGGAGACCCTCTGGTGTGGGGGCACCCTCGGAATTTAGAGGACACCCAAAAAGGAAAGCCAGTTCTGAGCCCATTGCCAAAAGGTTTGGCTTCCCACAAAGCAGCCCCTGAAACAACCTACATACACTCCCCACCTTCCATGACAAATGCTTTGCCCACATCCTGGCAGTTTATCTAGAAGCAGCCCTGAAGCTAAGCAGGTTCTTTGGCCCTGTAACAGTTCCAGATCCCAAAGCTCCAGCTGCTAGCTCAGGATCTGGGAGTATAAGCCTAGGCTAGTATAAGCCTGAGGCTGGCACACCACAGGGTGAGTCACACACAGCCCCACTGTTCCCCATATGCTGACTGGACATATAGAGGGATGGCCTCCTCTTCCTGGAGGCCTAGTAGAATGTCACAGAAGCTAGTGCTGCAACTTACAGATTCCATTTTCCAGTTGAAGAGGCAGAAGCACGGAGAGGTTAAGTGAGTCATCCACCAGGAGCAGATGCATGTGCAAAAGCAGGCAAGGGGCTCTAGGCCTCCTCGTCCTCCAACCAGCCTTCTTGCCCTTTGCTCTCTGCTGTCTCTGAGTACAGTAAGTCCTCACTGAACGTCCTTGACAGGTTCTTGGGAACTGGACTTTAAGTGAAACAACGAATAACAAAACTAATTTTACTGTAGGCTAATTGATATAAACAAGAGTTAAGTACCCACAGCATATTTCTGGTCACAAAAATATCACCAAACTTCTAAATAAAGATCCAAATACCAGCCTGGGCAACATGGTGAAACCCTGTCTCTACTAAAAATACAAAAATTTAGCCAGGCATGGTGGCACACGTCTGTAGTCACAGCTACTCAGGAGGCTGAGGTGGGAGGATCACCTGAATCCTGGGAGGTTGAGGCTGCAGTGAGCCGTGATTGCGCCACTGCACTCCAGCCTGGGCGAGAGGAGTGAGACCCTGTCTCAAAAACAAACAAAAAAACAAACAAACAAAAACCACCCAAACACTTCTAATATTAAACATTAATAAGTTAATTAAACATTAACAATAAGTGTGAGCTACACATACATTTAGGAAAGATTAATAAAAACAAGTAAGAGAATTATTTGCCTAATTTTTGGTGAATCAATGAGTGACAGCGGTTGTAGCAATGGCGGGTCAGGTCAAGGAATAAACATTTGCAAAGCAAAATCATAAGGAGCACCTCCTGCCACCCAGCAGTTCCAGAAGAATCACAAAAGCGCTCATTGAGCGCTTTCCTATCGTGTCATTTATTATCATGGATTCGTATGGTCATTGTGTACTTTACGAGTTTTCATTTTCCAATAATTTGTATTCACTCATTCAGTTATTTTCTAACCCGCTGATTCCAGTTCAGGGTCACAGGTGGCCGGAGCCCATCCTGGCAGCACAAGGAGCACAAAAGGTGGGAACCACCCTGGTCAGGACGCCATCCTGTCCATGGACAGTGGCCCTGGGGAAAACCAAATTTTCCCCATTAACGTGATAACTAAATGGCTTTGAACAAAACAATGTTATTCAAGGACCTGCTGTATAGGATTGTGCCAAGCAGTTCTCAGGCCAGGGTAGGCCAAGAGGAGGATGAAGAGAGAAGAGGGATGAACCCTAGAAGAAGAAACTTTTAGAGGCACCAGTGGGATGATGATATGGCAAATAGCACAGGCCTTAGGAGTGAGGGACAGAGGGACTTGGAGCCTGGTTTCTGCTCTTCCTGGTTGTGTGACCTTGAGCAGTGTATTTTATCTCACTGAGCTTCAGCCTCTTCACTTGTAAACTGAAGATAATAGTATCTGCCTTGTAGGGCTGTTGTGAGGATCAGAGATGAAAATAAAGCACCTGGTACATAGTAATTGCTCAATAATCATAATGATCAACTAGTGTCTGCTCTCTGCCAGGCTCTGGGATAAGCACTTTACATAACAACTATGAGGTAAATACTGTTATTAGCCCTTTGTGTAGATGAGGAAAATGAGGGTCCTGGAAGTTAAGTGGTCCAAAATGACCCAGCTAATTAATGATGGTACCAGGATTTGAACCCATGTAGTTGGACTTCACAATCAGCTCTCTTAAGTTCTTTACTTCTTGCCTTGTTTTTGTGGAAGATGCAGTCTCCGGTGGGAAGCAGGCCCAAGAGGGACAATGTGCAAATTGTGCAAATGTGGTCTTAATCCAGGAAGCAAGGCAGCACATGTCCCCATAAAGAAGTTTCAAAGGGAAGGCCAAAGCCCAGGCCCTTGCATCTGTTGCACATGTCTTTAGCCATATGCTTTCTAATCCACCCACAAACTCACAACGCCAGCTCAAACACTCAAACTCACATATACATACCATCAAATCTTTTTATTGCTGTCTCTTTAATGCTTCCCTGCCTTTTTAGTTTCATGGAACACAAAGAAAAGTATATTTTTCAGGCCTAAAGGGTGTAAATGATCAATATCTTGGTACATCAATTGAGTCACTTTACTGTAACCCAAAGTACAGCACTTTGCTGTAACCCCTCTATATACTCTAGGCACAATGATCTGAATAGAAACTTCCTGTCAAACACAGGCTCAAAAGGCACTCTTGCGTGAGCCCTTGTAAATGGATTAATGTATGGTATTGGCTTCTTTAAAAATTGTGGTAGAAGGCTGGGCACAGTGGCTCACGCCTATAATCCTAGTCCTTTGGGAGGCCGAAGTGAGAGGACTGCTTGAGGCCAGGAGTTCAAGACCAACCTGGACAACAAAGCAAGGCCTTGTCTCTACAAAAATAAAAATAAAATAAATTAGCCAGGCATGACGGCACATGACTGTAAGTCCTAACTACTTGGGAGGCTGAGGTGGGAGGATCACTCGAGCCCAGGAGTTTGAGGCTGCAGTGAGCCATGATTACACCATTGCACACAGACTGGGTGATAGAGTGAGACCTTGTCTCAAAAAAAAAAAAAAAAAAAAAACCTGTGGTAGAAATTTGAGCATTTAAATCTTTCACTACATTTTGGGTTCTGGACCCATTTTCTCCCATGTACATTTGAAGCTGATAGTTGAATAATTACTTGATACTTAATGTGATGCTGTACATTTTTAGACATGCTATTTTAAATGTCAAATCAATATGAATTTATTTGTCAGTCTTTCATACAAGCATGGATCATAATAAACTCATCCGTGATTCATGAGAATGTAAAATATACTCTCATGGGAACTTTATCTTAATTCAATATTATTGGTCTTTTAAATGAAACATTATGTTTTCCCTTTTGAACAGAGTTCATTGGTAATTGTTCATCAGAGGAGAAGCATATTATTTTTTCACATTTTTTTAAGCCTTTGACAAAATCAGGGATGAAATCTGGCTATGTGTCTGTGATGCCAAAACATCTGGATGAATTAAAAAAGGGGAAGATGATGCTGTTCAACGACTATGCTGTTCGGTCCAAGTACTACTTGCCAACATCTGGGTGTCTGGCACAAGAGAGTTGACAGTATGTCCTTTTCATCCACATGTTATGGCTTTGTATATATAGATGGTTTCTCACTAAAGACAACTTAGATGCCTCTTTGATTAGGGAATACACCAGAAGTTTAAAGTGGAAGTGGTGGGACAAAGAGAAAATTACAGCAGAAGACATTCCTAAAACGGTTCTGCCACTGCCATAGAGTCGTAGCCTGAGCAAAAGCCAGAGGTAGGAATGTGCAAGATTTCTACATAAAGTAGTACTGGGAAGCTGCAATAATGATATAGAAAATTGTGGCTACTATACAAATCATAGAAAGGGGAAGAGAAATCTTCAATGTACCACTTACCAGAAAACTATTTACTCTAAATCAGCACTTATTAATCCATGTTCACTGTAGGCTGATGTGGTGCCCCCAAGCATGATGGTTGGGAAAACAATGATTTGACCATGAATTCAGCAGTCCAGGGCCCATGTGGCAGTCACATGTATTCTTAATACACTACTCAATTGTAGCTCAGAATTGAGTTGGTGGACATTCACAGCCTCAGTGTGAATGTGGGGAAAACCAAACAAGGGGATTTCATTCCATAAAACCAAACCCAAAAAAGCTCAGTAGACAAGCTGAAAATCAGCCTGGGAGAAAAGAGCTGTCAGTATGCCTTTTAATACTGAAGATCACTAGAAAATAACCCAAAGTCATGGAAGGAAGGAAACAGGCAAAGAGAAAGAGCTTCAAAATTATTCTCTCCATTCCCAATCCCAGAGTAAATCAGGCACCTTTTGAAGATGAAGCTACGCTGAATAACCATGTTCCAGATGACAAAAAATGGGTATGAGAGGGTAGCAACCAGCTGCTGTTCACCACTGAAGCTGGTTCAAGAATAAATAATTTTCAACAGACGTGGGAAAGAAAGGCATACTGCAGAAAGGGTTTACAAGGGAGACTCAAGGAGCTTCCTTCTTGAAAGCCCTTATGATCAAATTCTAGATGAAAAAACAATTTCACCTTCATGACTGATAAGTTTGTTTGACTGGATTAATTAGCTGCTTGGTTAGAGTGACCAGATAATTTAGTCATTACAGCTCAACCCCTCCTGAAACTAAACATGATCTAAGGACTCAGCAAAGCCATCTCTATTTTGCTGGATGACAGCAAGTGGAATTTCTATTTAGCCCTCTGTTTTTTGGATCTACAGTAGTGGAGAGTCCCCTGATATCCTCTGGGCATATTCAGTTCACCTAGGTACATGAGATCTGATTTCAAGATAAAATATTTAAAAAAACACTTCTGGCTGCTACTTCTCAAATATTGTGGCTAAAAGCAGTGTTGATGTTCTCGTCATTCTTTTATGCAATCAAATAGGTAATCAGAGTTATTAAAATATATGTATATATTTAAATGCAATTAAATATTATTTTCACTTTGAAATTTAAAAAAGGCAGAAAGCTTGTAAACATTTATTTTATTTTTTAACTTGAATTGACCCTTGTGTTTAAAAGAAATATGATTTCATCATGGATCTACAAGGGACTCCATGTTGCATATATTTATGTACCTTGTAGGAATTCAGTAAATATAATTCAGCCTTGAATCCCATCAGTTTCTTTTCAAAGATCGTTTAATGTAGGCAGGTATTTTATTTAAATATCAATGTAGATATTTTATGGCATCCTCCCACATACAACTTGCAATGTTTCTCCATTGGGTCAAGTTTGTATCTTGTTCAAGTGAAAAAAAAACAACTAATGGTTAATTGGGGGACAAACACACTTCACACACTTCCAATACTCTGTGGTAAACAAGCGAGCTGACTCTGTCCTTGGTGAAATAAAACTTTCTCCTAGAGCCAGGAATCAAATAAACACAGGATGTGTCTATGCTTCTCAGCCTTTTCTTTTCAGATGGAATCATGGTCTGCAATGACCTGACTGTCTGACTTCTTATTTTTCCTTCCTTCCTTCTTTCTGCTGTTCTTCCTTTCCTCCCTGCCCCGCCTTTCCTCCTTTCATCCCTTCCTCTCTTCTTCCTTTTCTCCCTTTCTACTTTCTCCCTTCCTCCCTTCCTTTCTATCAAACTCTCAGCATAAGGCTTCTCATATTTCTGGCTTTGAAGGTTGAATACCTGTTACACAAGGTAACATGAGAAAAAAAAAACAAAAAGATTGAATAACCTTAAGGGTATGGTAAATTAGATTTAAAAAAATTGATTGTGTGAGATTTTATTTACTTATTTTGGGTGGAGCTACTGGCTGCTACCATTTGCAAAGGGATGATAAATTTCAATCATACCCATCTTTTTCATGGGAGCAAGCCAACTTGTGGCAGACCTAAGTGGCAGAGACAGAACAAAATCCCAGATGTTTTGACTCCCAGTGCAGTGCTGTTTCCACTGTTGCAAGCAACCTCATCTATTGATAAAATATTGTGGCATTTCAGGTGTAAACCAATGAAGGTTTCCTAAACAACATTTTACAAAAAAACAGCCAAGTGTTAACGAAGGATCTTTGGTCAACTAATTCTGAATATTCTGCATAAATTAATAAAATAAATACTGCATATTCTATATTTCCTTGGAGATTTGCAGTGCATTCATTCATTCACATTTTAAAGGCTCTTAGAAGCCGTAAAGAATCCTGTTCAATTTTCTTTAATTCAAAATGTTCCAACATCTTTCTCTATGGATCCTTTTTAATCTCATTGCCTACCTATTAATATCTTCTAGGGTTCCACAGTGCACATTTTGGGAAACACTAGTAAAATGAATCAGGAATATGTGAATTAAAATATACTTATTCTTTGGACACTGCTTAAAAAGATATGATACCCCTGGTACTGGAATCTGACCATTCTGGTTTCCTAGCCAGTTCACACTCTCCCCACTACGTACATCACACAGTTTCCTCATGGACTTTTTGCTTCCAGTTGCTAACTGTGCTCAGATTTCTCTAATTAGCTACTCTTGAGCCAACTACTTGGCAGAGCAATGGTTCTTAAAGTGTGGTCCCTGGACCAGGAGCATCAGCATCACCTGAGAACTTGTTAGAAATGCATATTTGTGGACCCCACTCACTTCAGACCTACTGAACCAGAAACTCAGGGGTGGGATATAGCAATCTGTGTTTTAAGAAGCCCTCCAGGGGCTTTTGATGCATCCTCACGCCTGAGAACCACTGATCTAAGGCAAGGCTTTAAATAACTTTTCCTATATCTGCTATTATTTCATCCTTCCTCTTAACATTCAGAAAACAGCCAAGACAAAGTAAGGTACATCCTAGCGCCATGTGCCTACATAATGATCTCCTCCCTGTCCCTCCCCAGTATCTATGCCAAGCAGCTGCCCCACAAACTCATTGCAAAGCTGAGACTTCTTAAAGGTACCAGACCTTTGTCTCTGAACAATGAACACATTTTAACACACCCAGGTTTGGAAGGATGGTTACATACTGAGTTCTTCAGAATCCTATCAATCAATAACAAATACCACCTGAGTGCCTATTTAGTACAAAGCATTGTGCTCCACGTCATGGGCTTTCATAGAAAAACTTGATGTGGGCCCCTTTGCAGTTTGGGATGTTACAATGTCATTTAAGAGAGATAATGATCAGGCTGGGCGGTGGCTCACGCCTGTAATCCCAACACTTTGGGAGGCTGAGGCGGGCAGATCATGAGGTCAGGAGATCGAGACCATCCTGGCTAACATGATGAAACCCCGTCTCTACTAAAAATACAAAAAAAGAAAATTAGCTGGGCGTGATGGCGGGCGCCTGTTGTCCCAGCTACTTGGGAGGCTGAGGCAGGAGAATGGCGTGAACCCGGGAGGCGGAGCTTGCAGTGAGCCAAGATCGCACCACCGCACTCCAGCCTGGGCGACAGAGTGAGACACCGTCTCAAAAAAAAAAAAAAAAAAAAAAGAGAGAGGGAGATAACGATCATATCAAAAATCGTCCAACAACACAAAGCAGTGATTAGGAAGTGCCAGAAGAATGCTACTAAACAATATGCATCCAGACTGTAAAGACAGATTGTTGAAAGAACATTCCGTTGAGAAGTAGAGAACATGGGTTTTAGCCCTCCCTCTTCCAGTTAATAGCCCTGTGGCCTGCAGCAAGTCAAATTCTCTGTGGGTTTTAGTTGATATTCTAAATCAAGTTGTAAATTGAGGGTAATATTATAATACCATACATTCCCAAAGTCAGGGAATAGAAACAGATGCACTCTTAAGATACCTTTTAGTCTAAGAACTATGATTCTAGGAAGTCTCAAACTGAATTCTGCATGTGCAAGCAGGGTTGCCATTGGCCATGGTCCCAGAGAATGCATGTTCCAATGCAGGGTAGCCAGGTCTTCTGATTTTTCTAGAGAAACTGGAAATTAATATTTTATGTGAAATTTGTCCAGTTAAATGTTTTAGCAGCTAGTTCTAATATTTTAATTGGACCAAACCAAACGTGTCTGTAAGCCAGATGTGGCTTGTTAACTTTGTTAATTGGTAACCTCTGGACTAGACAGAGGCCACGTAAGTCTTCATTGGAAAGGTGGGACTGTGGGGATTCCTGCAGAGGTTGAAAAGAAATGGTGGTATCAATTTAATCACTAAGATGCCTCACCTCAAAAACAGTCAATATTTTTTTCTCTCCAAGTCTTTGTTTAGTATTACACAGGCATGGCGGTAGTTAATTACAGACTGCTTAGATCCCTTCTCCTTAAAGCTTCCCCTGACCACCTCAGCCCCAAGTGCTTTCTCCCTCCCTTGAGTTCCCATAGCAATTCTTTTCCATGCAATTCATTTGGAAATTAATCATATAGTGCTCTGTGGCATCTTTTCTGTTGTGGTCCTGAACTGCTATTTAAACATGTTATAATTATTTAAGTTTCCACATGTTTGCATCTTCTCTTCTGTGTTATGAAGCTCTTTGAGAATAGAGGTTAGGTCTTATTCCCCCACAGTGCCTGGCACAGAGGAGAAGCTTGATCTGTTTTGAATTTAATTTCAAAGGAGTGCAGGAGCAGGGTAGTGTACCATAGGGTGCATCAGGTGATTTTAGATCTCATTCTTTCTAATACAATCTGTCATCTTTATTATATGCGAACTTACAAATTTCTATTTAATAATAATAGCTTCAAGAAAATGAAAAAAAATTACACAGAATGACAGAATATTCACAAACATATATCTGACAAGAGATTTGCATGCAGAATATATAAGAACTGTTACAACTCAGTAATAAAATGACAACCCAATTTAAAAATGGGCAAAGAATTTGTAGGGACATTTCTCCAAAGTAGACATAAGAATGGTCAATAAACACATGAAAAGATACTCAACCTCATTAACCATCAGAGAAATGCAAATCAAAACCACAATGAGATACTACTTTACACACAGTAGGATGGCTATAATAAAAAATAAATAAAAAATAAAATAAATATAATAAAAATAATAATTTAATAAAATAAAAATAAAATAAAATAACAAGTGTTGATGAAGATGTGGAAAAATTGAAACCATCATTCCCACTACTGGAGGGAATTTTAAATAGTGCAGGCTCTTTGGAAAATAGTTTGGTGGTTCCTCAAACCATTAAACATAGTGTTACCATATGATCCAGCAATTCCACTCCCAGATATATACCCAAGAGATTTAAAAACATATCTTTACACAAAAACTTGTAAATGAATATTGATAGCAGTGTTATTCATACTAGCCAAAAGATAGAAACAATCCAAAATGTCAATCAACTGATAAATGGAAAAACAAAATATGATATATTCATATAATGAACTATTATTCAGCCTTAAAAAGGAAGTAAGCTCTGATATATATACAACATGGATGAACCTTAAAAACATTATGCTATGTTCTCACTTGTAAGTGGGAGCTAAACACTGGGTACACATGGACATAAATATGGGAACGATAGACACTGGAGACTACTAGACAGGGGAGGAAGGGAGGTGGACAAGGCCCGAAAAACTACCTATTGGATGCTCACTGTCTGGGTGATGGGATCAGCTGTACCCCAAACCTCAGCATCATGCAATATACCCATGTAGCAAACCTGGACATGTACACCCTGAATCTAAAATGGAAGTTGCAATTTTTTAAAAGACAGTTATGCTAAGGGAGAGAAGCTAGTCACAGAAGACCACCTATTGTATGAGTTCATTTATATAAAATGTCCAGAAGAGGCAAATCTATACAGACAGAAAGTAGGTTAGTGATTACCTGGAGCTGGGAAGGGGGAGAGGGAGCTTCAGGGATGGAAACGGCTACCAGTGGGTATGAGATTCCTTTTTGGGGTAATGAATATTTTCTAAAAATTAGATTGTGGTGATGGTTGCACAACTCTGTGAAATACTAAAAATGACTGAACTGTACACTTTAAATAGGTGAATTTATTGAGATATAATTCACATAGATGAATTATATCTCAATAAAGCTGTTTTTAAAAGCTAATATTTATATAGCACCTACTATGTGCCAGACATTCTTTTAAGTGTTCTGTATGTATTAACTCATTTAACCCTCACAAAACCCTAAGAGGTAGGTAAGTACTTTTATTGTTTCTATTTGATAGATGGAGAAATGAAAGGATGCAAACGTTAAGTGATTTGCCTGAGGTCTCACAGCTAGTTGGTGGTGGAGCTGGGATTCAAATTCAGGCCATCTGGATCTAGAATGTTATGTTCTTCAATACAGTGCTACATCAGAACTGAATAGTCAACACTTGTTATTTTTCTATTATTCTGCTGGAACTATGATAGTCTTAGGCTTTCAAAGTGTCTTCTCTGCACAGACTTGGGCTACACTAGATGTGAGTGTGGGCAAAGTTGATTAGCAAATAAACCAAACAAAGGGAAGAGGCAACAGAATAAGAAAGAGGAGTGAATTCATAGCCACTCTGATTCCCCAGGAGTTTTGCACCTCTTTATTCTGCCCATTTCAGGAAGGGTATGCACCTCGCACCTAATATGAAAGATACTATGTCCAATGAGCTATGGTGGGGGGTTCGGGCAAATCCTTACAGAAAAGCTCTTATAGTGACTCAGCCAGCCACATTTGTCACCTTCTGGAGGATGGTGACCCAGTTCAGAGTGAGCCATGATACAGAATGGAGATGACTCACATTTTCCTCTGGATTCTTAGGAACAAATAGAGTATCTGCCTGGATTCCCTTGATCCTCAAGTTCCAGAAAATGGCTGGGTTCATTCATTCAAGTAAAAGTATTTATTAAGTTAAATGCAAAGGGATACAAAGCTGATAATAAAAACCATTTAGTGAGTTCTTATTATGTTATTATGTGCTAGGTTTTACATGTACTAAGTTATTTAATTCTTAAAATATCCCTGTGAGGTAGGTACTCTTATTATCATCCTCATTTTATAGATGAGGAAACTGAGGCTCAGGAAGATTGAGATCATACAACAATTATGAGCAGAATCAAGATCCAAACCCAAATCTCTCAGATTTCAGTGCTTTTTTCAGTATAATATACTGACCCCAACAAATACTTAATGAGCCCATACTTAACACCAGGCACTATGGGGGAGAAAGTAATACAAGGTTTCTGCCCTCAAAACACTATAAACCAGCTTGGAAGACAAGACACAGACACAGCAAAAGTTAAGTAATGCTATAATAGTGCTATATAATAACACATGTATATTACATATACAAGTAGGTTATATATACGATAACAATAAAACAATAGAAGAAATGATGATGTATAATATTTACTAACATTTGCAATGTGTCAGGTTCTGTTCTAAAGGTTTTACAAGTATCATCTTATTTATTTTGTTTTATACATGACGAAGCTGAAGCAAAGAAAGGCGAAGTAATTGGCTCAACATCACATAGCTTATAAGTGGCAGAGTAAGAACTCAAACCCAGGCAGTCTGCCTCCAGAGCCCATCCCTTTAGTTGTTATATTGTTTTGCCATGATAAGGATGGTGCTATCAAAGGGATATGGAAAAATGCTATGAGAGCTCAAAGGACGATTAATTAATTCTATCTGGAACAGTCTGGAAAGAGTTCCCAGAAGAGGCAATAGTTGAGCAGGGTCTTAAAGGAGAGTAGGAATTTACTGGCGAGATAAGAAGAGTAAGGATGTTCTAAGCAGAAGGAACAGCTTGTGCATGAATTTCTGCAAAGGCTTGATTTATCTGAGGAATGTTGGAAAGTTCAGTATGACTGGAGTTTAGGGTATGTCAGGATTGTGAAGGGGTGGGGAGAAGCAGTAAAAGTGGAAGATGAAACTGGAGTGGTAGGCTGAGTAATAAGAAAGTGAGGACCTTATATACAGTAGAAGAATTCATAAAAATGAGCTCTAATATGATGTCTACTGTAAGATTCTGCCACTTTTTATTTACCCCTGATTTGGAAAAAGGCCCCTTTCCTCTCTCCAAGCTTGGGAAACAAATTTTGCTAAGCAAAGATAGGAGTTCTTGAAGGGAGGAGGGTATGAAGTTTATACTCTTTGGAAAGGGGATGGGCCATGGTGGGAAAGAAGACTGGTGTGGGCAAGCCTCCTGGGAAGAAGACCCTCATATATTCAACTGAGAAAGGGACAGATAGCCTTCTCCAATCTACCATCAGGTTGGGTGCAATCTTAAGTAACTCATCTTGTATACACACACTCTGGGAAGAGGGGTGGTTCTGAGATGAGGAGGAAAAAGCTATTAGTTGGCTTTTTGCAAGAGTTTCTCATCCCAGACTTAGCTCCTTAGTCGTCTCTTCATCCATGGGTCTAGGGGAACCCTTTGATTCCACTCCCACTGCATCATGTAAAACTGAGTGAGTTCTACTGTACCTTATAGGCCATGGGCCACCAAAGAAGGTTTATAAGCAAGAGAGTATAGGAAGCTCAATACTGGGGCAGATCTAAGCCTCAATTAGAGGGAGGAAGAAACGAATTAGAGGCAGGAAGCCTGGTCCAGCTGAGAAACGACATGGAATTTAATTAACACAGTGGCCCCGTGAGTGGAAATGGGGAGAAGGGCTTTGATTCAGGCAACCCTTCTGGGGTAGACTTGTAGGAATGAGTGACAAATTGAATGCAGAGGAAAGGGAAAGGAGAAAAAGAGAGGACTCTAAGAGATAACCCACTAATTTGCCAAACTAATGACCAGTGGGAGGCTTGTTTACAACTCATCTACTTTTAGCATGGCCTTCTAATGCAGGGAGACTGCCTTGGTTGTCAGACTGGGATGATATATCAAAACCAGCTATGAGTTACACCCTTCCTTCCTATTTCCTTTCTATTTTTCCTTTTAGTTTAACCCTCAAATCCATGGTTCTCCCCTTCATCCTTTTTAGTTTCTCTTCTGCTCTTTTAAGAAAGTGTCATTTTCACAAGCTTCATCCATGTCTCCCAGATCCTGGCTGCCTTTGTTTCTTATTGTTGGTGGTGGTGTTTGGGTTGCTGGGTTTTTTTTTTCCTGTACAATTGGAACGTTGCTTATTCGCCTTCTGTTCAATAAAGTTCGTCATGACCCATTGTGCTCTTTCTTCCCAGACTTGTATATAATTATCTTGTGTTTGTGTGTGGTTTGTTTCCTCTGTTTTTTTCCACATGGCCTTCTGAATTTTCACTAAAGTATTGAAAAACAAAGAGAGAATTCTGACCAAAGCATAGGCCTGGAGTGAATAAAGAATTCTTAGGAAAGAATTTTTAAAAATACTGTCAACAGCATAGATTCAGACTTGAATTAGATTAATCTGTCTAAAATGCAGCTGTTTAAATTTTTTTTAATTTTTATTTTAGATTCAGGGGGTACATGTACAGGTTTATTACAAGGGTGTACTGCATGATGCTGAGGTTTGGGCTTCTATTGATTCCATCACCCAGATAGTTTTTGGAGTCCTTAATGTCTATTGTTCTCATCTTTATGTCCATGTGTACCCAAGGTATAGCTCCCACTTATAAGTGAGAATATGTGATTTTTTTTTGCATTAATTTGCTTAGGATAATGGCCTTCAGCTGCATCCATGTTCCCATAAAGGACATGATTTTGTTCATTTTTATGGCTGGGTAGTATTCCATGGTGTACGTGTACATTTTCTTTATCCGATCCACTATCAATGGGCACCTATGTTGATTCCATGTCTTTACTGTTGTGAATAGTGCTGCGATGAACATACAAGTGCAGGTGTCTTTTTGGTAGAATGGTTTATTTTCCTTTGGATATATACCCAGTAAGAGGACTGCTGGATCAAATGGTATTTCTATTTTTAGATCTTTGAGAAATCTTTAACTGCTTTCCACAGGGGCTGAACTAACTTACATTGCCACCAGCAATGTATACACATTCCCTTTTCACTGCAACCTCTTCAACATCTGCTGTTTTTGACGTTTTAATAATAGCCATTCTGACTGGTGTGAGATGGTATCTCACTGTGGTTTTGATTCACATTTCTCTGATGATTAGTAATGATGAGCATTTTTTCATGTCTTTTGGCCACTTGTATGTCTTCTTTTGAAAAGCGTCTGTTCATGTCCTTTGCCCTCTTTTCAATGGGGTTGTTTTTTGCTTGTTGATTTAAGTTCCTTATAGATGCTGGATATTAGTCCTTTGTTGGATGCATAGTTTATGAATATTTTATCCAGTTCTGTAGGGTGCCTGTCGATATTTTCTTTTGCTGTGCAGAAGCTCTTTGGTTTAATTAGATCCCACCTGTCAATTTTTGGTTTTGTTTCAATTGCTTTTGATGACTCAGTCATAAATTCTTTGCCTAGGCTGATGTCCAAAGGATATTTCCCAGGTTTCCTTCTGGAGTTTTTATAGTTTGAAGTCTTACATTTAAGTCTTTAATCAATCTTGAGTTAATTTTTGTATATATGGTGATAGCCAGAGGTCCAGTTTCAATCTTCTGCATATGCCAGTTATCCCAGCACCATTTATTGAATAGAAAGTCCTGTCCCTGTTGCTTATTTTTTATCAACTTTGTCAAAGACTAGTTGGTTGTAGGTGTGTGGCTTTATTTCTGCATTCTCTATCCTGTTGCATTGGTCTATATGTCTTTTTCTGTACCAGCAACATGCTGTTTTGGTTCCTGTAGCCTTGTAGTATAGTTTGAAGTTGGGTAATGTGATGCCTCCAGCTTTGTTCTTTTGGCTTAGGTTTACTTTGACTATTTGGGCTCGTTTTAAATTCCATATGAATTTTAAAATCTTTTTTTAAATCTGTGAAAAGTGACATTGGTTATTTGATAGGAATAGCGTTGAATCTGTAGATTGCTTTGAGCAGTATGGCCATTTTAACAATATTGATTCTTCTAATTAATGAGTGTGGAATGTTTTTCCATTTGTCTGTGTTGCCTCTGATTTCTCTCAGCAGTGTATGTTAATTCTCCCTGTAGAGATCTTTCACCTCTTTGGTTAGATGTATTCTTAGGTATTTAATTTTTTTTGTATGGCTATTGTAAATTGGATTGCATTCTTGATTTGGCTCTCTGATTATATTGTTTTCCTACTACAAAATCTTTTATTGTCCCTTCAGGACAATGGAAGGAAGTTCAAGTTTCTAATCCTTTTGTGTTCTGTCCCTAACACAATTTTGCAACCTTAATTCCTACTACTGTCCTATGTGTAGCTACATTTTCCCATGTCTGTACCTTTATTCATACTATCTTTCTCACCCTGCCCCATTCCCATCTGTTGAAACACCACCTGTACCAGAATGCCTGGGAAATCTGATGGGGATAAGGAATCAGACCTGTGTTTCAAAGTCAGATTTACTACTTATTGCCTGAGGGATCTTGGGCAAATCATTTCCTCTCACAGAGACTCAGTTTCCTCATCTGTAAATGAGGATTATAATAATCTCTTCCAAAAGTTGTAGCAAGAAATAAATTTTATGATATATATAGATACATCTACACAGCACTCATCAAATGGTAGATGCTCAATAAGTTATTAAATTGATATATTTAGGGGATTTGAAAAGACCACTCAAAGGCCATCCATGCATTTCAAATCACAAATCCCTGAATTTTAGTTCATCGGTATTGGGAAGTCTGTCTAAATGAAAAATGGTATTTTTTTGCTTCCCCATTTACCATTGCTTTCCTCATCCTTCAGGAGTATGTTTACATGTGCATGTGCATGTGTGTGTGAAAGAGGGTATGTATGTGTTAGAGAGGGTTGGGTATTTACTTTGGCAGCCACATTTCAGAATGAGTTGAAAAAACCAGACTTGTTTTTAAAATACGTAAAATCACATGCTTGGGAAGTTGAGTCACTTTAAAGAAGGCCCAGAGTGGATCCAGAAAAGAAAAATGGGACTGAGCAGAAAGCCATGAGAGGCTGCCATGTTCTCTAGTTCTGAAGTCACAACTTGTCATTTAGGGAAGAGTCTCTTAAAATGAAGGTAGCAGCCTAACAGAAGACTTCTGTGGCTTAGAATTTCAAAGAATATGAAAAGAATAACTGAAGGCAAGATATTTTTTTCATTTTTCTCTGTCCCTCTTGGAGAAAGAACTAATATCAGATGAAAATCAGAATCTCACCAAACCATTTACTAAGAAAGTAGGCCAAGTAAAGACTCTCCTTGAAAGCTATAATAGAAATGGAAAACAATCAAGAATGGAGCACTAGAGAGCAATTGAAAGGTACACTGAAAAGCAGATGGGGGTGGTATGATAACGAGTATCATGAAAGAGCTAGCATGTTCTTAAAAAATCAGGGAAAGGTCTCCAAACTTTATTTGAGTAGTGAGAAAAATGGTGGGACCAGAGGGCCAGAGTGAGCAGGCCCCATGGAGAAGCTGTGCTTGCTGTTAGGAGAGGTTAATGTTTCACGAGACTGGCAGACGCAGCAGTGGGCAGCAGGGGTGGGGGGTGGACGGGTGTCCAGCAGGTGCCATTTCAGTGTCTTCTCCATGGAGAAGCTGTGCTTGCTGTTAGGAGAGGTTAATGTTTCACAAGACTGGAAGAGCCAGCAGTGGGCAGCGGGGGTCGGGGTGGACAGGTGTACAGCAGGCGCCATTTCAGTGTCTCTAAGGACCATTCAAATGAAATTGGTGGCATGTGTCTTGGGCATTAAAGAATGAATAGGCTGATGAACGGAGATCTCTGTGGCAGGCAGTTAATTCCAGGTGAAAGAAACACTGATGCTGGAAAGTATAGGGTGTGCTCTGAAAACAAAGAATGGTAGTTTGGCAAAAGCTAAAGCTATATGAAGACAAGTAATGGGAAAGAAGCTAGAAAAGAAAGATAGGCAAACATATAAACATAGAGAGCTTCGAATGCCAGGATGAGGAGCTAGTACGTTACTCATTAGGCAAAAGGGAAACTTCAAGGATCTTTTGCCAAAAGCTGTGGTTTAGAGAGATGACTGGTAGCTATGTTTAGGATACTTTGGATATGGGGAGATTGGATGTGGAGTGGCTGCTTAGGAGGCTATCGCAACAGTCAAGGAGAGAGTAGATGAAGAACTGAACTAGGGTACTGCCCCAAGGGATGGAGTGGAGGGAGAAATGTGAATGAAAATAAACATCTATTAAAATAAGCAATTATTCAATGAACTTCCAGCATTAAGGACCTTCCCATACCCAAAGATAGGTTATGATGGAAATATTTCACATTTACAGCCCCAAAGCTGAGCCTTGTAGCCAAAAAAATGGGCAGAATAACGCAAGATTTATGTAAGTATCAAAATGAATGTCCACAAGGAAATCAGAATCTTGAAGAAAAGGACAAAAGATGAGAGGTTTTTGAGATGGAGGTAGATATTTTTTTTTTTTTTTTTTTTTTTTGAGACGGAGTCTCGCTCTGTCGCCCAGGCTGGAGTGCAGTGGCGCGATCTCGGCTCACTGCAAGCTCCGCCTCCCGGGTTCACGCCATTCTCCTGCCTCAGCCTCCCGAGTAGCTGGGACTACAGGGGCCCGCTACCACGCCCGGCTAATTTTTTGTATTTTTAGTAGAGACGGGGTTTCACCGTGTTAGCCAGGATGGTCTCGATCTCCTGACCTCGTGATCCGCCCGCCTCGGCCTCCCAAAGTGCTGGGATTGAGATGGAGGTAGATATTAAAATTCAAACTCCCTGTACAAATCAAAAATGTGTGCAGATGTATGGCTTATGCAATCTAGTGAAAACAGAAGTTATGATAGCAGCCCAAGGCCAAATAAAAAGTAATTTTTCAAACAAAAGCAAAAGAAATGTTCCACCAGTCCTGAGTAAGAAAATACTGTGCAGCACATGGACATGGGCGGGGAATAGTACATAATAGTTCGAGCCTTTTACAAGTTAATTAATAGTTTGATTGGAGTGCTTTTTATTATTAAAAGAAAAAAAGAAAGCCAAGAAATTCAGTGATTTACTGCAATGTTCTCTTAGTTCTCATACCATTCCTTCTATGTTGCATAAGGGACAATGAAGTTCCTGGAAGACTGTAGGTATCGGTGTTTCGCTATTCTGGCCATTTCACGGAATTTTAAAGAGGTGGGATGGTGGGGTTTGCGGACAAATAGAAAGATATTAAGATTGTTGCTATTCCAAGTGACTAATGCATATAGCGCTACTGGGCAGAAGTGAATTTTATTCTTAGTCCTGATCTCATGAAATGTCCTTGTGGGTAAAACACTCAACTAGCAGGATTCCAAGATTGGACTTGGGCAGTTATCTCCTGTAAGTATCTTCAAGGCTAGGGGAAAAGCTTGAGGGCCCTGTTCTCCTGGAGAGTTTATTGTTATTACTGTCTACTAGTGGCCCCACTCCACTTTCACCCACTGCCTACCACTACTGCAGTGCTGTAGTTAGTAGCACTAGAGCGGGAAGTGGTTTCCATGCCCCTAGGTGGGTCCGGCAGATTTGGCTATTCGTCCATGAAGTGCTCAAGGAAAGGCAAATGACCCAACGTCATACCGTCCCCACTCCCAGTGGTTTATAAACACATCCAACAGTTAACATTTATGGAGGGCTTACCCAGTGCCAGATACATTTGACTTGCCTCCTTCCCCACACCTCTGCAAGGCAGGTACTGTGATCATATTCTAGATGACAGAACAGTCGCAGGGAGGTTTAAGTGATTTGTTCAAAGGCAAATAGCTAGCTAGTAATTGCCAGAGCTAGGATTTGAACCCACATCTGTCTAATTCTTTTCATTACACTTCACCTCCACTAAAAGAGTTTCTTTTTTGTTTTCTTCTGAGTGTTGGTGCTGCCTCATAGGGCAGAGCATGTTTTCAGTGCCCCAGATGATCATGGCACCATGGCTCTCTCCAAATCCTCTTGCAGAATTCTCTCTCATCTGAAGCCTCTAAGGTGTCATGTCAGCTACCTTGGGATGCTCCCTTAACTCACTTGGGCTAATAGAATAGAGCCATGGTGTCTCAGATTAAGGCCATCTGGTCCTGTGCATCAGCTCATGTTGACGCCTCACTCTGACATCCCTGTCTGGAGGCAGGCTAACTTCTGCTTGCAAACTACCAGCCAAGACCAGCTTCCTGGACATAAGGCCATTTCATTTTGCACTGGGCCCTGCAAATTACATAGCGATCCTGCTTCTAGTGATGAGAAACTCATTAGCTCAGGAGGCAGCCCATTCCTTCTTTGAATTGCTGTCTCTTAGCAAAGGCATCCTTATGGTGTAAAGAAATCTATTTATCTGCAGTTTTTTTCCCACTGGCTTCAGAGACAAAAATATCTGGGAGAAAATGTCTGGTTCTGAAACCACCTTACCATGGTTTTAAAAGCAAGTCATTTAACCTTTCTGAATCTCAGTTTCCACATCACTAAAATGAGAATGTGACTACCTTCTTTGAAGGGTGTTCTATTTTTTTAAGGACAGACAGGACATAGCATTACTGTATGTAGTCAATGAATGCTAACTATAACTGACATCAATATTAGCCCTACCATAAGCACATTGAATGCAAATGACAGAACATGGTTCAGAACACAGATTCTGATGTTTTATTTACCTCACTCAAAATGTCTTATACTTTTCCTTTTCTTCTTACTTTCCATGCTAAGAAAACTTGAAATCATTAGCCCACTTATGATTTCACCCTTAAAGTACTACAAATAGCATTCTAATTTAATTTTTAAAATAATAATTGTGAGTAGTAGCTGTAGTATTTTACCATCGGATTGCTCAGTGTTTTAAGTTCATGTAATATTTCCCCATCCCTGATTTCATTTGAAGTTTATAATAACTCTGTGAGGCAGGCAGGGCAGGCTCTAATTGATTGATTGATTGATTCATTCATTCATTCATTCATTCATCTATTCATCCAATATTTACTGAGCCCCTACTACGTTCTAGGCCCTGTACCAGTGGCTAGAGATACAATGATGAACATGGCAGATCTGGTTACCACCCTTTAGAGTTTGTATTCTAGGTTGTTTGCAGAGGAGGAAACTAGCCTCAATGTTTAAGTAATCTGCACAAAGTTGTGCGGTTAGTAGGGGTAGAGCTGAGACTAGAACTAAAGTTTCCTGTTGCTCATTCCAGTGTATATTCCACTTTCTCATTCCATCTCTTGTTCTCCTGCATCCAGCATCTTTCTTTCTTTCTTATATTTCCCACTCAACTCTAAAGAATCCTGAATTTGCTAGTAGATTATTCTGCCTAAATACCATTTTTAGTCTTGCAATTCCAGTTTTATTACATTTAATTCTCACTAGTCAGGCAGTTTAACATCAAGTCACCCTAGTGTCCCTGAGCTGTTTGCTAAGCTTGCCTACTTGCTATATAACCTATCCAGTAACCCAGAAACAGGAGAACTAGGGGCCTGCATTACTTCACCCAGCCTTCTTGCTCTTTCCTGGGTTAGTTAGCCTTTCATTGGCCAGTCAGAAAACATATAATTTCCTTTAAAAAGGCTGAAGGGACTTCCAATTGCCCATGTATAATATCATATGCAGACACTCTCCCTGGCTTCTTAGGCCCTCCATAATCTTGCCCCACCCCTTCCCTTGAACCTTATCTCTTTACTCACCCACCCTCCACATATCCACCCCAAGCTCATTTCCTATCCTATGGTCTATTCATGCACCTTATCACTCTTCTTACCTCCATCCCACAAACATAGAAGCTGTCCTTTGCACCCTCCACCGAAAATAAATTCTATGCAGCCTAAGTCCTACTTCCTTTATGAAACCTTCTTTAACAGCTCTAGCTCTCAGTGATCTCACCAATGTCTTAATAGCCCTACTTCTAAGTTTTAAAGATTAATTGCCTAAGTACATGTTAAAGAGGACCTCATTTGACAGCCTTTCATTTGAAAAAGTCCTGGGGATTTTAATTGGTCTTATGCTCAATAGAAATCAATAGTGGTGATGCAGTCACAAATATATAAATAAATAGATAGCTGGGGGATCCAATCTCAGGCTGTACTAAAATAAATATATGTCCAGATTGAGAGAAATACTACTAGACTCATTAATTCACTCACTCATGCATTTAAAACATATTCATTTTTTTAATGTGCATATACCCTGGCCCAGAAATTCCATTTTAGGAATCTATTCTACAGAAATATTTTGCAACATTGTTTGTCTATAGTAGGTTTCAAGATTTTCATTTTATCTTTGATGTTCTACAGTTTCACCCTGTTGCATCTACAGGGTATCAATTTGTCTTTATTCTGCTTAGAACTAGGTACATGGTTTTAATCTCAGGACTCATGTCCTGTTCAGTTTTAGAAAATTATCAGCTATTTCTCTTTGAATATTATCTCTTCCTATTTTTTTTCTGGAGCTTTATTAGATGAATGTGAAGTTTCTTGTTATATCATGTGTGTCTTCTATTTTCCCTTTCATATTTAGCATTTTTATAGTGCCATGCTATATTCTATGATTATCTCGGCTCTATTTGTTATTCCATTTGTTCTCTCTTCACTCATAACTTATTTGTAGTTTAAACTGTCATTTGACTTTTTAAATATTTCATTGGGGCTAGAACTAAAATCTTACAATGCTCATCCCATATTTTCTATATTCTTCATTTCTGGCCTATTTATTTGGTGTACACACACCGAGGAAAGTTGTGCTCTTGCTTTATGTATTATGTTCCTTTTTTACATCTTGAAACCTTCAAACATACAACATTTTAAAGTTCTTTCATACATGAGGGCTACAAAAAGATGAGAAAAACCCAAAAAATAAAGTCCTTTCAGATTACTGTATTATCTGTAGTTTCTTGGGACATAATTCTCCCATTTCTTGTATATACCAACTAACTCATTCCAGTCAATTTCCTCATGTGCTTTATCATTTTTTTGCATGTGAGCTTATCTTCTGCAGGAACTGTTTTCTGTTAGAACCCTTCCGTAAGAATTGGACTCTGAGTTATGGAGGTGGGTCTACAGGCGGTTTTTCATTTGCCTCTGCTAGAGTTTCATTGTGTTCCTGCTCTGAGCCAGGTTTTATGTTAAGTTCTCACCCCAGGGTTTCTGCATTATGTGGGTACTGTGAATTTTGGTTTCATACTAGTGTGCAGCTCAGGTTTAAAGTTTTAAACTTCTTATGGGTGAGTTTATTTCCACCTCATCCTAAGGAAGATGACCTACATCCTGTTTGTAGAGAAGCAATATAGCACATTTACTTACAGGCATGGTCCTGGAGTCAGGATGCCTGAGTCTGAATTTTAGAGCTGCCACCTCCTAGCTGCGCAAGTTACTTAAACGTTTTACTCCCTACTTATAAAATGGGGTTTATAATAGTACCTAATATCATAGGGTTTCTGTGATGGTTAAATAAATAAATACATGTAAATCATGTAGAACAATGCTTGGCACATAGTAAGTACTAAATAAGATTTGTTATTATTGTACCCCTGACTATTTGGGAAATCTGCTTTTAAATAATAAATGGGGCAGCATCCTTCTACTCTTTGTTTTATGAGGGAAGCACAATTCTAACTCAATTCTAAGCCCTACAGAGGACTTATAATCTCATCCTTTAAGGAATATACCTGGTCCCATTTTTCCTGTGAGTGGTGAAATGTCAATTTATGCTCATTGCTGTGACTGTGAGTTTTCTCTTGTCTCTGGAATCTGACAGTTTTCCTTTCTTGCTTCTGGAGCTCAGCCATATATTTTTGGGCTTAAATTTGATCCAGTATGTCTCTGTGTTTTAAGTTGTGTTGCTTTTAACAGTGAAAATATTAGATAAACTAGCTAATAATAGAGGCTTGTTAAATAAATTATGGTAAATTCATCAAATGAAATACAATGCAGCCATAAAACATAATGAAGTAGGGCTGTATACTTACATTGGCTGATATAGAAAGACAGGTGTGTTGTTAAGTTAAAAAAAAAGCAAGGAGCAGAGAAATATGTGAGTCTACATTTTATGTACACAAACTTAAGCCTTTATGTGCATAAAAAGATACTGGAAGGATGCACAACAAAAACCATTACCACTGTTACTTCCAGCACGGATGTGAAGAACGGTGCCACTTTTACTACTTTTTTCTTTTCATTTTAATTTTTAAAAAATAATGTGTAGGCATTTCTTTTAAAATCAAATAATTTGAAAGAAATAAAAAGCAAATATCCTCCTTCCTTGATTTTATATCCTCCTCACAAAGCAAAAAAGATAACCAATACTCACCAAACATCTACTTGGCCAGGAAACAATAACGAATAGGCTTCATTCCCAATCATAAGAAGCCCAAGATCTAAACACAGAGTGTTGCAAGAAATGTTCTCAAAGAGGTGGGGGAATAGCTAACTTTCTCAAAGGGAGTGATATCTAGGAATGCACCACATTGTCCTAGGAGCTGGGACCTTAACAATGGGGAGTACACCAAGTACACAAGGGAGTTGAAGGCATTGGTAACAGTAAAGGATCTAGTAGGATATTGAGAGCATATTCAACAGGGAAGTGAGTGGAGTTTAATGAACGGACTGTTTATAACAGTGTGAGCATTGTTAAGGGAAAGCAAAAAGGATGGTGAAGCACCCCAGGGAGCACTTACCACCCTGAGACCTGAAAAGCCAAGGGGAGAAAGCAGTTAACCAGAACCTAGACAGAGTAGCCATAGCTTTAGAAGATGACTGCCAAAAAAAAGTCTGTGGCTCACAGCAGATCCTTCTAACAGGATTCAGCCAAGCTGCACCCACTCCATAAAGAGGGAGCCAGGAGAATAAATACGCAGACTTTAACCTGTCTCTGATCTCCAGTCCCCTGTTAGTGCCTTACATTGGCCATATCCAAGAAGAATTCAGAGGACAAGGAAGCCAATTCATATGGTTACCAGAGGCTGGGAAGGTAGTGGGGGGCTGGGGGGAGTTGGGGATGGTCAATGGGTACAAAAAATAGAATGAATAAGATCTGCTATTTGATAGCACAACAGGGTGACTATAGCCAGTGATAACTGTACATTTAAAAATAATTTAAGGACTGTAATTGGATTGTTTGCGACTCAGTGAGTAAATGCTTGAGGGTATGGATACCCCATTCTTCATGATGTGTTTATTTCACATTGCATGCCTGTATCAGAACATCTCATGTACCCCAAAAATATATACACCTACTATGTACCCACAATAACTAAAAATATGTTTTTAAATGCAGTCTATAAAGGTCAGTCTCGGGGGGTACACAAAGAGGATGAAGAAGGGTGAAAACTGGATCTTTAGGGGCTAACGGGAACTCTCTGTATGTTCCTCTCAATTTTGCTGTTAACCTAAAACTGCTCTAAAAAATAGTCTATTTTTAAAAGTGGATCTTGAGGGGCAAGTAGAGAATATTCCACAAAGGCATTTTATACAGACAGAGCCATATTGGCAAAGGAATAATAGCAAGGAATCTTAAGGGGTATTTGAGATGCAGGCACTACCTTAGTTTGATTAAATTGTCAGGCCTATGGGGAGGACAAAAGTGAATTGATAGAGTGCAGAAGATGTGAAAAGAGTATCAACAAACTGTACGAGGTCCAAATTTTTATATTTGCAAGCTGCCTGCCCATAGTCCAAAACTGGCCTGAAAATATTTTTTGTTTGGTTATGGATGTGTTATATGTGAGTTTGAATGTGAACATCTTAGCCATGTGGACTCCACAGGTCCCACCACTTGCCGTTGTCTCACATCTGATCCACTTCACTTTTTTAAATTACCAGCTTGCCCCGATGGCATTTGAGGAAGAAACCCACATTACAGCATGTAGGGAAAGCCTACAGGTTTGGAAACCATGTCAAATTAGGAAAAGTTAAGAAAATTAAGTAATTAACTTTAGAAAAGGGATGACTTAGAATATGATAGTTTCCTCAGGCTAACCAAAAGCTAACATAAAGAAGAGAGAATAGGCCGGGCGCAGTGGCTCACGCTTGTAATCCCAGCACTTTGGGAGGCCTAGGCGGGTGGATCACATGAGGTCAGGAGTTTGTGACCAGCCTGGCCAACATGGTGAAACCATGTCTCTACTAAAAATACAAAAATTAGCTGGGCATGGTGGCAGGTGCCTGTAATCCTAGCTACTGGGGAGGCTGAGGCAGGACAATTGCTTGAACCTGGGAGTGGAAGTTTTCAGTGAACCAATATTGTGCCATTGCACTCCAGCCTGGGTGACAAGAGTGATACTCTGTCTTTAAAAAATAATAATAAATAAAAATTTAAAAATTTTAAAAAGAGAGAGACAGAATAGATTCATTTTATGTTGTCCCTTCATCCATTTCACAAGTTACCTGTTGTATGTCCTCTATGTACCAGGTCCTGACAGAACTGCTCCAAACAGTGGAATTAGGACTAAAGGGTAGGTGTTTCAGGAAGGCAGATTCAGACTCAATATAGTGGTTTCTTACTCATTTTGGGTCTCAGATTCCTTTCAATCTGATCAAAGATATGGGCCTGCTCTGCTAAAAGATATACATGTACACACGCACACAAGTGTCAACATGCACTTTCAGGAGATTCATAGACCCATTGAAACCCATATATGGACTCCAGACTAAGAATCTCTGGAGAATACAGTAGCCATACTGATACAACTGTAGCTATTAAAAAGAATGAGGTAGAATAAAGTGAGAAAAAAAGAAATATAAAAAATAGTGTGTACAGTTTAAAAATGAATTATACACATGGAGATATGTGTGTATAATATACATGCTATCTCTAAAAAATTCACAATAAACTAGTAAGAGTGTTTGCCTCCAGGAAGGGATCTTGGTGGCTGGGGGCAGAGGGAGACTCTAGCTTTTACCTTGAGTGTGATGACATGCCCCAGGCTGATGTTAGCAGAGGAGCGACATCATCTAACTTCTGTTTCTAAAAAAATTGTGCTATAATTCCAGTTTAGAAATGTGGGTGGCTTGGAATAAGTTGGTAGCAGTGGGAGTGGTAGAATATACTTTTCACTACTTGCTCTTTGAACATTTGGCACTTTGTATCGTGTACACCTAATACCTATTCAAAAAATGTTATGTATCAGAAAAGGACCCTTGGCAAAAATCTTTCTTTTTCTTTTTTTCTTTTTTTCTTTTACTGAGACAGAATCTTGCTCTGTCGCCCAGGCTGTAGTGCAGTGGTGCCATCTCTGCTCACTGCAACCTCCACCCCCCGGGTTCAAGCAATTCTCCTGTCTCAGCCTACCGAGTAGCTGGGACCACAGGAGCGTGCCACCACACCCGGTTAATTTTTTCTATTTTTAGTAGAGACGGGGTTTCACTGTGTTAGCCAGGATGGTCTCAATTCCCTGACTTCCTGATCTGCCCACCTCAGCCTCCCAAAGTGCTGGGATTACAGGCGTGAGCCACCGCACACAGCCACAAAGATCTTTCTAGGAGTTAAATAGCTTCAATAATGGAGCACTTTGCTTAAGAATCTATGGAACTTCCTGGAAGTCCTCATGTAAAGACTAAACTCACTACCAGACATGCAGTGTCACAGAGTTTGGCACTGGGTGGGGGATTGCTGCAGATGATGAAGGATATCTGGGTCCATCTGAAGATGGCAGGAATCTTGGAATTCCTATTGCACTTGGAATCATTCTTTATTATAATAATTTGAAATTTATTGAGCACCTATTATGTGCCAGCTACCACATTACACACTAGGGATACAGCAGCAACAAAATAAAATCCCTGCCTTCCTGAAGCTTATATTCTAGTGGTGAAGATAGACAGTAAACAAACAAATCAATATTAATATATCAGAAAATGACAAGTACTATGGAAAAAAATTAAGCAGAGTAAAGTTGTAGGAAGCATGCAGAGAGTGGCAATTTTTAAATAAGATGATAAAGAAAGTATCACTGATAAAGTGTCATTTGCACAGAGATTTGACAGAAGCAAGTGAATAAGCATGACACTCTATGAGGAAGAAACATCCTAGTTAGAGAGAAAAGCAATGGACCTCTGGGAGTTTTCTTGGTATGTCTGAGAAACAGCAAGTAAGCCATATGGCTGATCTCAGTAATCAAAGAGGAGAGTGACAGGGCATGAGGTCAGAGAGGTAATGGGAATGAAGGTAGATCATGTAGAATCTTGTAGGTCACTCTAAAGACTTTGGCTTTTATTGTGAACAATATAAAAGGCCACGGACGGTTTTGAGCAGGAGCATGACATGATCTGATTTACATGTTTAATGGATTATGTAATGATCCAAGTAAGAAATGATGCTGGCTTGGATTAAGGTTATAGCAGTAGAGAAGTGTTCAGATTCTAAATATACTTTTAGGCCAGGTGCAGTGGCTCACACCTGTAATCCCAACAATTTGAGAGGCCATGGTGGGAAAATAACTTTAGGCCAGAAGTTCAAGACCAGCCTGGGCAACAAAGCAAGACATCTGTTTCTACAAAATAATAATAATAATAATAATAATAATAATAATAATAATAATAATTAGCCAGCACTGTGGTGAGTACCTGTAGTTCCAACTACTGGGAAATCTGAGGTGGGAGGATCCCTTGAGCCCAGGAGTCTGAAGTTATAGTGAGCTATGATTGTGCCACTCCATTCCAGCCTGGGTGACAGTGTGAGATGCTGTTTCTAAACAAATAAATTTTTAACTATTCAGCTGAAAGTATTGCTGATAGATAGGATCTGGAGTGTGAGAGAAAAAGGGAGTCAAGTCAGACTCCAAGGCTTTGGCCTAAATAACCAGAAGAATGGATAAAGAAGGCTGTGGGAGAAGCAGGTATAAGGAAAATAGTCACTTTGACCTTGGATAATTTCAAGTTGAGATGCCAATCAGACAACCTAGTTATCATGAAAATGAAGACATACCTGTAAAGGATATTAAGAAATAGTAGCTAGTGAAGTAGAAAGAGCCAAGAATTACATGGTGTCCTGGAAGCCAAGTGGAAGAAAAAAGTGTTTCAAGGAGAGAGTGATAAACTGTGTCAAATGCCGCTGTTGGGCGAAAAAAAAAGGAGAACAGTAAAATGACCATTGAATTTAATACTGAGGAGATATTGTTGACCTTGATATGAATCATTTTGGTGGAGTGATGATGGCAAAAGCCTGACTGGAGAGGATTCAAGAGAAAATGAGAGGAGAGAAATTGGAACGAATGAGCAGAGACAACTCATTCCAGAATTTTTGCTCTGAGGAGGAGAGAAATGGGGCTATGACTTGGGTGAAGAGAACAGATTTTTTAAACATTGAAGATGTTGTTCAATGAAAGAAAAATTGATGCCATGAGGGAAGAGTGAATGACTTGAGTAATGACCTTGATTAGGCAAAAAGAAATAAAATTTAGTGCATAAGTAGAGGAGTCAGCATTCAGTGGAATCCCAGATGGTTCGCTCACAGTGACAAGAGGGAAGGCAGAGTTTATGGATACAAATACAAATAGATTGGTGGGAGTTCTTTTCTGACAACTTCTATTTTCTCAGTGAAATAGGAAACAAGGTAGCAGCTGAAAGGGAAAATGTAGAAACAAGTGTCGGAAGTTTGAGGAAAGGAAAGATGTAAAAAAGCCACCCAGGAGCATTCAAGAATGAATGGATGAAATGAATGTAGTGAAGTTAGCAGATAGTACTAAGGGCCCATTTGAAGTTAGTGGTCCTGAATCTAAAGCGAGACTGGTTAGCACGGTTATAAGCTTTTATCCAATCTCATTCGGCTGCTGGGGCAGGTTGGGAATAAAGAGAGTAGGATTTAACAACGATTGGATGTCTGTTATTCAAATCACATGAAAGCAGAGAGAGCCTAGGGAATCTAGGGTGTATGCTAAACAGTGACTTTAAGGATGGTTATAGAATCTAAGCTGATCAAAGAAGAAAATGGAGACACTAGGGGGCTGAGGGACAGTACTCTATAGTTTAGCACGTAATTGTTCTCTTAACTTTTATCATGTAAGGGCTGAAAAGTGTCCATTCTTGTTAGCAAGTCACTAGTCATTTTGGAGTAGTGTTCTCATAATTGCATTTTTCAGAACCACTAGTCCCTCACCACCATCTCTGTGAGTGAGGTCACAAAAATTTTCAAATCCGGTATACCCCATTAGTTTTTGGAGATTCACATTACCTGTTGACCTATTAAGGACTCTGAATATTCTCGCAGCCAGGAAACCACATTTGACTAATCCAGTGGTTTGTAACATTGCTTGTTCATGGAGCTCTTTATGTAATACTATCAACATCAATCCTCAGAAACTAGTACTCCATGGAATACATTTTGAGAAATGCTAGCTTAGGAATCATGTTGGGGATTGGAAGCTGACTTTTAGGATAAAACCTTTGTTGGGCCAGAGTCATAGCAGCTTTTCTCCAAGACAATATGCATGGCAGGAACCAACACATGTCCTCCCCGGGCCATCTCTCTATTCTGCAGCTGAGCCAGTCTGCAGAGATTTCGGTTCTATCTAGTTCCCCTAAAGCCAAATAAACCTAATATTGTCAATACAGCTAATTCCCTAGTTTTCATTCAGCTGAAGTTTCCTGATGTTATATTTTCAATAATTCAAGAGATAGTATTGTCACAATGCACTGGAAGCAGCATGCATATTTACTAACCACTTCCTTGTGTCAGGCACTATGCTTGGCACTTTGCATAGATCACCTCGCTCACTCTTTGCAATAATATTGTGAGAAGGTATATATTATTAGAAAACACCCAGAAAGATCATGAGCAACCAGTTTTCTTCAGAAACTTGTTGCCTGGAAGAAGGAAAATAGGTTTAGTCTGTAACAAGCAATGTGTTTTGCACAGACAGATTTGAAGCCCTAGGAACACTGATAGAATCAGAATGTTGGAGCCAAAAGGAACCTTAGAGATCAGTTTAAGATATTAGAGAGAGATTATTGCATTCTCCCCAAAAGTTATTATGTAAATTGTCTCAGGAGAGCAGGATTAAGAAATCTTGCCATAACTGCCTTTGCTTTCATTTAAATTAAGCCATATGAAATGATATTGTCACATGAACTAAAGCATATAGATCACGCTACAAGAATGCAATAAGGTAAGTGATTATTGGCTGGAATTGTAAATGAACATTTGGAGTTTATTCTGTATTTCAACGTCATGGAAGCCTGATTTCACCAGAAGGCAATGGTTCTCAAACTTGAATATGTATCAGAATTATTCCAGAATCTTGTTTTAAAATGCAGGCTCCTGACCCTATCTTCAGATATACTAACTCAGTAAGTCTGCTATAAAGGACCAGGAAACTGACATTTTTAACTAGCTCCCCAGGTGTCACTCAGTGGACCACCACAATAGGCGGCCCACAAACTGACCACAATCTGAGAAAGACATCCCTGGGAATATTCTATTCATAATTAAGGTGTGAGCAGGCCAGTGTCAACTGGTCAGCTAGGGCAATTCCCCTGCAAAGACACTGATGTAGAGGTACAGGAAGTCCCTACTGTTTCTAGATTCCCATTTTCCTACAGAATCCTTGTCTTAATGTGATAATGAACTCCTAGAGACATCTTCCTTGTGACCTGATGCAGGGAGCTGAGGCTCAGGAACAAATATAGTTGGCACTACAGGGAATATTTCTGGATATAATATTAAGGTACACAAAAATTCCCCCTGTAAGCTCTTAGATGATTAGACATTCTTCGGTAGACTTAGAATATTATGCTATCCCATTATATTATGGTCACATATATAGTAAAGAAATTAGTATGGCTGGCAGGCTGTGGGATGCTTATACTCTAAATGGACCTTGGTCCTATTCAGGATCCATTCATCAGCTTCACAGGTTCCAAAACTCAATTTTTTCCATTTTAGCCAGGGATTGATCAGGCTCTAGGGGACAAATTTCACACAACCTAAACTTATAAGGCAATAATTTGGAAGCCAAAATGTCAATTTATTAATTCATCTTGATAAATCCCAGTAGGAAATCTACTTAGGAAACCAAATAAAGACAAAAGGCTGTTTGTTTGGTGGGAGCAGCCTGCTTTAGTTAGTGGAAAGAGCCAGAGTTTTGGAGTCAGATAGGCTAGGGTCCCAGCTAGGCTATACATAGTGGGTTGAATTGTGTCACCGCCCCCAAAAGTTACATCCAACTGGAACTGCAAAATGTGAACTTATTTAGAATATGACTCTTTGCTGATGTATGTAAGATAAGGATGTCTACATGAGATCATCCTGGATTAGGGTGGGCTGTAAATCCAATGATAAGTGTCCTTATAAGTGACAGGGCACAGAGACAAGGGAGAAGCCCATCTGAAGACAGAGGCAGGGATTGGAATGATGCTACCACAAGCCAAGCAACACCTGGAACCGCTAGGAAGAGGCAAGGAACAGAATCTCCCCTAGAGCCTTTGTAGGGAGCATGGCCCTGCCAACACCTTGATTTTGAACTTCTGGCCTCCAGAACTGTGAAAGTATAAATATCTGCTGTTTTAAGCCACCAAGTTTGTGGCAATTTGTTATGGTAGTCACAGAAAACTAATATACCACTCATTCCGTTTTATGGGCTTAAGTCACATAACCTCTCTGAGCCTCAGTTCCGTCATTTGAAAATGGAACTAATAATAGAATTCTATGATATCATAGAGTTGCCTTGAGGATTAAATAAGATAATTTATGTAAAGTGTTTGACTCTGTAGGCACTTGTTATATGGTGACTGTTATTACTGGTGAGTGAAGAGATAGTATATGGTGTGGGATGATCTGAAGAGATGGAGTCATGTAGTTTATTCAGTCTGATGCATCCATGCATCACCCTATCAGAAAGTCAATAAATGTGTCAGTAGGCCAGGGCACAGAGTAATAAAAGCAACTTCTCTTTCTAATTATTTTTATTTTTCTCTCTATAATGGTCAAATAACTTGTTTGTACATGTCACAATATCATGAACCCCGTCTTAGTTATATGGACTTTCCCAGCCATAGCATTTCCAAGGCTACAGTTGTGTTTTCCACTGATTACATTTTAGAGCATTACTCCTTAATGACACATAGGGAGGTCCCTTATCTATCAGTAAATACTTTTCTGTGGGCAGCCAATCTCATTTCTACAGTGGGCAATTTCTTTTGTCAGCTTAAGCCCCTGAGAATGGCATGTTTCTACCCTATCAGTTGACCTTAATTCTAGAGTTGGTGGCCCTATTCCCTCTCAGTCTGTAGCCCTCTGTCCATTTTTCAAAACTCCACAAATTCACAGTGCTGTGTCTACTTTCTCACCCACCTGTTTGTAAAGAGAAAATTCCTTAGCTTCTGCATCTGACACTCCATTCCCACCCATATAGCCCCAACTAGTGTTACCTCTGGAAGGCCAAGGAGATCATGCCCTATTCATCTTTGTAGGTACTGCCTAGTGTGCTGCATGGCATATGGTAAATATTTGTTGAGGTGACAAAAAACAATAGATAAATCTTGGCTCTGGAGTTGGGCAGACCTGAGTTGAAATGCTAGCTTCCTTTTCTGCTGGTTGTGGGGCCTTGAGCAAATTACTTCAGCTTTTAGTACTTCAGTTCCTTCATCTATAAAATTATGATAGTATATATCACTTAGGTGTTTTATAAGAATTAAATGAATTAATATATATAAATCCCCCAGCACAATACCACATACGTAGTGAATGTTTGGTAAATGTTAGCAATGTGTGGAAGACTATATAAAATAATGAATGAGTGAAAGTGCATTTTCAATAGGAAGTCATATAACTACAGGATATCTTTAGTGCCTGTAAGAGATCCAAGGAAGTATGAAAGAACAGTCAGTAAGAACTGGTAAATACTTCATTTATCATATTTCCTACCATGTGATTCTTACCATTAGGAGTACATGAAAGCTGAAGTTTTTCAGAACAAACCATTCACATTGAATGCATGGAAGGAAAATATCATCTCATATCATAAGAGTAACAGTCGCCCAGCTTCTGGGAGTACTTCAGAATATGATTAAGTGTTGAAAAGCGTAGAGTTGTCAATAGAAGCTATTGCTAGCAGTTGTTTCAAATTAATTAAAAATACTGATTTCAGCGTTCTGGTTTTAGTACAGAGTATTTGAGTTATTATTGTTATTAGAGGGAGTCTGAGTCAGGAGGGTTAAATAGACAAATGACAACATTAAAGGAAGTCAGATGAAATTTCACACATTGGGAGAATTGCACAGGCAATGAAAGCAACTTTTACTTTATATAACAAGCTTAAGTTTTAGTGTAGGGATGAGGGGAAAAAGAAGGAAGGAGAGTTGATATGCTGCAAACCCATCCAAAGCTAGATTTTGTTCAGGATTCTGCACCATCAATGGCTCTGTTATATATATATATTTTTTATTCCACAGCTTTCCAATCTCCCACTGATGCATTCATTCAGTAAAATAAATCATGTGCCTACTATATGCCAGGTACTATTCTAGATGTTGGAGATACAGCAGTAAACAAAAGTCCTTGCCCTCCTGGAATTTACATTCTAGCAGGGGTCAGTACACTATGGCCCATTAGCTAAATCTAGCCCGCTCCCTGTTTTGGTAAATACAGTTTTATTGGAACACAGCCATGCTCATCTATGGCAGCTTTTGTATAACAATGATAGAGGTAGGTAGTTGTGTTAAAGATTACGTGGCTCACAAAGCCTAAAATATTTATTATCTGGACCTTTACAGAAAAAGTTTTCCAGCTCCTGTTCTAGCAGAAGGAGATAGATGATAAACAAATAAATAGATAAACATATAACATCTGCTAGTATTCAAAGTATAAAGAAATAAAACATGGAAGGCAGATAGAGAATGGCGAGAAGGCGCTTGCAATACTAAATATGGTAATCAGAGAAGATTTTACCAAGTGGGATATTTGATCCATCACCTGAAGGACAGGAGTATGTCAATATCTGGGTTGCATACAGCATTATGGGCCATTATAAGGGGTTTTGTTGTTACTGAGTGTCAGATGGGAAGCCATTGGAGGAGTTTTGAGCAGAGGAGTGACATGATCTGACATTCACATAATAAAATTATCCTGGTTCCAAAAAACAGTGAGAGAATAATAGGCTTGAGTGATGGTGGCAAGAACAGAAGCAAGGAGAACAGTTGAGAGGCTAGTGCAATATAATCCAGGAAGCAGATCATTGTGACATAAACCAGGATAGTAGCAATGAAAAAGTGGTCAGATTCTAGATATATTCTGAAGGTAGAACCAATAAGATTTGCTGATCAAATAAATGTAGGATATGAAAGAGGGAAAAATCAAGATTGATTCCTAGGTCTTCCGCCTGAGCAACCGGAAGAATGAAATTGGTATTTAGGGAGACGGGGAAGACTGTGAGGAGCAGGTTTTGTGAGTGCAGCAGGTTTTGTTGGGGGTTGTGGGCAGGGGCAGTTTTGAACATGGTAAGTTGGAGATACCTATTAGGCATGCAAGTTGATATGTCCAGCAGGCAATTGGGCATAAAAGTATGGAGATACAAATTTGTGACTCATCAGCAAATAGATAGTATATTAAGCCACGAAGATCGGAGCATCACTAAGAAGATAAAGGACAGAAGATATCTTAGGCTTCAAGCCTTCCTCTACCTTTCAACTCCAGAAGTCAGTCCGTGACAAAATCCTATCAATTCTTCCTGTATAATGTCTCTCAATTCACCATTTTCCTTCCATTCCCACTGCTACCATTGTAGTCCAGGATCTCACCTTGTCTTACTTGGCTTTTACAATAGCCTCCTAACTGGTTTCCTTGCCTCCAAATGTCAACTTGAAACTCATCATCTCATTTGTCCTTCCCCTCCAAAAAAATCTTTCTACTTCTCCTGGGCTCTCTATCTTAAAGAATGGCATCACTATTCATAAGCATTTGCTTAAACTTGAAAATTTGAAATCCTCCTTGTCACCTCCCTTTCTTCTACTCTCCATTATGCAATTCTATTACCAAACCCTGACATTTTTACCTCCAAAATATAACTCAATTCTGTCCACCATTCTCTGTCTCTATTACTATCAATCTAGTTCAAGATAACATCACCTCCCACCTGGACAATGGTAATAGCCTCTTGACTACTCTTCTTCCCTCTAGTTAATCTCCCATATGAAAACCAGTGGAATCTTTCTAAAACAGTGCTATGCATATTTTGCCTACCTATTCTGTAGGTCCACAGAATAAAATTCAAAAGCCCTTCATCATTTGCCCATAACTTTTCTTTCCAATGGTATCTACTATGGCTTCTCTGGAAATTCCCCTCATTTCATCCCTGTGGGCTTGTCAGTGGTCTTTAGACCCACCATGACCACAGTGTGCCCCCAATACCTAGTGCAGACCTTCCCAAACATATTACAAGTGTCTGAGGCTATGAGATTTCTTCTCTGTCCTCAACTGAGCCCAGAGACAGTGCTGTTGAAACTCCTAGAATGCTTGCCTCTAGATGTCAAACTGCTTCCTCCATTCAGCCTAGTGTGCTTTACAAATACTATGCTTTTCTCTGCATGCCATGACACAATAAAGGTTGTGAAGGACTGCTTTAATGCACACCATTCCCAGAGTTTGGAAAGTGCTGCTCCATTCTCTTCTCTAAGTTCTAAGTACCCTTCTATGCCAAGTTCAAGTCTCACCTTTCTGATAAAGCAGTCTTTGATGCTACATATCCAACCTCAAAATTCTTGTATGATGTGACCAGACCACTCATTTGGCACTTAGTATATGTGCTGCTATTTAACTTTTTATGGTGAGACCTTATCTCTCTGTGTTGTCTGTTGCTTAAGAGCAACAATTTTTATACCGACTTTTGCACCCAGGGCCTTACCATACAGTAAGACACTCAGTATATTTTTACAATATTAATGAATAAATTAATTAATGAATAGATAGTTAAATTCCATCAGATGGTGCAATGGACAAGAACATTAGATTCAGAATCAGAGAATCTGGATTCTAGTGCACTTTGCCACTAGATGGTTGTGTGAGACTTCAGGAAAGTTGCTTGCCTTAGTTGCCTCATTCACAAAATAGGAACAATACTTCCCATTGTGACTTCCCAAGTTGAGATGGGATAATTTATGGAAAAAATATTTGGCAGATGAAAAGAGCATGTCGTTCATGAGTAATGCCAAAAGAGGCAGTGTGGAAGATAAAGAATGAGCTCAAAGAAGCTGCAGAAAACATTAGAGGGTTCATGGGTGAAAAAAAAGCCAAAGGGGTAAGGGAAATTTGCTAGCAAAGTAGACTTGCCCAGGAGTGATTGAGAAAGGATGATAAACACAGAAGAAAGAAAAATCAAGTTTCTGTTGCGAAGCAGTATAACACAGCCACTAGATCCAGACTGCCTAGGTTCAAAGCCTGGCTCTGGCACTTAACCAGCTATGTGACCTTGAACAAGTTATTTAACATCTCTGAACTTCAGTTTACTCATATGTATTATGGGGGCAATAATAATGCCTATTTCCAGGGAAGTGTTATAAGATGTAAAGGAGTTAATACTTATAAAGTACTTAGAGCAGTGCAGACCAGTGCCTAGCATATAGAGCGTTATAGAAGAACGTGTTAGATAAAATAATAATCTTCTCCTTACCAGGCAATACTCCAGTCCTCATGGCTGGCACTTTCTCCTGGGACCTGGAGCAGGGCTCACGAAAGTTCTGACTTGCTCTCCAGTGGGCACGTCTCCTTTCCACATTCCAGAGCCCAGTCCTCTGAGCTTAGCCTATCTCACTGCTCAAAGGACACTATGTTTCCCAGCCTACAAAGTTTCTTTTCAATTCTTTAGCCTTTTTCAAAACCCAATAGAGTTCCTTGTGAGAACAGATAGGAGTGAATTCCATAAGCTCCCAGAAGCAAATACAGACAGTATAATCTAATCTTTTAGAGCAATGGCTTTGTAATCAAGCAAAAGAGAGTTTGAATCAGGGCTCTGTAAATGACCAACTGAGTGACCTTGGACAAATCCAAGGTCTGAGCCTCAGCTTGCTTGTCTTCAAAATGAGGCCTCACAGGTGGTTGTCAGGATCAAATGAGAAAATGGACATGATGCATTCAGTATAGGGCCTGGCATGTGGTAAGCACTCAGAAAGTGTTAGCTCTTATCATTAATAATTCCTAGGATTATGGGTCTCGATTTTCCCAACTCTAGAATGTAATTTAATAGCACTATAGCTCTTATCCACTATTCCTCTGTCATCTCAATTTGACCCTTCCAAACTAAAAAGGTGCAAAAAAATATTCTTGGTGTGATAAGTTGACAACACTCTGCATTTTACACTCCCTTTGAGGTTTATGCCCAGTTTAAAAGAATTACAGAGAAAGAACCCGCAACTCTAAGTATGCTTCAGATTTCCATATGTCTGTAAATGCCTCAAAGACAGCAGTGGTCCTCTTAGCCTAGGGTGAACATCAAAATCACCTATTTTTATTTTTAATTTCATTAAATATAATTCTTCTGATAAAATGGCAAAGAATTTTTTTTCAAAATCCTTGCTTTTACCCTAGAAATGATACTCCTCATGAAACAAATGTCCAATGGGGAGACAGAGGGCCAGGCAAGTATATTTTGCAAAAGTTATCCAAGTCAGTCTCGTAAACACCCCTGATGTGAGAGAGGGACTGGAACATGCATTTGGAGGATGAGGCCAGGGTCTTGCCTTGAGAAAAAATCCAAGAAGGGCAAGTATAACCACTCTGCTTCCCACACAATGTGGGTATGTAGAAACATGCCCTGCACCCACAGGGAAGAGCATAGTATTTTCTCCTGCATGCATTAATCACAGAGGATTTCCCTCCTATAGTTATACAAGCATCATCCTTGACACATCAGTTGGAGAACTGTACTCAGTGAGAATACAAGATTCATCCAGCTTTGAAAATGTAACTATATCTAACAACTGGATTAAATATATTTCATGCCCAAAGATCTAATACTATTTAAAGCCTACAGCAAGGAAGAATGATTACCAAATAATTTAATTATTTTTGGTTTACACATCTGTCATCAAAGTTAATCGTTTGCTGGCAGAAACTGGCCATTTGGTCTTGACCATGATCACTAATGAGTGTGCTTGCATTTCATATCAAGGAAACAGTCTCTCAAATGGTTCTAATCAAATAAATTAAAAGCTGAAATACTTTTAAAAAAGTAAAAAGTGTAAAAAGGCACAATTTATAAGATTTATGAAGTGGTTACTTTTTCTTTTCTGATTTTATGTATATCTATCACTCAACACTTGCTGTGAAACATATTAGATACACCTACGTTACTTTGGAGGACCACCAAATATTTGATTTTCCCATGTATTTATCTAAAAATGTTATTAAATTTTCATTTAAATCTTTCAAAAATAGAGTGTTAAATTTCATGTATATGTGTGATCTATACTAATAGATCTAAGCTAATGTATACATACTCAGTTCTCATTTTTCTATTTGCAAAATTCAAACTAATGAATTAGTTTGAAGAAAGAAGAAAGAAATGAAGAATTTTGAAAAGTAATTCTCAAAATGCTTAAAAATAGATGCTAAATTCATTGAGCTACTCATTTCAATATTTTAATATAAGAATGCAAAATTTGTAATGTAGTAGTTAGGTACACAGACTTGAAAATCAGGGAGAAGTGATTCCATTTTCCTTCTGCTCTCTTGCTAACTATGCAACCTCAGGCAAGTAACTGCACTTCTCTGAGCTTTAGTTATCTCATCTGTAAAATGAGGATAATAATATTATATGTCATAAGGGATGTGGACATTAAATATGATAATACTTACAAAATATTATTATTTTTTCCTTTCAAAACTATTTTTAATTGACAAATGATAAGGTGTGTATATATATATATGGTACAATGTGATGTTTTGATCTATGTGTATATTATAGAAAGATTCAATCAAGCTAATGAACATATCTATCACCTCGCTAATTTATCATTATTTTGTGGTAAGAACATTAAAAAGCTATTCTTTTACCAATTTTGAAATACACAATATATTATTATTAACTGTGGTTACCATGTAGTGCAATACATCACTAAAAGTTATTCCTCTAGTTGGCCAGTGTGGTGGCTCACACTTGTAATCCCAGCACTTTGGGAGGCCGAGGCAGGTGGATCACCTAAGGTCAGGAGTTTGAGACCAGCCTGGCCAACATGGTGAAACCCCGTCTCCACTAAAAAAACACAAAAATCAGCTGGGTGTGGAGGTACATGCCTGTAATCCCATCTACTCTGGAGGCTGTGGCAGAAGACTCACTTGAACCCAGGAGGTGAAGGTTGCAGTGAGCCGAGATGCTGCCACTGCACTCCAGCCTGGGCAACAGAGTAGGACTCTGTCTCAAAAAAAAAAAAAAAAAAAAGGTTATGCCTCCAGTCTCACTGAAATTTTATATAATTTGATCAACATCTTCCCTTTCCCCAACCCTCCTCCTCCCCACTAACCTCTGGTAACCACCTTTCTGTTCTTTGTTTCTATGATATCCACTTTTTAAGATTTCACGTAGGAGATCACACAATATTTATCTTTCTGTGCTTGCCTTATTTCACATAGCATAGTATCTTCCAGTTCCATCCATGTTGTTTTGAATGATAGAATTTTCTTATTTTTTAAGGCTATATAGTATTCCATCGTGTATAGGTATTACATTTTCTTTATCCATTCATCTGTTGATGGACATTTGGGTTGCTTCCACATCTTGACTATTGTGAATAATACTAAAATGAACATGGGCGTGCAGATATCTCTTTGACATACTGATCTCAATTCCTTTGGATTTATACCCAGAAGTGACATTGCTGTATCATACGGTAATTCTATTTTTAGTTTTTTGAGGAACCTTTATACTGTTTTCCAAATGGTTATATGAATTCACCTTCCAATCAACAGTGTGCAAGGATTCTCTTTTCACCATATTCTCACCAACACTTATCACTCATCTTTTTGATAATGGCCATTTTAACAGATGATACCTCATTGTGGTTTTACTTTGCATTTCCCTGATGAGTATAGATGTTGAGCATTTTTTTTCACATATCTGTTGGCAATTCACAACTCTTAAGAAATGTCTATCCAAATCCTTTGCCCATGTTTTTAAATTTTTAAAAACTTTAGAGACAGGGTTTTGCTCTGTTGCCCAGGCTGAAGTGTGGTGGCACAATTACAGCTCACTGCAACCTCCAGCCTCTGGGCTCAGGTGATCCTCCCACCTCACCAACCTGAGTAGCTAGGACTATAGGTGTGCACCACCACATCCTGCTAATTAAAAAATAATTGTGTAGAGACAGGGGTCTTGCTTCATTGCCCAAGCTGGTCTTGAACTCCTGCCTTGCCCATTTTTTAATCAGGTTGTTTTCTTGTGATTGAATTGTCTGATTTCCTTATGTATTTTGGATATTAGCCCCTTGTCAGATACATGTTTCCCGGTATTTTCTACCAATCTGTGAGCTGTCCCTTCACTCTATTAATTGTTTCATCTGCTGTGCAAAAGCTTTTTAGTTTGATGCAATCTCATTTGTCTAATGTTGCTTTTGTCGCCTATGTCTGTGCTTTTGTTGCCTCTGCTTTTTCTTGTTGCCAAGAAATCATTGTCCAGACCAATGCTGTGGATCTTTTTCCCTATTTTCTTCTAGTAGTTTTACAGTTTCAGGTCGTATGTTCAAGTTTATTTATTTCGAATTGGTGAGAGATAGGGGTCTAGTTTCATTCTTCTGCATGTGGATATCCAGTTTTCCCAACACCATTTATTGAAAAGACTGTCCTTTCCCTATTGTATAGTCTTGGCACCTTTGTTGAAAGTCAATTTATCATAAATACTTGGGTTTGCTTCTAGGCTTTCTGTCATGTTCCATTGGTCAATATGTCTGTCTTTATGCAAGTATCATGCTGTTTTGATTATAATAGCTTTATTTAATATACAGTTATCTCTTGGTATCCATAAGTGATTGGTTCCAAGACGTCCCACAGATAATAAAATCCACAAATGCTCAAGTTCCTGATATAAAGTGGAATAGTATTTGTATATAACCTATGCACATCCTCGTGCCTACTTTAAATCATCTCTAGATTATTTATAATACCTAATACAATGTAAATGCTATGTAAAGAGTTCTTATACTATATTGTTTAAAGGGAATAATAACAAGAAAAAAGTATGTACATGTAAAGTACAGACACTTTTTTGGGAATATTTTTGATCCACAGTTGGTCAAATCCACAGGTGCAAAACCCATGGATACAGAGGGCTCGCTGTATGTTGAAATCAGGGAGTGTGATGCCTCCACCCTTGTTCTTCTTACTCAAAGTTGCTTCGGCCATTAAGAGTTTTTTCTGGTTCCATATGAATTTTAGGTTGTTATTTCTGTGAAAAATGACACTGGAATTTTGACAGGAATTTCATTGAATCTGTAGATCACTTTGGGTGGTATGGAAATTTTAATAGTACTAATTATTCCAATCCATGAGCATGGGATATCTTTCCATATATTTGTGTTTTCTTCAATTTATTTCATCAATATTTTATAGTTTTTACTATACAGATCTTTCACCTACTTGGTTAAAGTTACTTCTAAACATTTTATTTTTTGATGCAATTATAAATAGGATTTTCTTAATTTCTTTTTTAGATAGTTCATTGTTAGTATATAGAAACACTGCTGATTTTTGCATATTTTGTAACCTGAAACTTTACTGAATTTGTTCATCAGTTCTAACAGATTTTGGTAGAGTCTTTAAGGTTTTCTATCATTCTCAAGTACACATGGAACACTCTCCATGATAGATCATGTTAGGCCACAAAACATGCCTTTACAAATTTAAGATTGAAATTATATTATTTTTTCTGACCACATTGGCATGGAAGTAGAAATCAACAACAGGAGAACCTTGAAAAACTCATAAATATGTGGAAATTGAACAAAACAATATGTTCCTGTACAATCAATGAGTCAAAGAAGGAAATTTCAAAAGGAAATTTTGAAATATCTTGAGATAAACAAGAATGGAAACATAACACTCCAAAACTTATGGGATGCAGCAAAAGTAGTCGTAGGAGGGAAGTTTATAGCAATAAATGCCTGCATCATAATAGAAGAAAGCTCTTAAATAAACAAACATTACACCTCAAGGAACTAGAAAAAGAAGATCAAAGTAAGCCCAAACTTAGCAGAAGGAAAGAAATAACAAAGATTAAAGCAGAAATAAACAAAATAGAGACTAAAAAAATTTAGAAAACATTGACAAAACTGAAAGTTGGTTTTTTAAAAAGATAAAATTGACAAACTGTTAGCCAGACTAACAAAGAAAAACAGAGAGAAGACTCAAATAAACAAGATCAGAAATGAAAGAGAAGACATTACAACTAATACCACAGAAATACAAAATATCATAAGATACTACTATGAACAACCATACACAAACAAATTGGATAACCTAAAACGAGTGGATAAATTCCTAGAAAAATGCAACCTACCAAGACTAAATCAGAAGACATATAAACGTTTCACAACAATGTCTGGCATTGTGCTAAGTGAATAATGAATGCTATAAGTTTTTGTTATTATTTCTACCAGAATGTAAGCTTCATGGTGGCAGTTTTTTTCCACCTTCTCTGTTTGGTCCAGTGGCTAACATAGTGCATGTTCAATAAATATTTGTTGGGTGAATTAATTTATGTGGCAGTTATCTGTCTGAAAGACTTAGGGGAACTGCTTATTAATTATTCCACTGCTTCTAATCACACTTGGCAGCTGCATGAGTAATTCAAGGTGAAATTTTTAAAGAGGCTTTATTGAGAAATAATTCACATACCATATACTCTCTCCATTCCAAGTGTTCAATTAAATGGTTTTTAGTATATTCAAAGAGTTGTGCAAACATCACCATAATTAATTTTAGAACATTATCAGCACCCCACAAAGAAACTCCATGCCCATCAGTAGTCACTCCCATTACCTGGCAAACCCTCTCTCCACCCCACCCCTAGGGCACCACCAAATGACTTCCTGCCAATATAGATATGCTTATTCTAAACATTTCTTATGCATAGACTCATACAATAGATGGGTTTTGTGACTAGTTTCTTTCATTTAGAATAGTATTTTCAAGGTTCATTACATGTTGTAGAATGTATCAGTATTCCATTCATTTCCATTGTATGGGTATACCACCATTTGTTTATCCATTCATGGGTTGATGGATATTGGAGTTGTTTCCACATTTTGGCTATAATGCAGCCATGAACATTCATATCCAAGTTTTTGTGTGAACATGTATTTTCATTTCTCTTGGGTATATGCCTAGGAATAGAATTTATGGGTCATATAATAACTCTATGTTTAACTTTTTGAGAAAATGCCAGACAATCTTCCACAGAGGCTGCACCATTTAATATTCCCTTTAGGTTCCATTTTCTCCTCATCTTTGCCAATATTTGTTATTATCTCTTTTTAAAAAAAGTTATAGCCACCCTAGAGGGTATGAAGGGGTATCTCATGGTGGTTTGGGTTTGCATTTCTCTAACAATTATGCTGAACATCTTTTTCTTGTGCTAATTGGCCATTTGTGTATCTTCTTTGTAGAAACATACATTCAGATCTTTTGCCTTGCCTGTTTTTAAATTGGGTTGTCTTTTTTTATTGAGTTGTGTAAGAATTATATATTCTGGATACAAGTACTTATCAAACATGGTTTGCAAACACTTTCACATCTTATTCTCTGGGTTGTCTTTTCATTTCCTTTGATTCATTAAAGTTTTTAATTAAGATTTAGTCAGTTTATCATTTTTTTCTCTTATTGCTTGTGTTTTTTGGTGTCCTATTTAAGAAAGTATGGCCTAATTCAAAGCTATGAAGATTTACATCTATGTTTCCTTTTAATAGTGCTATAATTTTAGCCCTTACATTTGGATCTTTGCTCCATTTTGAGTTAATTTTTGTATATAGTGTGAGGAAGGGGTACAACCTCATTCTTTTGCATGTGAAGATGCAGTTGTCTCAGCACTATTTGTTAAAAATACTCTGTTTTCCTCGTGGAAATGTCTGGGTGCCCTTGATGAAAATCTATCAAACATAAATGTAAGAGTTTATCTCTGGACCCTTCATTCTATTCCACTGATCTATATGTCTATCCTTATGTCAGTACCATACTGATTGTTGTAGCTTTTTAGTAAGTTTTGAAATTGGGAAGTGTGCATCCTCCAACTAATGTCTTTTTTAAGATTGTTTTGGCTATTCTGGAGCCCTTGCATTTCCAGATGAATTTTAAGATCATCATGTCATTTTTTGCAAAGAAGCCACTGAGATTTTGATAGGGATTGTGTTGAATCTATAGATCAGTTAGAGTAGTATTGCTGTCTTAACAATATTGTCTCCTGCACACCACGAACATGGAATTTCTTTCCATTTACTTATGTTTTCTTCCACTTCTTTCAAAAACGTTTCATAGTTTTCAGTGTACATTCTTACACTTTCTTGGATACATTTATTCCTATTTTATTCTTTTGATGCAATGAAATCCTTTCTTTTCTTTTCTTTTCTTTTTTGAGACAGGGTCTCACTCTGTTGCCCAGGCTGGAATGTAGTGGTGCAATCATGACTCACTGCAGTCTCAACTGGCCAGGCTCAAGTGAACCTCCTGCCTCAACCTCCTGAGTAGCTGGGATCACAGGGTGCGTGCCACCATGCCCAGCTAATTTTTTTTATTATTATTTGTAGAGACGGGGGTCTCACTATGCTGCTCAGGCTGTTCTGAAACTCCTGGGCTCAAGCAACCCTCCCACCTCACCCTCCCAAAGTGCTGAGATTACAGGCATGAGCCCCCATGCCCAGCCTGGAATCGTTTTCTTAATTTTATTTTCAGATTGTTCATTGCTAGTGTGTAGAAGCACAACTGATTTTTGTATATTTCTCCTGCAAATTGCTGAATGCTTTTATTTACTTTAATAGTTATTTTGTGGGTTCTTTAGGGTTTTCTATGTATAAGATCAAGCTATCTTCAAATAGAGATCATTTGAATTCTTCCTTTCCAAACTGGAGGCCTATTATTTCTTTTTCTTCCCTAATTGCCCTGTTGAGAACTTCCAGTACAGTGTTAGGTAGAAGTGGGGTGAGTGAACATCCTCCTCTTGTTTCTGATCTTAGCAGAAGAGTTTTAGTCTTTCACCATTAAGTATGATGTTATCTGTTGGGTCTCTATAGGTGCTTTTTATCAGGTTGAAGAGTAAGGTGAACTTTATTTGAAACTAGAAGCCCCTCACCAAAGATGGAAACCTCAGGCCCACTTTTATTTTCTCTCTTCTGGTATGGCACAATTCTTCTGTTTCATATTCTCAAAACAGGGCGAGAATGCCTTAAGAGACAGACCTATACCTTATTCTGGATTTCAAACTGGGAACATTTCACTTCAGATGGAAGTGTTTTTGAAAGATAGCCTACTGAGAATTGTATAGATACTTAAGAATTCATTTGTAAAACATAAGATGGCAGGCTTTCTTTGAGCCATGACTTTATTTAGCTTGATTAAGTCTGTGTTCTACCGGTATACGTCATCTTTTCCTTAATCTCCTTGATGGGAGAATGCGAAATGGGAGACACATACAGGACTTTCTTATACATGATCCCTAGAGATGCAGTGGCATGTATGATAAGACTGCCTGGGTTCATTCAAATCCTTGCTCTGCCTCTTACACATTTGACAAGTAATGTGTATGTATCTCAGTTTCCTCATTTTGAAAAATTAAGATGATAAAACTATAATGATAATAATACCTAACTCAGAATTGTTGTGAGGAATAAATGAATTATTATATACAAAAAGTACTAAGAACAGTATAAAAATACTAAAAACAGTCCCTGACACCATCGTAAACTCCATTTATGTACTTCCAATTAGGCTATGTTGTTCAGTAATAACAACACAGGTTTAAGAGCCAGATAAATCCAGGTTGAAATTCCTGCCCAACTGCTTTTACCAGCTGAATTTGGTATAAAAACACAAATGAACTGAACTTTGTTTGCCTCAAAATTCATACGTTGAGGCCCTAATCTCCAATGTGGTAGTATTTGGAGGTCAGACCTTTGAGAGGGCAACTGGGGTTAGGAGGTAATGGGGTTTGCCATGTGAGGAAACCAGGAAGAAGGCCTGCACCACACTGAGCACATTGGCACCCTAATCTCAATCTTGGACTTCTCAGTCTCCAAAACTGTGAGAAATAAATGTTTGTTGTTTAAGCCACTCAATCTGGGGTATTCTTGATATAGCAGCCTCAACAGGCTAAGAGACCAGCTATGTGGCCTCTGACGAATTAATCTCTCTGAGATTTAGTTTTTTCATACCTAATCGGGTACAGAACCTACTTTTCAAGGTTATTATAAGGCATGCATTAGATAATTCCTGTGAAATATCTAACTCAAGATAATTGTTGGACAAATGGCAACTATTATTGTTGTTACTTTATTTTTATTTTCTTCTTTTAAGGCCAATGAGATCTTATCACTGAATTTCTTTTGCTCATTTAACAGTTCAGGCCTGGGGATGATAACAGCAAATGGCATAAGGGGCTTTTAGTTTTTTAAAAGTAATATATACTTGTGAAAAATTCAAATTTTACAAAAAGTGAAAAGTAAAAACCTGTTTTCATATGCATTTCCCTGCCCATTTTACTTCCCCTTTCTTAGGGTTAGCAACAAGGAAAAGAATTTGACTTATATCCATCCAGACCTTTTTCTATGCATATACATAAATGTGAATTATACATAAGAACACATACACATACATATATATTTCTACATAAATTATACCATATTATATATTGTTTTGTGATTTTCTAATTTTACTCGACAGTATATTTTTGATATCTTTCCATTTGAATAAAAATCTACCTCATTCTTCTTAATAGCAATACAATAACCCAAGAGATGGAAGTATCACTGGTTTACTTTTTAAAAATCTTTAATAATTGCTCTCAAGATAATATCATAAGTCTCTAGTTGCAGTGTGCTTTTTCTCTCAAAGCCTGTGTTTAACAATGTAGTATGTAAATGTGTAGTTTAAAGCAAATTCATAGTTTGCATGGATCGTGAGTGTTTTGTTGAATTCTAGGTTATAGGGACAGAATGGAAAGCTAAGTACTTAGTCAAAAAGAGACTTCTTTAGATAGGTCAGAAGGAAAAACAAGTCATCTAAATTATTACCAGCTTTTAAATAATTTTTCCTGGTGGGTTCTAGTGTTGAAAGAATAAATGAAAAAGAAGACTGAAGTCGAAATCAGTAAGTTCAACAAAAGCCTTGAAAAGCTTATTAAATACAAAGTAACTGTTGATCTGGTGGAAAAAGAGCACTGAAGTTACTACAATAATTAATCTTTTGTACTGAGAAGTTGCTATAATAATAATTCTTTTGGATGAGAAATGGGCCAAAATAATTGAGAAATGCCAAAAAAAGGTAACCATGTAGTCAGATGATTACGTTTACATACATAAATTCACAAAAGAGAAATTAAAATTAATGCTTCCAGAATAAGCAAAATACATTGTGTCAATTTCCAACAGGTCCAAACTGTCTGTGTGCTACTAATGGAAGTGTCAGAATTCTGGGCAAGTATTCACAAAGATCAGAAGTGTCATAACACTGAAGCCATGTGATTATAAGAGAAGAAAATCTGTATAGATGGAATCATGTGTATAGATGGAAATGTCACTCACTGTAATATCTGAGCAGGAGGTTGTAATCAAAGCACTTAGCAATTAGAAAGTACAGGGCCCTAACTCCCACAGAATTTTTGTTACAAGCAGCTCTGACAGCACACAGAACTGTTGTAAGATACTTTGTGAGAAAGCTTTGTCAGTGGTAATGCCTGCTTTAATAACATCTGGAAACAGCTGTTTTTCTCCAAAAGACAGCAATATGTCTAAGCCTGCCAAATACAGATAATAAGGTGCTTACCTATCATTAACAAAATTATGCTTTCCTTATTGACAGAAAAGATCTGTTCACATTGTGAGAAGAATACATTACAGAATTAGCGAAGAACTAACAATTGAAAAGCATCACACAGATGGCTGCCAAGATGGGCTGCTTCCCAGCCCAAAATCTGCAACCCTCTAAGGTGGCTACAATTATCCTGAGGTTCACCATGAGTTTTTTTGAAAATATCTCAAAACAAAATTATACATGAGGCACTTTAATTAAAAATATATATGCCATACAGCATTTCGAAGAAAGGGGAAAGATGGCATGAAAGCAAGCTAACAATAGCAGGGCATTATAAACTTCCACAAGGTTGGGAGCCAACAATAGTAAGATTCAGTGGCAGTTTTTATGAATTCAGAGCATTGTGCCAAGGCACATTGTCAAAATGTCTGAAAATTTATTTTAATGTCAGCAACAAAATTATTCATTCATTGAAGAAATATTTACTGAGGGAATACTATATGTCAGGTACCAATACACACATTGCCTGCTATAAAGTTTGTATCATCAATGTATAGGAATGCTGGTATTCCTGAGCCCTTCTAATAGCATCTTAAAAATGATATTTAGCGGCCCCGCCGACCCACGGCCCACGACCCACCGACCCACGAATCGGCCCGGCCCCCGCGTTCACCATGTCTGGCTTCTCCAGCGTCGCCGCTACGAAGAAAGTGGTTCAACAGCTCCAGCTGGAGGCCGGGCTCAACAGCGTAAAAGTTTCCCAGGCAGCTGCAGACTTGAAACAATTCTGTCTGCAGAATGCTCAACATGACCCTCTGCTGACTGGAGTATCTTCAAGTACAAATCCCTTCAGACCCCAGAAAGTCTGTTCCTTTTTGTAGTACAATGAATCTTTCAAAGGTTTCCCAAACCACTTCTTATGATCCAGTGAATATTCAAGAGAGATACATTTGAAGCCTGTACAAAAGCTTATCCCTGTAACACATGTGCTGTAATATACAAAATTCTACTTTTGTCTGTCCTTAACATCTACCTCTGAATTTTTATGAATTTCTACTTCACAAGGGTAATTGTTTTATATACATTGGCAGCAGCATACAATAAAACTTAGTGTGCAAGTTTTAAAAAATGATATTTAGCAATATCATATTAGTGAAAACTAGTAACTTATTGTGGTTTATTATTTCTTTGAATACTAGTGATATTTGACACTTTTTCATATGTTTATTGATTATATGACCATTTGTAGTTCCTTTTTGAATAATCTACTCATAGCCTATGTCCACTTTTTTTTGACTCATCCATGTTTCTGTTTATATACAGGATAACAAATTCAGGAACAATGGGAAAGTAACATATAAAAATTTAATAGGAAATACAATAGAGATTATAAAACACTACCATTTGATTTTTTATGCAAATACTTCAATATTCCAATTTTTTCTCACTTGCTAAATAAAGCACACAACTTGAAATGCTAAATAATTGTGTTACTGTAAATCTTTTAAAGAATAAAATGTTGGTGAAAAACCAAAATTGCTTAGTAAGGTATGTATGACCTTGTTTATTATCTATCATAGACATCAAGATGATCATAGTTAATACCAACTTAAGCTTTACAGAATACTGTTTTAGGCCCAATATTGATATAATAAATGAAGGTATCAGAGAACCTTGTATTTATGGCATCAGGTTATAAAGATCTATTCAAAACCATTTTTGTCAAAATTTAAACTCTGGAACAAAAGTCAAATTGTTTCTAAATGAGACACAAAATAATTATTGCTAATAGTACAAATTTTGTCCTATGGGTAATACTATTGTATTTTTCTTTTTAAAAAAATTATTTCAATTTTTATTTTTGATTCAGGGAACACATGGGCAGGCTTGTTAGCTGGGTATACTGTGTGATGCTGAGGTTTGGGGTATGGATGATCCCGTCACCCAGGTAGTGAGCAGAGTACCCAGTAGGTAGTTTTACAGCTCTTGGTCCACACCCTCCCTCTGCAGTGTCTGTTGTTCCCATGTGTCCTCAGGTATTACTATTTTCAAGTTTTTTTCTTTTTATATATATATATATATTTTTTTTATTACACTTTAAGTTCTAGGGTACATGTGCACAACGTGCAGGTTTGTTACATATGTATACATGTGCCATGTTGGTGTGCTGCACCCATGAACTCATCATTTACATTAGGTATATCTCCTAATGCTATCCCTCTCCCCTCCCCCAACCCCACAACAGGCCCCGGTGTGTGATGTTCCCCTTCCTGTGTCCAAGTGTTCTCATTGTTCAATTCCCACCTATGAGTGAGAACATGCGGTGTTTGGTTTTTTGTCCTTGTGATAGTTTGCTGAGAATGATGGTTTCCAGCTTCATCCATGTGCCTACAAAGGACATAAACTCATCATTTTTTATGGCTGCATAGTATTCCATGGTGTATATGTGCCACATTTTCTTAATCCAGTCTATCATTGTTGGACATTTGTGTTGGTTCCAAGTCTTTGCTATTGTGAATAGTGCCACAATAAACATACATGTGCATGTGTCTTTATAGCAGCATGATTTATAATCCTTTGGATATATACCCAGTAATGGGATGGCTGGGTCAAATGGTATCTCTAGTTCTAGATCCCTGAGGAATTGCCACAGTGTCTTCCACAATGGCTGAACTAGTTTACAGTCCCACCAACAGTGTAAAAGCATTCCTATTTCTCCACATCCTCTCCAGCACCTGTTGTTTCCTGACTTTTTAATGATCGCCATTCTAACTGGTGTGAGATGGTATCTCATTGTGGTTTTGATTTGCATTTCTCTGATGGCCAGTGATGATGAGCATTTTTTCATGTGTCTGTTGGCTGCATAAATGTCTTCTTTTGAGAAGTGTCTGTTCATATCCTTTGCCCACTTTTTGATGGGGTTGTTTGTTTTTTTCTTGTGAATTTGTTTGAGTTCATTGTAGATTCTGGATATTAGCCCTTTGTCAGATGGGTGGATTGCAAAAATTTTCTCCCATTCCATAGGTTGCCTGTTCACTCTGATGGTAGTTTCTTTTGCTGTGCAGAAGCTCTTTAGTTTAATTAGATCCCATTTGTCAATTTTGGCTTTTGTTGCCATTGCTTTTGGTGTTTTAGTCATGAAGTCCTTGCCCACGCCTATGTCCTGAATGGTGTTGCCTAGGTTTTCTTCTAGGGTTTTTATGGTTTTAGGTCTAACATGTAAGTCTTTAATCCATCTTGAATTAATTTTTGTATAAGGTGTAAGGAAAGGATCCAATTTCAGCTTTCTACATATGGCTAGCCAGTTTTCCCAGCACCATTTGTTAAATACGGAATCCTTTCCCCATTTCTTGTTTTTGTCAGGTTTGTCAAAGACCAGATGGTTGTGGATGTGTGGTATTATTTCTGAGGGCTCTGTTGTGTTCCATTGGTCTGTATCTCTGTTTTGGTACCAGTACCATGCTGTTTTGGTTACTGTAGCCTTGTAGTATAGTTTGAAGTCAGGTAGCGTGATGCCTCCAGCTTTGTTCTTTTGGCTTAGGATTGATTTGGCAATGCGGGCTCTTTTTTGGTTCCATATGAACTTTAAAGTAGTTTTTTCCAATTCTGTGAAGAAAGTCATTGGTAGCTTGATGGGGATGGCATCGAATCTATAGATTACCTTGGGCAGTATGGCCATTTTCATGATATTGATTCTTCCTACCCATGAGCATGGAATGTTCTTCCATTTGTTTGTGTCCTCTTTTATTTCATTGAGCAGTGGTTTGTAGTTCTCCTTGAAGAGGTCCTTCACATCCCTTGTAAGTTGGATTCCTAGGTATTTTATTCTCTTTGAAGCAATTGTGAATGGGAGTTCACTCATGATTTGGCTTTCTGCTTGTCTGTTATTGGTGTGTAAGAATGCTTGTGATCTTTGCACATTGATTTTGTATCCTGAGACTTTCCTGAATTTGCTTATCAGCTTAAGGAGATTTGGGGCTGAGACAATGGGGTTTTCTAGATATACAGTCATGTCATCTGCAAACAGGGACAATTTGACTTCCTCTTTTCCTAATTGAATACCCTTTATTTCTTTCTCCTGCCTGATTGCCCTGGCCAGAACTTCCAACACTGTGTTGAATAGGAGTGGTGAGAGAGGGCATCCCTGTCTTGTGCCAGTTTTCAAAGGGAATGCTTCCAGTTTTTGCCCATTCAGTATTATATTGGCTGTGGGTTTGTCATAAATAGCTCTTATTATTTTGAGATACGTCCCATCCATACCTAATTTATTGAGAGTTTTTAGCATGACGGGCTGTTGAATTTTGTCGAAGGCCTTTTCTGCATCTATTGAGATAATCATGTGGTTTTTGTCTTTGGTTCTGTTTATATGCTGGATTACATTTATTGATTTGCGTATGTTGAACCATCCTTGCATCCCAGGGATGAAGCCCACTTGATCATGGTGGATAAGCTTTTTGATGTGGTGCTGGATTCAGTTTGCCAGTGTTTTATTGAGGATTTTTGCATCAGTGTTCATCAGGGATATTGGTCTAAAATTCTCTTTTTTTGTTGTGTCTCTGCCAGGCTTTGGTATCAGGATGATTCTGGCCTCATAAAACGAGTTAGAGAGGATTCCCTCATTTTCTATTGATTGGAATAGTTTCAGAAGGAATGGTACCAGCTCCTCCTTGTACCCCTGGTAGAATTCAGCTGTGAATCCTTCTGGTCCTGGACTTTTTTTGGTTGGTTCAAGTTTTTTTCTTTACATGAAACTACTGAAAGCAAAAGTATGTCATGCTTACAGGTTACTCTATGCATTTATCATTCTATTAATAAATGTCTTAAGTAATTAAGTAGTATATTAAGGCCATAAACCAAGTCATTATCTCATAGCAAAGGACTATTGTTATTCAATCATCTAGAAAATGCATTTTAGGCCAAGTGCAGTGGCTCATGCCTGTAATCCCAGCACTTTGGGAGGCCAAGGCAAGCAGATCATGAAGTCAGGAGTTTGAGACCATCCTGACCAACATGGTGAAACCCCGTCTCTACTAAAAATACAAAAATTAGCCAGGCGTGGTGGCGTGTGCCTGTAATCCCAGCTACTCAGGAGGCTGAGGCAGGAGAATCACTTGAACCCAGGAGGCGGAGGGTGCAGTGAGCTGAGATTGCGGCCACTGCACTCCAGCCTGGGTGACAGAGTGAGACTCTGTCTCAAAAAAAAAAGAATATTCATTTTAATGTATGCCCACTTTTTTAATGGTCTTTTAGTTATTGATTCTAAAAGGCTCTTTATACATTACTTTGTCATCTGTCTGACATTATTACCCCCAGTGGATGCCTGAAATGGCAAATAGTACTGTACCTTGTATACACTATGTTTTTTCCCATACATACATATCTATGATAAAGTTTAATTTATAAATTAGGCAATATAGAGATTAATAACAATAGAACAATTATAGCAATATACTTTAATAAAAGTTTTTTTTATTTACTAAATTGAGAATATTTAGCTTTTATTTTTTTTTCTGTTTTTTAAAAATGAGACAGGGTCTCACTCTGTCACCCAGGCTGGAACGCAGTGGCACGATCTCAGCTCACTGCAGCCTCGACCTCCCAGGCTCAAGCAATCCTCCCACCTCAGCCCCCCAAGCCTCTTGGACTACAGGCCTGTGCCACTATGCCTAATTTTTGTATTTTTTGTAGAGACAAGGTTTCACCATGTGGCCTAGGCTGGTCTCAAACTCATGAACTCAAGCTATCCACCTGCCTCGTCCTCCCAGTGTTGGGATTACAGGCGTGAGCCACCGAGCCTGGCCTACATTTTCATTGAAAGGAAGCACTTTACAGCTTTTCTTTGGCATATCCGAATTTCCAGCCTCACTACTCTTGCAGTCTGGGGAACTTATAAAGTAAAATAAGAGTTACTTGAACACAAGCACTGTGATACCACAACAGTCGATCTGATAACTGAGATGGCTACTAAGTGACTAATGGGTGAGTAGTTTAGACTGCGTGGTTACCCTGACAAAGGGAAGATTCATGTCTCAGGGGACAGAGCAGGATGGTGCAAGATTTCATCACCCTACTTAAAATCGTCCATAATTTAAAACTTATGAATTGTTTATTTCTGAAATTTTCCATTTAATATTTTTGGACCACAGTTGGCTGTGGGTAATTGAAACCACTGAAAGTGAAACCATGTATAAAGGGGGATTACTATATATTTGAGTAAGAGCTTCTAGAGACTGCTAAATTTGCTCCGTAACTATCAGAGTGGAAGTCAGCTAATGCTGTCAAATATTTTTATAAGGCCTATGAGTATTCTGGAATTATTTTGATGCTGTTCACTTCTCCTATTTCTGTATTAAATCTAATTTTATGTACACAAAACCAGATTATGTTACAGTCAAACAGATTCCAGGAATGTTCCACAAACAATATTGTTCAGTAGTCAATAGAGGACAAATTGGACTATAATCTTGCCAGTGACTTAAAACAAAGTGAAACAAAACATAAAAAACTAAAACATGTTACTATAGTTGCTGCCATCAACTTCCTCATCATTTTTGAAGTTGGTATTAATAGTAGCATCTTTGGAATATTTCAGCACTTTTTCAGTACTACATTTATGTAGAAAGGTCTGTGCTGGCATTTAAGCCAAACTCTATCACCCTGTTTTAAAAAGTCTTAGCAGGCATACACAATTACATCTTGGAGCCTTATGGATATGACAGTAATATTGACCTTTTCACAAGAAATGGCAGAAGCTAGTTTGAGGCAAAATCAGTGCTGCTCAGAAACTTGTGCCATCATCCTTGATGACAGATAAGTATTAAAATCTCCATTGAATTATTTTCTTTCTGTGATTCAGAGTCAATAAACAATTGCTGAATGCCTAATATGTGCCAGATGCTTTTCCATACAACCTTTTCCAGTCCTCACCACCCATCTATAACATAGGTATCTTCATTTCCATATGAGGAAATTGTAACTCAGAGAGGTTATATGATTTGTTCATGGTCACACTAGTAACTATTAAGTGGCAGAGATGGGACCTGAAGCCAGATTTTCCAGTTCTAAAAATCTAGCATTCTTTTGATTGTACCACAGTTGCCCTCCTCAGCAAGACTGGATGAGACAATGTGGATGCCCCAGGCAGGCTTATGTTCTGGTGCCTCTTCACCTGCATATATTTAAAATATTTGGTCAACATTTACTTAATGAGAGTAGGGAGAGACTGAGTTTCTATTTTAAATAGTGTATGTCTTTTTTCCTTATGTTTGAAATAAAAAATTCACTACCTACACTTATAACAATAATAGCTATCATTTATTGAGTGTTTACCGTATGTCAGGAACTATGCTAACCACTTTACATGCGTTATCTCATTTAATCCTAGGAGGTGAGCACTGTTATCGTCATCATCGTCATCATCACCACCACCATCATCATCCCCATTTAATAGATGAGGCCCAAAGTTTAAGTCACTTAGCCAAGATCACACAGCTAGTAAGTAGTGGAGCCAGGATTTAATCTCTGGTAGGCTCACATCTGAGCCTATGAGCTTAACCAATATGTTGTGTGTGTGTGTGTGTGTGTGTGTGTGTGTGTGTGTGTGTGTGTGTATGTTTTGCCTTCAACTACAGCAAAAAATCCTAAATTGGCATTTTAAATTACTGATTTATTACTTTCATTTCTTTTGTTTGTTTTGTCACTCAAAACTAAATATAATGGCAGTAACTTACAGGGATATAATTATAAAATCAGATAACTTACAGGTATATAGTTATAAAATCACGTTCAGGCCAGGCGTGGTGGCTCACGCCTATAATCCCAGCACTTTGGGAAGCTGAGGTGTGCAGATCACCTGAGGTGGGGAGTTCGAGACCAGCCTGACCAATATGGAGAAACCCCGTCTCTATTAAAAATACAAAATTAGCCGGGCGTGGTGGCGCATGCCTGCAATCCCAGCTACTCGGGAGGCTGAGGCAGGAGAATCGCTTGAACCCAGGAGGCGGATGTTGTAGTGAGCCAAGATCGTGCTGTTGCACTCCAGCCTAGGCAACAAGAGCGAAACTCCTTCTCCAAAAAAATAATAATAATAAAAATAAAAATAAATAAATAAGTTAAATAAAATCACATTCAAAAGACCTTAGAATTTCTCCTTTTTTTGTTTTTTTTTTTTTTTTTTTTTTTTACAACAAACCATTTTCCACTTTTCTGTAGTTTTTATTTTGTCCTCAGTGTCCTTTTGCAATTCTCCAAACCAGGTAACTTTGGGGAAGGTATAGTAGAGGATTTAAAATTTAGATAAGGAAATGAACCCTTCATTCTTGATAAAGAGCATTGCAACATGCAGTATTTTGTTTCTCAATATCAGGTGATTGTGGAGAGTTGCCTACTTTCAGCAACTCCCATCTTGCTAATCTCACCGTTGGTGGCACACCCTTTAACTTGCACGCGCTTGTCACGAAAATAGAGTGGTTGGCACCAGTGAGGACTGGCTTGCTTTTGCTTTTAATTTTTTACTCAAAGGTCCCAGCCTCCTTAGGTGAAAGAAGTGGCCAATTTTCATTTCACCAATTACTTTAGGAAGTACTGGCAGAAACCCAAGGTATGCAGCACCATATTTATGTTTTATTCCAGGGATTTTTAAACATCCCTTTTAAATTGGCACCCCAGGCAGTTCCCTGGCTGACCCATTGCTTAATTCTCCTCTCTCTCAGGAAGGCTATGGAGGAATTGATGAATCTAATTAGGTATCCAGAACTAGAGAGTTGATGAAGAAGAAGGATATGGTTTGGATACATGTATATTGATTCAAATATTAAAGGACAATTTTCTATGAGTTTCAGCTGACCCTGGAGGGCATACAGATTCCAGAACAAAATCCATTGAGTGGATTTACCTCCCCTGCCATTTGTAAACAGGCGAAACCTGATTATAATGAATATCAGAGGGCAGCTGGAGCCTGCAGGTTGAATACTGATGTTACGGGCTGTGTAATTACTATGCAATTTTATTACCAGGCATTTCATATGTATAATTATAATGAGGTTTAGATAATTTAGAAAAACGGCTGATCATAAGCAATGTCAGGCCATCTACAATCTGAGCTTCACCTTTGTGTTAATTAAAGCAAAATCTTCAAGTAGAACTGGAAATGAAGGGTCACACCCAATGAAAGGTCTCTCCCACCCTGGCTTCTTGTCTGTCCACTCATTGTTTGTACTTCTGAGGAAAACTCAAAATTTCACTGCCTGGTACTTCTGTGTTTAAAGATCACTCTTCTTCCCTTCTCCATTCTTTGTGGGTACAAGTCTGTTTTAGGTCTTCTTTTTTCTCAAATGTCTTATTGTGTTAGAATACATGAAACATAAAATGTACCATCTTAACTTTTTAAATGTATAGTTCAGTGGTATTAAACACATCATCATGTTAAACAACCATCACCACCATCCATCTCCATAACCCTTTTCATCTTGTACAACTGAAACTCTGTAGCCATTAAACAATGACTCCCCATTCTTGCCTTCCCTCAGTCCCTGGCAATCACTGTTCTGTTTTCTGTCTCTATGATTTTGACTATTCTAAGTACCTCATATAGGTAGAATCATACAGTATTTGTCTTTTTGTGACTGGCTTATTTCACTTAGCATAATGTCCTCAAGGTTCACCCATGCTGTAGCATATTGCAGAGTTTCCTTCTTTGTTAAGGCTGAATAATGTTTCATTGTATGTATATACCACATTTTGCTTATCCATTCATCTGTTGATAGACACTTGAGTTGCTTCCTGTTTTAGCTATTATGAATAATGCTGCTATGAAAATAAGTGTACAAATATCTCTTCAAGACACTGTTTTCAAGTCATTTGGGTATATACCCATGAGCAAAATTGAAGGATCATATAATTCTATTTTTTATTTTTTTGGGAACTGCCATACTGTTTCCCACAGTGGTTGAACCGTTTTACATTCCCACCAACTGTATACAAGAGTTCAATTTTCTCTACATCCTCACCAATACTCTTTATTTTCTGTTTATTTATAGTAGCCATCCTATGCTTTGGGTCTTAATAAGATGTCTCTGACTAGGATTGAGATTTTCAAATCAAGTGTAGAAAGTGGAGGCAGTTTTGTGTCTTTATACCTGAAAAAACAAACCCTCCTCCTTCAAATGCTGAAGAAAAATACAGTGATGACATTTTAGAATTTCAAATGAGAACAAATAGTCTAAAAACACAACAGAATATTTGAAATGGAAACTGCCCCAGAAAACTTGAATAATTAAAGCTATAATGTATTTTGAGCACCTACTATGTGACAGACACTAGGAAAAGTACTTCCCACATATATTATCTCATTTAATCCTTTCAATAACTCTTTTAAGAAATGGGTCCTAGAGTACCCATCTCTGCAGATGAGGAAACTAAGGTGTAGACAGGTTTAAACTACTTGCCCAAGGTCACATAGCAATTAAATGGCAGAGCTGGAATTCAAATCCAGGAATGACTAACTCTAGAGGCTTTTCACTTAACCACCAAGAGGACCTGCCATTTCCTTAGATGTTTACAGGCTCTAAAATAATTTCTTTGTGGAAGGAATTCAAAGGCAAGAGAGTCAAATCAATATTTCCATCTGTGTATAAAACCTACATGATTTTTGACATATCCAAGAATAACATAAATTACAGGAAGGGCATTTGGGCATTCTATCTCTCATTCCTGGGGGTGGCAGCCTTCCCTACCTCAGGTTCATCCCATAAGCCTATCCAGAGTCCATTCTTGGCCAACCAAATTGATCTCTGGAAAGTGACTTGGCATGGCTCTTCCTACATTAATTTCATCAAAGCAATAATAATCATGAAATCATGGGCTCCATATTAGATTTTTTTTTTTTGAGACGGAGTCTTGCTCTGTTGCCCAGGTGATCTGAGTTCACTGCAACCTCTGCCTCCTGGGATCAAGCAATTCTCCTGCCTCAGCCTCCTGAGTAGCTGGAACTACAGAAACATGCGACCACACCTGGCTAATTTTTTTTGTTTTTTTGTTTTGTTTTGTTTTGTTTTGTTTTTTTAGTAGAGACAGGGTTTCACCATGTTGGCGAGGCTGGCCTTGAACTCCTGATCTCAGATGATCCACTCACCTCGGCCTCCCAAACTGCTGGGATTACAGGCGTGAGCCACCACACCCAGTCGAGATGTTTTTTTAAAAAAATACACATCAAAATAAATAATGTTCATCTACGAGTACCTAAAATCATCTCATGTACCACCAGGGGTATATATACAGCATACGGAATAGCACGGATCTGGATGATCTCTAAGTGACTTTCTAACCTTGACATGCAATGAAACACCTAACCTCTAAAAATAGCTCAAAAAGGTTGAGACTGGTTTAGGCAGGATGGTAATTTGCCAATCCTTGCTCACTTTCTCCTCCTGCAGTCTCCAGTCTTTGCTTAACTGTCCTCCATTTTTGAGAGATTTTTCACAGCTTTTCAGAAGAAACTGGGCACTTCCAAGAGAGCAACCTCCTTTTATTTCTGCAGCTACTGATCTTCATCATCCAACTTAGGTGTTACATCCTTAGAAATGAGGCTCTCTCTGACCTTTTTCTGACCACCTACTCTAAGGTAATCCCCCATAAAGTTACCCTGTTTTACTTTTCTTATAGCACTCAGTTATCACTATTTGAAATCATCTTATCTGTTCGTTGACTTGCATGCTGCTAGTCTCCCCACTAAACAAGCTCCAGGAGGTTCATGGCATCTAGCATAATGCCTGGCATGTACTAAGCACGCAAAGAGTATTTGCCAAATGAATGTACATGATGAATTAGGGATTCTAAAATTGGGATAGGGCTTTGGAGCTGATGAAATAGAGGCAAAACAAGGAAAGCTGAATTTGGGTGATGTAATTTATCCAACTAAGGTAAAGTGGAAACTGATATGGTAAAGTACAACACTGTCTGAGGTTCTTACATCACTCATTCTTTCTTGAGCACATACTATATTCAGGGCATTGTGCTAAGCTGTCCGTGGTGGGCTGCTATAGAGCTCTGGGACCTATGCCATCGGCAACCCCTAGTTTGATTCATTTATCCCATGTTTATTGAGTGACTACTACGTGTGAAGCACCATTCTATGCTGGATATCACAGTAATCAGGACAAAGTTCCTGCCCTGTAGTGAGGAATGTATGTGTCAAATCATAATCAGACACATAACTACATGGCATTTTTTTCCCAGATGGCATTTCCTAGTGATCGTCTGACTTGCCAGCAAATCCAGATCTTTGCTCCCAAGGTGGTCTTGGAATCATTTCTCCACCACCCACCCTCTGCCCACTGATACTTTTATATTGATACTAGCTACCATGATTGGGTATGCACAGTGTTAGGCACTGTGCCAAGGGCTTTACATTCATTATATGATTGAATCTTCCCAATAACCCCATGAAGAAGATACTATTATTACCCCCATTTTACAAGGCTGAAATTAAATGATTTGTCTAATATCATGTAGTTGTTATGTGGTAGAATGGATTCAAAGCTGGGCCAAGTGTTCCCTAGAGTTGTGCAATGCAGTCACCATCCAGAGTCAGTGCCCTTAACCATCAGTGTGCAATGGTGCCTCTTATATATTACATATGCCCTCCCTTCACTTAGGCAATCTGATTCTGCAGAGTCTGGCAACCCAGACACTCTCAGGTTATAAGGTTTGCCCAAGGAGCTGGCAATGAAGCAGGCAGAAATGTGCCAAGGTCTGACTCTGTGTGGTCCAGAACATGAGGCATCAGCAACTATATGTTATGAAGCAGTTGTTACAGTTCATTACACCCTAGGAATAACACTGTCCTCAGTAAAGATCAAATTATTGAAGATGTAGTTCATAATGGAAACTATATATCTGGACTTCTTTCATTTGAAAGCGATTAAACACAAGAAAATTAAAGAAAAGCTAAGGAAAACAACTAGTGCATTTGTAGAGAAAATATTAAAAACATATCTCAATACAGGCAACCTAGATTAAGATAATAAATATATTTGTGCTATCAGTTTTATAATAATATATCCTTTAGGTTCAGTATGGAACTAAAGCTATCAAATATGGTTTCTTTTTCACACTGATTTCTGCAATTTACTAAAATATACTCATTTGTGCCTTTTCAAAGCAATTTTTCTTACCTTATTTAATTTTTGTGTCATAGAAATACTGTAAGGTAGAGGGAAGGTGTTATCTTTGTTTTTAAAAAGTATAAATTTAAGGTACAAAGTGAGCAAGTAAGTAACCAACAACACCAAATTAGAATTGCAGCCATGAAATTTGGTCCACACACCAGGGTGCAAAAATGTCACATTTCTTTCTTTTTTTCTTTTGGCAATGATTTATTGAATATGGCACCAAAAGCACAAACAACAAAAGGAAAAAGAGGTAAGCTGGACATTATGAAAATTCAAAACTCTTGTATATCAAAGAATACCAACAGAGTGATAAGGCAATCCATGAAATAAAAAGAAACATTTTTAAATATTATATCTGATAAGGAATTGATATTCATAATATATAAGGAACTCCTACCAGACAACAACAAAAGCAAACCATCTGATTTTATTTTATTTTATTTTATTTTAAGTTCTGGGGTACATGTGCAGAACGTGCAGGTTTGTTACACAGGTAGACACGTGCCATGGTGGTTTGCTGCACCCATAAACCCATCACCTACATTAGGTATTTCTCCTAATGCTATCCCTCCCCCAGACCCCCACCCCCTGACAGGCCCTGGTGTGTGATGAGCCCTGCACCCCCATGTCCATGTGTTCTCATTGTTCAACTCCCACTTATGAGTGAGAACATGTAGTGCTTCCTTTTCTGTTCTTGTGATAGTTTGCTGAGAATGATGATTTCCAGCTTCATCCATGTCCCTGCAAAGGACATGAACTCATCCTTTTTTATGGCTGCATAGTATTCCATGGTGTATATGTGCCACATTTTCTTTATCCAGTCTATCATTGATGGGCATTTGGGTTGGTTCTAAGTCTTTGCTATTGTGAACAGTGCTGCAACAAACATACGTGTGCATGTGTCTTTATAGATTTATAATCCTTGGGTATATACCCAGTAATGGGATTGCTGGGTCAAATGGTATTTCTAGTTCTAGATCCTTCAGGAATCGCCACACTGTCTTCCACAATGGTTGAACTAATTTACACTCCCACCAACAGCATAAAAGCGTCCCTATTTCTCCACATCCTCTCCAGCATCTGTTGTTTCCTGACTTTTTAATGATCGCCATTCTAACAACTGGCAAAAAATGTCACATTTCTTTATATCCCTACAACAAAATTCAATCTGCTCTGAGCCTTTCACCTTTCCAGCTGGCTAAAAATTCAATCTCCCTCATGGTTTTTACCTCCTTCTGTCAAGGTTGTATGAAGACCCTAGCAAATGATACCCAGAACACAACTTTCAGTGTAGGTCCTATGCCCTTTTGTGCATACCCAACATTGTTGATATGTTTGTCAGGCAAATCCCCTTAAAGTTAGACGGGGTAGCTGCTTCTGTGCCACTCTTGCACATTGGTGGTGATAGCAGGGTGTTTTGGCTGAAGCTGGCATCCTCACGGACTAGTATTCAGACTTTCTTAAGTGTACCATGTCTCCATTCTCTCTTGAGATCTTGTATCTTCTTTAGCACACTAAAAGGCAGCAAAAGTAGTCCTTGATGCTCATGGAATCTACCATTACTCCCGTCTCCTCTCTTGTCCCGGAGAAGCTCAACTTCTATGTCAGACAGCTTCTCCCACCTCTACTCAAAAGCATTCACTTGTTAACCCTCTGGGACAAGTCAGCATACTTTTCCTCAATGAACCTAGGCTTCTGAAATCAAAAGCTCTGGATTCAGGTGATCTTCCTGAACTTCTGATTTTGACCTTGCAAGCAAAAGCACCTAAGAAAGGGGAACAGAAAGGCTTGTCTGTGTTTTGATTTGTAGGAGGGAAAAAAATCTACAACAACAAGGACAAATTATTTAAAAATAATATTTGAATACATAATCCTTCCCCAAGCCCTGCTACATTTCTTAACGGGAGTTTTTAATTTGAGGCATGGCACCAGTAAGCAGCAGTAATCATGGATCTACATTTTTGCAGTTAATTTCAATATTGCATGTATTTATTGAACACACACAATGCTACTACTACTGTACTATGTATTGTATGGCATATTTAAGAAGAAAAAGATATATTCTTTTATCTTTGAGATGTAAAGAAATGTATCCACAATATGCTCTTTGACAGTCTGTTGCTGGTAACTTTCAGATCCCACTACCTAAGGGGCTAAAATTCTCTTTTCTTTAGAATATGAAAAAAATTACTTCATAGATATAATTATTTTATTTAGAGAATGCCCTTTATGGAGAGTATTTTCCTTTTTTATTTTCTACTTCTTGTAGTCACTCAAGAAACATTATATGGTAGTCATGGGGCCAGGGACATAAAGATTCACAACATTGTCCTTGTCCTCAAGGAAGGGAGACTAGGTGGCAGAAGGGAATAGATCTATAATATCAGAGTAGCCTGATAAAGGAGGCAATATTTAATTTAGGACTTAAAGGATGAATTGAAGTTTATTAATAAAGAAGTGGAGAGGAACATTCCAAAAAGAGGAAACAGCATGGGCAAAGAAGGGGATAAAATAAATTTCCTAAAATAAAAATAGAGAAGTGAAAATACATAGCATACTCAAGGAACTGCCAATAATCTGACCAGAGTACAAAGTCTTGGGGGGAGGATAATGGTGAAAGACAACGCTAGAGAACTAGTCTGCAGTGTGATTGTAAATGTTCCTATATGCAATGCTAGAGAGTTTGGGGTTCTCCTTATAGACGATGAGAAATTAACCAAAGGTTTTAAGCAGGAAAATGATAAGATCAGAACAATGTTTTCTGAATATTCCTTCTGACGGAGGTGCCAAAAATAGACTGAATATAGAGAGAGTAGTCACATGGCTCTCAGTAGGAGCTGATGAAATAAGGCAATAGAAGTGGAATGGATTTAAGGTAATATTGATGGACTTAGTATGAGAATGAGAGATAAGTAAGAGTTAAAGATGACTCCCAGGGCTGGGTAATCAGGTAGATAGAGAGGCCATTAACCAAAATAGGGAATACCTAAGAAGGCCAAGGTTGTGTATAATAAGTTTTTGTCTCAGATAAGTTGAATTTCAGGTGTCTTTGGGATATCCATGTGAAACTATCTAGTAAGCCAATTGAAAACTCAGCCTGCAGCTTGGTTACAGAAGTCAGGGTTGGAGTTAAGATATTTGGGATTCATCAGCAAACAGATGTTGAGTAAATTGATGGCAATAAATGCAGAGCAAAAGGAAAAGTCTGAGGATAGAGGCCTGAAGGACAGGTAGCTGGAGTAAGAGAAGACCCTAAAAGAGAGTTTGGGGTTCTCCTTATAGACCATGAGAAAGAAAGCAACAATCAGATGAGGGCTATTAGAGAAACAAAGGAGAAGAGAGGTCCTCGAATGAAGGGGTGGTCTTTAGTAAACACAGAGTAGAGGTCTGATAGGACAAGGACAAGATAGGGCCATTCTTGTGGGCAATTTAGACATCACTGGTGACTTTTGTTGGAGCAGTAGTAGGGGCATAAGTCAAATTGCTGTGGTTTGAGGGCTAAAGAGATGAGGAGGGTGGAAACAGTATATGAGAGTTATTCTTTCAAGTAGGCTAGCAGTAAACATAAAGTGAGAAATAAGTTGGCAACACAGTAGGCAAAGGTAATATGGAAGAATGTCTATGGAGAGTGAGAGTGAAGAAATGAGAGAGAAAAGGGTTAATGAATGGAGTCAAATCTCAGACAAGTTAGTGGAAGATGGGTTTTAGTCCAATATTTCTCAAACTACCTGTGGTGAAGGATCAGGTTTTCAAATTTTCAAGCTGTTGCAGATTGGTACTTCTGTGAAATATAATAAAAATGAGTTACTAGAAAAAGTGCAGTACAGAAACAAAGACATTCAAAATATAAACCCTAATTTTTCATTATTAGAGCCAACGAACATAAAATTAATTTATCAAATTGCTATGGAAGTTTCTAAATTCTTACTCTCAATTTCAGTGCTTATGCTGTTGTGGATCAGTATCAAACAGTTTGAGGATTGGAAGGGGTCCATGACCACACCTTGAGTAACACTATTCTAGACCATAGGTAGAGAGAGCAGGAAAGGAGGTAAGAAAGAACACCCCTTCTTCCAAGAGAGGAGGGAAGCAGGAAAAGGATGAAAAACAGAGAAAACTTTGGAATGAAATGAAGAAGGGTTGAATGGATTCTCACCTGAAAGTCGTTTTTTTTGTCGTGAAGTAGGAAGCTTCATTTTCTGAAATGATTAAAAGATGAAGAGGTTGGAGTGGGAGGATTGAAGTGTAGTAACGGGTTGAAACAGCTGCTGTGGGAAATCAGAAAGGGAACTGAATAAAGATGAATTAAAGATTTGTAGAACAATAGAGAAGGCCCAGCTGAGGCTGAAAATCATAATTTTTTTATGGAGCCAATCAGCTCAATTTTGTGATTTATTTTTTCTAACAGTTTTACATCCTCAGAGCAGGAGTAGAGAAAACATATGGTACAATACTGGTACTATGGTGGACTAGATATACAAACTGTCCCACGGAAAACACTTAAAAAGCTTAAAAGCACCTAAAAACATGAAATTCATTTATGTTTCATATACACCTTAAACACATAGCCTGAAGGTAATTTTATACAATATTTTAAGTAATTTTGTGCATGAAACAAAGTTTGTATACATTGAACAAAGCAAAGGTGTCATTATTTCAGCAACCCAGGTAGACAATCTGTGGTTGTTTGGCATCACCATCATTCCTGACTCTGAATTTATATGCTACTGACAAGCAATCATTTTCTTACACTTATTCTCACATAAGTATTAACGGTTTAAAAAAATGACATACCATTAATATAGGGAAAAATTATGTGTTCAGTGTAATGAAGCAGCACAGTGGCATCACCAGAATACCAGGATCAGCTGTTAAACAACAAACAATGGCAAGCTTTCCGTCTCCACCTACAATGCTGTGCTTTGATTAAAAGGTTACTGTACATTGTATTTCATTTTTTTAAGGTGAGAAGACACAGAAACAGTTGAAGGACCAGGAAGTGGGTCCTATAAAGATGAGAAGGTGTTCTGCTGGATGGCTTTAAAAAAATATTTCCTCCAAAGTCATCTGCCTGATTAACAATGGATTTTTTCTAAAACAAACAATCCCATCAAAAAGTGGGCGAAGGATATGAACAGACACTTCTCAAAAGAAGACATTTATGCGGCCAAGAAACATATGAAAAAAAGCTCATCATCACTGACCATTAGAGAAATGCCAATCAAAACCGCAGTGAGATACCATTTCATGCCACTTAGAATGGCGATCAGTAAAAAGTCAGGAAACAACAGATGCTGGAGAGGATGTGGAGAAATGGGAACGCTTTTACATTGGTGGGAGTGCAAATTAGTTCAACCATTGTGGAAGACAGTGTGGCGATTCCTCAAGGATCTAGAACAAGGAATACCATTTGACTGAGCAATCCCATTACTGGGTATGTACCCAAGGGATTATAAATCATTCTATTATAAAGACACATGCACCTGTATGTTTATTGCAGCACTATTCACAATAGCAAATACTTGGAACCAACCCAAATGCCTATCGTTGGATAGACTGGATAAAGAAAATGTGACACATACACACCATGGAATACTATGCAGCCATAAAAAAGGATGAGTTCATGTCCTTTGCAGGGACATGGATGAAGCTGGAAACCATCTTTCTCAGCAAACTAACACAGGAACAGAAAACCAAACACCACATGTTCTCACTCATAAGTGGGAGTTGAACAATGAGAACTCATGGACACAGGGAGGGGAACATCACACACTGGGGCCTGTCAGGGGGTGGGGGCCTGGGGGAGGGATAGCATTAGGAGAAATACCTAATGTAGATGATGGGTTTATGGGTGCAGCAAACCACCATGGCACGTCTATACCTATGTTACAAACCTGCATGTTCTGCACATGTATCCCAGAACTTAAAGTGTTAAAAAAAAAAAAAAAAGAGTCAAACATCTAAAAAAAAAAAAAAGAGAAAAAGAAAAAAGGAAATAGACGTTTGTTTTACTAAGCCATTATATCTTTGGGTCTACTTGTTAGAATACTTTATTTAGCTGATACAGGCATTTTAATTAGACGCATTCTTTTATTTAATCTTTACAACCATTTTACGAAGTATGTACTGATATGCAATTTAAGAGATAAGGAAAATGAAGTTAAATTACTTGCTTGAAGTTGTGCAGTAAATGAATGGGTGATATGCTAAAGGCCTAAGAAGATGTTTGCTACAGCCCCAGCCAAGCTATGCTCAAAGTAATCACTAGGCCTTGTTGTTGATCTGGGGAGCAAAAGTTTGCTGAAGCAGTAAAAATATCATGACATCAAAATTTTCACTGGAAACCCACAGCTAGTTTATAAAATTAACACCCTTCCTCTTTACCTTTTAACTATTTCTCTCACTCCATAACTCTATAAACAGCATTTTGTTGCCTGTCTTCTCTCTGTGTTCATCATTTCCATCCGGATCAGTTATCATTCTTTTCTGGCAGGCCTTATTATATTGATCTCCTTATTTATGAGACTAGAAGAGAATAATAATCGATGCTTTGTGGTCTCAGTATTTGCTCTTTTCAGGATAGAAGTGTTTCTGTTCAAGAATTGCTTGTAAGTATATTTCACTGAACACTGTAGTGATGACTATCAAAGAAATAATACTAATAATGATAATAATAACAACTACTTAAAATAATATTTCTAGGAACTATCGCTAATTAAATAAAAACCCTCCTTTGACCTAGTGCTCCTCTACAGCTACCATCTCATTTCTTTGTTCCTCTTCAGAGTCAAGTATTTCAACAGAGTTGTCTATATACACTATCTACATCTCCCCACCACCCCATTCACTTTTTAGTGCACTCCAGTCTGACTTCTGGCCCTGCCACTCCAATGAAACTACTCATGTTATTGCAACATGCAACATGCATGTTGCTAAATATAATAGACACTTCTCTATTCTCATTTTATTTGAAGTCCCTTCAGTATTTAACATCATTAACCATTCTTCCTTCTTAAAAGATTTTCTTCTTTGGATATTGTGACACAACACTCTGCTGGCTTTCCCACTATGTCAGTTGCTACTCTTGTTTAGTCTCATTAGCCAGTTCATCCCAATATTGTGCAACCTCAGGACTCAATCCTGGTTTTCTCTTTTTTCTTTATATTCCTTCTCTATGTTATGTTGTCCAGACCATGGCTTCTAATACTGTCTGTATGCTAACTCCCACATTTATTTATCAAGTCAAGACCTTTCATTTGAGCTCATGACATGCATATCTGCCTACCTATTTCATATCTCTATTTGCATATTTAGCGGACACCTTAAACTTACATTGTCAAGAAGTCTTGATATCCTGTGGACCTGCTCCTGTCCTTATCTTTTCCATGCCAATATGTCATCACCACTTATTTGTTTACCCAAACCAGAAATCTAGTCATAATCATAAATTCTTTCCTTTTCCTGACCTCAACAAAATATGTGTCAGTAAGTCTTGTTGACTCTACCTCCAAAATTTACATGGAAATTCTCCTTTCTTTTTATCTTAACCGCCACCACCTAGGTCCAGGCCTATCCTGAATTAACGAAGTCTCCTGACTGATCTCCTTATCTCTGCTCTGTTCTCCTGCATTACATTCTCCAAATACCAGCAAAATTGATCTCACTAAACCGTCCAGTGTCTTTCCATTGCTCTTTGAATAAAAGCCAAATTATTTATCATGGCTACGAATGATCCACTCCTGCACCTCAATAAGGAAACAGAAGACTTGAACAACACTATACACCAACTAGAATTAACATATACCTATACAGCATTCCTCCCAATAACAGCAGAATACATAATCTTCTCAAGTGCACATGAAACATTCTTCAGGATAGATCATAAGCTAGGTCATAAAAGAAGCCTCAAAAAACATAAAAGGATTGAAATCACACCAAATATATTATCTACCACCGTGGAATGAAATTAGAAATAAAAAACAGAAGGAAATTTGGGAAATTCACAAATATGTGGAAATTGAATAACACACTCCTAAATAACTAATAGGCCAAAAAGTCACAAGGGAAATTAGAAAATACTTTGGGACAAATGTAAACAAAACCACAAAATATCAAAACTTATAGGCCAGGCAAGGTGGCTTACACCTGTAATCCCAGCACTTTAGGAGACCGAGGTGGGTGGATCACTGGAGATCAGGAGTTTGGGGTCAGCCTAGCCAACATGGTGAAACCCCGTTTCTACTAAAAATACAAAAAAATTAGCCAGGCGTGGTGATGCACACCTGGAATCCCAGCTACTCAGGAGGCTGAGGCAGGAGAATCTCTTGAACCCAGGAGGTAGAGGTTGCAGTGAGCTGAGATCGCACCACTGCACTCCAGCCTGGGAGACAGAGCAAGACTCCATCTCAAACAAACAAACAGAAAACAAAACCAAAAGAAAAAGGAAGAAAAGAAAAGAAAAAGAAACTTACGGAATGCAGCTAAAGAAGTGCTTAGAGGGAAAATGATAGCCATAATACCTATATTTAAAAAGAAGAAATAATTCAATTCAATAACCTAACCTGCCATTTCAGAAGCCAGATGAGCAAACAGAAGCAAACAGAAGGAAATAAATAAAGATTAAAACAGAGATAAATGAAATACAGAATAGAAAAACAATAGAGAAAAGTAACCAAACCAAAAGTTGGTTCTTTAAAAAGAACAGTAAAATTGACAAGTCTTTAGTTAGACAAAAAAAGAGAAAAGACTGAAATTACTAAAATCAGAAATGGGATGATATTACTACAGACCTTACAGAAATACAGGGAATTATAAGAGAATACTATGAGCATTTGTATGACAAATTAGATAAACCAGAAGAAATGAACCAATTCCTAGAAACATACAAACTATCAAAAGTGACTCAAAAAGAAACAGAAAAATTTAACACACCTGTAACAAATAACTAGATTGAGTCAGTAATAATAAAAACTCCCTGTGAGGGAGAGGGGAGTGGAGATGGTTAATGGCTATAAAAATATAGATGGAATGAATAAGATCTGGTATTTGATAGCACAATAGTCAACAATAATTTATTGTACATTTAAAAATAACTAAGAGTATAATTGGAATGTTTGTAATGCAAAAAAATGACAAATGCTTCAGGTGATGCATATCCCATTTTCCTGATGAGATTATTGTACATCGTAAGCTAGTATCAAAATATCTCATGTACTCCATAAACACACTATGAATGCATAAAAAATTCAAACTAAAAAAATAAATGAATTTTAAAACTCCCAACAAAGAAAAGCCCAGGACCAGATAGCCTCACTGTTAAATTCTACCACACATTTAAAGAAGAATAAACACCAAATCCTTCTCAAGCTCTTCCAAAAAATAGAAGGAAACTGCCCAAATCATTTATGAGACCAGTATTTTCCTGATGCCAAAACTAGACAAAAACATCACAAGAAAAGAAAACTCAGACCACTGAATGTAGATGTACAATGAATACAGATGTAAAAATCCTCAAAAATACTAGTAAATGGATCCAGCAACATATAAAAAATAATTATATACCATGATGAAGTGGGATTCATCTCAGGACTGGAAGGTTGATTTACTATCCCAAAATTAATGTAAAGTATTAATTTTATGGTATATTAAAGTAATATGCCACATCAACAACATAAAGAACAAAAACCACATGATCCTGTCAATAGACACAGTAAAAGCATTTGACAAAAAATCCAACCTGTCATGATAAATTAAAAAAAAAAAAAAACACTCAACAAACTACCAGTAGAAGGGACCTTCCTCAACCTAAGGGAAGCTATTAAAAACTCACAGCTAACATCATACTTAATGCTAGAAGACAGAAAGCTTTCCCCATTATATCTGGAATAAGATAGGGATGTCTGCTCTCATCAATTCTATTCAACATTGTACTAGAGGTTTTAGGCAAAGCAATTAGACAAGAGAAAAAAAAATACATCCAGATTGGAAAGAAAGAAGTAAAACTATCAGATGACACAATCTTGTGTACACAAAATCTTAAGAAATCCAACAAAAAACTATTAGTAGTAAGAAATGAATTCAGCTCGGTTGCAAGATACAAGATCTAAATTATGCAATGAGGCCAGGTGTGGTGGCTCACGCCTGTAATCCCAGCACTTTGGGAGGCTAAAGTGGGCAGATCACTTGAGGTCAGGAGTTCGAGACCAGCCTGGCCAATATGGTGAAACCTCGACTCTACTAAAAATACATAAATTAGCTGGGCATTGTGGCGTGCACCTGTAGTCCCAGCTACTTGGGAGGTTGAGGCAGGAGAATTGCTTGAACCTGGGAGGCAGAGCTTGCAGTGAGCCAAGATCATGCCACTGCACTCCAGCCTGGAGTGAGACTCCATCTCAAAAAAAAAAAAAATACAATGAACAATCCAAAACTGAAATTAACAAAATTATTCCATCTTCAATAGCATCAAAAAGAATAAAATAGGAATAAATTTAACAAAAAAGTTTAAAATTGTAATCCCAACTTTGACTCTGAAGATGGGATTCTAAAATGGTACAGTCAATTTGGAAAACAGTCTGTAGTTTCTGAAAAGGTTAAGTACAGAGTTATAATATAACACAATAACTCCACCACTAGGTAAATGAGAGAAATGAAATGAAATGAGAGAAATGAAAACACACATCTACACACAAACTTGTAAACCAATTTTCTTTGCAACATTATTCATAACAACCAAAAAGTGCAAACACCCAAATGTCAATCAATTGATGAATGGATAAACAAAATGTGATATATCCATATAACAGTATGTTATTTGGCCATAAAAAGGAATGAAGTACTGGTAGATGCTACAACATAGAGGAAGCTTGAAAACATCATGTGAACTGAAATAAAGCAGACACAAAAAGGCAAATATTATATGATTCCATGTATATGAAATGCTCAGAATAGGTAAATCCATAGAGACAGAAAGGAGATTAGAGGTTGTCTAGGGCTGAAGAGGAATAGGAAGGAATGAAGAGTAACTGCTAATGGGTATGGGGTATCTTTTTTGGGGTGATGAAAGTGTCCAAAATTGATTATGTTGAAGGTTGCATAACTGCATGAATATTCTAAAAATCATCGAATTGTAAAATTTAAATGGGTGGATGGTATCCTTTGTGAATTATATCTCAATAAAAAGAAGAAAGAAAGAACAAACCAGAGAATTCTGGAGGAAACACAGAGCAGAGTGTAGCATGGGAAATTTCAAGCCCCTTAGAAAAGCTATATGCTACCATGAAGTATCTGCAATAGAAATAGCAGCTTGAGGTTTTAGAAGACCGTCAAGTGGCATGAAAGAAATCTAGAATCCCTTGTGGAATCTTGTGGAAGATGCAGAAGTCAGCTGAGGATTAAGCAGCAGCCTACTTACCAGGCAGTGGCTGTGGCATAAGGTGAACAGCCCCAAAGAAAAGGCTGTAGGGTGGATAGCCAACGTCAGGGGCCAGATGGAGGATCTGGCTGAAGTTTGGAGGGTTAGCTGCACTATTAGGAGCTAGGGTAGGAATCCCGAATAGTAAGTAATGAGAGACGACTGAGCTTCCTGACACAATCATTGTGTATTACTCATGCTGAGAGAATAAGCCATAAATTGTGAACATTTAAGCAGTGAATAGAGTGAGGCAAAATGAGCTACACTTCAAGTGGGATCTAGCAGAGGTTATAGGGATCAGATTTCTGCTCCTCGGTGCCATGAGTGAGTTTGTACTTTACATTGATTATTTGTACAAAAGAGACTTAATTCAGAACAGACTTTTATATTTTAATTGACAATGTTAATCCTCACCCTGCCAAAACTGTGCCTCCAACCAACTGGAATAGGTGCCCCAGAACACAATGAGATTAGTTAAACAGCTATATTTTTATAATTAACTTTTCAGGTGAGGCCAATTGGGTTTCATTATGTACATTTTCAAACCCCAATATATGTACAGAAGCTAGTAGATGAATTCTTCTTTTAAAAAGAGAGAAAAGAGAAAAACAGTCAAGTAAAGACTTTCCCAAACTATAGTAGACACCTTCATGTTTTGATTGTTCACAACTCCTCTAACTGCCCCAAATAACACTCTGTTTGATCATCTTCTTCCTAGAAAGCCTTTTTCTCCAATCTACAACTAGCTAGCTTTATTAATTCTTCCACATTCAGAGTAGATATTAGCATATCTAAATCTCATTAAGGAGTTTATAGAACTTTCTCTAAAGGAAATAGGTAGCAAAACAACATTCAATTAGTTTGTACTCAAGTTGACAATAGAAGATGTAAATGAAACAACTAGAAAACAATCCAAGGTAGATCATGGTGCTTTTGCTCATAAATGTGTTCATTAGATAAAGAAAGAATTTTGGAAGGAAGGATCTGTTTTGTAATCAGAAAAACAAAAACTGATTTACGAATTTGAATTGAAAAGTAGGTAAAGAATTTCAGTATTTACTCACGTATTCATTCAAATATAAAAGGGAACTGATTACCACCTCCACCACAACAACCATGTGTTATACGTGTACAAGGTTAGATCAAAGTGGTAGCTAAGAATATTACATTCTGCAGTTGTTCAAGGATGACAGTTGAGAAAGTTTGATGACAGAGGATAAAAATAACACTTGTTTGGGCATAAATGGCAGGTTTTTTTTTCAATGAAATATGTGAATGTTCCTCCTTTTACCCACAACCCCAGAAACCTAAGAAAATAATTTTGCAACATTAAGTTCACCACCTCATCGAATTATAATTATTCTTATTTTCTGAAATGAAAAAATAACTATGTTGTAAACACGAGAACAAATTGAGGCAATGATAATATATTAACTAACTATTGGGTTTAATTCAATTACTAGCTTTGCTGCACAATAAATAATATGCATAACCTCTGTCCAAGTATTTTTTTCCACAGTTGTAAAACAAAGCCTTTGACAGGAGTTAGTTAACAGCAATTTAGAGCTGCCTCTAAATTGCAGAAATAAAAATGCTCACAATTTGAATGTGCTTTGTTGACAAAGAGACTATGGCCTATTTTTTTTTTTTAAGTGGAATCTTCAGCTCCCAGATTGACAGTCAGTTACAAAGAGAGGAAGGCAACTTAAAGTTTCCTCTGGAGGGTATTATCACTGCAGTCCAGTATCAGCAGTGGGTAGAAACCATGTGCTCTATCATATTTTGACCTTTATACTTCAAGTCAAGAGAATCCTGAGCAAGGTCAGTTTTTCTATCCACCCAGTGTGCACTTTGCATAGATGTAAAAAAATTTTTTTCACAGAATTTGTTCTGTGGATTTAGTTTATGTTTGAATGAAATATGTTTCTTTTTATGCTGGTGACTTTACAAGAAAACAAGGCCAGGAGAGGCATTTCCTCAAATGCCTAAAGGAGACATTACCACCATCACCACTACTTGCCAAGCGATTTATAAAGCATCTTGAGGCTCAAGGTTAGTATGGGAGATGAGCCAGGCTCAGGAGAAGTTAACACAAAGATAAAGGTTAGTGTTTTTCCCCCTTTTAGTCAGCCAATACAACAAAGTACTTAGATAATAACCCCTAGCGGTCAGGTAATGATGTATTTTCTGCAATTATCACATTTGTGTTTGTCTATTTTCTTTATGCTAGTGAGGTTTGGAATTGGAATTGAAAATCCTCTAGGGAAAAGCTATTTTTGTAATTCAGCTGGGGTGTCCTTGTCTTTGGGTTTTCCCATTGCATCAGTCCCTTAGCCTGGCAGGATAGCCATGATAGTGCTTTGTCTTTTAGATGAAATGCAGAACTAAGGACATGACTACTGGTGCTTATTAAAGATTCCTTGCTATTTTTCACAAGAGTAGGGGCGTTAGACTCTTGTCTACTGGCCAAATTCTAAATTGGGAGATTACATTCTGCTTTCCTAAATTCCCCTAGCAGAAGCAGCCATCCATGGTATCCTACTTTGCTTCCTGTGCTAAACTGTTTTGTGATGTCATTAAATGGCTCTGGTTTTTTACTCTAGAAATGATCACTTTAGTGGGGTGGGGAGTAAATCGATACCTATTGTCTGATATTATGTTCAGTCTAGTTTCAAAAAAATTAAAAGGTAGCCTGTGGTAGTTAAGGACAAAGTACAAAACAAAACACCCTAACGTACAAAACACCCTAACATACCAGTTGTTGTGGTGCTTTTTAAAAAAACCAATCTGCTTTCTCTTCTGTAACATAGACAAAATATTAATGCATTTTTTTACTCCACTAGTAATTGACAAAGAATTGTTATTTGTTTCATACTTAAGGTTAATTCTAACAGTGATGAAGTTTGAGAGGATGAAATTACATATCACCGACCAATTAAACTATCCCTTTTGTCTTTAGGCTGCATCTAACCATTCCAGATTTTCATCTATCTATCTCATAAAATCTTTTTGGAAGGAGATTTTTCATCTTTCCTTGGTAACATATTTCAGTGTCTCTCAATCTTTCCATAAAAACTAAGTTCTTATTTCTGTTTAACCTCGGTTCCACCTGCTGGAGTGTAATGTCACTATCTTTTGTCCATCCTTAGCCTTGTTATCATATATTGTTAGTGAGAGGCAATGTAGTATAATGGCATGGTTTTTGGAATCAGACATGCCAGCATTCCAATCCTAGCTCTGTTACTTTCTAGGTGTGTGATGTTGGGCAAATTACTTCTGAGGTTTAATAGCCTCATCTGTTAATGAGTAACCTCAGAGCATTGTTGTGAAGATAAAACGAGATAGTATCTTATTCTGAAGGATTATGGGGTAGGACGAGGTATGGTATTGGAGACCTAAAAAGTGTTCAATACATACTATAATAGCTATTTATCTGATTATGTGCATGTATCTGACTTAATTCATAAACTCTTTTAGAGCGGGAGGCATACTTCCTGAGTACGCCCTGGATTTCAACAGAAGTATAGTGTTGTGCACATAGTATGGTGCAGAGGCTCAATATTACTGAATGAATAAATTGTTTTGTTTTTATTCCCTGAGTGGAATGAACAGCCCCCAGCTATCTGCAAGATCCCACGCATGTAGAAAAAAGGTGACAAAAATCAATCTGCAGTTTTTAAATATGCAGATACCTGACTTTATCTAGATGTTTTAGCATGGTGTAGATACAATGCAAATAACTTACGCTTTCTATTTCTATCACGTTCATTTCTACGAATTTTAACATTTGATTATTGTCATTATTTTTATTATTAAGCTGCACTTAGGCACCCAGAAAGGGACTGACTCATATGTCTCCTCATCCATCCAAGCATTTAATTGAGAAATTTTAAAAATGAATATTAAGAGCTAATTATATACTTGAACAAAATCTTTCAATTTGTGACTAAGTACATTACCTTCCCTATTTATCTCTAAGATCTGAGCACTACAGATAATATTCCTAATTGCTTTGTACCCAAGCCAAGAAATAAAAACCAAAACCAGAAAAGTCCACCACTGCAAGTCCCAAAGCACAATTAGTATCTTTGAACCAGTGAAGTATTAGTTAGGACTTTATTTTTGGCTTTTAAATGTTTAAACGGGGCAAGGAGGGTAAGTTGGGGGAACAAGTACAAGATACATAGATTCAGTCGGACTTGAATATTTCTCCATAAGGAAAGGAAAGAGTACCCTGGTGTGTGCTTAGGCTGGAATTAAAAAGACAGCAGCGTGGCCATTTCCTGGATTGCTTTGTACACACTTTACAGGGGCGGTCTCAGGTATGGAGCTCTGGGCACCTGCTCGCTCACACTCCAACAGTTCAGAAACCCGTGTATTTGAGGCCGGGTGGCTCAGGTTCCACGTAACTGGGCTTAAGTGTCATTAATACTGCTTGCGGCGGGGGGTTACTGAGCTGTGCTTTGGGACCTGGATGCTTACTTCGGACTTTCTCCTTTCTTCCCCCCTACCCCCACTAGTTTCCCTTTCCCTCCTTCCTTCCCGGGCGTGCCCACCTTCTCCCTTTGCTCCCACTTTCCGCTGTCTGACTCTTGTTTCCTTCACCTTCCTTTCTAATCGGCTTCCTGTCTTCCAACCTCTGCCGGCCGGAGAGATTGAGATTGGGGCTGGGGCTGGGGCTGCGGCTCAGAAGAGGCACGAGTCGGGCGGGACAGGCGCGAGGCGCCCAGCCGCGAAAGCGAGGAGCGCGCACCGAGGCGGGGGCGCGCGCGGGGCAGCCGCGTGGCTAGGCAGACGGGGCCGGGAGCGGCGCGCGCGCGCCCCGCCAGCCTCTGGCGCGCCCCCGGCGGCCTGAGCCGCAGCGTGCTCGCCCCCGCCGCCAGCTCGCCTCACTTATGGGTCGGAAACGCTGCGTGGGGGAGACTGTTCCAAGATGGCGGCGGGTTGCTGCGGGGTGAAGAAGCAGAAACTGTCCAGTTCGCCCCCCTCTGGCTCGGGTGGCGGTGGTGGCGCCTCCTCCTCCTCCCACTGCAGCGGAGAGAGCCAGTGCCGAGCTGGGGAGCTGGGACTAGGAGGCGCCGGTACGCGGCTCAACGGGCTGGGAGGTCTAACCGGAGGAGGTAGCGGCAGCGGCTGTACCCTCTCTCCCCCCCAGGGCTGCGGCGGCGGCGGCGGGGGGATCGCCCTGTCGCCACCTCCGAGCTGCGGAGTGGGGACCCTACTTTCTACCCCGGCCGCCGCCACCTCTTCCTCACCCTCCTCATCGTCCGCCGCCTCGTCCTCATCGCCGGGCTCCCGGAAGATGGTGGTGTCAGCAGAGATGTGCTGCTTTTGCTTCGATGTGCTCTACTGTCACCTGTATGGATACCAGCAGCCCCGGACCCCCCGATTCACCAACGAGCCCTAGTGAGTACCGTGCCCTCCGCCGCCCTCTCCCTTGCGCTCGGGATGGGGCTCAGAGTTGAGGCAAAGTGCGAGTCCGCCTCCCGGCCGGCGGATGCCCCTGCCCTCTCGCTGCCCGGGTCCCCGGAGCTACTCAACTGAACTAAGGGCACCCTGCGCTTTTTGCCCTCCGAGGCAGGCACCCCACACTTGGAGCAGGGTGCTGCTGCAAGGAATGGCCCCGTGGCTCCTAGAGGTGTTAGCTTTCTCTTTGCGATGACTTCGAGGAGTTTTGACTCCTTTACTTGTCTCCTTCACCACCCCCACCACCCCTCACCCTGCCCCGGTTTTGGAGATCTGGGTTACTCAAGGTGTTGACCTCTCCTCACTTTGGTTTCCATTACCCCAAGTGAAAGCCCCGCCAGTATTCCCGCCCCGCGTATCTTGCACATGGAGAACTACTATCCCATTGCAGGATGAAAAATAGCAACTATCCAACTTCTGTTAGTGATGGAACTTAGCTCTGGAGCTTGTGAGGTTACCCATCTTCTCCTCTGGGTTTTCTTGTGCCCTGGGAAGGGGGGAGGTTTCTTAAAACACATTTTTCCCTTACTACTTATTTTTATCCAAATACACCCATTAAAATGTGTTTCTCGTGTAGCGAGCGCACTGCCGGCTTCCTCACATTTGAAGAGTGCGACCTTTTTTTTTTTTTTTTCCATTCCACCGTCTGGATAATAGCTCATTCAAAGAGAACTGTCCCCACAGAGCCACGGTCAGTTTGTACATTAAGCGTGCATTCGCTTTTGTGTCGATTTCACTTTTTAAGAAATCCATGTTATACTTGATGATTTGAGAACAGTTAAATAGTAAATGTGTAGGAATTGTTATGGTTTCCTTTGGTTTTGTATCTTAAATTATTTTACCCTTCAAGTGTGTGGTTGAAAAATTTTAAAATAGCACTGTTACAGCTAAAAGCCAGGTTAATTCTAATCCCTGTCCATTTGGATGTGTGGGAGGTGGGGCATATGGTTTTTTTTTTTTAATGTGTAAACTGAATGTAAACTGACTTTTTGCGTTAAATGCTAGACAGAATGTAAAGACCAAGAGAGGGCAGAATGAGAAAAAGTGCAATTGCTTTTATTTGAGTACTTAGCATCAACAAGAAAAATAATACAGAAAAAATTTCAGTGAAACTCGTACTGAAAGGCATCAGCCCCTTTTCCAGCTAAGACAAGTGCCCCTTGTCCCCCATATCATAAATACCTGAATTGATGTTCTTTTAAAACTGCTCCTTTTCATTTTGTGAGATTAGAGGATTGGACTACTGTTGTATAAGTATAAACATTTCTGCCTAGACTAAAATATTAAATTAATATGTAAAGTGGAAATTACAATAAAGTGTCCTGGAAATTGTGCATTTGTACTGTTTGTTTTCTTTGGCTTTCATTCTTTAAATGTCTTTAATTTTGTATGACTCTTCTGTGGTCTGTGCATTTTCTTTTAGACTTGGTTAATCTTTGGGCATTGGTTTATGAGAAGTGCATGAAAGAGCATCCAGGAGAACACTTCGTCAAATAAATATCTTTATAAATTTCATAGTGTTAATTCTAGAAGCTTAAATCCTAAGTCCACACTTTTATTTAGCCAATTCATTTTTTTGGTTAAGAAGTAAAATTCATTTTGAAAAGACTGCCATGTAAAATAAATCTATGAAATATTTATTAGCTTGAGTCACTTATTTGTGACTTTTATGCCTTCTCTTGGATGTCTGTGATGTATTAAAGCTAGTCCTGGGATGATACTTAGGTTGGCTCTGCAAAGTCATGGGACTGCAAAAATTCACTCCTGTTTAGTTCTTGAGCTGTTAACATGAGTTTGGCAAAGGCTGCTTTAGTATTCACGCTCCATTGCTCCAAAGCATATGAGAACACACTTTCAGGAGGTGCTATTTTCACACATTTTACAGTGAGTTTGGGTTAACTCAATGACTATAACAAGAATTTTAAAAGGAAAGTGAGCTTGACCAGTTCATACAGAAAATGCTTTTGAAAATATCATTTTAACAGTAGCCACTTTGCACACGTATTTAGATATTATTCTATTCAAACACCCCAGCCCCTGGATTTCTTTTTCATGGAATTAAGCAGATGATAGGACACACTTTGACCACTGTGGATATGTTGAAACGGTGGTGGAAGAATAATAACTATTATCATCTAGCAGACCTTGAATGTGTCATGTATTCTATAAAACAACTAATGTAGAGTAGACACTAAACATGACCAAGTGGAGAATGAAAGTTCACTTAAGTGGAAAATGGACTGTCTTATTTCCATTTATCTTCAACTCATTTTTGAGGTGTACTGTGGAAAATTCAGGAAAACTTCCTGATTATGGGAGGGACATAACTAAGCATTTCAACAGTGCCTTAGTAACTACCACACATTTGTCTTTCTGTTTTACATATTTAACAGCATTGTGTACTTATTAGTGTTGCTTTATCCTAAGTGCCATAAGACATAAACAGACATATTGGGATTTTTTTTTCTCATAGTTATTATCATGTCATGAGCAGTGTGTTTCAGGTCATGTCTCTGCCCACCAGATGTTGTGCTTTTGACAGTTTTAACTTCTCATACGTAAACGCACACTCTTTTCATCCTTTCCCAGGACTTTTCTCTCAGAATGTCTGTAACTGGTGAAATCCTCGTTTTATGGGTTTAGAAGCTGTAGATCCATCAGTTAGTTATCCTTCCACTCAGTATTGAGGGGATGTCAATATATGAACAAGCTGTATGGATACAAATTCTTCACTGTTGCCCCCATGTTTTGATTACCTACCCAATTGCAGAAAGCATTGTACAGGCAAGTTTGTGCACAGAAATCTGGTTAAAGACATGAGGAAAACTTAACTTTACTGCATTTTGATATTCAAAATCAGCACTCTTGGATTTATGTAGGGAGCCCAGATAGCTATTTTATAGGAACCTGTTTGCTACTATAAAGGGATCCACTGTGCCAGGTGTTGAGCTAGTTAGACTCCAGAGCAGTCATTCTTAACTTTGGCTGCACATTGGAATCACTGGGAAGTTATTAAAAATATGGATGCCTGAGCCCCAACTCCAGAGATTCTAATTTAATTGGACTTGAATGGGGTCTTGGATGGGGCCTGGGAATCAGGATTAGTAAAAGCTCACCAGGTGAGTTTAATGTGCAGCCAAGGTGGCGAACCACTGGTTATAGTCTACTGAATCTTTCTCTTGAGATTTGGATAATTTGGGCTAGGGTAGTGCCTTGGAATCTGAATTTTATGAGCACCCTAAATTTCAGTAAACAACCGATTTGAGAAACTCTTGCATTGTGGTCTGCAGAAGACATCACCTGGGAAATCATTACAAATATAGGCTCTCAGGCCCCGCCTCAGACCTGCTGAATTAGAGTCTGCAGTTTAACAAGCTCCTCAGGTGATTCTTACGCACATTAAAGTTTGAGAAGGACTGGTTCTCATACTTTGGAGTACATCATAATCTATAGTGCTTGTTAAAACACAAATTGTTGGGCCCCATTCCCGGAGTTTCTGATTCAGTTGGTGTGGGGTGGGACTGTGAATTTGCATTTCTAACAAGTTCCCTGGTGATGCTGATGCTACAGTTCCCAGGGCCACACGTTGAGAACCTCTGGAGAGAGAATTGAGGACCTGAATAAGTACTTGAGCGACTGTAATGGAATGGCAATTTTCAAGGCCAGTTTTCAGTATAAAACTTCCTGCTTCTGTGTCACTATGCTTTAGCATGTTCATTCTAACCTAGCACCCAGGAGATTGAGTGCTGCCGAGAGTATAAGAGTCTGAGGTTCTTGGGATGGTTTTAGTTGAGGGGTGAGGGTGACTCTTGGAAACCTGTGGTATGATTTTAGGTCCTTTTTCAGAAATTGTTAAATGTAAGGGATACATTTTAGGAGTTAAAAGCATTACAAATATGATACCTTAAGGTGAATTATATTGATTTTAATAAGTAAAGCCCCCTTTGTTCCCATAAAATGCTCTTATGATTCTTTCACTAAAGTATTGTGAAAAGATTTTAAAAGCTTTTACTTATGCCTATGGTTGCTGGATTTCATTTTAAGACTTTCCCTCTGTAACAAAAATATGAAAGGATTCTGCTAAGGCACTGGGATTGTTCAGTCTTATATCTTTAATGCTGCTGCGTGTCACGTTACTTGAACTTTTTATTTTAATCATCCTACCACCTTTGAAGTTAACGTAATACTACATTTTGTATAGACCATAGCACATAGAAGATTCTTTATTATTAAAGTACATCAGTAAGTGTGGTTTTAAATTGCAATTAATAAAATGTATTTTAAAAAAATCCACTCCCGCATATGCAGATTTTGAGACTCTGAAGAGGTGTTTTAACAGTTAACTCTTTCTCGTCTTGCCACCGTAGTCAAGTTGCTGTTTTTCAGTGTGCTTGGGAGGAATTGGGTTGTGTTGGGGAGTAGGCATTTTGTTTCAACAGAACTGTGGCAATCCTATTGCATTATCAAAAAGATGATTTGATAGTGCTGCTCAGGTTAAAATGATATTAAATTTGTATTTTAAATATAAGCCATTATATTTCTGTTATATGTTTTCTGATGAAGATTGACCAGAATAGCCAGAAGATGTATCTGTCTATCGCAGATGATGCCATGAGGCCATGACAGATTTCCTTATCCACACTAACATAACGGTACTAACTTGCATTCTCTGGTCATAATGTATAGTTTTTCTTATAAAAGCAAAACACTGTCTGAACAATTGAGTCATTTTGAAGGTATAATATGGTTGTTTTTTTTTAACAATGTTGATTCCCATTGGAAGACAATCTGATGTCGTATCTTATGGATAGAAAAGAAGGCAGGCATGTCCCCAGTTGTCAGTTGTTCTGTAAAAGCCATCAGTGACTGAGCTAGAAGGATGGAGAAATATAAATCACAAAATTGTTTTTATATCCATGCATAAAGGTGTATGTGGGACAAGGTATATTTAGTTAAAAAGAAAATGCTTATTTTGCTTTCTCCCCCATATGGCCAAAGGGAGTGATAATTTAGCCCATAATTTTTCTTGCTTATGAATTATGTTTGTGCTATACTCAGGTTTCAGTTAGCGGGTGGCAGCCAAGTAGGAATCTCTGCTGAAATCTCTCAGTCCAATGGGAAGAAAGACCACTACTGAAAAAGTAAAAAATGGTCTGTTAACCCATGCATGAGTTGTTTTTCTAAGTATGTATTTCTCAGGCACATGCTAACATGTGTGTTGTTGTCTTTTTAAAAACTGTATGCTTTTTGAAACCAAATTTGTGTTATAAATACTAAAACCTTAGCTGTAGTGGATTATATTTTTGAAGTGAATTGCATTTCCTATTTATAGACAGTTTTACTTTTTGAGAATTTATGTGTGAAACACTAAAACTTGTGTAATGAGATTAGTCAGTTCCCAAGTTTTCCTGATTTCAATAGGCATTATTATGTACTCTCGATGTCACACATGCTTGGCTCTTATAAAGCAGCACAATGACCAGGGCTTTTACATTTAAATTTTGTTAAATAGTCTCTTTTTCAAACTTGTGTAATAATGTCTCTTTTTGATACTGTTCTGAATCAATTAAGCTAAGTAAGTGAGGACCAGCAGTAAAACCCAGCATCTGCCAAGAATGGACCCTCAATGTGTAAGCTGTCTTTCCACAATCAGTAATTGGGCAGTTGCTCACAGGACACTGGAGACAGTGTGGGAAACCAGTGGTTGTGTAGGTGGAAAGAGTAGATTCCCAACAGTAAGCTTATTTAGAGTTTAGCTTCTGTAGTTAGTGTTGCTAAGAGCAAAAATGACCCACAGTTTATGTAGTATAAAGAAAATAACCCAAAGGAAGAAGTACAGTGTAATAGTATAGTTGGTTGGGTGGAGCATGTTTTATGTTCAGTCCAACTATAAGTGGCATCTTTTGTATCAAGTGTGGGTGTATTTTCTACAGCTCTTAATGTTTCAGACATTGAAACTTGCTCAAAGTTAAAAATGTTAGTGTTGAATAGCTGAGTGGAAATTATATGTCATTGGAAAAAAAAACCCTGTTTTTGTAAAAAATATACATTATCCTGAGTTTCATGGTTGGAAACCAGAAAAATAGAAGGAATAGTCCTATCCTCACAGAGCTTACAGTCCTGTTCAAGATATGATACTATTATCAAAGTTGCTTGAAATACTTACAAAGCAATATATACATGATTGTAGATTAATAAAATACACATAAAATGCATACACATGGAAATGACATGGAATAAAGGAGTGGTCAGGGAGAAGGCTATAGGGAGGGAATAACTGGAACCAAGTTTTGAAATGGAGGAGGTACAGAAATTATTGGTAGAGTCTGTTTGACCAGTAGATCTTGAAGTCTTACTTGGTTGTTCTTAAACCCGTTGCTGTCACCACCACACCCCTTGCCACAGTACTTGGGGATTCCCAGCAGCTGTCTTCAGTCAGCAACTTGCACTCTCAGCATTCTTCATATCACTCCCCTTGCTCTGGTCTCTAAGATCATAAAACTTCAAGGAAATTAAAAGTGGCCTTTGTGTTGAGAATCCTCTGGGGAGGCTGGATAAGAGATCTTGTATCTGCTTATAGTTTCTTGTATTAGGAAGAGAACAGGATTTGCAGAAGAGTCCTCTAGAGTATCAGATGAATTGGGAGAAGAGTCTCAAGATAGGGGAGACTAACTAGGCTTAAGGTTATGAGGGCAGTAGGAAAACTGGCATTGGAAAGTGGGAAAGCCACCCCAGGGGCAGAGTTTGTGAATATAGGAATGTTGCAAAATTGAGAATTGGAAGAAGTTATCAGCATATGCAAGGGTTCATACTCTAGGGCCAGGTTTTGTGTAGGAGTGGAAAGATTGTAGCTCACCTGTTTTTGGCTTCCATCATTGCCTCTTCTTTTCTTGGCTCTGTGCCTAGCTATTCTTGTGCTCAGAAAAAGTTTGTTAAACAGCTCTGTTGAAATGGCTATGAAATTTGATCACAGGCATAAGAACTCTCCTCCCCTTTCCCTCTTCACCTATTCCCAGCTGTATCTAATTTGGGAGAAAGGATGAGAGGACACATCGGTTTATAGAATTTGTATCAAATATAAAGATAGCTGGAATAGCTTTTGGATGAGGACCTGTGATTAGGTGACTACATGTGCATGGAGAGGCACTGCAGGAAAAAAAAAAACAAATTCTGGTTGCTTGGCAGAAGTAAAAGAAGAGAGGCTTTGAACATGATTCAGAGTTCATAAGCCTGGGGAACCATGAGGATGGTGGTGCCATTAAAAAACATGGGGGGAATATGGGAAGAAACAAATGGTTGGGCAGGTGAAATCAGATTTCTTACTATGTGTAGTTCCAAGTGTTGGCAGTTATCAAATGTTATTTCTTTTTGAATTACCAGAACCACAGAGCAGCAACAGAGCTATTGTGATGTTTTAGTTGGCCCCTTGGGATCACTCCCCCACTTTGTGACTTTGAATGGCTCAGATAAGTAGATATCAGTGATAGTTTTCAGCTTTGTACTGCTAGTAAAAATACCTGGCAGAATTTTGGGTTTCTTTAATGTAGGTTTTTACATTTTCTTAGTCTTCAGGCTTATCAATTTGTAAAGCAGGCAGTGATCCTTTTATTTCCTTATGTGTATATCATAGTACAGCCTTGAGCAAGATAAAGCCTCGTGGCAGGCCATCTCAGGAATTCATAATTTCAGAACTAAAGGGAAATTTTTGAAGGACTAGAAGTGCCTTTGGTACAAGATTCTAGGTTGTGTGTCCTAAAGCTTAGAAAGTAAAATAGATTGAATCAAGCTGGATCTGTTTTGTGGCTTTGCTCAATGATGAAGGATGGATGTTATGAACTGATGGGATCAGCCATATTGCTTTAGGATCTTTGCGATCTTCAGTGGATGGGCAAAAGTGAAAAGTTCTGCTTGAGTAAAGACCTACTAATACTAGTTTTTTTCAATAAAGTCTGTGATAGTCTTGATGATTCTTGCCTTTTCCCTATCTGTTTCATTTTACAGATAATCCACATTGTTACCCAAAGCCACATGCAGTGCCGGGAGAGCACAGTTGACTGTTTTATGCAGTATCCTGCCAGAAGATGCTGACCAGTTCTCTAGTAATAGAAAGTAGTGAGATTGAATTAAGAGCCTATATAGTTCACCTTGCCATTCGATATACTTTCACTGTGATCTGTAAGCATATTACATACAACTTTAGTAACATATTTTCTAGTGAGATCTTGGATTGCTGCAAGGTGGTAACAGATTCTCTGCTTTGCTTCAGGTGTTAGTGGATCTTTGAGTAATTCCTATGGAATGGAGTCTCTGAAAAATTGGTTTTGATGCTGTTAGCCTAGGGGTCCCACAGCACTGTATCTGCCTCAAATAAATGCTTATGTACTAGTTACATTAGTGTGTTTCTTTTCTGTGATATCATTATCGCTTATAGTAGCCTAGCAACCACACGGTTAGGTTTAGGTGGTTTGGGGTGCAAATAAATTATATAGCTGGTAAAACTTGGGCCTCAGTACATAATTCATTGTAGCAAGGCAAACACTTTGTGCTGATTTTGAACAAAAGTGAAGTGTTTAGATTGACGGGTGCTTTTTTACCTCCTTTTTTATATGGTAAGTAGAAGATGGCATTGGTGATTTATTCAATAAAGAAGAATCTCATGAAGTCTTTGCCTTTTTTCCATGTTAGAGTAGGTATTCTCAACACAATTCATGTGTTCTCAACACAATTCATGAGTTTCCCTATGATAATGACAAAAACAAATTAAAAAAAAAACTTGCCACAGCTTCTTTTGCATTAAAACAAAACAAGCCAATAAAAAACTTGCCACTAGCTTGGCTGGGTACTTGATTTTGTGGAATAGCTCTTTGATGTTAGGAGTAGGTACAGAGAAAGTCAGTAGTTAAAATTTTTTTTGAGTTCACAGATCCATCTACCCCCACACTCTTCTACTTGTCCATTCAAAAAACCCTCACAAGAACAAAAAGGAATAATATTCTATTTTTCCGACACTAATGAGGTGGGTGATATGTGGTTTGTGGTATACTTTACTCCACAAACTCCTCCAACTATTGTCCTGTCTGGCAATTTTTGTGGGAATTGACTCTCCCACATTGTAGGCATTGGCTGTGTGGAGAAAGAGAGTCACATGTGGTTCGAGGCAGGGACAGAGGGCATATAGGAATCAGGGAGGGAGTAAAATGAATTGTATTCAAGTTAAGTGAAGCATGGATTCAGGGCAGAAAAGGGAGATTGAGCACCTGATCTGGAGCAGGAGTGCTTTTTATGTTTTACATCATAAAAACTTAGATGTCCCTCCTTTAGAATCAATGGCCACAGCATTCTTGTTAAAAAATAATTATTCTGGCTAGGTGCCATGGCTCACGCCTGTAATCCCAACACTTTGAGAGGCTGAGGCAGGAGGATTGCTTGAACCCAGGAGTTCTAGACCAGCCTAGACAACATAGTGAGACCCCCATCTCTACAAATTATATATTTGAAAAACTTAGCTGAGCATGATGGCATGCGCCTGTAGTCCCAGCTACTTGGGAGGCTGAGGCAGGAGGATTGCTTGAACCCAGGAGGTCGAGGGTGCAGTGAGCCGTGATCACACCACTGCACTCCAGCTTGGGCGACAGAGTCAGACCATGTCTCAAAAAAAAAAAAAAAAAAAAAAAGAAAAAAAAAAGTTTCTAGCAGAAGCAAATGCATATCATGAAGTTTCATAATATGAGGACCTGCTATGGGTCCTTTTAATACTTATAAGAGACCATATTGAAAACCATTTGTACAGTGTCTTCAGAATGAGGCCTCTACATAACTCTGGAAGCTATGGGACAAGTAGCTTTACCCAAAACAGCATAAATGTAGCCACTCTCCTGTAATTATCCTTACTTATTTTTCTTGACTTGTCTATGCACATAGCTATAAATCCTCAGGTATTCAGACATATCTTCTTTTTAGGCCTGTATATTTATATTAATAGCCTCTACTTAGATGTGTGAAGTTTGTTTCATGTAGTTTGCTCACAGTTATTATCTATAACAAAGATTATGGAACAGGCACTATTAAATGATAGACCCAGGTATAATTTCTGACTGGCTGCAGAATACAGTCATACAAAGGTACATACCTATCTCTTTTGTACTTTATCTTAGAAGGACCTACTATGGTCAATTTAATTTGTAAATTACATTCTCACAGATAACTGGAGTGTCAGCCATTTTTTGTTTATCAGTTTATCTTTTATCATATACATGTAGGCTGATGGTAGTTTACTTTTTTTTTTTTTTTTTGGAGACAGAATCTTGCTCCATCACCCAGGCTAGAGTGCAATGGTATGATTTCGGCTCACTGCAACCTCCGCCTCCCGGGTTCAAGTGATTTCTCCCGCCTCAGCCTCCCAAGTAGCTGGAATTACAGGCACCTGCCATCATGCCCAGCTAATTTTTGTATTTTTGTATTTTTGTAGAGACGGGGTTTCACCATGTTTGCCAGGCTGGTCTTGAACACCTGACCTCAGGTGATCTGCCCGCCTCTGCCTACTGAAGTGCTGGGCTTACAAGTGTGAGCCACCGTGCCCAGCCACTTATTTTTTATGGTGGTAAAAAAGATGAGATTTTTACCCTGTTAGTAAATGTTTAAGTGTATAGTAATGTTAACTATAAGCACTCTGCTTAGCTTAATTTTTAAAGGCACATAATAGTGGCTTTACCTAAAGCAACTCATTTCTTCTAGGAATTTTGGGAATCCTTCACAAATTAACCTTATAAACTTACTAGAGGGGCCAGGCGCGGTGGCTCACGCCTGTGATCCCAGCACTTTGGGAAGCCAAGGCGGGCGGATCACCTGAGGTAGGGAGTTTGAGACTGGCCTGACCAATATGGAGAAACCCCGTCTCTACTAAAAATACAAAATTAGCTGGGTGTGGTGGTGCATGCCTGTAATCCCAGCTACTCCGGAGGCTGAGGTAGGAGAATCGCTTGAACCCAGGAGTCAAAGGTTGCTGTGAGCTGAGATCACGCCATTGCACTCCAGCCTAGGCAACAAGACTGAAACTCCGTCTCAAAAATAAAAAATAAAAAAAATAAAAGTACCAGAGGTGCATAGCTCCTTTTTACAAGAGAGCCTAATTTAGGCTTCGAGGTATTTATTTTTCCAAACCTATTGAAAATTATGAATAAACTAAAGGCATTAAAATCAAAAGTAACTTTTTAATTTTTTTATTTTTTATTTTATTTTATTTTTCGAGACGGAGTCTTGCTCTGTTGGCCAGGCTGGAGTGCAGTGGCGTGATCTTGGCTCACTGCAAGCTCTGCCTCCGGGTTCACACCATTCTCCTGCCTCAGCCTCCCGAGTAGCTAGCTGGGACCACAGGTGCCCGCCACCAAGCCCGGCTAATTTCTTTTTTGTTTGTTTGTTTTTAGTAGAGACGGGGTTTCACCGTGTTAGCCAGGATGGTCTCGATCTCCTGACCTCGTGATCCGCCTGCCTCGGCCTCCCAAAGTGCTGGGATTACAGGCGTGAGCCACCGCGCCTCGCCCAATTTTTTACTTTTTTGAGATGGAGTCTTGCTCTGTCACCCAGGCTGGAGTGCAGTGGTGTGATCTTGGCTCACTGAAAGCTCCACCTCACGGGTTCAAGTGATTCTCCTGTCTCAACCTCCCGAGTTGCTGTGATTACAGGTGTGTGCCACCATGCCCAGCTGATTTTTTTTTTTTAATTTTCAGTAGAGATGGGGTTTCTGAGGAAATGTGTTTTCTAGAGAGATGGAAAATTGGAAGATAAATTGCATAATGGGATATTATAAGTAAGGCCGTTAAGTCTATATGTGTATATATAGACTATATAACCATTTCAGTTAAGCACTTCTTGAAATTGCTTCTTACAGTATACACACTTGTTTCTAATGAAAAACTTACATCTAAGTGTGGCAGTGGCATCTGTGAAATAATAGATATGATCAAGTTGCAGGTCTTGAAAGTTGTTTGTTTGCCCTGTTTTCTGTACAACCAGTATGAGGCTCTCTATCATTAGCTGGGGTGTAGACGTTTTAAAAATAATATCACTGAATTGTAATGCATCAATTTGGGTTTTGGAGCAGTATCTAACTTGTTCCATTTAGAGGTGGCTTTGCAGTTCTAAACAAGAAAGTAGAATTTTTACTATGATTATCCCTTTGCTTACAGGCTTTTAAAATGAATATTTGTTGAAGTCTCAAGTCTTTTTTGCCAGTATTATCTTAAGACTGTGTTTGACATCAATACCTATCTCTTATTCTATGCAAGTACTGCTCTTAATATTATGACTGGTTCTAATATTTCATTTCAACAAGTAATACAGCTGTTCTGGGTAGAACACTATGCTAGACCCCTTTATGAGTATGGGTGAGAAATCTATAAAATAGGCATAAACCATGCTTCATGTCCTTAAAAAGCTTGCAGTCATACTGAAAAGACAAGATTCATGAAACAAATAATGAAGTCACATATGATTCAACAGCTAAATGAGTGATGGAGACAGTGATGTCTGTAGGACTCATTGTTTGGGTAGACTAATGTGGGCTAAGATTGTACAGGAGAGCTTTACAGACAAAATAGGATTTAGGCTAGGTAGAACTTTCATAGATGGAAAAAGCAGTCTAGGCAGAGAAACATCTTAGACATAGGTCAGGATGAGCATTATACAGTGGTCAGTGGGTACCAATCAAAAGTAGGTTGAAGTGGGGGAGAACCTAGCAAGAAAGGGGACCTGTAAGGAGACTAGCTATAACAAGCATTGGGAAATGAAGGTCTAACAGTTGACAATTTTAAAATTTTAATGGCCTGTGAGTGGCCTCTTTCTTGGTAAAATTTCTCTTTGTCTGTTTAATTATGTCTCACCAGCACCTTTAATGTTGTGAATGTCATGAAACCTTGACAAGAGACTAGGAAATAACACAAGCAGTAGTCTGCTCTGTAGACAAAGTGCTTTCATTCTTCAGTACGCATTCAGCTTAAGTCAGTTAGATTAACATTGGTTATGTCACACTGCCTGAGTGCCTTCTATGTTCAGTGATCTTTTTTCTTCTGAACTTCAGTGTCTCAAAGATGAAGTTAGAAAAATTGTCTAGCTACAAAGTTATGTAGTTTAAAAATACTATAATTATGATACAATTAAATGGTTTGGTCACTTTCTTTCCTCCTAAAGTTAATGAAGAAATTTTACTTGGATATTGCAAATTTAACTGAGATAATTTAGGTACTAGGGATTATAATAATTTTAGGAAGATTGTGAATGATGACAGTCTTCTTTATGAAATTAATTTAAACATAGATTAGGCTAATGGGAATGTTCCTTATGGTTCTTCACATGAGCTTTAAGAATGCTACAACTCTTAAGAAACAATCTATATAAGCAAACTTGTAAAGGTTTTATACTGTTATTTAGAAACAAAATTCTAAAATAGTTTCCTGAATTACAATGAGCAGCATATTTTTAGTTTATGTTGAGGAATGATTATGCTTTGAAGAAAAAAACAAGCAAAATTCTCAGTATTTTAGCTGAAGATGTGTCTTTAAGACATAAGTTTAGAACTTAAACTTCTTTTTCAGTGATCACTGTAAAATTCTATTTTAGTAACTCCCTTCTGTTATTCCCAGAATATGTTTTAGAATATAAGAAAATTATTTTCCAAATATGGGACTAATCTCTGGCAGATTGTAAAGCATGAGCATTGTATCAGTATACTCAGGAAACAGAAAACAACACTAGCGTAATGCTCACTAACAGTGTTCTCTATGTAGTCAGTTTATGTCTATAAGTAAATGAACTCTCCCTCCTATCATAGTCGAATCTGCAATTTGAATTATATACTATTAGAGTGAGGAGAAAAAATACCAGATGTTAAAATAGTGGTAGTACAATATTTTTGAATAAAAGTTGTTGAAGAGGTAGATGTTGACCCTATGTAATAATCATAGACTCCTGCCACATAATGGGATAGGAGGCCAAATGGAATCCAGTGGTTTTTAGTACAGACCACACAGAGGTTCCTGATCACTTTTAATATCCGTAAATCTTTCTTAACAAAGGTGGATGCCCTCATCAGGGGAGTGGGAGGCAATTTTGTTTATACAGGGTTGAACTATTTAGATTTCAACTTCATTTTTCACAGACTTCAAACAACGTGCATCTCAAATAGGCAGGCACCTCCATAGTGTAGAGCACAACTGGGGGAAAAAGTCAGGGCTTTTCTGTTTTGATTGTGGCAAGAGAACAAGCAAACCCATTTTAAAGTGAAAAAAATGGATGTAGGTCTAACGGGCCCTGATTCCTGTCTCCATTGGGCTACACATAGAACCTTTGCTTCTGTTTATTTCCGCTCAGTCTAGAGAAATTCAGATAAGTTCTTACAGAAGAGGAGTGCTTTAGTCTTTAAGGTTTCTTTCACTTTCATTAAGTTATATTCACCATCTCATAATAACCCTTCATTAACTCTTAACTAATTTAAATAGTTTGTACCAGTCCAGCACGGCCTCAGGTCCATTCATTTTCTCAGAATTGTTATATTTAAACACTTTTTACTTCAATCTCTCCCACCCCAAATTTGAAGTATAAATTTAGGAAAATCAGTCAATCTCTCTCTCTCTTTTTTTTTTGTTTTTTGATTTGTTTATTTATTTTTTTGGAGACCAAGTCTTGCTCTGTCGCCTAGACTGGAGTGCAATGGCGTGATCTCGGCTCACTGCAACCTCTGCCTTCTGGGTTCAAGCAATTCTCCTGCCTCAGCCTCCCAAGTAGCTGGGGATTACAGGTGACTGCTACCACGCCTGGCTAATTTTTGTATTTTTAGTAGAGATGGGGTTTCACCATGTTGGACAGGCTGGTCTTGAACTCTTGACCTCAGGTGATCCACCCACTTCGGCCTCCCAAAGTGCTGGGATTACAGTCGTGAGTCACCGCGCCTGGCCTAGGAAAATTCTCCTCTTACCCCTTCTTCAATATAGTTTCTCTCTGGAGCTTTGCCATTTTCAAGAGCAGTAATCTTGAATATTTGAAAGCTTGGTAGCACCTTCATTATAGAATTTTTACTGTGTAAATTCTAGCAATGTTTATCACTAGCAAAGTTCTTTACTGGTCCTGCTGGTTTTCCATTTTTGGGAGATGGTAGAATGATGGGAATGGGGAGGTGTAAATTTATGACTTCCAAGTTTTTTTTTCAATCATTGGATTTGAGTGTCTACAGCAGTGTATAAACACTGTCTAACTGGGTGAATTTTGGAATCAGGGCAGTACAAATCTAAAAAGTTTCTAGAATTTTTTCCAGGGTGATTTTAAAGCAGAGAATAAATGAGATGTCCCATTGTACCCCTTCCTCCTGTGCTTTACCTGAAAGAAGGTATCTTTTTCTCTTATGCATATAACTGAAACCATAAGATCATTGTGGATTTATTTGATATTATTGTTAGTTAGAGACTGACCTGGTTATATGTAGCTGTATTCAAGATGGTAGGACTATGTGCTTATGGTTTTCAGTGAAGTATGGCACAGGCTTATCTTTTACTCTATGATTCCATTCCCATGGAAGATTGGAATGCTTGAAAAATTATTTGGCACTATTTCTTTCTTCTTTTTCTACTGTTTTGTTTTAAATTGTAGGTTTCAAAATGTTTAAATAAAATTTTTTTTCTAATATGTTTAAAGTCATGGATTTTTGATTTAGTGTCTAAGAATGGATTTTAGGGGGTTGGCAGACATAATGAAATTTCATGCAAAGATTTGTATAAGTGCATTTTTCTGATTAGAAGTTTCATATCTTTCATCAGGTTTCCATAGAAGCTTCCTATAGTGCCAGCTTCTTAAGAATATTCAAGGAGTTTCAACTAACATTGGCTGGGAAAGTACAAGTCGGCTTCACAACACCCCTGAAATCTATCCTTGGACTCTAGACTAGGACCTCCTAATGGACTCTAGATTAAGACCCCCTGCAAGCTCCTCAAATATCTTATCCCCAGATATTTGTCACTATTTGACCTGTCTGGCAGCTCCTTGGGAAGGCCCCATTCACCAGGCTTGTCTTTATTTGATCTGACTCAGTGGAAAAGCCCTATCCTCAGGACATTTGTTGAAAACAAGCAGCAGCAATTGTTTAGCACTGTATCTGCCTGAGGTGGCTGACTTTTAGACCCTGTGCAAGCAGGAAGTGAAGGCTATGGCAGAATTGTAAACTCTCAGAGCATTGAAGGCATACCCAACACAGGGCCCTTTGGCAAAGGATGAAAGATCTCTTGGTTCAAAACATTTTAGAAAATATGTCGATCATTAGCTGACCACTAGGTAGCTGAACAGATACTTCAATGGACACACATGACAGGGAATATAGGCTTTACAGAACTAGTCCAGGAAAGTCACTAAACAAACAGTAACAACAAACCTTAGGGGAGAAGTGATCTGATTTCCAAACTTTCCACTTTATATTGTTTAAAATGTCTAGTTTTCAACCAAAAAAATTAAAATACAACCAACAGTAAACTATGGCACTTAATTCAGGGACGTAAGCAATCAATAAGAACTGTCACTGAGGAAGCCTAGATGTGCTTACTAGATGAAACTTTAAATCAGTTGTTGTAAACCTCTTCAAAGAACTGAAGGAAATCATGGCTAAATAAAAGAAAGTATGAGAATATTAGACATATTAGGAAAGAAAGAAGCATTTATCTAAACATATTGGAAACTATAGCTATGTGGTGGTGTGCTAGAGGATAAATGAAGCCACAGGGTAAACATGATGTCTCTTCTTCGAATGTCAGTTTTCCAGAATTAAAACTGAGAGCATAAATTTGATATTGAAACAAATATAGGTATGTTATAGTGTAGAATGTAAAATTCACAAAAATAAAGCATTATGAAATTTGCCATTTGTGATGGGCCACTTACGGCAACTCTCAATTCCTACTCATTTCACACCTTTAATTTATTTTGCCTATGATGTACGTCAGTTGAAAAGTTTGAGAAGTCTAATCTAATGATCTGTTGCTTCAGTGATTGTGGACCAATGACAATCCTATGTTAGAAACAAATGGGCATGTCACAGATAAGAGATAACTGTAATAGAAAACCGATTTCCACAGTATACTCACTAATTGACCATTGTGTTATTTTCACACTTGGAATATCCTACCTTTGATGAACAAAAGGAATACCTTTACACCTGAATTGACATTTCTCCAAAAAAGACATGCAGATAGCTAATAGGTACAGGAAAAGGTGCTCAACATCACTAATCATCAGGGAAATGCAAGTCAAAACCACAATAAGCTATCACCTCACACCTGTTAAGGATGGCTGTTATCAAAAAGACAAGAGAACACAGGTGTTGGCAAGGATATGGACAAAAGGGAACCTTTGTACACTGTTGGTTGGAATGTAAATTGGCATAGCCATTATGGAAAACAGTATAGAGGTTCCTCAGAAAATTGGAAATAGAACTACTATATGATCAATCCAGCAATCTCACTTCTGGGTATATATCCAAAGGAAGAAAATAGTATATTGAAGAGATATCTGTGCCCCCATGTTCATTGCAGCATTATTCACAGTAGCCAAGATAACAACCTAAGTGTCCATTGACAGAAAGTGGATAAAGAAATATACACAATGGAATATTAATCAGCCATAAAAGAAGGGAATCCTGCCATTTGCAAAACATGAGTGAACCTGGAAAACATTATGCTAAGTGAAATAAGCCAAACATAGAAAGACAAATACTGTATGATCTCACTTTTTATGTGAAGTCTAAAAAAGTTAAACTCATAGAAACAGTTGTATGGTGGTTGCCAAGGTCTGAGGGGTGAGGGAAATTGGGAGATACTGAGCAAGGATACAAACTTTCAATTATAAGATGAACAAGTTCTTAGGATCTTATATAGAGCATGGGTGGTGATGGGTGTGATAATTTGATTGTGATAATACACAGTGTGTATACATATAACAAATTATGTTGTACACCTTGATCTATAAAATCTTTACTTTTCAATTAAATATTTTTAAAAGGGAATACCTTTCTTGTTTTGAAAATGCTTGATGTGTCTTTTCTCACATTAATGTAATTTAGAGGAAGAGAAACAGATTTGAAGAAGCCTGAGCCAAGGGATTATAAGTTATCCTTGAAAGCACAAATACTATTTATCATGCAGTTTCCCTCATGAAATGTTTTACGGCAGACCTGTTTATCTCATAGATCTGAGTCAAAGCTGAATTTAACACGTTAAACTTTAACTTATCCAGAATTAGTATCTTTTGTCTAAGAACCAACACTAAAATATTTCCTTATGTTAATCACCAACACTAGAAATTTGCTTAATTTTTTTTCAAAAACAAAATTTTGTATCACTTTTTGAGTTACTGCATAGTTTATAATGCAAAGAAAACATCCAAGCTTAGTGAAATGATAGGATAATTACTAACTTAGCAATTCATTCACACATATTAACTTTAAAGTACACAAGATTCAAATTCTTCAAATTAATTTCTCAATTAAATGAAATACAATGAAATGTAAATAAAATAATTAAATGAAAATTAATTAAGGACCTTAATGGTTGCTTATAAATTCCTGAAATTGCGGATTGTATGTCCATGGAGTCTGAAGATCCATAGTAATTAAAACGTATTGTGTTATATATGTTTATAGTATGCTCATGCTGTTTTTTAAAATATGTATAGAACATTGAACTCCACATAATTGATAGCATCATAAATATCATTGAGACTACTGTTGTTGATTTTCATGAGTGATTTCCTCTATATTATCTGCTCTGTTTAAGTTGATTTTCCAAGAAGAGGTCTTAATGACTTTGTAATCACTCTTACAGTGTTTTATTCATTGTGATTGACTATCAGTATTTTTCCTCTTGCAGCCTGACTCCTAAACCCAGAGTCTCATATACAATTGTAGGTGCTACGTTAAGAGAGACAGGGCAGTTATATGGAAAGTATTATGTGTTCTTTCTTTTCGCTTACTCTTCTCTCTCTCTCCCCCACCAACCACACACAAAGGTATAAGGTTGTTTTCATATCATACCTGCAACTAAACTCATTCAGGATCCCCAGACCTCTCTAAATGGGAAACCACTTGTAATAGGTTTAACATCTCCTAATCTAGTATTAGGGTAATGCTACTATTGTTGTAAAAGTTTCTCATAACTTGTAATTTGCTTTGGCATCATTATAATGAATAATCAATTGTATGATATAAAATAGTAAGTGTTCTAATGAAATGCATTTTAAAAATGTTTGATTCCTTATAAGACTTAGATCTTATAATGACCATTTTCTTATTTGATCAAAGAAATACACTGAGACCTTAGTAAGCTTCCTTCTGTTTAGTTATGACTTCAGGTATTGAACTAGATGCTGTGCAGTCAGTCCTACCATGACTAGGATCATTTATAGTCTCTCATGTTCTTTTATTTAAAATTAAAGTATGTGAATCTTTAAAAAAATAAAGCAGTATTTTAAAAATACTTGAAATACAGCCAAACGTTTATAACAATAAATGCTTTTTTATTCCATCTGTTATTAAAAATACATTTGTTTCCCTGTAGTCACCAAAGGTAAAGTAGAATATAAATCAAAGCTGATCATATTTTCTCTCTTCTAATTCTATAGATGTTTATGAACTTTACCTAGCAGCTTATGTGTACATATCACCAGGGATTCCACATATTTTGTTGGGCAATTTTAAGAGCTGATGCCTTTTAGGAAGACACCAATACCAGAATGATTTTCAAACTCAAGTAAAGAGGGTATTTCTGGAATATTGGAGTAAGGACTTCAGAAAATCTACTCCCCTATAAAAGCAATGTCTGGCAACAATTGTTAAAAACAAGTTTTTCAGAATTCTAAAAATTAACCAAAAGCTTCCAACAACCTGAGGAGTGTTTATTCAATAAAATAGCTGATTTTCGGTTAAAAAAAAAAGTTAGATTTGTTGTATTTTAACTTGCCCTAATCCAATCAACCTTTCCCCAGATCCAAAATATCTCTGGAAACTAGTAACCTTGCATCCATGGTAGCTGTGAAAACCTGTAGCTACTGGAGAGTTGCAAGCTCCTCACATCTTATCCCCAGATAATTGTCACTATTGACCTGTGTGGTAGCTCCTTGGGAAGGCCCCATTCACGAGGCTTGTCTTTATTTGATCTGACTCAGTGGAAAAGCCCTATCCTCGGGACATTTGTTGAAAACAAGCAGCAGCAATTGTTTAATACTGTATCTGCCTGAGGTGGCTGACTTTTAGACCCTGTGCAAGCAGGAAGTGAAGGCTAAGGCAGAATTGTAAACTCTCAGAGCATTGAAGGCATACCCAACACAGGGCTTTTTGGCAAAGGATGAAAGATCTCTTGGTTCAAAACATTTTAGAAAATATGTCGGTCATTAGCTGACCACTAGGTAGCTGAACAGATACTTCAGTGGACACACATGACAGGGAATATAGGCTTTACAGAACTAGTCCGGGAAAGTCACTAAACAAACAATAACAATAAACTTTAGGGGAGAAGAGATCTGATTTCCAAACTTTCTACTTTATATTGTTTAAAATGTCTAGTTTTCAACTAAAAAAAATTAAAACCAACAGTAAACTATGGCACTTAATTCAGGGAGGTAAGCAGTCAATAAAAACTGTCACTGAGGAAGCCTAGATGTGCTTACTAGATGAAACTTTAAATCTGTTATTGTAAACCTGTTCAAAAAATGGAACGAAACTGTGGCTAAAGAATTAAAGGAAAGTAAGAGAATGATGTCTCACCAAATAGCAAATATCAACAGAGAAAGAGAGACGTTATAAAGAACCAAATAGAAAATCTGGAGTTGGAAATTACAATAGATGAAATTAAAAAAATTATTAAAAGGGTTCATCAACGGATTTGAGCTGACAGAAGAATCAAGAAACTTGAAGATAGGTTAACTGAGATTATCATATGTGGAAAAAAAGAAAAAAGGTAGCAAAGCCTAAGAGACCTGTGGGACACCATGTAGTATACCAATGCACACATAATGGAGTCCCTGAAGGGGATAAAAGAACATTTGAAGGAATAACTGCTGAAAACTTCCCGAATTTGATGAAAATACTTAGTATAACATCCAAGAAGCTCCATGTACTCAAAGTAGGATAAACTCAAAAGGATTCACACCCAGATACAATGATAGTCAAATTGTTGAGAGACAAAAAGAATCTTAAAAGCAGCAAGAGTGAAGAGACTCACAAGGGATCCTCAATAAGCTTAACAGCTAATTTCTCAGCAGAAACTGGGTCGGAAGGGCAGTGGGATGACATATTCAAAATGTTAGAAAATAAGACTGTCAACCAATATTTCTATATCTAGCAAAACTATATTTTATAAAGGCAAGATAATTAGGACATTCCCAGATAAACAGAAACAGATAATTTGTTGCTGAAGACCTGTTTTGGAAGAAATATGAAAGGTAATCCTTCAGGGTGAAATGAAAGGAAACTATTAAGTTGAATGTACAGAAATAAAGAGTACTGGTAAAGGTAACTACATAGGTAAACATAAAAGACAGTATAAAGGTATGTTTGTTTATAACTCTTCTATCTGATTTGAAAGACAGCAGCTGCATAAAAAACTAATTATAAAACTGTTGATGGGCGTATTTCATATAAAGATGTAATTTGAATGACAGTAATAGCACATAGGGGGAGGGAGGGAATAGAGCTATAGGGGAACAGAGTTTTTGTATATTATTGACACTGGTTGGTATTAATCTGAACTAGATTGTTTTAGGTTAAGATGTTAATTGTAATTCTTAAGGCAGCCATTAAGAAAGTGACTCAAACTAGAATAAAGAATTGGTAGTTAGCTTTAGAAATTTCAGTGCTTTGGCATGCAGGTTAGATTCTGAAAGTGAGGTTATAGATTATTTCCAAAGTTAAGCTTTAGTTGACAATTTCATATGTTGTAAACATGTACAAGTATATTGCCTAAGTAGAATATTTGGTACCTTTTTAGATAAACTTCAATAAAATACAGAGAAAATTTATAATCATTAATTCTCAGAACATTTTCATGAGTTAAGAATTGATTATTGCTCCAGTTTTTAATATGAGAAAACTATACCAAAGAGAATTTAAACTTTGCCTGCCTCTTCCAAGTATGATTTCTAATATGGTGGGAGTTGCAGTACTCAAGCATGGTTTAGTAACATATCCCTCTACTCTCCTCAAAGTGCTTAATGATATTTTTGATATTAAAATTAATATCTTTAATAATTTCATCACACTTCTCAAGAAACTGAAGACAGTTTAAAAGTCTCTTTGAGCTTCCCTGCCTTTCTTTCAGAACAATTTCAAGAGACCTTCAGTCTAATGTGAAGTATCTATCACTAAATGTGTACATCTATTGCCCAGAAAGTTGTTTTTAGCTCAGGTGGAGTCTCTAAATAGACCGTGGAAAATTGTTTTCTGAAATAATTATGGCACATCAATAAAACTGCTGAGTCTTTTTTTTTTAAAATAGAGGTTTATGGATTTTAGAATTTAGTTATCTGTTAATGAGCAAATTAAATGCATCCTTGAAAAAATTAATTCAAGTATTTTTTTTTTAAGTTTATACCTAAGGCAGTGTGGGAGATTCAAAGGTAGAAGAGATGTGGTTCCTGCCCTCATCAAGACTTCCTATTAGGTTGGTGCAAAAGTAATTGCGTGTTTTGCCATTAAGGACAAGTGTAAAGAGTTGTAATATGAAAATGGATTACCTTTCATAATTAAGTATAACGTATCTCACCTAATGACTTACAAAATAACAAAGTTCAGTATCATAAATACCATTATAACTTACATTATAGTACTGATTTGTTCCTCTGGGAAGAAAATCAGCTTTTCTTTTGACTTGGTTTGAGTTCTGTTTATTTGAGAAAGAACTAATGTGGCAAACCAAATGAATAAAAGCTCTCAACAGGTTTTAACGCATCTTGAACCATCTGCTATTAGCACCAAGCCAGTACTGCAATGTTTCTGGAGCTGGCTGTCAGGATCAGGGATGTCCTGCAGACAAAACAAGATTCCTAGTGTAGGAAGCTATTGAACTGGTACTCTCAGAAGTGACTACCATCTTCTTCCCTCTCCCCACTAGGGATCTTAGTCTCCTTATTTAGCATTTGTTTACCACATTTCAAAAGAGTAGCTTAGCAGTTTTTTAGAAATGTTTCAGCTTAGATGTAAGCTGTACATGATTGAGGAAGGGAGAAAGGACACAGTGCTAGTATATAGATAGTAAAAGTGCTGATCTCATCTCCGTGAAGTCAGAGCAACATCCTCGGGGATGAGGCTTGGTCTAGTTATGATAGCATACTTTCTTTCCATAATATGCTTGGAAAAATATTTACCCTCAAAACAAATCCACTGTACTATTTTAAGCAAATTAGTTTGGTTTTAAATCATATTTTAAAAGTTATTTAATTTTTAAATTACGAAATTTTAATTAAATGAACTGTCTTCAGAGATGATTGACCTAGACACAAGTAACTATGGGAATACTGTGATAGATAAGGCTTCCCTGCCCTTAAGAAGTTTATACTCTAGTAAGAGAGCTAAGTTATACAACTCAGATAACTGTAATACAAATAAGTAAGTGCCTTATATAGGTATAAACAAAGCCTGTAGTAGTTAGAGGATGATGACTGTAGATGGGAGATTTTAGCTAAGGTGTCTGATGAGTCATTGGGTTCACAGACATACAGATATTAAGATTAAAAGGAAATTTATAAATCATATTTCCATGAAAAATCCTGCCTTCACTAGAATAAGCCTACATATTTTTCAGCATTGGTATTTAGGGATAGACAGCTGTTGACCTGAGGATGACTTAGGCTAATGAGTTAATTTTTAAAACATCATTACAGGGGCAGAATCAATGGTAAAGTATCCTTCTGTGTCTGGGTTTATAAGAGTAGGTCAAAAGGAATGGCCAGGATAACAGGTCAGATAAATTCAAGAAAATCAGGCCCCCTAATGTGTCAGACATTGTGACAGGTACAGGTAATACTATGGTCCTTTGCTCTTCAGTAGCTCATAGCCTAGCAGGAGAACTCAGAATGCTAGATCATTGGAAGAACTTATCTCTAAATCTTATCCCATGATCCCTGGACCTTCTAAACTAGATGAAGGAAAATATACCAGATGGTGGGGATACTTTAAAATCTTCTGACAGGAAAACTGTGCTCCTGGAATGAACTTTTTAAAAAGGTAGTATACTCACATGGTGTGAAATCCAAACACACGAGGACAATGAGATATAGATTTCCCTCCTACTCCTTTCGCCCAGCTACCTAGGTGCTCTTCACAAAGGCAAAAACTGCTGCCACCAATTTCTTGTGTATCTTTACAGAGACAGTCTATGCATATACTACTAGAATTTATGTACATATGCATGTCTTTTTGTTTTGCACAAAGAGTAGCATACTATACATACTTTTCTACATCTTTTTTTGCAGTTAACAATCAATTTTGTAGATACTTTTTAAAAGACTGTTTTAAGAGCAGTTTTGGCTCACAGTGAAAGTGAGAGAAAGGTACAGAGATATACCGTATACTCCTTGCTCGCACATATATATAGCCTCCCCCATTAACAACACCCCACACCTGAGTGGTACATTTGTTATAACTGATGTCCCTACATTAACACATCATTATCACCCAAACTTCATAGTTTAAGGTTCACTTTTGGTATTGTACATTCTAAGGGTTTGGACAAATGTATAATTATATGTACCCACCAGTATAGTATCATAGAATTTTCACTGTCCTAAAAATCCTCTGTGCTCTACCTATTCATTTCTCCCTCCCTAACACTTACCTTTTTACTGTCTCCACAATTTTGCCTTTTTCAGAGTGTCACATCGTTGGAATCATACAGTGTGTAGACTTTTTAGATTGACTTCTTTTACTTGGCAATATGCATTTAAGTTTCTTCTCCATCTTTTCATGGCTTGATATTTCATTTCTTTTTAGTGCTGAGTAATATTCCATTGTCTAGATGTACTATAGTTTGTTTATTCATTCACCTACTGAAGGATATGTTGGTTGTTTCCAGGTTTTAGCAATCACAAGTAAAGTTGTTATAAACACCATTTTTCTGTGGGTTTTGTGTGGACATAAGGTTTCAGCTCCTTTGGGTAAATACGAAGGAGCATGATTGCTGGAGTGTATGGTAAAAGTATGTTTAGTTTTGTAAGAAACTCTCAAACTGTCTTCCAAAGTGGTTGTACCATTTTGCATTCCCACCAGCAATAAACAAGAGCTGCTATTGCTGCACATCCTTGGAGATACTTCTGTATCAGCACACCTGCAACTTCCTGGTTCTTTTCTTTTTAAAAACTATTTATTTTGAAATAATTACAGGCTCACAAGAAGTTACAAAAATAGTGCAGCAAAATCCTGTGTACCCATCACTCAGCTTCCCACTGGTGATATATAATTATAGTGTATTATCAATACTAAAAAATTGATTGTCACAATGTAATCAACTAGACAGCAGTACCTGTTTCTTTTTAATGCCTACAAGACATTCCATTCTATGGGTGTTTTATTTAACCAGTCCTTTATTGCTGGGCATTAAAATTGTAGTATTGCTGGTATAGGGAAAGATAGGAGAAAATAAAGTCTGTGTATTCGGGGCCACTGCTGGCATTTACATTGCTTTTATGTGAATTAGAAAAGAGTTCCCTCTCTGGGTGGATGTAGTCCCATAGGCACATGGCTTGGGAAACTAGAATATAACCTAGATAAATGTTTTTAGCACCTCTGCATATATATCTCTTTGAACTTAAGTGGGAATACATATGCAGGATAATGGACTGTCATTTAAATTCTGCAATATAACATCAGTGTTCCAATGTGAAACTTCGAAGCTGTCCCTTTCAGATTTAGCATGTGCTCCCATCCTCCTACCTGTAACCGTCATCACCTCTCCCAAGTACCTTAGGTCTTGTATATTTTGTGTTATTATTATTATTAAGACAGAGTCTCACTCTGTCGCCCAGGCTGGAGTGCAATGGCACGATCTCTGCTCACTGCGACCTCTGCCTTCCAGTTTCAAGTGATTCTCCTGCCTCAGCCTCCTGAGTAGCTAGGACTACAGGTGCGCACCACCACGCCGGCTAATTTTTTAAAATACTTTTACTAGAGATGGGGTTTCACCATGTTGGCCAGGCTGGTCTTGAACTCCTGACCCCAAGTGATCTGCCCACCTCAGCCTCCCCATGTGTTGGGATTACCAGCATGAGCCACCACGCCCGGCTTGTATTTTCTATTATTTATGTACATGTCTACCTTACATTGGATAGTAAGCTTCTGTCTTCTTCTTTATATTTTCTGTCTTCATCTTTATATTTTCTTTCCCTTCTCTTCCCCACTCCACTATTATCAATCTACATAGAACATCATTTTTTATAAACGTGCTGAGTGAATTTTTGTTTAAAATTTTTCTTAAGGTGAGGAAGTTAAGAGCAGTGAATTTTTAAATCTGCCTCTCAATACTTCAAGAGGTGTCATGAAATTTTTAAACCAAAATTATTTTCAATTAAAGTACCCACACACTCCACACTCATAGGAGAGAAAAAGAGTGTGTTATTAAGTCAACCAACTCATAATGGGGTGCTACAGTTTCAAAAACATTAATAAGCATTGTAGTATTGAAGAAAACGGGGTAGTAGAACTTGTGACATTGCAAGCAGGGAAGTATTTTATATGTATTGTACACTCATGTTCAATAAGTAGAATTCTGAGAAGTTGCATAAGTCTTGTGCCCTAAAAATTCCTGATTTCATCAGATCTTAACTTCTGTATGCCATTGATTTAGGAGGGAAATTGTCCATTTTTAACACTGGCCTTTTCATTACTGTTAAGCACCAGAAATATTTTATAAAATTTTAATAATATTAAATATTTCATTAAAACTTACATCATTGGACTCATATGTGGTACATATCAGGACTGCTACAAACACACAAGAATGGAAATGTACTTTTTAAAAAAAATGTGTTTTCTATTACATAGACGTTATACTAGCAATGTAACTAAAATTAGCAGAGTAATCATACAGCCTAATCAGCACATAAATCTTATACAAGTGACAAGTTAAAATAGATAATAGTAGTTGCAAAAGTAGCTTGAGATCAATATCGGGTGGTTATGTTTGCTTGTATATACTATTTAAGGAGGTAAGCATTGGGGAAGTTGGGCTGAATAAAACGGGGGAGGCAAGGGTGAGAAATGCTCTTTAGATCTAATGTTCACAGTGGATCATCAAGTGAGAATTGCTTTGCTAGCAACACATAAATATTTTTTCATTATAGGGGATGACTGTTACTGGGAAAGCATTGGAGTAAATATTTGTTTTCCTTGATTATTTGCTGTAAATAATTTTTTGTAACCAAATCAACAAAGTACTGTGAGTTCACTATAGGATATTACATTGTAATATAGAAGTTCCTGTTTTCCTGATGTTAACTATAATGGGTTTCTACCTGTATTCCAGGAAATAGAGCAAGTTGGGTTGATTCCAGTATGTTTTATTTTTCAGCTTCAGTGCTAAAATCAGATTGTGTGCAACTCTGAATCATGGTTCTATAAATTCTTGGCTATACTAAGTAAATTACAGTATATCTTCCAGTACAATTATAAGAATGCTGTAACATGCAGGATGTTTTCTTGAGCGTTTTCATGATTAAAGATTAATTTCTTCCTGAATTTGGCTTGATAGATTTGTATTGAAGAGCACTGTCAACTACCATTTGAGTGCCATCTGTGTATTTGACAGTATACTGTGGACTAATAGGAATTTAACGAATAAAATAGTGCATTTTTGGTTTGGCAGGATTTCTTACAGAGATAAATAGGCTGGGCACATTTGCCTTGTAGGTATGTGTGTTTATGTACATATATGTTTCATATCAACGTTGGCCTGTAAACTTCCAGTATAAATAGAATAATTTACCAACTTGTTCTTCCACTGGGACATAATGTAAGTAAACTATCTTTTCTAGCTAACTAAGCAGGTGGCTATTTCTATGACTAGTATGTTTCAAATTTTAATATACATTGATGTAATTAAATTTTGTGTGTGTCTATGAGTATAATCATCTCTCATTATCTCTGCTTCTGTGGGGGATCCTAATGTAAATAGTGTAAAATAGTAATATCCTTGCCTCCTTTTCTTGACTTTTTCCCTCATTCTGTGAACTGGCTTTATGTGCCTTCTGTACCTTGCTCCAGTGCCTTAAGTGGTCAGAAGTGGGTGACTAAAAGAGGTAGAAATTGCCACATGTGGATAATGGGGAGTTGGGTATTTATGATAATACATGGGAATGAGGGAGACATATTAATAATTTTGAAGTTAATGGACTTATTTGTTGAGGGAAGGATTCATGGACAGTTTTGAATTATGTTTCAAATATGGATTTAGAATTTTATTTAGGGGGAGAGGACTAGACATTCTAGTCAGTGAGGATCATAAACAGAGCTGAGTAAGTAGTTTTGTTTAGAGAGCTGTTGGGAAATAAGTATATTTGAGAATTCTTGAATCAAGAGAGAGAAGAGTGGAGTGGCTTAAAATTAAAGCATCTGTTTATTCATTTTGACTTGATTTTCTAACCTATGTGGGAATGCTGTAGAAGTTATATGGTTGAATAAGTGAGGGATTAGACACATTTAAATCAGAGTCATTATTGAAGAAAATATCAGAATAGTTTAGTCCAGGGTGGACTCTAGTCTACATAAGAATTAGCTGTGAGATTAGATTTGTGAGGAAAGAATAAGTACAAACAATAGTACAGGAAAGAAATGGTATAGTTTGGCATTTAACTGAATAATGTGGGTGGTGATCTAGAGGCTCATGTTAGGCTAGCATTGTTTATCCAAAAAGAAGGGCTGTACCATTTCTAATGAATTTGGAGAGCTCTGTCAGCCATACATTGATGAAGCCCTGCAGTAATGTCTATGATTTTGCTTGCAGTTATACTTTGAAGATCTCCAGTATTCTGTCAGTTTCTGAGAGCGCACAATCTGACTCTTGAAATTCTGGTAGAGCTTGTGAGGAGAAATCAAGAGAAATTGCTGAGAACCTATTATGTGGTGTGCATCCTTCTGGATGTTTTACATACCTGCTTTGCTTCCCTGTTTCTCTACCAAATCAAATCTTCTGTAAAGATATATGAGGGTGGGTAGGTGAATGGGCATCGTGCTGAGGGAGAACTCTCCACTCTTCAAAGTTTTTGCCACCTAAAAAATGCCAAAAGCCATGGTGCTACTTCAGCTCTTTGTGAGATTTCTAGCCTGCCTTCTTCCTTTACTCTTTTTGATTTATGCTATCTGATGGCTCCAAGTCACAGATACTGAGCTAAAGTCCTTTCTGCAGTCATGGTCCTCTTTCTTGCTTCCCTGAACTACCAAACTGGCTAAGTGTCTCTCCTTTGTGTCCCATAATTCCTCATTCATAGCTATTTTCTTATCATTTACTGCTGTATATTAAATTCTATTCATGTATTTCTCTCCTTCACTTATTAGAGTATAAGCTCCTGAAGAGTGAGGATGGTCTTTTTCCTTTCTTATCCCAAGTGCATGGCAAAAATAGTAGAGAAGGTGCTTAATAATGGTTTCTTGTACTAAGTTGACCCCATCAACTGCAGTTTGGCTTCTCATCTTGTTTATCCTTGTGGGATGGCCTTGTACACTGTCTAAACCATTCTCTCTATTGCGAAAGAATGGGGCAAGGAAACTTCTTAGCTTTCTTTTTAGTCTCTTTTATTCCAGCCACTCTATGCTTTGAATACCTAGTTTTGACTTGCTTCCCGGTAACAGACTAAGTCTTTCAGGGGTATGGTATTCACAACTCTACCCTGTACTAGACAGTGTCATGTAGACTAGTAACTTGGAAGATTAAGGTATAAGAAATTGTTGAGGTCGGGTATTCTGAGCATCAGTATACACACTGATTTCTTCCCCAGAATGGTGATACTCAGGAAACCAGGGAGCCCCTGGTTACATAAGGAAGTGTGAACTGCTGCAGATAGAAATTGGAACAAGACATCCTCATTACTGTAACTCTGAGGTCTAATAGATGTCCTCCCTACAACTACAACAAGGTGGTCTGTGTTTTCCAGGATTGGAGAAGAAACCAAAACAATTTGACAGTTTTTGTCAACTAGGTCTGGAGGCACTTCCCTGAAGTAAAAAGATCATCTGATTCAACGACTCCTCCTCAGTCTCAGTCACATTAGGTGACTACACCAGTTAGTGTGTCTCTGCATTTTGGTTCTATTTGAGAAAAATGTTTCTGTATGGAAAGGTAACACAATAGTAAGAGATAGTTTATCCTTCATCCCCTCTTTTGACACCCTACTCTTGAATTCTGATAGCTGGAGTTCTTTTTCTTAAACCCACTACCTTCACAAGAAGGCAAACTGTTTAAACTCACCTATCTCTCACATGATAGTAGCTGGTCTCATAATTGACAGAATCATTGGCAGTAAGACCATTATCTCTTTTAACCAGTGGTTGAAAATTCTACTTAGTTGTCTATTGGAGCTCAAGAAACTATTAACTTATGAACGTAATTTAGTATTGAAGCACCTTGTGGGCCTCCTGGCTATCAAAGATAATCAGATACCCCAAAAGGACCCTTGAACTGGTATCAAAATTCAGTAGTAACTAATGTAGGATACTAGGGATTAGCCTCATGATTTTTTTTAACTAAGGTCTCCAGATGGCCAATGAATTTATGAAACCGGAAGGAGCTGGTGGAATGGGAGGACAGAGAAGATGACGTTAAGTAACTTTGCATACATGCTCTAATTTTTTTTTTTTTTTTTGAGACAGGGTCTCACTCTGCCACCCAGGCTGGAGGGCAGTGGCACAATCACAGCTCACTGCAGCCTCAACCTCCCAGGCTCAGGTGATCCTCCCACCTGAGCCTCCCAAGTACCTAGGACTACAGGCGCACAACACCATGCCTGGCTAATTTTTGTAAATTTTTTGTAGAGACGGGTTTTTGCTATGTTGCTCAGGGTGGTCTCAAACTCATGGGCTCAAGTGATCCGGCTGCCTGGGCCTCCCAAAGTGTTAGGATTACAGGAGTGAGCCATTACGCCCGGCCCATGCTCTAATTTTTTAATGGTCATGTGCCCATTGAGCATTCATCATTCAGGTGAGTCATAACTAGAGACTGTATAAGGGTATTGTGAAACTCTATGCAGTTCTTTAGTCATGCTGGGGTTGGGTTCTTTTAAAAACAGACCATTTCCAGATAGTAACCATATATTCTGGATTTCCAGGACAGCCCTGATTTCATTTTGTCCCATTGTGTCCATAAGTATACTTATGTTCGTTAGACGTTATGCCAGTTTTTGGCTTGGAAAATATGGACATCAGGCATATAAGGACTTCCTTCTTGCCAACTGAAAACAGTTCATCACAGCATAGCCTTGCTCTTTCAACCCTGCCATCCTAACTGCCAGCAGTCTCTGATTTTGCTCCCATCTTGTATCTCCCACACTTACTTTAACCCTTTGTGAGTTAATTTATCTCTTTTCTTTGGTGTCTCCTTGCCTCTGGAGTCCAGCAAATTGTGTATCCTTATACTCTCACAAAGCTACTTGTATCCTAGCATTTTGGTAATAGGATGTACTCTTTTGAAAAATGGGACACTTTCTTTTTTCCCAGGGTGCTCTTGGGGGTTGAAAACTGTTCTGTGAGATACTCATCTTCAGAGGCCTCCGAAAACACATTCAGTAAGAAGCAGTACTACTACTACTACCATGTATTGAGTGTTTACTATGTATGAGAAGTTGGGTAAAATATTTTTAAAATCTCATTTAATCCTAACCACCTGTGAGATTGGTAGTGTTCCCTTTTCACAGATAAGGAAATATACTTAGAGAGTTTGAGTTTTTCAAGATTCTGCATTTGGAAATCCTTGCTACATTCCAATAAGATATTAGTTGTGTACATACCAGGCTTAGAATTGTGGATGAACTACCAATGACTCCAACCCCATTATAGAAGAAATTTCACCTTTTTACTTGGTACCACCAGGAAATAAGTATTTCTATACTCTTGGTAGATGAATTTTTATACATTCTTCTTGTATACCACTGGTCCTCAAACTTGAGAATGCATGAAAACCACCTGAAGGGCTTGTTACTCCCAGTTTCTGATTCAGTAAGTGTGAGAATTAAGTGTGTAAAATTAAACTTGAGACTTAATTTCTAGTAAGTTCCCAGTGATGCCAACGTTGCTGGTCCAGGGACCACACTTTGAGTCATTGTTACATACTAATTATTTTTTATTCAGCAAATCATTATTCAGTACTTATGGTGTTCTAGGCACCGTTCTAAGCACTGTGGATATAATAATGAAAAGGTTAGGCAGGGTCTTTGTTTTCATAAAGCTTATAGTCTAGTGGGACAGATGACTAATTTTATTGGGATAAGTGAACAGGGATTGCCATAGAGAACAACAGAGTTGCTATCCTCTACTTTAGATGGGTTGAGAACCCTGTCTAAAGGATGGTAGTTGGGTCTCTTTGAGGAGGTGATAGTCTAAGACCTAAAGGATATGAAGAGCTCATATGGCTTTCACGCTTGAATTTTCTTAGCTCCAACTTCTGTTGCCATCACTGGTGATGACTACCTTGGGAGAACTCCATGAATTTCAGACTGACCCCTGTGTAATTCATTCTTTGGTACTTTGTGTGGCCTTGGCCAAGCTTGACTGAATAGTTCCTTTAAGATTGTTTACCCCCTCTCCACCCCAACCTTCCCCCACCATCCAGTATAGATACAGAAGTCAGAGGAATTTTAAGAGTGGGCTAATTTTGTCTTCTGGCTTCACCTAGATCACATTCTTTGGTATATGATGGCTTGAGAAGAATATATGCTAAGGAATTGTGCCTGTGAACCTGCCATTCATGGCCACTGCCCTTACCTTATAACTATCAATGATACCTTAAGATTCTGTCTTAATTGCCAGTTTGCAAATTTGCCTCAAAAGGGGAGACAGTGTGGGAATCTCCACAACTCCTTAGCTACCCTGATGTTAGGTTTCTCTAGGGAAGATTTCTAGATTCATGCAGTCTAAGAAGGTGTTGTCAGAGCAACACAAAACCAAACTTCCCTTCCAGTTGTGGTGACTAAAGCTGGAAAAATTCTAGATATTCGAAGGAGACTTTCTACGGAACTATCATGATTTCTTGCCTTCAGAGTTTTAGTTCTGAAGTTTGATGCCTTACTCTTTTTTTCCCCCCTCTGGTTCTGTCCTACCATGACTTAACCAGCTTTTCCTTTGAATCCCTCCTGCCTCTGGAGCCATTTCCTTGCTGTCTAGTTTCATTTTATTTTTTATTTTTATTTTTATTTTTGAGACAGAGTCTCACTCTGTCACCCAGGCTGGAGTGCAGTGGCAAGATCTCAGCTCACCGCAACCGCCGCCTCCTGGGTTCATGCGATTGATTCTCCTGCCTCAGCCTCCTGAGTAGCTGGGATTACAGGCCTGTGCCACCACGCCCAGCTAATTTTTGTATTTTTAGTAGAGATGGGGTTTCACCATGTTGGTCAGGCTGGTCTCAAACTCCTGACTTCAAGTGATCCACCCTCCTCGGCCTCCCAAAGTATTGGGATTACAGGTGTGAGCCACTGCACCCAGCCTCATTTTATTTTAATTAAATATTTTCTCTGGTATTCTGTTCCTTTGGAGGAAAAGAGACCCTTACCAGGTGCTACGGTATGAATATTTGTGACCTCCCACCAGATTTATATGTTGAATTCTAATCTCCAAGATGATGCTATTAGGAGGTGGGGTTATTTGGGAGGTGATTAGATCACAAAGGTGGGGCCCTCATGAATGGGATTGGTGCCCTTTTATAAAAGAGGCCCAAGGGAGCTCATTCATCCTTCCCACTGTGTGAGACACAGCAAGATGTTGTTGTTTATGAGGAATGGGCCCGCATCAGACACTGAGTCTGCTGGCTCCTTAATCTTGGACTTCCTGGCCTCCAGAACTATGAGAAATAAATTTGTTATTTGTGAGCTACCCATTTTATGGTATTGTAAATAGTCCAAACAGACTAAGACAACAGATATTTCTCTAGGTATTTTCAGGCAGAGCATTTCACTTGGCCTAGGTGTATGTATTTTTGGATAGCAGACTTCCTTAGTCTTCTCTCAATAAATTCCTGAACCAGAGAAGGGGAATATGAGTAATTGACTTTTCTGGTTGCCAAAGATGTCTTTAGTTTACATGAAAAATGTTTTGAACAGTTATCCAGTGCATGCTTAAATGGGCTGTCTCTTATAACACATCTGCACATACAGGCCAGATTTAACTACCTTACCCAGATTGAAAATTTCCTTTTCCTTGTGGACTCAGAAGTTTCTTCCTGCTAGTCTGGTTCCTGATGGTATACAGTGGATAAACATTTTTTTTTTGTTAACCCATATATCAACCATAAGAATGACTGAAATAAAAAAGGAAATGGTGTGCCAGCTCACTCATAGCTGGAGATGATAAACCTTTTCTGTTGCTTTAGAGCCAGATATCCTTGGTTGGTAGTGTCATGTCTGCTCCATATTAACAGTGTCTTGGGCAAGTAAACCAATCTTGCCGAGAAGAAGAAAATGCATATGAAAGCACCTAATAGTACTTAATTCATAATATCATAATATGCTCTCACTGAATGTTAATGCTTGCTTTCCTCCTTGATGTTCTTAAAGCCCTGAAACACTTGATTGAGCAAGGCATAATCTCTCATGGTGTACCCCATCAGCACCATAATCTTACATTTTCCAGATATGGAATCCGTTTAAGAACTACCTGCTTAATTATATTTATTATAAAAATGATAATCTCAGAGTATCCCTACTTCTTCAAGGTATCCAAGAAAGGAAATTAACAATTTTGGGCGTCTACCTAGTAGAGGTCTCATTGACCCAAAATGATGATAGCATTAATAATTATACCTTTATTGACAGAATTATAATACTTAGCAGTTTCCAGGAACTTTTTAATGGATAGCGTCCTTGGATTCCTGTAGCAGTTCATCAAGTAGGCAGTCCCCATCTTGCATATCTGTGTCCAAGGATGAAGGGAATAGGATGATTCCTTCATGGTCTTTTGACTGATGGATAGTGGAGCTGAGCTTTGGGCCTAAGTCTTCTGACACCCCTCCTTTCCCTGCCCTATTCCAGCACTTTTATCCAACTATGCCACATTTTTTTTTTTAATCTGAGGTTCTGGTACATGATTTCTCAAATTACTAGAATTCTAAGACAAAATGTTTCTTAGGTTTCACCTCATTTTATCTCTGAGATGTTTATGTTCCTAAGAGATAGTTCTTACGTGTGGGAGTTTTAAACTCTACCTAGAGGTCAGAGAAAGCTGTTTATGCCTTTGATGTAAATTTTGTGCACCATACTTAGACTATACTACACATTCCAAAACAGTATTTCTTGGGCCTAGACTTGTAACAAAACTCTCTAGTGTGATGTATTCTCATTCACTCTTTTATATTAACCTATTTTATTCTTTCAGCAAACATATTTAGCCCTTACTATGTGTCAGGGGATAGGAATAGGACCGTGCAAAAAGACAACCTCTGTTTTCTTGGAGCTTACGCTGTAGTGGATAGGAAATAAGCAAATGGGTAGTGATGTGTACTGTGAAGAAAAATAAAGCACTTTTAAATTTTCGCCCAAGCCATGAGATTACTAAATTGTGGTATCTATCAGTGACCCCTTGTAGACCTTATAGACCTTCTAAAAAGTTAGTTATTGAGAAGATGGCCCAGGAAAGGAACATTGTCTCTGACATCCCTGTGCAGTTTCTACCTTCTTTTCCATTATTTGAACTAAGATCTTGCTTTCTTGTATGGTTGTGAGCAACCCTGATCGAGTGGAGTGTAAGGGCATGGCCAAACAAAGACAGATTGGAGAGGAAGCCTGTTAGGAATAAAGCACCTTCGGAGAAACAGTCTCACAACAAATACTGTTAGAGTTGTATTTGTCATTTATCCTTTAAATGTAATGTGTTGCCTTATAGAGTGTCACATCAAGAACACTGAAAAGAGATGTATTTCAAAATATGTATTTAGCTATACAATGGTTAACAAAACACAGCATAAAAAGCAGCCTCCTTAAATGCTTCTAGTTTTATGGTGTACTACTGTAGAATGAGTTCTTTTTGACTGAAGTGTTTTAAAAGTTTTGAAGAACCAGGGAGTCTGCAAGTTGGAAAGAAGCCATTCTTACCATGAGGCAAATATACTTGAGTTTAATTTTTAAACTATAACTGCTGTTTGACCTTAAATTAAGACAGTCTGTTTTCATTGTGGTGTTTTACTGGTTTAACAATGAGAACATTTAAAGCAGCTGCCACCAATTAAAATGATTCATAAGTGCTGGTTGTAAATAAATATTCTTGAAATTTTAACTCAGTGAAGTCAGTCTTTTTAGTGGCACTTTCTTTCTGGAAAGCAATTTGGTAAAATGCATCAAGAGCTATAAAAATGTTCATACACTTTGATCTGGTAATTCAGTTTCTTAAATATCCTTAGAAAATAAAACTGAGATCTTGATAAACTTTAATAAATAAAGATGTCCCTCACAGTTTATCAAGGAAATAGTTGCCTAAATTATGGTCTACCTATATGATGTACCATGGGGCCATTAAAATATTTTTGAAGAGTATTAACCATATAGGAAAATGTTTATGCAATTCAGTTGAAAAACAAAACTATACAAAACCATACAGTATGATCCTAAAAATGTGAAAATATTTCCATAGAAAGAGTGTCAGGAAACATTATACATTTTCATTTTCTTTGGGTAGTGAGATTGTGTATGATATTTATTTTCTCCTTTCTACTTTTCTGTATTTTCTAGAATTTTTTATAGTGAACATGTATTGAATTTATAGTGAATAAAAATGTTATATAAGTATTTTAATCCTTTCAATAAGGGTGCCTTTTATGAATATCCAGTCCATTTATATTATTATGACCTAATTTTTTCCACATTTTCAGCTTTAGAGCATTTTTTTCTAGTGAATTTTTGTTTTTAACGTTTTAATGTTTATTTTTATGGCACATAATGTCAACAATTTTACCTCTGCTTGGTCTAATTTCTAGGTATTCTTCTTTAAAGCCAATAATTCAGTTCCTTGTTGGAATATTATTTTTCAGGTGGTTTACATCAAACAGCACACACATTCGTAGTATGTGGTAAAGAGAGTTGACTCTGGAGCCACAATGCCTGGGTCCAAATCTTGGCCCTACCACTTAGCAGCTATGTGACCACTGACAAGTTAATGGCTCTCTCTAATTCTCAGTTTCCCTTTCTTTAAAATAGGGGATAATAATAGTATCTACCTCATAGGGTTGTTATAAGGATTTCAAAGAGTTATTACATATAAGTACTTAATTTTAAAAGGCCTGGTATATAGTAAATATTCAATAAAAATTGGCTATTTTTAGTAGTGTGTGTGCATATATGCACACATATACACATACATATTTTCATGATAATTTGAAAAATGCCCTTTTATATCTGCCTTTTCTTTTATACAATTTTAATTTTAAAATGAAGGGTTTTATCTTATTTTCAGATAAAATTAGTTTTTCTTATATGCTTTGAAATTATTTCAAAAAGTTTTCAGCAATAGAAACCTGGTTTGCTTTCAATCATATTTTTTCCATATTTGTAACTGATCATTCACGTGGGCTGGATGGACTGAAGATCAGCTTCATTCTAGGTATAAAATAACTTTTATTTACATACACAAAGTTGATATATTCATAACCAGTTACCCTCATCTATTATTTACCTCATTTATTAAAGTACTGCTTTAATAGAGAAGGAGGGGGATGGGTAGGTGTCAGTATACTTCAAAAATAATAAAACTACATTTGTTTCTTTTTAAACTTTATAATCCAGCCTTCTCTAATCAAACTGATACTCCCAGAAAGATTTGGAGGGAAAGAGAGCTACCTTTTATTGAATCACGTGTTGGGCTAGACTCTTACATGTATTATATAATTCTGTAGTCCAATATGAAAACTATTTTAAGTAAAGCAATCATTTGGCAATTTTACTGTCCTGGATTACAGAATCACAAATGTGTTCCTATAGAAAACAATTTGGATTTAACTGATTAACTGTTTATTAAATAACTAATTGCAATAGTTTTTCCATTATTCTGTTTCATTTTTTTGAAACAGGTGTTTCTGTGGTATGTTTGCATTGGCAGAATAAAGAAAGAATCTGGGCAAGTTTGAAAGCATGAAACTGGTCACTGAAAGTTTCTTTTCAAGAATGAAGCATTTTTTTAATCAATCTAATAATATTCAACAGAGACACATATAGATAATCCAGATATCTTCATCTTTAGCTGGATATTTGGTTAGTATTTAATGCCAAGAAGGAGTGTGAGAAGTAGTCCCTGTGGGAAATTGTGTTTTCTTTGGTCTTTGGTTCTACAGCTATGTAGAAATTCTGGATTGAGTATGAAGTTTATTTATACATGTACATGTACATTTATCTGTGGGATTTATCTAAGAAGCAGTGGTTTGGGGTATTGTTCTTGCTGGTGAAAGAAGTGGACTGGGTGGAACTCTAGAGAAAAATTTGCTTTTAGGGATAAACATGTTCAATAGCTCAGGTGGCAAATTTTGCTTTCTTGTATTGATGTGATAAGCTGAGTGGGTCACTGCCATTTCCAGACCATATACACCACCTTTGGCTGATTTGTCTTCTGTCATGTACCTAGCAGTTCAGCTGGAGGCTTTTTAAACCAAAGTATTTAAATATACATAGGAAGTTGTTGTACTGGTGCTTATTGGTGGCTACTGTGTTCTTTCTTATCTTCCTAGGGAGTGTGGTCCTTTTGTTTAGCTTCTGTTTCATTTGTTTACAAAGTTATAGGCTTTGAAGTAGGCAGTTATATATAGGATTGCCTAAAGAGACGTGGAAAGTGAGAAGTCTGCTTTATAAGTAAGCAATTATCCTTATTTCACTGCCTTATTACCTCAGTTTCTCAGCCAGTGTCTTTCATGAATTTGGCTTTTCTCATAGGCTTGACATTGGCTTACTTACTGCTATCCTAATTTTTTTGTGGAAACTTACTTAGTTTTGTGTCTCCCAGATTAGATACTAGCTCAGTTTACTTTCTGAACATTTAACTATCAAAGCTTTGCCTGATGTGTTAGTGAGGAATTTTTAAAAAATAATTTTTGATAATTTAATGATACACATCACATTATTTTTTCTATTTGTTCCATCATAAAAGAAATTTTCATATCTGGTTTCCTTAATGTAGGGTTCCTGGCCTTAGGTGACTGTCCTTCTATAGATATGGCATTGTTATTACAAGATTTGTACTGGTAAGACTATGATAAATTTAGTGTTTTCTAGGACAGTAGTGAGGTAAATAGCTGTGCTGTAAGATTGTTTAAATCATCATAGCTGAAAAAATAGGCCTTTAAAAATAGCGATAACAGAATACACATACATTAGACATAATGCATGACTATTAATGACTTCCTCAAGATCTTTTAGGAGTTATGAATAAGGTCATTCAGATTGCACTTTTTTTAAACTCATGGAGAGAGTATAAGAGGAGTGAGCTATTTTTGGCATGGGCTTAAAGAAGGAAATATCAGTGTGACTGGTAACTGACATGTTTGTCAAGTTCAGTTTCTACCTGAGTGCTTTAATTTCTTTTAAATTTCATTACTTTGGACTTTAGAGTTCTCAGTATGAAATTTTTTAAGAGTGACTTGTCTAACCTTTGGGTTCTGAGTAGTGTGTTGCCCCTGAAATTGGTTGAGTCATTTTATATTCTTCTAAGAGTTCACCACCTGTCAAAGCTGAAGAGATCTGTCCCTTTTGCCCTTTATTTCCTGAACCATTTTTCTTTTTTTATTATTATTATACTTTAAGTTCTAGGGTACATGTGCACAACGTGCAGGTTTGTTACATATGTATACATGTGCCATGTTGGTGTGCTGCACCCATTAACTTGTCATTTACATTAGGTATATCTCCTAATGCTATCCCTCCCCCAGCCCCCCACCCCATGACAGGCCCCATGACATGTGTGATGTTCCCCACCCTGTGTCCAAGTATTCTCATTGTTCAGTGCCCACCTGTGAGTGAGAACATGCGGTGTTTGGTTTTCTGTCCTTGCGATAGTTGCTCAGAATGATGTTCCTGAACCATTTTTCTGCTGGCACTAATCTTATTTGTGATAGGTTTTCCCACATTTAATATGTAAAACCTACCACAGAGTTTGAACCTTAATGTGACTTAGGGTTAAAGGGCTTTGAGACTTCTACTTTTGTCCATGAAGGAGTAACTGGTGCAAGACTTGCTCCTTTCCACCTTACATCTCCCATAAACAACTAGAAACCAGACAAAATACATGAAACAACTGTTTTTAGACATCGGGCAACAGACAGCACAGGACTGTGGTCACTGAGAGAAAGGGAACAAACGAAGTGAGCTCTACCATCACCCTGACTTTTTGTCAGCAGGCAGTTTCTAGACCACAGCATTGTGAGGGGGAACCCAAGCAGAACTGCAATCTTGCTGAATTGGTGAGACAGAGATAGGAACTCAGGGAGGCCTAGGTGGCAGAAATTTATGGAGCAGAGTACTGGAGGAGGAAAGCTACTCAGAGACATAGCTCCAGAAATCTGCATAGATGTTCCCCTTATCTCTGGCTGAATATGAATCTGTGCATGTATCAAGGGCAACACTGTGAGGCTGGGCAGAAAACAACTGCTCAGGAGCTATAAGCTGAAAACTTACCAGAGCTCATACAGACCTGAGAGATATATGAGTTCCTACAGCAAGAGTTGTGAGCCCTTGTTGAACACCCAGGGCATTCCAGAGAGACTCCAGAAGGGTCATACTTTAGTAGTAAAGGCTACATTAAAGTAAAGGACTTTAAATAATTATCCACAAATAATTTAACTGCATGACAAAATGAACTTCAACAGTCTTTGAAGAGAGGACAGCAAATTCCAAACACTCAACAATATAATGATTATAATATCTGGCATACAAAAAATTACTAGACATTTCAAGAGGGAATACAATGTGACCCATAACCAGAAGGAAGCCAATCCGTAGAAACAGAACCAGAAATGATGGTTATAGAATTAGCAGACAAGGACTTTAAAACAGCTATTAAAATGTGTTGAAGGATTGAAAGGAAAACATGAATATAGTGAGTAAAGAAGTGAAAGACATATAAAGAACCAAATGGAACTTCTGGAGCTGAAAAGTATACTATAAAAAATGAAAAATTCATTGAAGAAATAAATAGCAAATTAGATGCTGCAGAGGAAAATATCAATGAATTTGTATCCATAACAATAGAAATTATCCAATCTGAAACAGAATAGAAAAAATGGAAGGAAAAAAGCCTCAGTGAACTGTGAGACAATATCAAGCAGATTAACCTACTTGCAACTGGAGTCCCATAAGGAAAGGAGAGAGAGAAATAGGCAGAAAAAAAATTGAAGAAATAATGGCTAGAAATTTTCCAAATATGATGAAAATGTAAATCCATAAATCTAAGAAGCTCAATGTATCCAAAACAGAAAAACCACACTAAAGCAATTATAATTTTTTAATTATTTATTTATTTATTTATTTTTGAGACGGAGTTTCACTCTTGTTGCCCAGGCTGGAATGCAATGGCACCATGTCAGCTCACCACAACCTCCGCACCCTGGGTTCAAGCGATTCTCCTGCCTCAGCCTCCTGAGTAGCTGAGATTACAGGCATGCGTCACCACACCCAGCTAATTTTATATTTTTAGTAGAGATGGGGTTTCTCCATGTTGGTCAGGCTGGTCTCGAACTCCCGGCCTCAGGTGATTCATCCACCTCAGCCTCCCAAAGTGCTAGGATTACAGGCGTGAGCCACCATGCCTGGCCTAAAGCAATTATAATTAAATTGTTGAAAACTAGTGGTAGAGCATTTTGAAAGCCACTAGGAAAAAAAGGACACATTACAGAGGAACAAAGAGAAGAACCATATACTTCTCATCAGAAACAATGGAAGCTTCCAGAAGACAATGGAATGACGTCTTTAAAGTGCTGAAAAAAAAATACTGCCAATCTCAAATTTGATACCAATGAAAACACCCTTTAAAAATGAAGACCAAAAGAAATGAAGGTGAAATATATATTTTTTTCAGACAAAAATGAAAAGAATTATCACTGGCAAACCTTAACTACAAGAAATTTAAAGGCAGCTGTCCAGGCTGAAGGAAGATGATAACAGATGGAAACTTGGATCTCTACAAAGTAATGAAGAGTGCCAGATAAATGTGGCAAGTGTAGGGTAAATATAAAAGACATTTTCCCCCTCATTAAAAAATTTCTTTAAAAGTTAAGTTATTATTTAAAGGAAAATTAATAATCTATTATAGGATTATATGGTATATAGAAGTTAAAGGTATAACAGTAGCCTCAAAGGATGGGAGGAGTTAAATGGACGTATACGTTAAGGTCTTTACATTGCTTTTGTAGTGATATAATATTAGCTGAAAGTAGGTTGCAATAAGATAAAGATGCATCGATACAACCTAGAAAAATTACTAAAAAGGGCATAACTAATAAGCTAATAATGGTGATAAAATTAAATACTAAAGTATACTCATTTAATCTTACAGTAAAAGAGAAGTGGAGAACAAATGGGAAATATAGAAAACAAATATTGGATGTAAAGATGGTAGACTTAAACCCAACTCTGTCAGCAGTTATATTAAATGTAAATAGTCTAACCACTCCAGTTAAAAGGCTGCATAAAAAATGCAAGACCTAACCATATACTGTGTATAAGAAACCCACTTTAAGGATAAAGACACAGGTATGTTAAAAGCAAAAAGACAGAAAAAGATATACAAACATTCATAAGAATGCTAGAGTTATTATGCCAATAAGAGATGAATTGGACTTCAGGACAGGCAGTGTTACGAGGAATGAGGGCCATGTCATAATGATAAAGTGGTTAACTCAAGAAGACAAAATACTAAATGTGTATGTACCTAACAGATCCTCAAAATACATGAAAGAAAAAAAATACACATAAAAGGATAAGTAGACAAAACTACAATTAGAGTTGGATATTTCAACATTATTAATTCAGTAATTGATAGAACAAGTAGACAAAAATCAGTGAGGAGATAGAAAACATGATCAATACTACCAACCAACTGGACCTAACTGACACTTATAAAACATTGGACCTAACATTACCAGAATACATTTTCTTTTCAAATTCACAAAAGATCTCTATAAGGAGACCTACAAAACACTGATGAAAAATCATAGATGACATTAACAAATGGAAAAACATCCCATGCTAATGGACTAGAAGAATCAATATTGTTAAAATGACCATGCTGCCCAAAGCAATCTACAGATTCCACACAATCACTATCAAACTACCAATGTCATTTTTCATGGAATTAGAAAAAACAATCCTAAATTTCACATGGAACAAAAAAAGACCATGAATAGCCAAAGCAATCCTAAAGCAAAAAGACCAAGTTGAGAGTCATCACACCGCCTGACTTCAAATTACACTATAAGGCTATAGTAACTGAAACTAAAACAGCATGATACTGGTACAAAAATAGACAAACAGATCAGTGGAACACAATAGTGAACTGGATATAAAACCACATACCTACAACCAACTGATCTTCAACAAAGTAGAGAAGAGTAAACACTGGGGAAAGGAGTCCCTATTCAATAAATGGTGCTAGGAAAATTGGCTAGCTATGTGCAGAAGAATGAAACTGGACCCCTATCTCCCACCATATACAAAACTTAAGATGGATTAAAGACTTACATGTAAGACCTGAAACTATAATAATCCTAGAGGAAAACTTAGGAAAAACTCTTCTGGACATTTTTCTAGGTAAAGAATTTATGATGAAAACTCTAAAAGCAAATGCAACAAAAACAGACAAATGAAACTTAAAAGCTTCTGCACAGCAAAAGAAATAATCAACAGAGTAAACAGAGAACCTACAGAACAGGAGAAAACATTTGCAAATTATGCTTCTGACAAAGGACTAACATCCAGTATCTACAAGGAAGTCAAACAACAAGAGGGGAAAAACCCCATTAAAAGCTGGGCAAAGGACATGAACAGAAATTTCTCAAAAGAAGACATACAAGCAGCCAGCAAGCACGTGAAAAAACATTCAACATCGCGAATCTTCATGCAAATTAAAACCACACTGGGGTACCATCTCACACCAGTCAGAATGGCTACTATTAAAAAGTCAAAAAACAACAGATGTTGGTGTGGATGTGGAGAAAAGGGAACGCTTATACATTGTTGGAGGGTATGTAAATTAGTTCAACTTTTATGGAAAACAGGATGGCCATTTCTCTAAGAACTAAAAATAGAACTACTGTTTGACCCACCAATCCCACTACTGGGTATCTACCAAAAGGAAAAGAAATCATTACATTAAAAAGACACCTGTACTCATGTGTTCATCGCAGCACTATTCACAATAGCAAAGTCATGGAACCAATGTAAGTGTCCATCAACAATTGACTAAATAAAGAATATGTGGTGTGTCATGCACCATGAAATACAATGCAGCCATTAAAAAAAGAATGGAATTGTGTCCTTTGCAACAACATGGATAGAGCTGGAGGTCATTGTCCTAAGTAAATTAAGAAACAGCCAAATACCATATATTCTCACTTGTAAATGGGAGCTAAACAGTGAGTACACATGGACATAAAGATGGAAAGAATAATAGACACTGGAGACTCCAAAAGTGGGAAGGGTGAGAGGGGAGTGAGAGTTGAAAAATTACCTATCCAGTTCAATGTTCACTATTTGGTTAATGGGTACACTAGAAACCAAGTCCCCACCAGTACACAGTATACCCATGTAACAACAAGCACATGTAAACCCTAAACCTAAAAGAAAATAAAGACAAATAAAAAACGCTTAACTGTTTTCATTGTTTTGTTTGAAGTGTTACGAATTCCCTGACCATCCTGCATACACAGTCAAATGGAAATACCAAAACAAAGTTCCATACAAGTTTTTAATGGCATAAAAAATAGGAGTTGACTGTATCAATTAATATTCATTCTAAAATTTCTGGACCTAGTTCTTCTGTTATTCTTAGTTTTGCTTAACATTTAGCTTAGGAATCGGAAGACTTCAATAGAAGCTCTTTTTTGCCTGATTTGTTTTATATTAAAATAATTAATTATTATTATTTTTTTGAGATGGAGTCTTGCTCTGCTGCCCAGGCTGGAGTGCAGTGGCCCGATCTTGGCTCACTGCAAGCTCTGCCTTCTGGGTTCACGCCATTCTCCTGCCTCAGCCTCCCGAGTAGCTGGGACTACAGGCGCCCACCACTACGCCCTGCTAATTTTTTTGTATTTTTAGTAGAGACGGGGTTTCACCATGTTAGCCAGGATGGTCTCGATCTCCTGACCTCGTGATCAGCCCGCTTTGGCCTCCCAAAGTACAAGCGTGAGCCACTGCGCCCAGCCTAAAATAACTAATTTTTTTTAATAGTAAAGACTAAGTCTCAAACCTTAAAGCCCTTTGAACAAATGGGTTCAGAATAGGACTTCCAAATAGAAATTACTTCATTTTTGAAATCTATAGCAAAATGTCATTTAAAATTAAGTTGTATTTTCAGGTAATAGAGATTTCTGGTGTGTTCCTATTATCAGGAAAAAAAACCCACAGCTATTTTTCCCTTTAAATGTTCTCAGTGTAAACTAAGAAAATATGTGCAAAAATACTATTTTTTTCCAATTAAGGTAGTCTTTCTCATCTAATTTAGGGCTCTAAAAAACTATAAGATTGTCTCAGCATATCAAATCTGGGACTAATTTTTTTTTTCGTTTGCTGAAAATTGTTGATTTGCTCTTGTTAAAGGAAGAAATGGTTCTTTCAGTTCAAAAATTGGCAGAATCAAGCTAATCCCTTAAAGTATGCTTGTGCTTTGGCTGATTGTATGTCTGTGGTGATTACCCTTGATTAACAACAGCAAAAAATTCTACCTTCCCAATCATCTGTTAGACTTTAGTCTGCCTTCCTTCCTCTGGCATTTGCCAGTTAAATTGGAATTATATAAATGGGAGAAAGGGAATATAATGCTGCTATGATAGAATTTCTTGGAACACCAGGCAAAGAAAAGTATTGAAAGATTGGTCCTGATCCCCGCTTTCAGATATTTGTGGTCTCCTATACTAATTTATGCTGTCTATCTAAGCAGTATGATCTTATTTTCCTGAGCCCTGTGGGGTACAGGCTATTTATTATACAAAGCTTGGAGGGAGGAGTGTGGTATAAGGATACAGTGGTGACTTAGTGCATTTTCTTTATCTACAGCAAATGGTTGGATGAGAAATGCATCTGAATCTTAACTTCTCGACCCTGCCTCAGATTAGCCCCCTCCCATTTCTCTCCATTCCTCTCAATTTGAATTTCATATTATCTGGAGGAGTCTCATTCATTCTATAATATGAACTACTTAATCAAATAATCAGATCAATACCTAGCTGAGGAGTTGTTAACCAATGGTATAATAAATGGAAATTTTGATTTGGAGGAAATTTGTATTTAACAGAGGACCTGGGTTTGATGAAGTCCAGCTAGACAACAGGAAAAAATGAAGTGAGAAGGCTGAGGGAGATCAGAAAGAGTGCTGGGAAGCCATCAAGCATAAAATGGTAGGCCTTGCTGTGGGCTTCTAATGGTGATAATGTAGAAACTTATAAATTGGGGCTAGTGTTTCTAGGCTGATGCAGCATTTCTAGTTTGTCCTGGTGTCTTCTCAGCTAATCTTTCTCTCTCCCCTACTGGGAGAAACAGGAGGAAGAGGAGATTGTGCTTATGCTCACCTGTGTGGTGCTATGTAGTATTCATAGGATTTTCCTATTCTTTGGTCTTTTAGAAGACACCTAGGTTTGCCACTCACATTTTTTTTTCCTGTAGTGGGGGAAAAAAAAACCATATTATACCAGTAGTAAGAAAATTTGGAGGACTTGCCAGGTTCTAACACTAACCAGTTTGGTGATTCTGCACTGTCTGCCTGGATCTCTTTTTGTTTTTCACCTGTAAAATGAAAAGCAAATGGATTATCTCTTAAAGACTCTTTCAGTGAATGAGCTTAGATACATTGTTATATACACTTTAAACTATGTACTAAAGTTTGGGTTAGGGATTTGTAATGGACTGAATTGTAACCCCCCAACCTCTACATTCCTATGTCCAAGCCCTAACCCCTAATGTGACTGTGTTTGATAAGGCCTACAAGAAATTAATTAAGGTTTAATGAAGTCATGAAGATGGGGGCCTGATCCAATAGGATTATTGTCCTTATAAAAGACTGTTGGAGAGCTCGTGCTCTCCCTCTCCCTGCACACACTCAGAGGAAAAGCTATGTGAGTACAAAGTGGCCGTATAGCAGCCTTAAAGCCTAGTAAAGGAAGAGAGCCTTTACCAGGAACTGAACTCTGCCAGTACCTTAATCTTGGGCTTTCTAGCCTCCATAACAGTGAGGAAATAAATTTCTGTTGTTTATGCCACCTAGTGTATAGTATTTTATTATGGCATCCCTATTACATGATTTAACCATGTTAGGTATGTTTTTATGAATTGAATCTGTAGTTTATATGATTTAGAAATGAAATGTAAAGCTTCTTTTTGTTGAAATAGGAAGTGAAAGGTTTTTACCTGGTGGTGGAAAGAAGACATCATCATTTCTGTACTTCTGCAAGCTGCTAGATCCTGGGGAATTATGGTATTTTTAGCTGGATGTTATGAGGAATATAGTTGTATTTTTGAGCTAAATTGCTGAGAAACCTGAATACAGTTGAGAAACAATCATTATTTGATGGCAGAAGAACAGAACAAGTTACAGGGCTTCTCTCTTTTCCTGTATCCCCCCCCCCAATATAAATAACCTTGTTGAGTACCCTATTCTATTAATTATTATAATTATTATTGCATTGGTAGAGATTGATGTAATTTTGTTAATGTTGCCTCCTATAAATCTCATTCTAAAGAATCTTATTCTAAAGAAGAGCAAATTGCCAGAGTCTAAGACTTTTTTGTAACCTCTGTTTTGCCTTGATATGGCAGGAGAGATAGGGTTTAAGGTAAAATATTATTAAGTAAATACACCTTTTTTGTTGTATCACTTAATTGTATTCTGCTCCTGCAAACATATTTCTGATTTGTTCTGGCTCACATCAGTAGATGGGGAGTGCCCTGTTCAGATTTACATTGCTTTTCGTACTTTTGCTGATTGTATGCAACTACATTTCCCTAGAGCTACTGTTGACCTGACAGTATTGGCTGCTAGTTGGCAGGGAGGATTCATCATCTAGATTAGATGGTTACTTCCTGTTCCTGTCTACAGACATGAAAAAATGGAGTGTTTACTTTTCTCCAAAGGTTTCTCAGAAGTAGGAAAATTACTTTAAAAGCTTTGTCTGGTTGCCTTCAGATAAACATTTTCATTAATATTTCATCTCATTTTGAGCCCTCTTCTAGTTTGTAGTATTTTTTCAATGTATGTAGGTGGCCTCAAACCATATGGCAAAAGCATTTCCCAAAACATCCAATCTTTGTCTTACTATGAACTGGTTTTCTGTATTTTTTTTCTCATTGAGCAGCTCCTCTCAACAGGCTCAAAACCCTTTTTCTACTTTGATCTGCCTCTGATTATGCTGATGTATTAGGTCCTTTTTGGAACTCATACATGTTTTAATAGCACATTTAAAAATGAAATTGCCTATTCCTTCCCTCTGTGTTGCGTGAAGAAAAAAATTTGTTCCTATTTTTAGATAATATGTGTTGAATGTTCTCGTAGTCATTGCCCTGTACAACGTGGTTATCACACACAAGATACAATGTCTTGTGCTCAGGGATGTTTATTACGTTTCTGTCTACTTTAAAATGCTTAACTTCCCGGATTCTTATCCCCATTAAATGTTGCTTTTAGGTATTTTAGTTGTTTTTAATTCCATACACGTGTACTTTATAAAATATGTTGGATGAGCATTTGTAATGAGAAATTAGAGTCCCAGATTTTTAATGAATAGTTTTGTTCTGTCTACTAAAAGTCTGACTTCTTCCATCTTCAGGCATCTGTCCTAAACACAGTGAGGTTGTGGAGTAGCACTCCCTCCCATCTTTGACACAGATACTTCCCCGCAATCCCAACTCCCAAAGTGGATGTTGCCTGGGGTAGGTAAGGATCAGGGAGAGTATAGATCATTCTGTATCTGCTCTACGTCTTATGAAGGCTCTTGAGAACACATAGTCCACAGTGCTTCAAATTCAAAGAAATGTTAAATCTGAAAGAGCCCATAGCAAGTTATCAAGACTATCAGACTACTTCCTGTTTCCTGAATGTGCTGTGCACTTTTACATGTCCATGCCCTTGCTTGTTTTGGAGCATCTTTGCTCCTCAGGCTGCCTTGTAAAATGCAGCTTGTCCTCCAGCAACTTAAGCTCTGAATTAATCATTCTGTCATCAGTGATAGCATGGCATTATAAGAAACTATTAATATATAATTTCTCCCATCTTATGTTTGAGTGCCCTACAACGTATTTCATAGTATAGTGTTTAGTTTGTGTTATTTTTCTACTTTAAGTTTTAAATGTTTACTTGAGCAGATAGGGTTATATTATAGTAAGAATGGTGTATGTATATATTTCCTGGGATAAATAAGAAAGTAGAAGGTAAAACACTTAAATGACTTTCATTTCTAGCGTTTTTGATAGGAAATGAATTCACTCACACTTTTAGGTTTCTCATGGAAGTCATTGAGGAAGAGAATATACAACGTAGTTCTGCCTTATTCAGAAACCATCATGGTATTTTAAAAACATGCTATTATCTATATTACATTGTGATTCACTTCATTCTGAAGCTGCCAAAAGACCTGTCTTACATAGAGATACTTTGGATAGCCATTGTTACGGGAGAGGATTGATACATTTCTGTATTTCTGATTTCTTAATTTATGATCATATGCTACTTCTGTGATCAAAAAATAAAGTTTTTTTTTTTTTAAAAAAAAAGAAGAGACAGGATGGCGATCATTAAAAAGTCAGGAAACAACAGCTCCTGGAGAGGATGTGGAGAAATAGGAACGCTTTTACATTGTTGGGAGTGTAAATTAGTTCAACCATTGTGGAAGACAGTGTGGCGATTCCTTAAGGATCTAGAACTAGAAATACCATTTGACCCAGCAATCCCATTACTGGGTATATGCCGAAAAGATTATAAATCATTCTACTATAAAGAGACATGCACACATATGTTTATTGCAGCACTATTCACAATAGCAAAGACTTCAGACCAACCCAAATGTCCATCAATGATAGACTGGATAAAGAAAATATGGCACATATACACCATGGAATACTATGCAGCCATAAAAAGGATGAGTTCATGTCCTTTGCAGGGACATGGATGAAGCTGGAAACCATCATTCTTAGCAAACTAACACAAGAACAGAAAATCAAACACCACATGTTCTCACTCATAAATGGGAGTTGAACAATGAGAACATGTGGACACAGGGAGGGGAACATCACACACCAGGGCCTGTCGGGGAGTTGGGGGCTAGGGGAGAGATAGCATTAGGATAAATACCTAATGTAGGTGATGGATTGATGGGTGCAGCAAACCACCATGGCCCCTGTATACCTAATGTAACAAAACTGTGCGTTCTGCACATGTACCCCAGAACTTAAAGTATAATTTAAAAAAAAAAAAAGAGACAGGCTGGGCACGGTGTCTCACGTCTGTGATCCCAGCACTTTGGGAGGCTCAGGCGGGCAGATCACGAGGTCAGGAGTTTGAGACCAGCCTGACCAACATGGTGAAACCCCGTCTCTACTAAAAATACAAAAATTAGCCAGGCATGGTGGTGCATACCTGTAATCCCAGCTACTTAGGAGGCTGAGGCAGGAGAATTGCTTGAACCCAGGTGACGGAGGTCGCAGTGAGCTGAGATCGCACCACTGCACTCAGCCTGGCAACAGAGCAAGACTCCATCTCAAAACAAAATAAAACAAAAAAATGGTTGCTGATATTGACTATGCCAGATTAGAAACTGAAAAATGAAGAGGTGAATTTCATCCTTAAAGATAAGGTTTAAATTTTAAGATACTGGTATTTATATGAGTAATGAAAGAATTGGTGAGAAAGTAATCCCATCTAATTCTTGTCTTCCTGATCAGTGGTTAGTCAAGAACAATTGGAGAAAAATTCCCAAATGGAGCATTAGAATCTTGGCTCAAGTTATAACAGGTTTATTGCATATGATATAGAAAGCAAAAAAAAAAAAAAACTGGCTTTTACCTTTTGTTTGTTATTTTAATACCTTTAGTGTAGGTCATCCTTCACTTGAATGCTAATGTTGACAGTAACTTGACCTTACACTTAAGTCATCTTTTTGAATGCCACTGGACATTTGGCTCTTGGAAGATGGTAACTCTTAGTACTTCTCCCTGGTTTGTATATATTACTTATTTGGGAACCTATCTGCCATTGTGGCTGTCAGAGCTCAGCATAATTTAAATGTTTAAGGAGGGTGATTGAAGTACTTGAATGAGATATCTTTTCATCTATCTGCTGATGACTCACTAAAGAGTATTTTGAAGAAAGGATGTTCTCCAACTCACCAGTGTATTAGAGGAAAAAAACATATGGTATATCCCCTTAAAATTTAAGTTTTTAGAAAGCAGAAATGCATTATTCCAGTATTACTGTGAATACTTATATTACCATAGACCATCCCCATTGTAAGGTACTTATCTTTTTATAAAATGTCCTAAAATGGGTAAATTATTTCATAAAAACTGGCATACAAAGTTGCTCTAATTAGAACGTAATTGTTTTTAGACTTAACCATTAATTGAGGCTGTCAGTAGTTTGCAGCAGAATCCAAGCATCTACTGTATTAAACTTCATCTAAAACCACGTTATTCTTGATGATATTTTGTTATAATTGATACTTTGTTCTTTGATGCTTGAGAGATTGTATTTGCAGGTAATACTTTTATCTAAAAATTAAGATGAATTTTCTGGTTTCAGAGTATTATTTTGTTAATGTCTGCTGTTGCCCTTCACCTCTCTGAACCCTACTGATTTTTCTAGATCAAGCTAAAGAATGTCAAGCTTGATGAAGTTTTCTTCTATCTCAATAGCTTAAATTATGGCATTTGGACATGGTTTATAGTATCTATTTCCTTTTTCCTTGTATTAGTTAGCTGTGTAATAGTTATGCCTGCCTCTTATACTGGCTCCTAGAGAGCAATGACTGTGTTTTAGGCATCCTTGTAGCACCTTTCACAGTACATATCCCCTATATTTTCAGGAAGTATTTATGAAAACCATTGGTTTTTATCCCGGATTTTCCAAATTAGACTTACAAATAAGTCAGTAATTTGAGGTTTAAATGAGTAATTACACAGTTAGCCATAATGGTTAAGGCTCTATAGTTAAGATTGCCCAGGTTTGAGTGCCTGCTTCATTATGTATCAACTGTGAGACTCCCTCATCTGTAAATAGGAATGTTAGTATCAGCCTCCTAGAATTGTTGATGAAGACTAACATAATTAGTTTGTTTAAAACATTTATTGAGATAGCAAACATATAGGATACACTCAATATAATGTAGTAGTAGTATAATATAACTTTTGCTAAATGTAGTCCTATTGGGCTGGCCTGTGAGCCCCTTGAAGGCCTGTCTTTTGGTCTTTATATCTCAGGCACCTAACCTAGCAGACAGTCAATACTCAATAAATACTTGCTTGAATTGAATTGATTTATTTACCCTATTTTTATCTTCCATTACAGCCCACTGTTTGTAACATGGAAGATTGGTCGAGACAAAAGATTACGTGGATGCATAGGTACTTTTTCTGCCATGAATTTGCATTCAGGACTCAGGGAGTACACACTTACCAGGTGAAGACCAATTTTTGTTACCTCTGCTTTTACATTAAAAAAAAAAACTTATGAAACTTGAATCTGATACTTTAACTCCTTTTACTGAATTGTCAACGTTCTTGTCTTCCTTCATGTCAGGTTTTTCCTTTGTCTTTAACCATTTACCTTTTCTCTGGTAAAATGTTATTGATATATATTACCATAATATAAAATACTGTGATTAATGTATTCTGCCATCGATGTTTTGAAGTGTTTTTTTTTTCTTCCAGTGGCCAGCTTATTTTGTATAACTTGAAAACCAATGACCAAATGTCCACGGGTTACCAAAATATGTGATTTCTATAGTAACAGTCATTATTTCTTCCCTCTTGTGTTTTTTAAAAATAGTTGTTGTCTCTTTCATCTTACACATTTTGTTACACTTTTAAGGACTTTTGAAATTGAAAGGAGAGCCTAGGAAGAAAGTGATGCCACAGCCTAGCAGTATAATCATTCACATTCACACTTCACCCAGAATTAATTGTAGCTTGCTTATTTTCTTTTATCTAATAAAAGGACAAAGTAATTCCTCATTACAGTTGTTTAAAACTTTGTTCTTAATTTCTGAATTCACAAAAAGCTATCTAGCACACAATGTGAATTTTTTGGTTCAAGTTTAGATTTCAAGCAAATTGTGACCCAAAATTATTTCAAAAGAAGAAAATTCCTTAAATAATAAGCTATTAGTAAAGGAATTTCCTGTTTTTGTTCACATTTTAGGGTGATTATCTGATACAGTTTCTATAGTTGTAATATGCACAGTGTCTGTCCAACAAGAAATTGCTCCCTGCTGACTATTGGTACTTGGGGCATGTTTCTCAACCTCCATAGGTAAAATAGTAATTACAGTATTTTGTTCTATATACTTAATAGAGGTGTTAGGAGAATGAAGTAATAATCACTATTTTACTTCAGGATTAATGTGGAACATTATTTTACTGTAGAACTGCATAAATGCAGGCTCATAGCACCAGTTAATAAAATACTGTAACTGAGTTTGGTATTCTCATATTTGAAGGTATGCAGTAGCTCACAGCTGCAGGGTTTTCTCAGCTTACAGTGAAGCCCAGAAAAAAAACCAATGGCTTGGGGGATCATATTCATTTTTTAGCTTTTCACAGGTATAAGAAACTGGGTGTTTGGATTTGATTAAATAACATACAGGCTGTAAGGGTTGAAACACATATTCTGGAAATAAATTCAACTTGTTAAAGATAATATAAGTACTAGTCTAGGCATGTTAGATTTTTTTTTTCTGACATAAAATACAATGGGCTCATTTTTGGGACTTCAGCAAATTCTGCCAATGGCTACCTTTTTGGGACAGGTACATATTAAATTACACATTTAATACTAATCAATGGCAATTTATTGTACATTTCCCAAAATAAGTTGTTATGAGGAACACTGGTTCCTTTGCGCTACCTGAAGAAAAGAATTCTGTGACCAAATAAGTTTGGGAAACACTGGTTAAAAAATGTAAACAACTCTGCTCACTGTAGGACTTCTCAGAACCTTTTATGTTAATAGTGTTATGTATATCTAAGAGAGAGAAATAGAATGTAGCATTTTCCAGGCTTATTTGACTACAGGACCCTTTTATCCTCCCACCCCAAAGTCTGAGTGTTCCAAGGAAAACATTTTTGGAAACACAAGTCTGTTTTCAAAACAGAATATTACTTTATATTTGGGTAGTAAGAGTTGGTATTATAGAAACCCTTTGTGCTTTCTAGTGAAATTGTAGCAGAAATCCCATTATCAAACATTATATACCTTAGAAATCTTTCGTAGTGGTCATTGTGGTAGCAATTGGGTTTTGTTTAAAGAAAAAAATAAATTCTTTTGCCAATGTTGGCAAGGGGTGAAAACATCCAACTTTTCTGGACTTGTCCATTTATATCCTAGGGTAATGACCAGAAGAATTACAGTATAATTTTCTGACAATAATGTGATTCTGAATGAATTGTTCAAATACTTGAAGTTGGAAATTTGCCTACATTTGTATACCTTGTTACCCTCATTGCAATCTATAGCTCTTCCTGTTTACTTTTCATCTTTTTTCTCATGTTTCTATACAGCTTCCTCAAATTGTATATATCACATTAAAGAGGCGTGTGTGTGTGCGTGTGTATACATATGTTTGTGTGTGTATACACACATGCACATACCTGGTTTTACTTCTCATTTTTGTTTGGCTTAATTTCTTTTGTATAACAAGATATTAACAATCATACTATTTGGAAAAGATGAACAAAAGAAAACAAGTCTTACAAAATACAATTAATCTTTTTTCCTGGATTCATTTTAGCATCAAAAGTTGTAAGGAGTCATTTTTAAAAGTTGGAATATAATATTTTTCTGTTCAGTAGTGTGCTTATCATTTTTACGTATTATGTTATTATGATTATTTTTGTTAATGGCTGCCATTTATTAAGAATTTACTATGTCAGACATTGTTGAGGAGCTTTACATGCATAGTCCTTGTAATAACCCTTAGGTACTAATATCTACATTTTCAAAATGAGGAAACTGAGAATTAGGTAATTTAAATAATTTACCCACTCACACATCTATTAAGTGATAGAACCAGGATTCAAACCCAGAGCATGTGTCTACAAAATCCATCCCCTAACCGAGGCAAAATTTTCTGATTATTTATGTTTTGCAGCTTTGTCATGAAAATAATGAACTTGAAAGCAAGTTACTATAAATTTTATAAATCATAGATCAGTAATCCTTCAAAAATTCTAGTTAGGAGTTAAGACTGAAATTTTGCAACAGGAAAATCCATAGATATTATTATGGAAAGTATACAACTCAGAGTTGTATAGAGCAGACAGAAGAAAATTGACTTGAACTAATATTGTATTAAGGATAAAGCTTATTACAAAACAATACTACTGTAGGATAGGAAATTGTATTCTTTGGCTACATGGACTAGACTTTAAGAATACAATTTTTTTTGAACATAAAAATTGGTGATTCTTGGCTTCTGGTCATCCCACCTTAAAAACCCATAACTCACAAAATGAATAAATAGAATTAAATGAACTTAGGGGATAGGGGCATAAAGGAGGGAGAAAGCAAAACAAAAAACAAAATAAAACAAAACAAAAAATAAGCAGTGAAATTAAAGGCATTCTAGGTATAGGCATCTTTTTAAAAATTCAAATATCCGGTTCATCTGTGATTAGATAGACTATTGTTTGATTTTCAGAATGTTACTCAATTATATCTCTTCTTTTTTTTTATTGTGGGGAAATATATGTAACATAAAATTTACCATTTTAACCATTTTTAAATGTATAGTCCTGTGGCCTTAAGCGCAATCATGTTGTTGTACAGTCATCACCACCATCCATCTCCAGAACGTTTTTCATCTTCCCCAACTGAAACTCTACCCATTAAACATGAACTCCACATTCTTCCTCCTCCAGGCCCTGGCAACCACCATTCTACTTTGCGTTGCTATGAATTTGACTACTCTAGGTACCTCGTATCAGTGGAATCATATGATATTTGTCATTTTGTGACTAGCTTATTTCACTTAGCATAATGTCTTCAAGGTTCATCCATGTGGTAGCGTGTGTCAATTTACCTTCTTTTTAAGGCAGAATATATTCCATTGTATGTATATACCACATTCTGTTTATCCTTTCATCCATTGGTGGACGTTTGGGTGGGTGGCTTCTACCTTTTGGCTGTTGTGAATAATGCTGCGATGAACATAGGTGCACAAAATATCTGTTTGAGTACCCTTTTTCCTCTTAAAAGTGAACCAGTTTATAGAAGACAATGATCTAGCTTGTGTGTAGTCCCTTAACTCTAAAACCTTTCTTAAAAATATGACCAGATATTTTTTAAAATGAAATGCCTATCCTGAATTAAGTTTTTATTTATAAATAAAATTATAAACTTTTAATTTTAATAAAATTATTTAAACTTTTAGAATTAAAGTACTTGTCATAGTCAAGTTGTATGTTCAAATATGACCGGGTATTTTTTAAATGAAATGCCTATCCTGAATTAAGTTTTTTAAATATATATATAAACATAATCTTTTAAATGTAAAGTACTTGTCAAAGTCAAGTCATATGTTCTCCTAATTGAAATTTTGATTTTAGATTGAAATAAAATCTTATAAAGAGGCTGAGGATTTCTTCTCAATTGTGAAAATACATAGTATTTGTGTAGGTAATGAAAAGTTTATGAGAAGTACATGGAACTATTATAAATAGACTATTCTTTGTCTGACCTTGAAGGATCTGGGTAAAAGCAGGAAAGATTATAGAAAATACGAAGCAGGATGGAGAGCTCAGAATTATTGATAAAAGTCTATCCATAGAATTTGGTGATAAAGTCCACAAATTACCCTATTTATCATTGCTCAAGACTTCAAAGTAGAAATATTCTTTGTCCGAGCTGAAGGAGATAATTTCCAGTATTGTGTTTATGGCTTTTATATATTAGAAAGCAGAGGCAGATTCATTTCCCCAATTTTAGTACTTAGAAAACATACTTTTATAGAGAGGAAAATTACCACTAATATAGATGAATATAAACATCTCAGTCAAAAAAGATTCCTGGCCGGGCGCGGTGGCTCACGCCTGTAATCCCAGTAATCCCAGGCCAGCGGATCACGAGGTCAGGAGATCGAGACCATCCTGGCTAACACGGTGAAACTCCGTCTCTACTAAAAATACAAAAAATTAGCCGGGCGTGGTGGCGGGTGCCTGTAGTCCCAGCTACTCGGGAGGCTGAGGCAGGAGAATGGCATGAACCCGGGAGGCAGAGCTTGCAGTGAGCCAAGATTGCGCCACTGCACTCCAGCCTGGGTGACAGAGCGAGACTCCATCTCTTAAAAAAAAAAAAAAAAGAAAAAGAAAGTTTCCTTAAAATTTTGGCTAATAAATTTCCCAGCAAAATGCAGATCTATTTCTTTATGTAAATTCAAGTTGGCAGTAATTTTTCTAGAACACATTAAGTAATTAATAGATGTATTCTTATTCAGCAAAACAGGATTGTGGTCTGTCACCACACTTAAAAGACTATCTTTTTTTCTCCTTTGTTGTACTTAGACCTCTCGGCAGTGAAATAATTATGCAGGTGCTGGCAGTTCTAGAACTTGATTGTGAACTATGCCACTTTTGTTGAACTACTTAATTCTAAGAAATTAGCAATGAAAGTTTAGCCCTTTCTAGGGAACAGTATGACCACATAAAAGGTGATGTGCTGTGTTTTGTTTTGGAGTTTTATTTTGTTCTGTGTGGGTTAGTGGGGTTGTGTGTCAGGGGAGTTTGAGGGGGGATTGATTGCTTGCATGGTACAAATATTCACTTTCCATTAGATTTTTTGAGATACTGAAAATAGCTAACAAACCTACTTTATTACTTTCAAAGGTCCTAGCTAGATTGGGTACTTATGGGATTCATTGTAAACTGAATTTGCTTTTATATTTTGGTGTTGTAATCTGGCATTTTTCTAAAGCAGTATGAGTTTAAAGCCATTATAAGCAGCATAATATTTTCCCTGTCATAGTAGACCATCGTGTGATCATTTTTATTCTTGATTATTTGGGTAACCACTCTAGGCTCATTGTGAACACTTAGATTAAACAAGTTCCTCCTCCCTCTCATTTAATATTAGTCTTTATGGTAGCATCACCCAGATTGATTTTTCTTATGAAAAGAAAAGCTGTATGAATCACCTCTGACTGTACATTATTGTTATGGAAGCTCATTCTGGAGATGTTAAGGCCAAACAATTTTTGGCAAGTGGTTGTGGCAAGACTTCTGGCTAAAGTATGCATTTTGGGGAAATAAATTAGATGTATCACAAACAATGCAAAATTAATTAGTTTAATTTACAACCTACATTTTTTGCCTTTTTATAAAAGAGATGATGGCCTGAGTCCTAAAACTTATACCTAATTTGATAGTTTCAGTTTATTAATTACAAAATGAGAAACATTTGTCAGATTTTATAGGCACTTAATTTAAGGTACAGTTTGGAACCTAGGTTGTTGTACGCTCTTTACTCAAAATTATCCACATGAAGCATGGTGAACTATCTGCTCAAACTGGAATCCTCATTTTAGCCATGAGGTTAATGCACTCCTTCGTTATCCCAAGGTTGTGCTAATGTGCAGAGATGTAGCCACAAAATTCCCAGCAGAATGTGGAAACTAAGCAGCAGGAACCATTTGCAGAATGGGTAATGGCTCCTGAATTGTAGAGAATTGTCTGAATTCATATAGCACCTACTGCCACAGAAATTAAGTGTAGTGAGTATATCAGATTCTAATTCCTTATCACATCATTTAGATCTTTAGAGTTTCCAGTTGGAATCTCCCTGCTGCTTTGATTAAGAGCCACAGGCAAAATGCCTGGGGCAGAAAAGGCCATCTGTGAAAAGGTAGTGTTGAGAGAAGCTGAAAATGGGCTTTTTCAGCACCAGGGCTCTTGGTTCTTAAGTTTGATAGGGAGAGAGTGAACTATAAGAAATTTACCCTATTTTTACATCTATCTGTAAAGTTTAATACCTCTCTGGTCCTTCGAGGCTGTTTCCCCTTTTAATCATGTTTAAACAGTTCATCCTGCAAATCTTGTCTTAATTTTGCCTTAGGAGTTTATGATATATTAGGAGAGATAAGAAGTTATCGAAATAATTGTAGTCCTAGGTAGAAAGCAGTTTTTCTCAAGAAGCAGAGGACGTGATACTGGATGATTACTACTCTATATCTGTTATAAAAGCTAAAATGTATTTAAAGGTATCTATAAATTATTTTATTTGGTTCATCCCTAGTTCACTTTTTATAAAAGCAAAACAGTATGTACCACTTTCTGGCTTGTTTTTATCCTACATGGTCCAAAAAGGTCAAAATTATAGGGATGCGTGTAAATCATTATTATCAAAGCAACCATATACAAGGTGTTGGGTATTTATATTTTAAGAAATTTGTAATACATATTTTAAAGGGGAAAATGATCTTGTCATAGAAGAAAAAGCCTTTGAAATAGAGGACTCTTAAGAGTGTGCATGCACATGCACACATACACAGGGAGTTTACCAAACATTAGCTAGAACCAAGTTGGATTATAGCTCTGATGCTTGGCAAATGAAGAAAATTAAAAGTTATAGTTTAGATTTCACTTTCCTCTTGTCTTGTTAAAGTGAATTCATATTTTGTTTTAGTACAGTAAACTGATATCTGTCTCCTTTCCTGAGAGTCATTGTCTGCGATAGTCTTCATTTTTTCAGATGAATGACTGAAATGGTAAAGCTAAGTTAGAACACAAATATTGTATGAAATTATTACATTGGATGTGGCCTAAAATTATACTATAGACATTAAAAATATATTTCTTTTGTCTGAATATTTACATAATAAATGTTGGGCTTACTTATAAGTGTCTAAAGTATTTGAGTCATTAGGACCTGAATGAACAGGAGGACAGATTTGTATCTTAGTGTTCTGGAAGAATAAGATGGTTATGCTTTGATGTAACTAAAGGTGATTATCATGCAAATCCTATGCTTTTACCACTTTTAAGGGGACAATGTTAGGAATTTGAGTACTTTAAAATAATTGAAAGTTGAGGTTTTGGTGTAGCAATTGAATATTAAAATTTTAGTTATGATCTTATGAGCATGAGAAATACTTTTTAAAAGTAGAAGGCAAAAGAAATGAAGCCCTTCTCTGTGATCTTTCCCATTCTCTCAAACTTCAAACTGCCTTAAATGTGGTTATCCAAAGTAGTAGTCCTTGGAAAAAACTTACTTTTCATCATTGATAACAATTTGTTGATCTTTAAATGCTAAACACTTATTGCATCGTAAGTCCTTTATCTTGCATCATAAATATATTTTTCTTAGAAACAACTCTAGTTTTTCTTACATTCTCTCTCAATTTTTAAATAAAGAGCAAACTTTCAACATAAAAGTCCTGTCCTAAAGAACTACATTATCTGATCTACTTCTTGTTAACAAAAGAAATAAATATATCTATATTTATATAACAAAATAGACATGGACAAATTGTAACATTTAAAAAATTTTCTATTGGAATAGAATATCATAGATGCTAGGAAATTCTAAAGATGGAAAACAATATAGTCATGTACCGCATAATGACGTTTTGGTCAACAGTGGACTGCATATACAACAGTGGTCCCATAAGATTATAATACTTTAATTTTACTCTATCATTTCTATGTTTAGATGCACAAATACTTAACGATTGTGTTACAGTTGCCTACATTATGCAGTATAGTAACATGCTGTACAGCTTTGTAGCCTAGGAGCAATAGGCTATATCATATAGCCTAGGTACGTTGTAGACTATACCATCTATGTTTGTGTAAATACACTCTATGACGTTCACACAACAATGAAATTGTTTAATGATGCATTTCTCAGAATGAATCCCCACCATTAAGCAATACCTGACTGTATTTAATACATTCTTTTGAGAATGAAGCTCTAATTATTGTTAATATCAAATATGCAGTGTACTTTTCAGTATATTTAAAATCTGAAAGTGAAGAAAATACATTTGGATTCATAAGGTACAGATTTACACTTGGTGTGATGTTCAGAAAACTCATTTTTGTTAATTTTACTTCAGCTCAAAAAATTATCCTGTAAATCTACATATGGAAACTATAGACTTATTCAGATTAGATTAGCATGTTATTGTCTCCATTTTTAACACTCTGTTTTTTTTATTTCTACATGGAAATGCTAACTTTTGTATCCTTCCTAGTAGTGAAAGAGAAAGTTAGAAAAGGCCATAAAATAAATTCTTCAGAAGCTTTAATTAAAGGGATTGCCCAGAACTCAACTTCTTGTTGCTATACCCAACTACCTTCAGGACTACTTTGTATGTTCTACAAAGCTGATTTAAAAGGTTCCAACTGCAGTCACTTCACTGAGGATGGCAGGAAAGAGAATCTCTTAAGTTCTGCAGGCTGCTTTTAACCTAAACCATTCTTCTAAGATGACCATTACTTGCCTCCTAGCTAAGCCTGGAGAAGTATTTTAAGCCTTTGAAATGAGTGGAGCTGTGTTGCATATGAAGAACAGTAAACAACTGTACACTGCTGGTTAGACTTGTACTGCTAATGAGATCATGGGTTCAATCCCTATTTGGACCATATTTTTAGACAATAGCTACCACTAGATCCCAGGCGTTGATTACAGTGGGGCTCAGACAGAGCACGTGGGCGAATCAGTACCAAACCCAAGTTTTAGCATCATTTCAGCATATGAAACGTGCTACATTAAAAGTACCCAAAACAATGTGGTCTTAAAATGTGATATACACAAACCCTTTGAAAGTAGCAAGACAGACATGCCCTTTTTCTAAAATTGACAAATCCCGAAGAGGAAGAAAAGAGTTGGGACAATAAAACACTGGTTCTGGAATCTGGAATGTTGCTTTAAGTCCAGGCCAGCAGTGACAAAAGTTATTGTAATGACCTCTGAACAGACAGACACTGCCATTGAGCAGGCCTCTGGTATAGAAAACATGGTACATTTGGGAGTTGTGAATATAGCTCCAGGTGTGCTCCTAAATCAGTTCACAGTAGATTATGCTTAACAACATTGAGATGTTATTGGAGGTGTGGATGAGGAAGTTTGTTGTTGCAGTCCTTTTTTGCACCTTATTTTAAAGAATAAATGAAACATTTTTCTAATTCCCTTTTAAAAAATTTTAAATGGAAGGGAAGTTTACTTCTGATGCTTCAGTGTTGTAAGTTCAACATATAGACTGTCAACCTAAATTCATGGTATAACACAGTTCTTTTCTTTTTTCTTTCTTTTTTTTTGTATCTGTTCAATGAAAATAAGGTACAACCCAGGTTTTTACATAGTCTGACTAGAAGTATTCCACTTCAAGATCTGAGAGTAGCATTTTCTCAAACTTTCACCTTAAAAAACAACATCACTAAACAAAAACTATCACACAGAATGGATAAGAAGTTTTGTAGATCTTTTTGGTGATGAACTATGACATGAGCCTTATAGATTGTAAAATATAGTTGAAACTAATGTACATAATGAAAATTTTTAAATTTTATTTGCTGTTAAATTCTGTGAAATTTCAGTTATTTAAAATAAACATGCAAAAATATGAAATGTAATGTTTCAGATTGCAAGGTAATATGTAATATGTTTGTAAGATACTCTGGTCTAATACTAACTAGTAGTATTTGGATTTGTACAGTCATAATTCATTAAAATGACTTCATTTTAACATGTACCGATGTAGACTAATATTGTAAGTTCTGATTTAAAGAATGGTGACAAAATGGCGCATGTAATACTTTTGCAAGTGTTGGGGAGGTCGGTATGTTTTGAAAAGAGTAATTTAACTTTTGGGTGCTAGGAAATGGGTTATCTCAAAGACCATTGCTGGCAATGGGCAGGCCTGGTAATACTGGCACAGAGCATTAATCATACACCTTATTAACGGTGAGGTGAATAACTTTGAAATAAAGTTTTAGGGAAGAAAAGAGACTACCCAAAACTTAGCTATCTCATGAACAGTTGATACTAATTATAATAATAATTGCTTTGAATCTAAAAGAAAAAAGAATATTTTTAGATGTTAATTTTTCTTCACAAACTCTTTGAAGAGTGTCAATGTGACATTAGAGAAAAGGTCTTTGGAGTGGCAGTAGAACTGACAACACAGGTTGGACTTCAGCAGGCCTGAAAATGGTATGGCCAAAAGGGGAGATTTCTTTCTGCCTCTAATAAAGAGTAGTGGCTAGGAATAGGAGTCATCTCAGATGATACTGGATTTCAGCTGAAGCAACTCTTAAATATTTCAGTGGTAAAAGGATGACTATGTTAAATTCATGGGTTTGTAAATACATGTTATAAAATGTAATTGTTCTTTTTAAAAGCACATATTTTTTTAAAAGCCTACATTTTAAAGTTGTCATCTATTGTGTATTGAGATGTTCCTGTGCCTCACAGATCAGCTCACTAAGGTGTGGTAGCTATTGTCTAAAAATATGTACCCTCTCATACTGTTGCAGCTTCCTCTTCATAGGCTTTATTATTGCCCAGAGCAGCACATTTACCCCATTAGCCAAAATGGCACAAACAACGCCCATTGGCATGACTGAACTCTCCTTAGTTGGTGTCAATCCTTATATCTGAGATAAGAAGCTTTCCTGTGTCTACCTTTCTCACCTAGAGTAAAAGCCAAAGTATTTAAAAAACATATATTTCACTCAGAGTAAAGTTAATGTTCTGCAATGAATGCCACCATGCTCAGCTTGCCCCTCTCACCTCATCTCCTACTCCCCTCTTCCCACCTCCATTCATTCTCTTGGCCTTAGCTAGGCTGGTTTCCTTGTTTCCCTTTGAACACACCAAGCATGGTCCCCGCCAGGGGCTTTGCACTTGAATTTTCTTTACTTGCAACAGTCTTCTACTAGATAGACATGTAGCTTGGCTTCCTCACGCCCTTCAGGTCTCTATTCAAATGATGCCATTATCATTGACACGTATGTAAAATAGCAAGGCCTACATTTGATATCTGGCTCTCCCTGCCCGTTTACCCTGCTTCATTTTTCTCCGTAGCACTTATCACCACCTGGCATACTGTAAATTTACTTGTATATTTGTGAGTCTTTCTTAATGCGAATGTAAATTCCATGAGGGCAAGGACTGCTGTAATATTCCTCAAAGCCTACAACAGTACGTGGTACATAGTAGGCATTCAGAAAATATTAGTTGAATAAATAAAAGTCTTGTTTTTATCAGCATTTAGAAATTGTGGATTATAAAGTATAATTCTTTGTCTTACTACTTTACCTAGATGTGAAATTATTTGGTCTTATTGTGGCTAGTTTCTTATAGTTTTCATTGAGTGCATATTGAATGTATTTTTTGTGTGTGTGAGTGGTTTGACATTAAAATTCTCTTTTAAAACTCATTTTATCATGAACACTTTTAAATACTCGCAAAAATAGACTATTATAATGATGCAGTCATTTTTATAATAGTGATTTTTTTTCTCTTTTCTTTTTGTGGGGAACAGCGTCTCACTATGTTACCCAGGCTAGTCATGAACTCCTGGGCTCAAACAATCCTCCAGCCTCTGCTTCCCTAAGTGTTGGGATTACAGGTGTGAGCCACCATACCTGGCTGCTTTTTCATTTTACTTATTTTTATTTTAATACTTGCTTTTTAAGTACAGAGGCAGTATGAGGTTGTAGAAAGAGGTAGCCATATCTGGGTTCTAGTTGTGAATCCCTCAATTCTTAGCTTTGTGACCCAAGGGAAGCTACTGAATTTCTGCCATGTCTTGGTTTTCTCATCTGTAAAATGGGTATAATTCTAAACTGGTAAGTTTGTTGTGAGGATTAGGATATATATGTATATGAAGTATCTTATACATACTAGGTACGTAGTAAATATTTATATTGTAGTACATGCATAGTAAATATTTATATTTCTGCTTCAGGAAGAAATTAAGTAGTGAGAATGGCCAAGAAATGAAATTTTAAATATATTTATAGCAATTTCAGTTTTTCTTTTTCTCTTGGACACATGTAGGTAGGCAGGAATTTTCATAATATGAGAAGAAACAAGCATTATCAGTAAATAAACCAGTGACCCCATAATCAGTCACCATCACATTTCTGTTTATGTAATTCTTTAAAAAATACACACATACATGTAACTGATCATTGAGCAAAACGCTATCAGTCTATATTTCCTGTTGGTTCTGCCCCACAGATATCTCTTGAATCCACCCCATCCTCTTCAGCCTCACTGCCACTGCCTTTGTCTGGGTTCTTATTCTGGCTCACTGGTTTCCCTGCTTCCCTTTGAAGCCATTGTACACCAATCACCAGAATTATCTTTGTTGACAAAAATCTATCTCACTCTCCTTAAAACAGTGCCTGTTATTCCTTATCACCAGAGAGGAAAACCCATTTTTATTAAGAAGCATAGTACTTGAGGACCTAACCTCACACTCCAGCCATGCACACAATTATTCACCACTTCCCAAATATATTCTTTCATGTCTCTCTGGCTTCACATTTTTTTCTTTGCCTCTCCCCATTTCCACCCAGTCAACTCCTACTTATCCTTCAAGACTCAGCTTGCTCATTGCTTCCTCTGTGAGATTTCCTTGACAGTCCCCAGGAAAATTGGTCAGTCTCTTTTAGGCCTCTATTATAACACTTAACACACTGGATTATAATTATTAATTTTATGTTTGTCTCTCCCTTTTGAAATTGCGCTCCACAGTAGTTTACCAAGCAACATCAAAGCAAACTAACAAAAACCAGTCTCATTGCTTTGTAGCAACTTTGCTTGATCCTGATAACCATTCTACTCTCTTTCTTTTCTGTTTGCATATGTTAGCTTATATCTGTCACCTCTTCTTGCTGCCAGCATACTTGAGCCAGTAAGAGTTACCAGTGTTGATTGATAGTGCAAAGGGTGGCTTAAGGCCACTTGGAATTAGACTGAGCCAGAGGACAGGGATCTTTATACAGAACACTTTAGAAAACAAATTGACATGAGGTTGATCTCATTATAAGTGACTGAAGATGCACTATGTGAATTGATTCCTGCCATGGAACCATAGACCTAGAAGAGATTCTTTTAAGTCATCTAGTCCAACCCCTATCAGATACTTTAATCTCTCTTAAAAATCTCCTGAGTAATGGGCATCTAGCTTCTATCTGAACATCTCTGTAGACTTGGAAGTCACTTCCAGTTAAGTAGCCCATTTCATTTCAAACACCTCTGAACTCTACTCCCATAACTTCAGTTACCACATAGTTTTAGTCGAAGTGCTAGAAGTCAAAGATTGCCTGCAATTAGCACTTTATTCTTTATAGAAAGCTGCATTAACCAGCAGTGGTTAAACTTAACCCTCCGAGTAATATCTGAATTATCTGAGTCTTTAGGAGTTTAGGAGTAGTAAGATAACACAGCTTTACAATTGAGTCTCATCCACCCACCCATACAAATTTTAACTCTTCCCTTATTGTTGAAACCTTTGAAGCTACTGCTGCCACAATATCTCTCACAGTCTACCTTAGACTTCTGGAGTTGGCTGAACCCTAGAGCCCAGAGATTCCAAGATAGACCTGGTGCTAGATCTTTTAGTGATCCCAACAATGTCACAGAGTTGGAACTAGAGTTAGAACACAGGTCTCCTGACATTGCCTTGGACTATCATTACAAATTCCAGAATAGAAAGTACCCATATTATATGTGACTTGATGCTTAAAAAATGAAAAAGTACCCATAAAAGTATATGAATTTGTTAATTTTAGTTAAGAAGCATACAATTTCAAGGAACCCTGTAATGAAATGATCATTTTGTAATGTAAAGATTTATTCTTGAGTTATCTGCCTTGTGTCAAGTTTAGGCATACTTCCATAAAATGAACAATACCCTTAGAACTATTCAACTGCAGGAGTAACAATATCAGAGTTAGAGAATCTCAAAGCAAAACCTTAGATTTCCCCTTTCCTTTCCTTTCCCTTTCCGTTTCCCTCTCCCCTTTCCCCTTTCCTTTCCTTTCTTTCCGAGTCTCGCTCTGTCACCAGGCTGGAGTGCAGTGGCATGATCTCAGCTCACTGCAACCTCTGCCTCCCAGGTTCAAGCGATTCTTCCGCCTCAGCCTCCCAAGTAGCTGGGACTGCAGGCATGCGCCACCATGCCCAGCTAATTTTTGTATTTTCAGTGGAGACGGGGTTTCACAATGTTGGCCAGGATAGTCTCGATCTCTTGACCTCGTGATCTGCCCACCTTGGCCTCCCAAAGTGCTGGGATTACAGGTGTGAGCCACCGCACCCAGCCAGATTTCCCTTTTCTTTAAACATATCTCTGCTTGTTATGTGTCCCAATCATACTTGTAACTTCTGTTTTGTGTGTGTGTGCTGGAACTCTCGTAGGTATTTTATATAAGTTACCTCATCTAATATTTCCAACAACCTTATGAAGGTGAAAGTATTTCACTTATATTGCAGTTAGGGAAAACAAGGTCTTAGATGGTTAAGTAATTTGCTGAATGACAGCTAATAATAACCTGATTCTATCTAATTCCAAAGCCTGTGCTCCCAACCACTGTGCGATACTGCTTCCTTCCAGTAATATCACTCCCCCTTCCCTGGTGAAAGCTTCTTATGGACATTTGTTTCACTGACTCAACAGGTATTCCCTGGTGTCCACTTACAGAAAAAAAAAAAATCACTGAATAACCTTTCTCTTCATTTGGGAACTCAGTTTCTTAACTCAGTTTTCCAAAATCTCCCTTATACCCCTAGTCCATTAATTCCAGTCTCAACTTCTCTTGGGTTCTCTTTCCTTTTAGAATCTTGAGGCACTGTCTCCCTTAATATGACTTTTTTCTTCACAGCTATCCTCCCAGTTCAGTTTGGTATTCTGAACTTCCATAGTCCCATCAGAATTTACCACCTTCTCAGGGATACATACTCCCCAAACTGATTTCTTTCTACATTTGATCTTAGCCAAAAGGCCAAGAAGTGATTGATCTCTTTCTGTACAACATTTGCACTTAATATCAGTACATTTACATGGAATACTAGTTTAGCCCTTAGATTCTAGCCAGACACAACTCTCTGAAATCCACTGCTGACTAGAGAGCCTCGGGGGAAGGATTCACCATAAAGGAACTGTGAATAAAAGTCCTGACTCAGCTATTCTCTTCAACTGGCCAAAAGGTAGACATTTAGGAGTTAAGAAGTGAGACAGTTCCTTAGAAATTATAATTAAGGAAACAAATTCCAAGTTTCTAAGTAATTAAGACCAAATATATTGTCTTAGTTTTAATTTTTGCAATTTGAAGTTCCTTAGGAGCAGTTTTTGATAGAACAAATGATCATAAAACAGTTAGATAAGTGGCAGACAAATATATCCGTGACTGGTATCAGGAAGGAATTGAAAGTATGTAGTCGTGGACTGTGTCCATCTTATTGAACTTAGATTTCTTACAATAGTAAGGTTTAAAAAAACAATAAAATTCTCCAGATTGTATTTTTTTCTTTTCTTTTCTTTTCTTTTCTTTTTTTTTGAGACAGGATCTCGCTCTGTCACCCAAGATGGAGTACAGTAGTGCAATCACAGCTCATTGCAGCCTCAACCTCCCAGGCTCAAGGAATTCTCTCACCTCAGCCACCCATGTGGCTGGTACTACAGGTGCATACCACTATACCCAGCAAAATTTTTATAATTTTTGTAGAGACAGGGTTTCGCCATGTTGCCCAGGCTGGTCTCAAACTCTAGGCTCAAGTGATCTGCCCACCTCAGCCTCAAAAAGTGCTGGGATTTCAGGTGTGAGCCACCACGGCCAGCCTCAGATTGTGTCTTTTTCTTACCACAGCTGGGATTTGAGGATCTCAGTATTTAAAAGGCAAAGAAGATTTTTAGAATGTGCTTTCTGTAGTATACAAGTATTTTATGATGCATTCTTTTAAAATTCTGTGGCAAACAATAGTGAAAACTTTAGAATCATAGGCATCATTCATTATCTTCTATTTTGCTCCTGAACCATTTAAAAACTTTTCTTTGTCTGAAACAAGTATTATTGGAAACCTGTTATCAGGATAGGTATTTTTAAATTTGACAGTGAAAATATCTTTCAAACTTGTTTTCATATACTGCCTGTTAATAATAATGAAATTAATGAATTAATAGCCAGGTTGGTTGGGACATTGTCCATGTCACACGTGTTTCTTTCTTTCGTTTTTGTTTGTTTTTTTTTTTTTGAGACAGGGTTTCACTCCTGTTGCCTAGGCTGGAGTGCAGTGGTGCCCTCTGGGCGCACTGCAACCTGTGCCTCCAGGGCTCGAGTGATTCTCCTACCTCAGCCACCCAAGTAGCTGGGATTACAGGTGCAAGCCACCATGCCTGGCTAATTTTTGTATTTTTTGTAGAGACGGGGTTTCACCATGTTGTCCAGGCTGGTCTTCAACTCCTGGGTTCAAGTGATCTGCCCACCTCGGCCTCCCAACGTGTTGGGATTACAGGTGTAAGCCACCACACATGGCCAATTTTTGTATTTTTTGTAGAGACGGGGTTTCACCATGTTGCCCAAGGTGGTCTCAATCACCTAGGCTCAAGCTATCCACCTGGCTTGGCCTCCTAAAGTGCTGGGATTACAGGAGTGAGCTATCATGCGCAGTGCTGGGATTACAGGAGTGAGCTATCATGCGCAGCCCATGTCACGTGTTTCCTAATAGGTTTTCAAAGAATTTTGCCACAGTAAGAAGTTTTTATTTCACATATTCAAGTCCCACATACCTGATCATGGCAAAATGGCAAATTAATGATGTAGTTGAAGAGAAACCAGCAAAGAGCTGTAGATGCTAGCTCAGAAATGAGTAACATTTTTAGTCTTTGGGATGTCAGTGATGGTGCACAGTGTATTTAAGTGTCATTTTTGTCATAAGCCAGAGAAGCAGGAGGAAAGAGTAATGGGACATGGTAAAGCAGAAATTCTGCTAAGTAGCTGAATGTTAGAGTTGATTGCTGCTATTCTGTTTCTTGCCTATAGTGTAGCCCATTTTAAGTTCAAGACTAAGAAAACCCTCCAAAAAGTTTAAAAAATTCAAAGCAAATAAACTAGTAAATGCTCATGGCTCTACACTTTTACACTGCAGATTTCTTCTATTTCCCAAAGGACTCACCCAGTGATGTTTCCTAACTCCCCAGAGTTACTGTTTCTTCCCTTGTATGTTCATAACACATTACTGGTATCTCTGTTACAGCACTTGCTTTATCTTGCCTTCCAATGTAGTTTCTTACATGATTGTCTTTCCTACTTAGATTGGTAGTCCCTTGAGGACCTGAACTATATTTTTCACATCTTTGCATCCCCTAAGTAGCTATGAGGGATTAGGCATAGAGCAAAATAAATGTTTGAATAGGAGAGTCATTTCCCCTAGTATACTGAGGTATTTGTTTACTAGCTGGGTAAGATAATTAAAGAAAGTGTTAGGAGCCACAGCCTATGCAAAGGAAGTGAGAAATGAAGATTAAAGCATCTCTGAAAGTATAAGTCATAGGAAAATAAAATTAATTTGCAAAGGTGATTTACTTTTATTTTTAGGAATGGTGAGATGTATCTGCATTTTGTTTTCTATTTATAGTTTTAAATCAAGGAAATTTTTACTCACTTGTTTTATAACTGGATCAGTTTTCATTTAATAAAGGATAGGAACACTCAATTCTTATGGGATATTTAGATATTCTAATCACACCTATTAAGTTGTGCTATTATAAAAATGAAACAGTTGAAATACAAGTTTAAGATGTGCTCCCATGGAAGAATCTATATGTACTAATTGTACAAATGAGATGAGAAACAGAAATAGCCTGGGGAAAAGAAATGGGGATGCTATTTAACATCCTATATATTACTTCTAGCAGACAATTGCAATTTACAATCACTTTATAAGAAGAGGTGCCATGAGGGCTGCTTATTAAAATTGTTTTATGAAGGACATTTTATTCACAGTAGCACTACTGTCCATATATTATTTTTAAATCCCTACGAGAGAGATGGTCATTTTTGTGAAGTTTCGGTTGTAGTTCCTGGTCCTACAAAGGTTTAGTGAGTGAGTGATGGCTTGTCAGAAATGATCTTTCTGTGATGGCTGAAAACTTTGGGAGGACCAAAGTTTCAGGTGAGCAATCCTAGGTCATAGCTTCACATCCTGCCATTTATTATCTAGTTAATTATGCTTGATTCTGCTTGATACAAAAATAAAATTTGCATTCAACAAACAAAACAGTACCTCACCTCTTTTTCACAAAGAAGAAGATTTGGGCTAGAGATTGGGAGATTTTGTATTTAGCAAATTTTTAAAAGTCCTTTTGAGATGTGTCTTCTAAGGGCTTTTGTTTGCTATCATTAACTGTGGGAATATTTGCTCCTGAATGGATCCCACCTTATGCTGAGCCCAGCTTCCCTTGTCATTCCCCCTGCAATAAATACTATACAATAAGTGTCTATGTAACAAATAAACAGTTTGGAGGTTAAATGGAATGCTCAATATAATAAAGCTCCATTGCAGTAGGGAGAAAAGTCCTTTTGATATGCATTTGATAGGAATGTGTTAATTTCAACAAAACATCTGGTATAAAAGAGTTGTGAATGCAGGACATTTGAGGGGGTTACAGAAGGAGAAGGGATTTACTGTGCTTAACAATTGCCAGTAGTCAGGCCACTTCCAAGTTGTGATTTTGTCAGACTTAGAAATTAAGTGGGATCACATCTACTCAGCCCTTCAGTGGGAGAAGATCCAAATCCAGCTGCAGCAAGGAGCAGTGACTGATTCAGAAGTAGTGAGCTCTATCCAGTGTCTCCTAGCTGGTTTTCATTAATATGCTTACTATTGCCCTCTTTATATTCTGGCTTTTTAAAAAAATATGGCCTTTGTGGTTTATTGGTTGAACTTGTACAGCTGAATCTACTGTAAAAGGTCTTTTTTCACTGGCATTATGTCCTACAGATTTGAGTGTTCTTGCTGTTCTATATAAGATAATTCAAACTTAGAATAGTCACTATAGTTTCAAAGCTTGATTGAAAGATACATTCAGTGTTTTCTCTAAATATGTAGCAATTATAACAACACAGCTGTAGTTAAATACATAACTTATTATAAATCCTGACAGTCTTCCTTCTCATTTATATCAGGCTGACATAAGGTTTAGTCAGTTCAATTCCACATTTATCGAGCACTTAACTCTGACCATGGTACTGTACTAGGTACTATGCAGCTACAAAGATCAACAGTACATGATGTCTGTGCTCAAGAGCTGAGTGATGTCTTTTGAGGGAAATTGGCATGTACACAAAATAACTGCATTAGATGTAGAAACAATGCTACTGGAAGTGGGAGAAATTAGCTCTAGTTGGATAGATTGGGGAAGGTTTTACTGACTAGCTGACATGTAAGCCGAACCTCTATGGACATATACGACTCAATTTCAACATTCAAAAGTGGGGATATGGAGAAGATATTCATTATGCATCCAGAAAACTTCCTGAGCCAAATGTAAGGAGACAGAGAAATATATATGAGAAGAGAAATATATACAAGCAGCCCAAGTTACATCCCTGACTATTACTATTACCCTGACTCGGGCTGCTTGTATTAATATATAGGATGGAATGGAAAGGATAGAGATTAGAGAAGCAGTTATGAAGCTAATCTTAAATATTCCAAATGAAAGATGGTAGAGGCCTGAATTAGGTTAGTAACAGGAGGGATGTAAAGAAACATATAACAGAGACAAGGTAGTAATTGAACAAGATGAGACTTGTGGAAAGTAAGCTAAAGGGAAGAGTTGAAGATGGCTTCAAAGGTTCCTTCTTAGATGATGGGGCAGGGGGAGGATGATAAGATGAAAGGTGATAGGCAACACAAGACAAGAAGCACATTTGACACATTGTTTGTTAAAGAGTCATTTTTAATGTGAAAGTAATTTTTAATTAATCCTAGATTATCTTTTTCTGAATTTGAATGTTGAAGATTTTTTAAAATTAAGAATTTATTGAAAATTGTTTGCTTTCAGGATATGGTAGTGAGAGTGAAATAGAGTAATACATTATTATACATTGTATCTTATTAAATATTTTATTTAAAATTAAAATAAATAAAATAGTTGGAAAAGACCCTTGATATCATTATTTTCTCTTAGGCCATGCCACAAAGCAAAGCTTAGAAAATACAGCTGAATCCTCAAACTTCTTTCTAACCAAAAATACATTTTGTGGATAAGAAATCTATAAAGAAATAAATGTTTGTAAACATTGGGCGGTTGTTATGGAATTTAAATATCTGTTCTTATTACCTAAGAATGTCTGGGTTTCAAGGCTGAATTAAAATAGATTCCAGGCATCTTTAAAGGTAAACAACACATCTGTTGATTTGTCTAGTACAATGGAAACTGACTGAATTTTGATTATGATAAAAATCAGCATCTTCCATCTATTTAGCAATACTTTTGGGTAATCTTTTCTCCTTTGGGGAATTTTCCAGATGTTTGGGAATATGATTCCAATTTACAAGAGTTGTTTTTATATTGTAGCTGAGTGATGTCCTAACTATGAAACTCTTAGGTTGGTGTAACTGTATCCAAAGGGTCCTCTGCAATGTGTGTAGGAATGCCCTGTGACACCTTGGCTTCTTTGACTTGCCCAGACTCTCAAAGCTAGGTGGCTGGAAGGTTTCCTGGAGGCAGAGTCCAGTTCTCATTGTAGTAATTTACATTAACAAAGGAATTAACATTTCCAGCTATCTTCTGGGATCACTCAGTTTTGAGCAACATTCATATAATGCAGTGAAAATGAATAGCTAGTACCACAAAACAATTTAGATGGTTCCTTTGGTACAGACGTTGACTTGTATTTTCTGAAAGGAAGAGAAGCTCTGAAATTCAGTGAAAATGACAGGGCGGTTGCTATTGTACACATTATTAGAAAGAACCATTTCAAATAACAATTGTAAACATGTATTTTAATGCTAATATACTGTAATAGCCTAGCATTGAGTAGTGAAACAATTTCAGACAAGTGTCCAAATTGTTTTATGACTACATTTATTTCTTAGTATTTATTTAGAAAATTAGTAGTCAATGCTTAGTTTTATCCCAGTATGGATTATAACTTGTATAATATTCTATAGAAAAATGTTACCTAACTGGAATAACTCAGAGCTGCCTCCCTCTGCCCCAGCAGTTGGTTTGTGCCCTATGTTTGCTGATTACCTTAAATATTTGCCCAAGTCAAGCCATAATTTAAAAAGCAAAATTCTCATTTAAAGAGTCACAAGCTTAGGGTGTCAAGTTGTAGATGAGTTTGGACTTGTGGGCCCTCTTGTTCCTCCTGATTAACACTGATGATACAGAGATGACAAATATGATTAACCCAGCATATAAAGAGACATAACATCTTAAAAGAGAGGAGAGATTTTTGGTGACTTTCTTGGCCAATACTATTTTGGAGATTTTTTTCCCATACGAAACTTACTGGCTAGCATTTCACTTTTGTTGGAACATTGACCTATGATTATTTTATTCAGTATTCTTGCATAGGCCTTTGAAAGGATACCTATCAATTTTATTGTACCAAATGTTCTTAAGAAAACACATTTGGTAGTTCTGATATTTTGAAGGTTTCTATAGAAACAAGAAATCTTACAGCCATTTTTTTTATATTGTTGCTCTGATTTACAATTCTGTATATGTAAAGGAGGAGTCTTATCACCTCAAACCAAGCAAAATTTGTAGAGCACCGATGATGTGCAAGTTTTGTGTCTTACAGTAAGGGAAACCTGTACAAATCCAGGAGCTTACAATATAATTAGAGTAGCTAGGCTCTCTTTGTGACAAGGTAACTAAGACTCCTAGGCAGTGAGCCATGCTTGCAGAGGGAGTGGTTGTGGAGAGCTGGAAGACTGCCCTGTGCTAGTGAAGTGAGAGCCAGTATAGATGTGTGAGGAGTAACAACCTCCAGGAATGCTTCCTTTGGACAATGATGCTACTTTGTTGGGTTTGCATTAGATATTTATTTCATAATGATTATATGTTTAGTACTTAACTTACAGGTTTCCAAAGAATTTTAGCTGTTGTTTTGGCTTTTTATTATGTTTGTTTTTTTTGTGTGTCGGTCTATAACCTCAGGGGCATAAGCCTTTTTTCCCTTCCCCCTATTTTACAGCTAGATGTACCCCCAAGGTATCTACATTAGGTATTTCTCCTAATGCTATCCCTCCCCTAGGCCCCCACCCCCCGACAGGCCCTGGTGTGTGATGTTCCCCTCTCTGTGTCCATGTGTTCTCATTGTTCAACTCCTACATGTGAGTGAGAACATGCAGTGTTTGGTTTTCTGTTCCTGTGTTAGTTTGCTGACAATGATGGTTTCCAGTTTTGGGCGGGTGTATGTGTCCAGGAATTTATCCATTTCTTCTAGATTTTCTAGTTTACGTGCGTAGAGGTGTTTATAGTATTTTCTGATGTTAGATTGTATTTCTGTGAGATAAGTGGTGATCTCCCTTTTATAATTTTTTATTGTGTCTGTTTGATCCTTCTCTCTTTTCTTCTTTATTAGTCTGGCTAGCGGTCTATCTACTTTGTTAATCTTTTCAAAAAAACAGCTCCTGAATTCACTGATTTTTTTTTGAAGAGTTTTTCATGTCTCTATCTCCTTCAGTTCTGCTCTGATCTTAGTTATTTCTTATCTTCTGCTAGCTTTTGAATTTGTTTGCTCTTGCTTCTCTAGTTCTTTTAATTGTGATGTTGGGGTGTCAATTTTAGATCTTTCCTGCTTTCTCCTGTGGGCATTTAGCGCTATAAATTTCCCTCTAAACACTGCTTTAGCTGTGTCCCAAAGATTCTGGTACATTGTGTCTTTGTTCTCATTGGTTTCCAAGAACGTATTTATTTATTTCCACCTTAATTTCGTTATTTACCCAGTAGTCATTCAGGAGCAGGTTGTTCAGTTTCCATGTAGTTGTATGGTTTTGAGTGAGTTTCTTAATCCTGAGTTCTAATTTGACTGCAGTGTGGTTGGAGAGACTGTTTGTTATGATTTCTGCTCTTTTGCATTTGCTGAGGGGTGTTTTACTTCCAATTATGTGGTCAATTTTAGAATAAGTGCTATGTGGTGCTGAGAAGAATGTATATTCTGTTGATTTGGGGTGGAGAGTTCTGTAGATGTCTATTAGGTTCCGTTGGTCCAGAGCTGAGCTCAAGTCCTGAATATCTCTGTTAATTTTCTGTCTTGTTGATCCAATATTGACAGTGAGGTGTTAAAGTCTCCCACTATTATTGTGTGGGAGTCTAAGTCTCTTTGTAGGTCTCTAAGGACTTGCTTTATGAATCTCGGTGGTCCTGTATTGGGTGCATATATATTTAGGATAGTTAGCTCTTCTTGTTGCATTGATCCCTTTACCATTATGTAATGCCCTTATTTGTCTTTTTTTTTTAATCTTTGTTGGTTTAAAGTCTGTTTTATCAGAGACTAGGATTGCAAACCCTCCCCCCCCCGTTTTTGTTTTTTTTTTTTTGCTTTCCATTTGCTTGGTAAATATTCCTCCATACCTTTATTTGAGCCCATGTGTGTCTTAGCATGTTAGATGTGTCTCGTGAATACAGCACACCAATGATTCTTGACTCTTTATCCAATTTGCCAGTCTGTGTCTTTTAATTGGGGCATTTAGCCCATTTACATTTAAGGTTAATATTGTTATGTGTGAGTTTGATCCTGTCATTATGATGCAAGCTGGTTATTTTGCCCGTTAGTTGTTGCAGTTTCTTCATAGTGTCAATGATCTTTACAATTTGGTATGTTTTTGTGGTGGCTGGTACCGGTTTTTCCTTTCCATATTTAGTGCTTCCTTCAGGAGCTCTTGTAAGGCAGGCCTGGTGGTGACAAAATCTCTCAGCATTTGCTTGTCTATAAAGGATTTTATTTCTCCTTTGCTTATGAAGCTTAGTTTGGCTGGATATGAAATTCTGCATTGAAAAATCTTTTCTTTTAGAGTGTTGAATGAATATTGGCCCCCACTCTCTTCTGGCTTGTGGGGTTTCTGCCGAGAGATCCACTGTTAGTCTGATGGGCTTCCCTTTGTGGGTAACCCGACCTTTCTCTCTGGCTGCCCTTAACATTTTTTCCTTCATTTCAACCTTGGTGGATCTGATGATTATGTGTCTTGGGATTCCTCTTCTCGAGGAGTATCTTTGTGGTGGTCTCTGTATTTCCTGAATTTGAATGTTGGCCTGTCTTGCTAGGTTAGGGAAGTTCTCCTGGATAATATCCTGAAGAGTGTTCTGCAACTTGGTTCCATTCTTTCTGTCACTTTCAGGTACACCAATCAAATCAAAAAATATTTGGTCTTTTCATATAGTCCCATATTTCTTGGAGGCTTTGCTCATTCCTTTTCATTCTTTTTTCTCTAATCTTGTCTTCATGCTTTACTTCATTAAGTTGTTCTTTAATCTCTGATATCCTTTCTTCTACTTGATGATTCGGCTATTGATACTTGTGTATGCTTCACGAAGTTCTCATGCTGTGTTTTTCAGCTCCATCAGGTCATTTATGTTCTTCTCTAAACTGGTTATTCTAGTTAGCAATTCCTCTAACTTTTTTTCAAGGTTCTTAGCTTCCTTGCATTGGGTTAGAACATGCTCCTTTATCTTGGAGGAGTTTGTTATTACCCACCTTCTGAAGCCTACTTCTGTCAATTTATCAAATTCATTCTCTGTTGTTTTGTTCCCTTGTTGGCGAGGAGTTGTGATCCTTTGGAGGAGAAGAGGCGTTCTGGTTTTTGGAATTTTCAGCCTTTTTGCGCTGTTTTTTCCTCTTCTTTGTGGATTTATCTAGCTTTGGTCTTTGATATTGGTGACCTTCAGATGGGGTTTTGGTGTGGACATCTTTTTTGTTGATGTTGATGCTTTTCCTTTCTGTTTGTTAGTTTTCCTTTTAACAGTCAGGCCCCTCTGCTGCAGGTCTGGTGGAGTTTGCTGGAGGTCCACTCCAGACCCTGTCTGCCTGGGTATCACCAGCAGAGGCTGCAGAACAGCAAAGATTGCTGCCTGTTCCTTCCCCTGGAAGCTTCATCCCAGAGGGGCACCCGCCAGATGCCAGCTGGAGCTCTCCTGTATGAGGTGTCTGTCGACCCCTGCTGGGAGGTGTCTCCCAGTCAGGAGGCACGGGGGTCAGGGACCCACTTGAGGAGGCAGTCTGTCCCTTAGCAGAGCTCGAGCACTGTGCTGGGAGATCCACTGCTCTCTTCAGAGCTGGCAGCAGGAACATTCAAGTCTGCTGAAGCTGTGCCCACAGCCACCCCTTTCCCCAGGTGCTCTGTCCCAGGGAGATAGGATTTTTATCTGAAAGTCCCTGACTGGGGCTGCTGCCTTTCTTTCAGAGATGCCCTGCCCAGAGAGGAGGAATCTAGAGAGGCAGTCTGGCTACAGAGGCTTTGCTGAGCTGCGGTGGCCTCCACCCAGTTCGAACTTCCTGGCGGCTTTGTTTACACTGTGAGGGGAAAACCGCCTACTCGGCTTGAGCTATATTTCTGATTCAGTTATTAGTGACTGTAAGATTTATACTTAGAGATCTTTGAGCATGACAAAGACTGTAGGTGAGGATCTAGCAACACCAACATGGAAGTAAAAGCTCTCAAATTCACAATAATTGCAGGAAGCCCAGTATACTCAATAAAGAATGAATGAAATATTTATTTAAAAAGTAGTTTTGCTTGTTTTAGTGACACCGATTTGCTTGTGTTAGTGACAACAATAACTCAGAATGGGCTAATGGAGTGTTACCAAGTAGAAGTCCCCCAGAGACCTGCTTTTTAACATACTACACAAAAGATTTGTAATTATGATGTTACAGTGCCTGTAGATGGTTAATTCCAGAATCCTGGAAATAATTTATTCTCTTTAAGCAAGTCCTGTATTTCCCTTACAACCTTAATTATAAAGTTGATTTGCTTAGCAGACCCTTCTTTTCCAAACTTGCTAAGGAAAACTTTCAGTCTAGGTCTGTTTGAATTAGCACAAATTTTGAAATAGTAGAGTTCAAATTAATGAGGTTTTATTCTGTTATGAAGAGCTTGTTTTCCATCATTGATAATTATTTCCAGGAAAGTTAAGTCTGCAGAAAGCATTCTCTCAGTTTCCTTAATGTTGTTTACCAAAGTTTAAGAAGTGGTTTTTAGTTACATGAGGGGAGAGTGAGGACATGGCAGTGGCAAAGGAAAATGAGGTGCTATAACCTGGTCTCTCAGATTTGTGGAGCAGGCTTTGAGCAGCATTCTAAACCAATATTATTCCTTGTAAAAGGCAAACCAGACCTTGGAATTTTAAAGTCTAATGTGATTGAGAGAATGTGTGCTGGTGCATAGTAATACTTTAACCCCCATCAGTCGGGTAAGTTGTAAGAACCTCTTAGGTGACAAATACCCTGACAGCCCCACGAGGCATGCACCATTTCCACCCATTTTCCCTAGAGTCAGCCCTTCTCCCACTAGATAATTCTCATTGCTTCAGAGGGTTGATTTTCAACAAGTCCTCCATCCCCCTAGACTGCTTACTAACCTGAAATCCCACAGAGAACAGGAAGAGTGGCCACTGGATTTTTTTGGAGGATTTAAAAAAATTTGTGTACTAATATCTGATTTTCTTTAGGCCCATGTTCATCTAAAGAGTCCGTTATCTTATGTTTCTTTTTTCTATGCCTGCCCTTGATGTCCTGTGATTCATCCAGTTCATAAGATGTTCCTTTATAAGAAGGTGAGAAAAGCATAAAAATAGACTAGTAATATGGGTCCCTATGTGTTTCAAACTGCAATAAAATATTATTATTAATTGCCCCATATAAGAAGCAATGGAGCTCCTTCAGGATGCAGAGTTTATGTGTGTTTTCCAGGGGGGTGATAGAGGCTGGGAGATCAAAGCAATTCTGTAACTTTATCATGGAATTATGTTTTTATCTATTTATAGCAGTCTATGAGTTTTAGATAGAAAAATGTTGCCAAACTTTGCTGTACTTTGAATGTACAGTAATCTAAAGACTAAAAAGAACAGTTAACACCTTCTAAATGAACAGCATTAAATAAATAAAAACAGGGGAAGACACACTTCAGTGGAACAGTTTAAAAGGATATTTTGAATGTAGGGGAACACTGACCATTTAATAAAGTATAACCAGTAATGCCATTTAATATTTGTTATACTGCCAATAACTTTATTAAATTTGAAACTACCTTCCTATATTCCTTCATTCATTCACTAAATATTTATTTACCAGCTACTGTGTGCTAGGCACTGGGTATATAATGGTGAGTAAAAATGAGCACAGTCACCATACTCATAGAGCTAAAGTTATACCTATAACATATACATGGGGATAAAGAGTCCAAAAGTTAGTTTTTAATTTGGATTTCTATAGGGTTTTGCTTAGCCTGGTAGATTTCTAGAGATAGGCTAGTATCCATGAACTTTAAGAAGTAATAAGACCTTGTGAGTTTAGGTGTCTTCCTCTTTTTTTTTTCTTTTTTTGTTTTTTATTTCTGGAATGTGACTTAGTTTATAAGACTTGCACTTCTCATTAGGTGCTTTGAGTAACTCGTATAATATGGTATTGTAGTGTAGTAAAACTTCAATGAAACAAGGTGTTCCACAGCATTGAAATTGAATGTAGCATGCTCCTGGATGTATACTCGTGCTTGGCACATAGCAGGCACTCAATACATATTTGTTGAAATAGTTCATGTTCATAGTTATGCCCTCATATCAGTAATCATTAGGACTGCTACTTATTCGTGAAAAGTTTTGTCACTATGGGGAGCAGAGCTGTTATCACATGACTGTAATTTAAATTGCATAGATTTTATCCATTGCCCTTTTCTCTTTTCTTTTTTTTTTCTAGTCCTAACTGCTAGAAATATTACCCCTGAAGGTATTTGTTTTCTTTTTTTTTTATTATACTTTAAGTTCTAGGGTACGTCTGCACAACGTGCAGGTTTGATACATAGGTATATATGTGCCATGTTGGTTTGCTGCACCATCAACTCATCATTTGCATTAGGTATTTCTCGTAATGCTATCCCTCTGCCAGCCCCCAACCCCACAACAGGCCCTGGTGTGTGATGTCCCGCACCCTGTGTCCAAGTGATCTCATTGTTCAATTCCCATCTATGAGTAAAAACATGTGGTGTTTGGTTTCCTGTCCTTGTGATAGTTTGCTGAGAATGATGGTTTCCAACTTCATCCATGTCCCTGCAAAGGACATGAACTCATCCCTTTTTATGGCTGCATAGTACTCCATGGTGTATATGTGCCACATTTTCTTAATCCAGTCTATCAGTGATGGACATTTAGGTTGGTTCCAAGTCTTTGCTATTGTGAATAGTGCTGCAATAAATATACTTGTGCATGATTTATAATCCTTTGGGTATATACCCAGTAATGGGATGGCTGGGTCAAATGGTAATTCTAGTTCTAGATCCTTGAGGAATCTCCACACTGTCTTCCACAATGGTTGAACCAATTTATACTCCCACCAACAGTGTAAAAGCATTCCTATTTCTCCACATCGTCTCCAGCATCTGCTGTTTCCTGACTTTTTAATGATTGCCATTCTAACTGGTGTAAGATGGTATCTCATTGTGGTTTTGATTTGCATTTCTCTGATGACCAGTGATGATAAGCATTTTTTCATGTGTCTGTTGGCTGCATAAATGTCTTCTTTTGAGAAGTGTCTGTTCATATCCTTTGCCCACCCTTCGACAGGGTGGTTTTTTTCTTGTTAATTTGTTTAAGTTCTTTGTAGATTCTGGATATTAATTAGCCCTTTGTCAGATGAGTAGATTGCAAAAATTTTCTCCCATTCTGTAGGTTGCCTGTTCACGCTGATGCCAGTTTCTTTTGCCATGCAGAAGCTCGTTAGTTTAATTAGATCCCATTTGTCTATTTTGGCTTTTGTTGCCATTGCTTTTGATGTTCTAGTCATGAAGTCCTTGCCCATGCCTATGTCCTGAATGGTATTGCATAGGTTTTCTTCTAGGGTTTTTATGGTTTCAGGTCTAACATTTAAGTCTTTAATCCATCTTGAATTAATTTTTGTATAAGGTGTAAGGAAGGGATCCAGTTTCAGCTCTCTACATATGGCTAGCCAGTTTTCCCAGCACCATTTATTAAATAGGGAATCCTTTCCCTATTTCTTGTTTTTGTCAGGTTTGTCAAAGATCAGATGGTTGTAGATGTGTGGCATTATTTCTGAGGGCTCTGTTGTGTTCCATTGGTCTATATCTCTGTTTTGGTACCAGTACCATGCTGTTTTGGTTACTATAGCCTTGCAGTATAGTTTGAAGTCAGGAAGTGTGATGCCTCCAGCTTTGTTCTTTTGGCTTAGGATTGTCTTGGCAATGCAGGCTCTTTTTTGGTTCCATATGAACTTTAAAGTAGTTTTTTTCCAGTTCTGTGAAGAAAGTCATTGGTAGCTTGATGGGGATGGCATTGAATCTATAAATTACTTTGGGCAGTATGGCCATTTTCACGATATCGATTCTTTCTATCCATGAGCATAGAATATTCTTCCATTTGTTTGTGTCCTCTTTTATTTCGTTGAGCAGTGGTTTGTAATTCTCCTTGAAGAGGTCCTTCACATCCCTTCTAAGTTGGATTCCTAGGTATTTTATTCTCTTTGTAGCAATTGTGAATGGGAGTTCACTCATGATTTGGCTCTCTGTTTGTCTGTTATTGGTATATAGGAATGCTTGTGATTTTTGCACATTGATTTTGTATCCTGAGACTTTGCTGAAGTTGCTTATCAGCTTAAGGAGATTTTGGGCTGAGACAGTGGGGTTTTCTAAATATACAACCATGTCATCTGCAAACAGGGACAATTTGACTTCTTCTTTTCCTAATTGAATACCTTTATTTCTTTCTCTTGCCTGATTGCCCTAGCCAGAACTTCCAACACTATGTTGAATAGGAGTGGTGAGAGAGTGCATCCTTGTCTTCTGCCAGTTTTCAAAGGAATGCTTCCAGTTTTTGCCCATTCATTATGATATTGGCTGTGGGTTTGTCATAAATAGCTCTTACTATTTTGAGATACGTTCCATCAATACCTAATTTATTGAGAGTTTTTAGCATGAAGGGTTGTTGAGTTTTGTCGAAGGCCTTTTCTGCATCTTTTGAGATAATCGTGTTTTTTGTCATTGGTTCTGTTTATGTAATGGATTACGTTTATTGATTTGCATATGTTGAACCAGCCTTGCATCTCAGGGATGAAGCCAACTTGGTCGTGGTGGATAAGCTTTTTGATGTGCTACTGGATTCGGTTTGCCAGTATTTTATTGAGGATTTTTGCATTGATGTTCATCAAGGATATTGGTCTAAAATTCTCTTTTTTGTTGCGTCTCTGCCAGGCTTTGGTATCCGGATGATGTTGACCGCATAAGATGAGTTAGGGAGGATTCCCTCTTTTTCTATTGATTGGCATAGTTTCAGAAGGATTGGTACCAGCTCCTCTTTGTACGTCTGGTAGAATTCAGCTGTGAATTCATCTGGTCCTGGACTTTTTTTGGTTGGTAAGCTATTAATTATTGCCTCAATTTCAGAGCCTGTTATTGGTCTATTCAGACATTCAAATTCTTCCTGGTTTAGTCTTGGGAGAGTGTGTGTGTCCAGGAATTTATCCATTTCTTCTAGATTTTCTAGTTAATTTGCATAGAGGTTTTTATAGTATTCTCTGATAGTAGTTTGTATTTCTGTGGGATCGGTGGTGATATCCCCTTGATCATTTCTTCTTGCGTCTATTTGATTCTTCTCTCTCTTCTTATTAGTCTTGCTAGCGGTCTATCAGTTTTGTTGATCTTTTCACAAAACTAGCTCCTGGATTCATTGATTTTTTTGAAGGGGTTTTTTTGTGTGTCTCTCTCTCTTTCAGTTCTGCTCTGATCTTAGTTATTTCTTGCCTTTTGTTAGCTTTTGAATTGGTTTGCTCTTGCTTCTCTAGTTCTTTTTTTTTTTTTTTTTTTTTTTTTTTTGAGACTGAGTCTGGCTCTGTCACCCAGGCTGGAGTGCAATGGCGCGATCTCAGCTCATTGCAAGCTCCGCCTCCCGGGTTCACGCCATTCTCCTGCCTCAGCCTCCCAAGTAGCTGGGACTACAGGCGCCCACCACCATGCCCGGCTAATTTTTTGTATTTTTAGTAGAGATGGGGTTTCACCGTGTTAGCCGGGATGGTCTCGATCTCCTGACCTTGTGATCTGCCCACCTTGGCCTCCCAAAGTGCTGGGATTACAGGCATGAGCCACGGTGCCCAGCTAGTTCTTTTAATTGTGATGTTAGGGTGTCGATTTTAGATCTTTCCTGCTTTCTCTTGTGGGCATTTAGTGCTATAAATTTCCCTCTACACACTGCTTTAAATGTGTCCCAGAGATTCCGGTACGTTGTGTCTTTGTTCTCATTGGTTTCAAAGAACATTTTTATTTCTGCCTTCATTTAGTTATTTACCCAGTAGTCATTCAGGAGCAAGTTGTTCAGTTTCCATGTACTTATGTGGTATTGAGTGAGTTTCTTAATCCTGAGTTCTAGTTTGATTGCACTGTGGTCTGAGAGACAGTTTGTTGTGATTTCTGTTCTTTTACATTTGCTGAGGAGTGCTTTACTTCCAAGTATGTGGTCAGTTTTAGAATAAGTGTGATGTAGTGCTGAGAAGAATGTATATTCTGTTGATTTGGGGTGGAGAGTCCTGTAGATGTCTCTTAGGTCTGCTTGTTGCAGAGTCAAATTCAGGTCCTGGGTATCCTTGTTAACCTTCTGTCTCGTTGATCTGTCAAATATTGACAATGGGGTGTTAAAGTCTCCCATTATTATTGTGTGGGAGTCTAAGTTTCTCTGTGGGTCTCTAAGGACTTCATTTATGAATCTGGGTGCTCCTGTATTGGGTGCATATATATTTAGGATAGTTAGCTCTTCTTGTTGCATTGATCCCTTTACCATTATGTAATGGCCTTTTTTGTCTCTTTTGATCTTTGTTGGTTTAAAATCTGATTTATCAGAGACTAGGATTGCAACCCCTGCTTTTTTTTGCTTTCTGTTTGCTTGGTAGATCTTCCTCCATCCCTTTATTTTGAGCCTGTATGCGTCTTTGCATATGAGATGGGTCTCCTGAATACAGCACACTGATGGGTCTTGACTCTTTATCCAACTTGCCAGTCTGTGTCTTTTAATTGGGGTATTTAGCCCATTTACATTTAAGGTTAATATTGTTATGTGTGAATTTGACCCTGTCATTATGATGTTTGCTGGTTATTTTGCCTGTTAATTGATGCAGTTTCTTCTTAGCATCGATGGTCTTTACAATTTGGCATGTTTTTGCAGTGGCTGGTACCAGTTGTTTCTTTCCACGTTTAGTGCTTCCTTCAGGAGCTCTTGTAAGACAGGCCTGGTGGTGACAAAATCTGTCAGCATTTGCTTATCTGTAAAGGATTTTATTTCTCCTTCACTTATGAAGTTTAGTTTGGCTGGATATGAAATTCTGGGTTGAAAATTCTTTTCTTTAAGAATGTTGAATATTGGCCCCCACTCTCTTCTGTCTTGTAGCGTTTCAGCTGAGAGATCCGCTGTTCCCTTTGTGGGTAACTGGACCTTTCTCTCTGGCTGCCCTTAACACTTTTTGCTTCATTTCAACCTTGGTGAATCTGACAATTATGTGTCTTGGGGTTGCTCTTCTCGAGGAGTATCTTTGTGGCGTTCTCTGTATTTCCTGAATTTGAATGTTGGCCTGCCTTGCTAGGTTGGGGAAGTTCTCCTGGATAATATCCTGAAGCATATTTTCCAACTTGGTTCCATTCTCCCCATCACTTTCAGGTACACCAATCACACGTAGATTTGGTCTTTTGACATAGTCCCATATTTCTTGGAGGCTTTGTTTGTTTCTTACTTTTTTATCTCTAACCTTGTCTTCTCGCTTTACTTCATTAATTTGATCTTCAATCACTGATACCCTTTCTTCCACTTGATTGAATCGGCTCTTGAAGCTTGAGCATGTGTCACGAAGTTCTCGTGCCATGGTTTTCAGCTCCATCATGTCACTTAAGGTCTTCTCTACACTGTTTATTCTAGTTAGCCATTTGTCTAATCTTTTTTCAAGGTTTTTAGCTTCCTTGCGATGAGTTTGAACATCCTCCTTCAGCTCGTAGAAGTTTGTTGTTACCGACCTTCTGAAGCCTACTTCTGTCAACTCGTCAAAGTCATTCTCCGTCCCACTTTGTTCCGTTGCTGGTGAGGAGCTGTGACCCTTTGGAGGAGAAGAGGTGCTCTCATTTTTAGAATTTTCAGCTTTTCTGCTCTGGTTTCTCCCCATCTTTGTGGTTTTATCTATCTTTGGTCTTTGATGTTGGTGACCTGTAGATGTGGTTTTGGTGTAGATGACCTTTTTGCTGATGTTGATGCTATTCCTTTCTGTTTGTTAGTTTTCCTTCTAACAGTCAGGTCCCTCAGCTTCAGGTCTGTTGGAGTTTGCTGGAGTTCCACTCCAGACCCTGTTTGCCTGGGTATCACCAGCGGAGGCTACAGAACAGCAAATATTGCAGAACAGCAAATATTGCTGCGTGATACTTCCTCTGGAAGCTTCGTCCCAGAGGGGCAGCTGCATATATGAGGTATCTGTTGGACCCTACTGGGAGGTGTCTCCCAGTTAGGCTACACGGGGGTCAGGGACCCACTTGAAGAGGCAGTCTGTCTGTTCTCAGATCTCAAACGCTGTGTTGGGAGAACCACTGCTCTCTTCAGAGCTGTCAGACAGGGATGTTTAAGTCTGCAGAAGTTGTCTGCTGCCTTTTCTTCAGCTGTGCCCTGCCCACAGAGGTGGAGTCTAGAGGCAGTAGGCGTTGTTGAGCTGAGGTGGGCTCCGCCCAGTTCGAGCTTCCTGGCTGCTTTGTTTACCTACTCAAGCCTCAGCAATGGCGGATACCCCTCCCCCAGCCAGGCTGCCGCCTCGCAGATGCATCTCAGACTGCTGTGCTAGCAGTAAGCAAGGCTCCGTGGGCGTGGGAGCTGCCGAGCCAGGCACGGGAGAGAATCACCTTGTCTGCCGGTTGCTAAGACCTTGGTAAAAGCATAGTATTTGGGCAGGGAGTGTCCCGCTTTTCCAGGTAGTCTGTCACGGCTTCCCTTGGCTAGGAAAGGGAAATCCCCCAACACCTTGCGCTTCCCGGGTGAGTCAACGCCCCGCCCTGCTTCAGCTCGCCCTCCGTGGGCTGTTCCCACTGTCCAACCAGTCCGAATGAGATGAACCAGGTACCTCAGTTGGAAATGCAGAAATCATCCACCTTCTGCATTGGTCATGCTGGGAGCTGCAGACTGGAGCTGTTCCTGTTCGGCCATCTTGGCAACTCCCATTGCCCTTTTTTCATCCTCAAATGAAGCTATTTCCTTTCTGTATCTATTGTGGTGTTCCTAATATGTAGCATAGTACAGAATCAGCAATTGCCACTATTTCAGCAGCACATTTTGAAGCTTTTCCAACATATTTTATTACCCCATGTGCTTATCTCATGGAAACAAAAGTAAAGTAGGACCTTTTCAATGGGAGAATTAAATAACTTTTAAGGGTAATAGAATGGAAACCTATACAAGTAAAATTTTTCTTTGAAAACTAGGTTCTTAAGATATGACCAGACAAGAGATGAAGAGTTAAAATGTCCTTTTCTGTTTTATCAGGCTAATTTTAAAAATGTTTGTTGAAAGGAGTAAAGTAAAACCTGTTCCAAGTTGAGATTGGAAAGTAGGTTTGCTTAACGTATGAGACTTTAGCAGTACATCAAGAATCACATATTTGACCTGAACTGAATCTACCCATGTCATTGTGCTATTTACTTGAAAACGAATGTTGAGATTATCTTGCCCTGAACAATTTTGTAGTTATACACGCACAACCAGAACATACAGTTGCTTTTACAATAGGGACAGATTCTCTATTTAGAGTTTGATAAAAGAGAACCAAATACTCTATTTTAAAAATGTATAGCCTTTCCCTTGAATAATCCTTTATGTAGCTCAGCAGCTAAGTAGAAATGATGGGACAGAATGGATGAACTGCGAGGTGAGACCAGCCCCTACTAGGAGCGTATAAGCAAGATGAGGAGGGAGTGGAGTGGATAAGAAACGCAGAGGAAGACAATAGTTAAGACTGCATTCTCCACACACACATAGTGTTGGTGCTCCGCTGCTCCCCCACCCTTATCTGCTTAATTTATAAGTTCTGCTTGGCTTCATCATGCTGACACGTGCCAGGTGCCTGTCAGTGCTGAGTTATGTTGGGCAGCTCACTGTTTCACTGTTTTAGCTATTCCCTGGTGCCCTAGGCATCATTTTCCTCTTTGCATCTTGAACATCTGCTCTGGAGTGTTATTGGATTATGTGAAAGAATGATGGAAAGATCAGTGAATTGGGGAAGTCAGGAGATGTCACTGATTTCTAAGTAGTTTTGTGACTTTGGGCATGCAGCTTTTTGCTCTTAGTTATCCCCAAAATCAAATGAAGGATGTAGACTAGATGATCTCTAAGCGCTTCTAGCTGACATTTGCTTGACCCCATGACTTTAGGGGGCCTTGTTCTTGGAGGACACCTATTATGATTTCTAATATAATGTAGTATTAGCTTTGTCTATTTCATGGGGCTGTTTTGAGTTTCAGCTAGGATAAAAGATGTGAAGATGCTTTGGAAACTATTAAGAATCATATAAAACAAAAATGATACGAGTAGTTTAAAAGATTCTTTCCTCCAAAGATACCATATAGTGATAAAAATTAAAGTAATTCCATTTAAATGAATGTGAGGCCAATTACAGAGGCCATAAGAACAGACATGCAGTTATACTTACCATAGAGAAATATGCCATTTAAAAGCACACAGATCAAGGAATGATTCAATAAACATTGATTGATTGGTTAGGCAGCTAGGCTTTGGGGATGAGGTATTCTACTTTTCTTCCTGATCCCCCTTGTGCTTGTCAAGTTTGAAAGAAACAGGCAGTGGATCATGTTCTTTTCTCTGTCACTATCACCCATCCACTCCACGAAAGTTAGAATAGAACATTAAAACCTGTACAGAAGGGAATGGGTCATCTTGACCCAATAGCAGAGTATGAGAACATGAGGCCGCCTTGCATACTGGCTTGTCAGACTTGGCCTCGCCAGCACTAGGTAGCAGTGAAGGCAGCTGCCGTATGCCTTTGTCTTTGTGGTCCTCTTCTCTTCCTCCACCCCCATTCTGTTCTTTCATGTCCTTCTTGTGACCTTTTACTATTCTTTCTTCCTTACCTTACTAGAGTAGAAAAGAGGAGCGCATACAAAAGGTGGGGAAAAGGAAGAAGAGAAAGGAAAATAAAGATTAAAAACTTTACAATGAGGTAGTGGGGAAGGTTGGGCTCCTCTCTTTCTCTTTCTCCTTCTCAGTATGACGGACTTGATAATTTTACTTTGTACCTCATCTTTAAGTTTGACTTCATTCTTTTCTTTAGTTACCTTTAGTCCCCGATCAGTGACATATGCAGAAAATTATAAACAGGCCGCATGATAGGAACCAGTATCCTGCCTCTCAGCAGACTTGTATCATCTAGGACTGGCAGTAGTTTTAGAAAGGACAGCTGAACCAGCCTGACATGACACATAAGTTAGAGTGACAACACATGTTTTGCAGTTTATAGAGTTCAATTAATAGATTTGATTGCCATGGAAAGAGGGAAGGAAAAGAATTGCATGACTCGTGTACTGAGTATGAGAGAGCTTATTCATACAGGTTGGAAAAGCAAAATTAAAAAATCAGAAACAGGCCCACCAGCCTAGATATGTCCAAAACTAGTACTTTGGTAACCTATTATGACTTCCAGCAGATTAAGTTTCAAACTGTGGAAAGGGCTTCGGAATAAGGGAAGGCTTAGCATCCCACTAATAAGGCTTATTAAGTTTAGATAAAACAGATGTTTTTCAATGGTAGCAGCTCTGAGTCACCAAGATCAAAATGGAGAAAGAAGAGAACAAAAACAAGCTAACACTTTCATTAAAAAGGTACTATTTTTCTTAGGCATTTTCAGAACCTGCTCACATTTATACTTAATACTTTCAGTTAAATCCTATGAACGGAAGCATTAATTGGGGAAAAATTCCTTAATACTGATTAAATGTATATACATTTATGTTGATTTGCTGACATTCTGAAAGTGGTACTATGAAAAGAGAATGGGATTTAGAGGCAGGCGGTCCTAATTTCATATGTCAGCTCTCTTACCTGTTTTTGTTTCTTTGTTTTTGTTTTTGTTTTGAGATGGAGTCTCACTTTGTTGCCTGGGCTGGAGTGCAGTGGCGCAATCTCAACTCACTGCAACCTCCACCTCCTGGGTTCAAGTGATTCTCCTACCTCAGCCTCCTGAGTAGCTGGGATTACAGGCATCCACCACCATGCCCGGCTAATTTTTTTTGTATTTTTAGTAGAGATGGGGTTTTACCATGTTGGTCAGGCTGGTCTTGAACTCCTGACCTCGTGATCCGCCTGCCTTGGCCTCCCAAAGTGCTGGGATTACAGGCATGAGCCACTGCGCCCGACCAGCTCTCTTACCTGTTTTTAGAACCATTGGCAAGTTACTTAATCTCACTGATCATCACTGAACCTCAGCTTCTTCCTCTACAAAATGGAGTTGTTTTGAGGACTAAACAACTTAATGCATGTATAGTACCTTACTCACAGTAGGTACTTAGCAGATATTGGCTTTCTGAGATTTTAAGCTGCTTTTGCTCATAGTGCCATGTCTAAATATCTTAGGACCAGTCTTCTAGAGCTTGATGAGGAGCTTTAGGCCATCCAAAGAGGGATGCACCTGAAGGATTCATTGTGGGGTGAGATAAAAATATTAGAAAGTCTATTTATATCATTTTAGATAAAATATAAGAAAGTATTTAAACTCCACTAATGTTTAACATGTGGATTGACCCTGATGCTCTCCTTTGGTCCATGTTGGAGAGTCACTGTCATATACTCTAAATGAGGGATCCCGAGAAAAGTGTGAGATTTCTTGATTTGGTGAGAGTTCATGGTGGCATGCACATTCTTTTGCTCACTTTAGGCATATTGTAACATATTTCAGTTTACATGTACCTAGTTAAGTAGATTTCTAGTTCTTAGTACAGGTTGAGCATCCCAAATCCAGAAATCTGAATTGCTCCAAAATCCAAAACTTTTGAGTACCAATGTAACGCTTAAAGGAAATACTTCAGATCTCAGAATTTTGGATTTGGGATGTTCAACCAGTATAATGCAGATATTCCCAAATCACAAAAAAATCCCAAGTTTGAAACACTTCTAGACTCCAGCATTTTGAATAAGGGATATTCCAACCTATATAATCTTCATCCTGTGGTTTCTTTGCAGGAATCTTCTTAAGCTGTTTGACTATTGTGTGTAGGTCAGTTAAAGCTAGATAAACTAACCCACGCAGAATGGACAAGTGGCTTAGGAAGATTCCTGCAAGGAAAAAAATGGGCTGATGATAACAGTGATAATGCAAGGGCAAGAAAATGGTGAACTAGCTGACACTTCTATGAGTTTCCTCTTAATTTAGCCAAGTCATGAAGTGAAAACAAAAATAATCTAATCAAATCTGACAAGATGTCAGCCCCAAAACAAGAAAGGATCAAGAGCATTATTTAATTTATACTCACTGTCTTTAATAACAAAGCCTACTCTAAGTATCATGCTTTGATATATTAGCCTGTCATAGTAGTACAAGTATATACTTTATAAATATACATATTGAGGATGTGTGCTCAAACTTTTTTTAGTGATAAGAATACTCAATCAAAACTGTTTGGATCCTGGTGATGACAGACGACATTGTCAGCCAATCCCCATGTGGTAGTGAGGACATGTCCTGCAGTTCTGAAGGGATTCTATGGATTTTTTTTAATTTAAAAAACGAAAAACTAATTTTAAAAAAAAACAGCTTGGAGACTGCTATTTTAAATGAGGAAAGCAGTTGCTGCCTATGGAATCTCTCATCTCTCATTCTGTATCTGCTGCTTAGAAATCATTTTTCTTGTTTTTGTTTTGTTTTGTTTTGTTTTTTACCTAAGGATTTTGCTATAGTATGAATAGTAGGATAGAGAGTAATATATCTAAATCCATCAAACATGATTTAGGGAACTTTATTTCTGATAAACATTTCTTCTACAGAAGTAAAAGAACAATTCCTGCCCAAAAGATTTAAAAACTGTAGTTCAAGAAAACTAAGAAACTGTTTCAAAGCAGCATATGAATCCCTGCCTGCAGTATAATGGAAACTCTTGATGAAGATGTACCTTACTTGATGTAGATTTGTTTCTGAAAAATATATATATATCTTTTTTTTATTTCTGTAAAACTCCCTGTAACTCTGAGTCAGTTGGTAACCAGTAAACCAGTAGCATATTGTAAAACAGATCTTTTCAAAAAGAGCGCTAACCTGCTCTGATTATTCCTCTCAGCAGTCCTATAGCATGATTTTAACACGTATTTTATACATATCCATATATTATTTAGTAATCTATTCTTATATTCTCCATGGCTCTTTGCATAATAAAAAGCAAATAGTGGGTGTTTAATACTTATTTTGAAAATGAAAGAAAATGAAATGAAAACACCAGAACCTGGAAAGGTAGTCATTATCCCCCGAGATGGCCACATTTAATTCCTAGAGAAGATAACTTGTTTAGTTCTTCCCACAGCACAGCTTAGTCCTGTGGCTCCCTTTCTTTCACCAGAGCCATAATATGGGGCAGCCCTGTGGACAGACGGATGATCAATCAGAGTTCTTTGACAGCCACTACTTATTGAGTAGGTTAGTAAAGGCACTTGTGCAGTTATTATTATTTTATTTGTTACAGTTGCTCCATTAGGTGGGTACTGTTATGATCTCCATTTCATAAATGAGGAAATGAAGGCTGGCATAGATTAAGAGACTTGCCCAAATGTCACACAACTAATGTATAGTGGAGCCAGGATCCAAATGCAAGTATATCTGACTCCAGAACCCAAGCTGTTGGCCATTGTAATATGTTATGTTCTAGAGAACTGTGAAATAGTGCTCATTAATTAACGATTACTTCAATTTTGCATTTTAGGAGCTATATTTATTGGCATAAGTCACAGAGAACTGTTGTTATACCTTGGAGACACACTTTTGATGGGTCTGGGGAAGTAATACTAATTTGGGATTGTAGACCAGGTTTCTAAATTCCAATTCAGTTCAAGAGGTGGTTCATTCAGTTTTATAGTATATCCTAACTTAAGAGAACACACGGATGAGATCCCTGGAAATTTTGCCAGTCTGTGTGTTACACAGTCTCTTGAAGGTAGAGACAATCTCATATCTTCACATTTCCAAGCTTATAATTGTCAGTGGTCATATCGTAATCTTTTCCAAACCCACACATTTTTTTCTTGCCAAGGCCTCGAGAGCACTGTTGTTATGGTGTACAGTAACAAATGACCCAGTTATATTGAGTTTTAAAGATGAACCAGATTCATAAAGAGAAAATTAAATTATATTCATTTTACTTTGGCAGATTTTCATCAGAAAAACATAATTTAAACAAAAATAGTTTCTAGTAGTTCATTTCTAAAAACAAGATAGAGTAAATCTAGAAACTCTGCAGAGAAAGCATTATGTAGACATTTTGTAGAGGGAAATAAGAAATACTTTCTGTATATACAAACATTTAGCCATCTGTTTCTTTATGTATCTTTTATTTTCCAGTTTTAGCTCTGCTCCACTAAATCAAATTCAGACCCAATTCTCTTAATTTAGAGGGGAGGAATTTGTGGCCTAGGAGGCAGATTCTGATGATACTTGCTGGTCCTCACAGCTGGCAGCTCACAGGGAATTTTCCCTTCCTGGTGGGCAGCTATGGCTATCTCATAGAGAGTAGAGGCTTTTAAGAATGCAAGATCAGAGCATTTCAGGAACTTTAATCAGAGGGCAGTAAGTGATAACACTCTAAAGCCTAAGTGAATCTCATAGGATAGAAGCCCGATAATATATATCAAAACCTACTGAACCTGTTATCCTTTATCTCCCTCTCCTCTCTCTTACTTTTCCATTCTCCCTTTCTTGCTTTCTCCTTGTTTCTTTGCATATGTCTCTATTTGAGCCCTTTCTAAGTGTCCCCCTTTTTTGTACTTTCTTTGACTCCTACTTCTTTTTTCAGCTTCTTGCTTTTCTCTTCCTTTCTCTTTTTACATATTCCTTTTTCCTTTTTCTTTCTTTTTTTTTTTTCCAGAATTGGATAATATGGTTTTTTTTTTTAATTTAAGTTTTAGGGTACATGTGCACATTGTGCAGGTTAGTTACATATGTATACATGTGCCATGCTGGTGCACTGCACCCACTAACTCGTCATCTAGCATTAGGTATATCTCCCAGTGCTATCCCTCCCCCCTCCCCCGACCCCACAACAGTCCCCAGAGTGTGATATTCCCCTTCCTGTGTCCATGTGATCTCATTGTTCAATTCCCACCTATGAGTGAGAATATGTGGTGTTTGGTTTTTTGTTCTTGCGATAGTTTACTGAGAATGATGTTTTCCAATTTCATCCATGTCCCTACAAAGGACATGAACTCATCATTTTTTATGGCTGCATAGTATTCCATGGTGTATATGTGCCACATTTTCTTAATCCAGTCTATCATTGTTGGACATTTGGGTTGGTTCCAAGTCTTTGCTATTGTGAATAATGCCGCAATAAACATACGTGTGCATGTGTCTTTATAGCAGCATGATTTATAGTCCTTTGGGTATATACCCAGTAATGGGATGGCTGGGTCAAATGGTATTTCCAGTTCTAGATCCCCGAGGAATCGCCACACCGACTTCCACAATGGTTGAACTAGTTTACAGTCCCACCAACAGTGTAAAAGGGTTCCTATTTCTCCACATCCTCTCCAGCACCTGTTGTTTCCTGACTTTTTAATGATTGCCATTCTAACTGGTGTGAGATGGTATCTCATTGTGGTTTTGATTTGCATTTCTCTGATGGCCAGTGATGATGAGCATTTTTTCATGTTTTTTGGCTGCATAAATGTCTTCTTTTGAGAAGTGTCTGTTCATATCCTTTGCCCACTTTTTGATGGGGTTGTTTTTTTCTTTCTTTCTCTCCTATCTTCTCTTCCTTTTGTTCCATCCCTTAGTTCTTTCCTCTATTCCCCATGAATTACCCATCATATCATATTAAGCATATATATTAAAATTAATAAATGTTAATGGTCATTGAGCAGCAAGAAGGTTTTATTATTACTGTAAAAGGAAAAACATCTCCCAGTTAAGTAACACTGTACATATAGCTTACAATTGAAACTTTTCTTTTGAGTAACAGCCCTCACCAAAATAAGGCACCTTTCCTCCTTCCTTAACCATAATTGTGTCTTTTGTTCTTCCTCTCTACCCTTAGGTTTGATGAATAGGCACATTTTTACATTTTGTTTTGTGTCCATTACTTCGTGAATTTTAGAAAGCTAAAATTGCTACTTAGTGAGACAGAGCGGTAGATAATTTTTCAGATGTGGGTTTAGGATTCTAGTATTCTGAGTTTCTGGGGTTCAAACATGCCATGTATGCATTCTATTCCAGAAGCTCTAGCAGGGAATGACAGAATATGGAATTTCCTGGTGGTTGAAACCCCTCATGAAAAAACTGCTTTTAGTTTTAGACTAAAACATAGTTGAATTGCTTCTCTTTGCCTGTCCAAACAGGGATTTTTAATTTGGGTTTTAATTACTTCCTTGTCCTGAATAATAGTTATATGTAATATGAAGCCCCTCTCAGTTTGATAACTTTCCAGCAGTTAACCGATTAAGGTCAACAATATTTTAGAAAGTGAATGAACAAGTGAGCAAATGACTAGACAGAGTCCCTTAAATTATTTCTGTTACATGCTCTATCGTTTACGATGAGCCTTGTAATATCTAAGGTTTTGCCTCTTTTCAGCGACTTTTTTTTCTTTTTAGCATAGTTTCCAGGCACTGTCACAAACTCTTTGGTTCTTTCATAGCTAAACTCTTAATATCTTTTCTTAAAATGTTCATTTTTATTAAAGTACTATATAACATTATATATTAACTTTGACAAATGTTAACGTTCCTTCTCAATTAGGTGAGGTGTATTCTTGAGAAGGTGCCAATTTGAATTGAATATATTTGAATTTGATATGTGAACTAAACTGTAATTGTTTAAAGCTTACCCATCCATCATATGGGTGATGGAGCAGCTGACTGATTTTACATGTAAGTGTTTTGTTTTGTTTTTCTAGCAATATTTAAACATTAGAAAATGATTTCCTATTCTAACAAAGAGAAATTCATATGAATTTACTTACAGGACCCCCTTGTCAGTTCCTTAGACTGCCTAGAATTTAAATTGGCAGATACTACTTTGGTATAAAATGCTTTCTATGGACAGTATTAATATTTTAAAATGTTTTACTCCTGCAGATTTCCAGTAGACAGGAAGTCTAGCTCTGTTTACCCTTTGGCTACTAATGAGTGCTGCTGAATGATTATTTATCATCTTTAGGTAGAGGTACCACAGGTATGAGATCAGAATTGCCAAGTAAGGCAAGCATTTAATTTTAAAATTTGAAAACAAATCCATGCAAAGGTGACAACTAAAGTATAGATACTCGAAAGAATTTTGGACTTGAGTCAGAAAATCTCAGTTGTATCCCTACCCTTGTCATTAACTTAGCTGAGTCACCTTGAGTAAGTCACTGCCCAACTCCAGATTACAGTATTCTCTCTAAAAGCACAATTTCAACATTGCATATTCTAAAGAGAGCTTGGTTAAGGAAAGCTTGGTTGAGGAAAGCTGAATCTTGTTGTTTATCAGCTATCCACACCAGCCTGGCAGCTCTGAGGTCAGTCTCCAGCTGTATTTTCATCTTTTTGTAATCTCTTAAATCCTTGCAGGCTTTCATTGCTAGTTCATTTCCCTAGAAATTTACATTTAGAGACATTGAGGACTTCCTACCTTTGTAATTTTTCTGTGTTCATGAATTTAATGAAAAATTACTTAGAGCTGGCTAAAAAATGCAAGAATCAAAAGTCTTGTTTAAATGTCTCTGTAAAATCAGACTATTCCCATCATGACTAACAACCTTTACTATTTCAGAGTTTTGAAATCAGTATGTTTGAATCTTGACATGGTGAGGCACCATTGTCATTTTATCCCATTCATTGTTCTAGCATTTTCCTACTAACTCCTTGTTCTAAACATTCTTCTTTTTTTTTAAGCCTAGAATGAGTGAACAAACAACAAGGCTCCATGTCATGAGAAAAGCACTGTAGCCTGATCTTCACTTATGTTTTAGGTATTTGAAAATTACATTGATTTCAAATAGTTTGAACTGCATTGAGCTAAAACTTATCTTTTATTGGTCTGCTAGGAAATGAACTAAACAAAATAACTTGCCTCAAAGTATTGAGAAATTAACTGTATAGCGACTTCAGCATGTGTATTTTTAAAATGAAAAAGCTAGAGCTAGGTACAAAATGTGCTTCATTAAAGGAGGTCTAGCACTATATTCAAAAGGTCAAACAACAACAAATATTGGTGTGGATGTGGAGAAACTGGAACTCATACATTGCTGCTGGGAAAGTAGAATCGTGCAGCCATTGTGAGAAATAGTTCATTGGTTCCTCAAAAAGTTAAAGGTAGAATTACCTTTATGATCCAGCAGTTCCACTCCTAGCTATCTATCCAAGAGAAATGAAAACATACATCCACATTAAAACTTATACATCAATTCCCTAGCAGCACTATTTATAATAGCCAAAAAGTGGGAACAGCCCAAATGTCCATCAACCAATGAATAGGTAACAAAATTTGGTGTATCCATACAATGAAATATTATTAGGCAATGAAAAGAATGAAGTACTGATACATGCTACAACATGGATGAAATCTCAAAAATATGCTAAGTGAAAGAAGCCAGACGCTAAAGGCAATATATTGTATGATTTCATTTATACAGAATGTCCAGAATAGGCAAATCCATAGAAACAAAGTAGATTAATGGTTTCCAGGAGCTGGGAGTGGTGCCAATATGCAGTGACTGCTATTGGGTACGTAGTTTCTTTTAAGGATGATGAAAATGTTCTAATATTGCATAATGGTGATGGTTGCACAACTGTGAATATACTAAAAGCCATTGAATTATATACTTTAAAAGGGTGAATTTTGTGGTATGTGAATTATATCTCAATAAAAGTGTTATGGATTAAAAACATTAGTGACTGTATTACTATAACTATTTGAAATTATAAAAGTATATTTAAATTACATTTTATGCCAGGACTAGGGGCGGGGGGGAATGGGGAGTTAGTATTTAATGGGTGCAGAGTTTCAGTTTGGAAAGATGAAAAAGTTCTGGAGATGGAAGATAGTGATAGATACCCAACAAATATATTTAATTTTACAGAACTATATACTTAACAATGGCTAAAATAGTAATTTTATGTTATGTATATTTTACCACAGTAAAAAAATCCATAACCCCCTAAGATTATATTTTATATTATTCTAATGAATGATGTGTCTTTTACTCTTTTTCTTCTTTTAACAGTAAAACTGAAAATGTGATTGGCCTTTTGTTTTTTATGCATATAATTCTTCTGGTCTGTATTTTAGAACTTCTTTCCTGTGTGGCGTTGGGGGATGCGGGTGGTTACACACACACGTCTTTATCTTGGCTTTGAATGAGAACTTGGAAGTATTTTTTAAAACTTTTATTTGTCAGTAGGAAAATAAAAGAAGCCAAACCATAGGAAATTTACGTAATTAAATTATAAAATAGTGAAATGCTGTTCTCAGAGTATGAATTATCACAGATTTCCTGATTTTCTTGGTTAATCTTGGCATCTTGAATGGGAAAAACATATATACTTTTATACATATATAACATCTCTGTATCTTCCTATAAGCATTTTCCTTTGTATAGCAGGATAAAATGAGCACCAAAATGTGGTGCAAATATAAAAACGCAGTGGATGAGCTTCAAAATGCAAACAAAGGGATGGGAAAATGAAAAAAAGAAAATTCAGCAGTGAGAAAGTCACTGAAAAAGGAATTAAATTCTTTCCAAGTCTATGGAACTATGTTATGACCCAAGCAGTTTGTAGAGTCTGAGTTTGTAACCTCTGAGGATAAATCCATGAAAATATTTCTAAGCCTGGCTACTATCTAGGACATTTGAAGATGGATGTTATGAATACCAGTAGTGCCATTAATATAGTAGGCAATCAGAGGTATGTTTGTTTTTCTTAATCAGGAAGTGGTTTCTTTTAAAAGTATAAGGAACACACACTGTGTGTGTGTGTGTGTGTGTGTGTGTGTGTGTGTGTGTATTTTCTATTCCGTTGCAGGAAGAATTATGGTTTTTCCACATTTTACAGTGGGGTTTTCTAGAGTTTGGCACTATGATATCCTACACTTGATTACAGGATCCAATCAGAGTTGATGTACTCAGAAATTCATTGACATGATTAATGGTCTCCTAATCATACTTTTATTTCCTAGATTAGCCCTATTTCCTGTAGTTTCACAATTTTTGAGTCATATGTTAAATTATCCTTTATTGGGGGCCTGAAATTCTTATGAGTATTTTTAGTCTATAATTTGCATGATTATTTCTTTTCTTTGTTTTTTTTTTAATTGAAGAAAATGAAATTTTGATCTTCCTTTGAATTCTTTGAGTGCTGTTCTATGGTGACTGGCCTTCCTAGTATAATCTTTTTTAAAACAATATTGTATATATGTGTATGTTTGTATACATATATATGTATACATACACACACACATATACACACACATATATATATAATTTTACTGCCACCAGCACTAGATCCAGAAATCTTCCTACAAGTTTCCACTAGTCTAGTTTTTATTCTTCTCAAAAGCAAAATAAAACATTCTTAGATTCTACAAGTAGCAGGGAAAGACATCAGGAAATGGCTGTACAGGAAATGTAATTGATGATTCTCTCTTTACAATTGAAGTGGTCACAAGATTGGCTAGCAAACACAATCTATTAAATGAAAAAAAAGGTGACTTCTAAAATCTTTGGGGAATTTGAATACATTTGAAGCTTGTTGGTACCTTTGACATCTTACTGATTCTTTTTGAAACTCTTACCTTTTTCAAACAATTGTTTGCATTTGAAATTGGGAACTTTCATATCCAGTGATTGCTTTAATATTTGCTTTGTTTTTAACAGTGCCCTTAAAGATAGCCGTTTTCCCCCAATGACAAGGGATGAGCTGCCACGGCTTTTCTGCTCAGTGTCTCTGCTCACTAACTTTGAAGATGTCTGTGATTATTTGGACTGGGAGGTAAGATTATAGAAAAATTTTTAAAGAAAAATGAAGGTAACTCTTGAGGAGATGTTAAAAATTAGGCCCAGAAAATAACTCTTTCAGCCCATTCTCTATTGTAATGGAGGTCGAGAGTAATATGGATGAATAAACCTCACAACTGAACGAGATATAAGTAAATGAGTTTTTTAAAGGACAAAGTGCCACGTGTTGTTATAATCCCCAAACTGAATTTGGTTTTCATTTTTCTCCTACTACCTCACCAAAGCACCTCATAAAAGCTGTTAATAAGTAATAAGAAGGACTGACTGGAATTTATTTCTCCTCTTACTTTCATTCTGGTGCACTCTGGTATAACCGCCACTAAGTAACTAGTTGGTCAGAGGATACATCTCAGAAACAAGAAGAAATATTTAGGATAATACACCATTTGGGGGAATCAGCTTGTGATAACAACAAGGTATTGATTAACTAGAGTTAAATAATGTGAATTCATTCTTGGCTACCTTAGTTTATACACTTAAACACTCTAACAAATAATACTAAGGTTATTTCTAGGGTATCTCTGTGCATTGCTATTGTTAGAGTAGCTTATATTGATCATATTTTTATTCTTCTTTAGTACATGGGGTTGGCTAACATTGTTAGTGAAGTTCAAAGGTTCTCACCATGATTTGCTTTGGTGGCTGGGAGGAGATGTTGAGTGTAGGTCTATTGGGTCTATGAAATTTTACACACAAGCATGCCCATATTACTGAATGCCTGTTTTATTCCAGGCAATGTGCTCCATGTATAAAAGTGGTAAGATTTGGTTCCCACCATGAAGCATGTCATAATTTAGTGGCGAGTAAATGTGTATAGAAAGTATGAAGAAATAAGTGCTATGAGAATGAAACAATGGGAACTCAGTGATAAACATAACATTCTCTCTCACACATACACTCATAAATGGCATTATTGTATCCTTATGACAGATTTTAATTCTTCTGCTGTTTTAGAAGGACCATCCCCCATAGTAACTGAACTATTCTGCCTTGGAGACAGATCACTGTCTTCACAGTTTATTAGACTTGAATTTAATTTTGGCTTTGCCCTGATTCCTTGTGAGACTTTGAACAATTTACTTACTCCACTGCAATTCAGTTTTCCAATATACAGAATAAGACATTTATAAGGTTCTTCATTTGAAAAAAAACTCTATGATATAAATTATTGTTGTTATACCAGAGCTATTTAAAAAGTTTTAGGGGGTGGGGTGAAAAAAAACTTTTCTACAGAGAGTACAATGCTAGAGTCCCCTCTGGGTTTTGTGCTAAGATTTTCTGGAGCATTATCAGAATATGAACACATCTTAGGATTTTTGCAAAGGAAGAAATAAAATAAATTTATACTGTTGTTCCTACCAAAGTTGGAATGTAGAAAACCTTTTGTAAACTTGAAATTTCTGATTTATTATTTGCTATAAGTTTGTTGTTCTTACTTGATTTTTCTTAAAGAAAAGTCTACAAATATTATGGAAATATTCCTTAGTACTTTATTTTTAAACAGCCCCAAATCATGTTCCCTACTTATTAACATATATTATAGTCTGGGTGGTTCTTTTACTGTTTTAAGGCTGCTGTTTCCTCTTCCGCAGCCAGATTTACTTTTGCTTTCTGGATTGCAGGGTGTTGTGTATGTAGTAGTGGGGATGGGAGTGATTATATGGGAAAAGCCTGAGATCCAAGGGGGATGACCAAGCTACAAGAACACTTCTACTCTTGCAGCTACTGAGTTGGAAGTACAGTTCTGGCATGTGTGTTTCTGTGTGTGTGCATGTGTGTGTGTCACAAACATGAACATACTAGTATTACATAAATGTGTGTGCATGTGTTTTGGGGGAAGGAAAAAGGGGAGAATACAACAGCTGTTACATAGGCATGGTTAAGCACCGAGTACATCATCATCATCTTTAGCCCAGTTAAAGCACTATCTACAGCTAAAATTAACCTTGATATTATTGGACTATTATGTCCAAAAGATACATCAGCTTTCTGTTTGTTAGGAGAGTGGGATGTAAAGCCCTTAAGAAGTAGTACTGTGTACTCCACTATATACTCTTTCAAGGCATATTTATCCTCTTTGGTCACCATCTGCCAGCCTGAATTTCCAGAAGATTCTATATTGTTCCTACTTGGTATTGTGTATTTAATATATTTTAGGGGGCTTAAATATTAATTTCTATTAAGTATTAGTTCCCTATTGAAGCAAAAAATACACTTTTTTTTTTTTTCGAGACAGAGTCTCGCTCAGTCGCCCAGGCTGGACTGCAGTGGCGTGATCTCAGTACACTGCAAGCTCCGCCTCCTGGGTTCACGCCATTCTCCTGCCTCAGCCTCCTGAGTAGCTGGGACTACAGGCGCCCACCACTATGACTGGCTAATTTTTTGTATTTTTAGTAGAGATGGGGTTTCACCGTGTTATCCAGGATGGTCTCGATCTCCTGACCTCGTGATCCACCCACCTCGGCCTCCCAAAGTGCTGGGATTACAGGCGTGAGCCACCGTGCCTGGCCCCCATTTTTTTTTTTTACTTTTAATATACAAGTATTTGAAAGTGAATTAGTTACTGTTAGAATGGCTATGCTAAGAGGAAAAGCCCATCCTTTTCAGTTAGTTCATCATTGTTTCAGGTATTTGGCAGAAGAGAAATTTGTATACAACGAATAAGGGTGGAAATTATATTTTTAAGTACAAGAATGTGATTTGGTCTTAAAAAAATATGTACCTTACTCAGTGATTGAAAATGGAGTAATAGTATTGTGGGAATGATATTCTAAGGGTTATCCTTAATGATTCTGAAAAAGCATTACTAAACACAGAATGCCAAAATGGAATTAAAGGCATTAAAAAATTATACGTTGACACAATTTCACTTCTAGGTATATACCCAAAAGAATTGAAGTGTTGAAACAAAAACTTGTGCATGAATGTTCATAACAGCACTGTTCACAATAGCCAGAAGGTGGAAACATCCCAAATGTTTATCAACAGATGAATGGATAAATAGAATATGTTATATTCATACAATTGAACATTACTCAGCCATAAAAAGAAGTGAAATACATGCTACAACATGAATGAACCATGAATACATTATGCTAAGTGAAAGAAGTGAAACACAGAAAGCCACATTCCGTATGACTCCATTTATGTGAGATATCCAGAATGAGCAAATCCATAGAGATAGAAAGCAGATTAATAGTTGCTAGGGGCTAGGGGGAGGGGTAAATGGGAAGTGACTACTTAATGGTACAGGGTTGCCATTTGGAGTGGTGAGAAAGTTCTGGAACCAGATAGTGGTGGTGGTTGTACAATATTGTGAATGTATTTAATACCACTGAATTGTACACTTTAAAATTGTTAAAATGGCAAATTTTATGTGTATTTTACTACAATAAAAATGGAAAATAAACTTTATACATATATTCTGTTCATAATAGCAATTTTAACTTATCAAAGAAGAAAATTTTTTAAATTAAAAACATATAATGAGAGAAATGTGAGTCATTTATAATTACACCATTCTGAGAATAACTACTGTTAACATTTTGGAATATTTCTTTCCATTATCTTTTATATATTATACTAAGACTTTTTAAAATTTTTTTTCCATTCTTTATCTGTCTTTGTATCAATAAATCTGAATATTTGGTTACATAACAGATCATATTGAATATGCAATCACTATTTAAAAGATTGTGGGGAAGTCTTTATGGTTTATCTTTGTATATAAGTAAATTATATTTTGAATTTCCTTTTTGAGAAGTCAGTCTATATTATGAAAGTATATGCTTCACGAGAATTTTCACACTAATAGGTACAACTTTTCTTCCAAGAAAAAATATCCTATTCACCATAAGTATGCAATTTTAACCTGAAATGTGAAGTCCTGTGTATGTTTATGCCACAGGGGAAAACAAGGAGATTATTACAGAATTTTAATACAGAATGTTAAAGTTGAAGATAGATAATGAGCATGTTTTATACAAACAGAAGCTTCTAACGTAGCACTTTTCTGGTGGAAGTACAGTTTGAGAATTGACCCCCACTGGTTAAGTGTGTTACTGCAGTGGAATTCCTAATTAAAGGGATGAAAATGCCCAGATTAAAGCAGGAAGAGGGCAAAGTCTAGAAGTCCCAAAGCATAGAGGTAGATATCTTCGCTACCAAGACAGATATCCCTGTGGTCATGAGGATGAGGAACGTGACCACGATCAGTGGTAATAGCCACCCAGTTTTCAGATGATCAGGAAACAAATGAATTGCCACGCGTCTGGCTACCATCTTACTGTCTTTTTCATGCAAGGTTTTTAACTCGGTCTATTTGGGAACTTTCTTCTGATAACATGTCTCTAATTTTATAATGGAAGTTAGTAGGAAAGTAGGATTTACTTTAGACCTTGTTTTAGGAGCTAGAGTGCTTCTGTTTGATAATGTGAGGGATGTTTGACAAATGGTTTTACAAATGGCTGTAACTAATTTCAAGTCAATATTGAATTGACAGACTAATCAATAATGCTTCCATATGTTCTATTTCCTCAGAATAGTAATTATAACATTTAAAATAAGTGTTTATGGGTAGCCTCTGAAGGAATCTGGGCAGTCATTAAAAATAACAGCCATCCACAAAAGGCAGTAAGGACAAATTAGAGCAGTGGCCCCACCCTTCCAAGAATAACTGATCATTGCCCACATCATGATGTACTTATTGTCCTAGTAGGTATGAGAAGGATGAAGAGTGAATAATTTGAGGAAAAATTTCATTAGCTGATAAATTGGAATGTCTACCTGCAAGGCTAAAATGGTTGTTAAATGAGGAAAATTGCTCCCCTAGATAAATCTGACATGATATGCTTTGTGTTTGAACACGGAAACTCATCACCATTGTTCTGTGTTCTTCAGTTGACATCATTTTCTTAATTCTGAATGACAGGGTGATTGACAGACATGGTGCTTTGTAAAGAAAGAAAAACTCATGCAGCATGTTGGAGCCTGCCAAAATGACATAGCCTGGAACTTGTAGAGTTAAACTGTTTGGGAGCCATGTTTCCTTTTTAAAAATCTGAAAGGATATAAAACCAGACATTACAATGGACTGGAGCTTGACTTGAGGGGTGATTCTATGTGTGTCACCTCATAGGTGCTCATTTTCAGGATGATATAAATGAATAAACTTTTTGTTTGTAGAAGAATTCGTATAGCAAGTATGTTACCAGTGATTTTGTGGAAGCTAATGTAGCAATTTGCTGACAGAAGTCAAAATATTTTCTAAATTGTAATCAAGCGTCTTTTACTTCTGTGCTTTAGAGACAAGATCACTTGAAGGCATGAAGTAAAAATATTCTCTGTATTCTAAAGTAACTCCTTAGATCAGATTTCAAAAGATTAATGACATTTTCACAAACCATTAGTCACTTTCTCCTATATCTGGCTACCTGGATCACTGGTATCTCACTTTTTCTATACAGCTGTCACCTGGGCAATACATTGTGGTCCCAAGACAGACTGTTCCATTGGAGCACACAATACGTACATGGAATCAACCCATGCTGGGTGGGGCTGGCCAGCACAGTTATTGTATGATGCCAAAAATCTGTCCCTGGACTATAAAGCTATACCTCAGGCCCCTGATCTCACTCTGTCCCTAAAGTACCAAAGCATCTGTCATTGTATTTGAGCCTCGTTGGACTCCTGGTACTCAGAAAGCTGTGTTTCACTTTAAAAGCAACCTCCAAGGCACACCTCTTGAGTGATCACAGCTCAATTCTGACGTGTTCAGTTGCAGTTAATAATAGGGTGCTTTTGTAACAACCTTCGTGAGAGTAAACAGATGAGATGAATAAATTGGCTACTGTCATTATCTCCCACATATTTTAGAAGTTAATGTTCTTTTCACCCTCACTCCCCCCTTAAAGGTTTACATTTTTTAGCTCCTCTTAATGTGCCATTGAAAACAGAGTTCCCATTCATACACAGATGGTAAGCATGACTCATGAAGTCACCCAGCGAAATGACTTCTGGTTGTATATGTTATGTTTCCCCTCTTGGTTAGTTTTTCCCAACTATGATATACATCATGTTTTTTCTCTCTTCTAACTTAAAAAATATGAGCTTCATATATCCAGGAAAATGCTTTTCACAGTACATATTTTCCCAGGGACGTTGAGTTTTTTTATAAGATGTCACTATCATTAAGATTAGTCCTTTCTTGATGCTCTACTTTAAATGTTTTTTTTTTTTTTAAGTGCCGTGGAGTGTTGGGAAAGGAAGGCTTCAGGCTTCCTGGCCATCTAGAAAGAGTTTGCTGTGCATCAACAAGTCAATGTATAAGAAGCCTAGTGGGGAAGCAAGCTGTACAAAGTAAAGTAACTTCTTAGAAGGTGATTTAATGCATACAAATTTCCATTAGCTGTTGGTTCTCTTAGCAAAATGCGCTGCTGATTAGTCCCTTCTCAGGCCGCCTCAAGTTGTCTCCAGTTTTACTCGCAGCATGTTTATTGGTTGGAGGAAGTTAGCCTGCTGCTTCCCCAGAATTCCATAAACTCCCTGCCCCTTCCCTAGTACTTTTGTTATAGCTATTATTTCATGTATGATTTGCCTGTGTGTGTGTGTGTGTGTGTGTCCCCAGCATTTAATTAAAAGAATGCTGAATTTTGGGAATAAGGAGACCTGGGTTCTGTTCCTGACTGCCACTGCCCAGCTCTGTGAGCTTTCTGGGCCTCAGTTTCTTCAGGAACCTGAAGAAGTTGGACTAAGTGATACCTAAGATCTCTTTGGACTCTGACAGAATATGATTCTGTGACATACTCCTTTTTAAAAGATGGCTTCTGTTTCATTGTCCAGAGAATGAATCACCACTAGCCATTTAGAAGTCTTAAGAAGAGGTCCCTAACTTTCAAAGTGGCCATTGCCAAGTTAAATGTAGGCAACAAACGTGAAAAACAGTCCAGTTTTTAAGTTGTACCTTCTAGATTTCCTGTTCACAAAAAGAATTCCCTTGAGGAAGAAAAATGCTCTAAGCCATTAATGTCTCCATTTAATTACTGTATCATCCTGTTTTAAGTCAACATTATATATTTAAGTCTAAATTAGGCAAATACATTAGGGAGCGATTCACTTTATGAATACGTATTTTGCTTTGTAGAAGAACTCACTATAGAATGTTATTGTTTTCCTCTTGACTTTAAGATTAATTCATTTATGTAAACTCAACCCACATGTAACTTTTTAGGAACAAATTTCTTTTGTAGACTAAGTTAAACTGTATTGAGTCAGATACTCAATGTACAGTTCTAATGAATACAATTTTATTTTTCTTAATTTCTTATTAGGCAAACAGCATTATTTCATATTAGGCATGTTTGCTAGGAGGTGATTTCTTCCCCCCGCCCACCCTGTCCCCACTAGCCTTTGGAAAGTAAACTAAGTCACATCTCTAGGTTTTGAGAAAATTTTATAACTTTAGTTTTCTTGTCTGTAAATTCACTCCCTTATTCCCTTTTTTAAGAAATGGAAGGAATGCATTTTTCTAACTTTGATAGAAAGCACGCTTTTTATTTAAAGGTCACCTGTGCTGCCTGAACATTTCTTGGGAAGCTTTAGGATGTTAAGTTTTTATGGGATGCTCATTATAATTAATCATTACAGAGAATTGGGGGTTTTTTCCCCTTAATTGCACTCTGAGCTGTCACTTGTTCTCTGCAAAATCTTAGAGTAAGATCAATTTCCTTCATTGCAAAAGATATATAAACATGTTTGGCTTCAGAGTTTTTCAAAGCACCTCTTCATTAGCCATACTTTATTTAAAATTTTACTAAAATTTCATGGTGACTATTAGAGAGATCAGGTATTTTAAAGCTGTGTGTCAGCTATTAAAATAAATGTTACCAGATCGTTGTTCAGTGGCTTTTGTGAAATAAGTTGGCAGGCTTTTGTTCCTGATAGACAAGTAGTCTGTCTCCTACATAAATCAAAATTGGCCCTAATTAGTCCTTTGGTAAGCTCTGTAAAAGCCAAGAATTGGTTCATGGAGACTGAACTAATATCTAAGCCAAAGGTGACTAATCTGCAGGGATTTTAAAGAAGAGCAACACATATGTATTTTGGTCAAGGGGACCTTTTTCATAAAGTAACAACTGAGAAAAAAAGAAAAACTTCAGCTGAGACAGATGATGAAGCAGAGGTTTTATAGTAGAGTACGTTAAAAGGTTAGTCATGCTCAGGTGATGACTTTGTAATCAATTATCCTTTTTGATTCATGTTTCTGGTATTCTGCTTCTAAACGCATCTCAAAGGATATTTGAAAATAAAGACAGGTATAGGAACTGGTCAGATAATGTATAAAAACAGCCTAAAATATAGTCTGTGGTGGTATCTCAGTTGGTTCAGGAGAAAAATAATTTTTACGTCACTAAGATAAGAGTTATCTCTAGTCGGATGGTACTAGGATTACAGGCCATCTTTATTTTCTCCTTTATGCTTTCCTAAAAGGATGCTTTATTTGTTTGTTTGTTTGTTTGTTTTTTAGAGACAGAGTCTTGCTCTGTTGTCGAGGCTGGTCTCAGACTCCTGGCTTCAAGTGATCCTCCTGCCTCAGCCTCCCAAGTAGCTGGGACAACAGGCTCGAGCCACTCTGCCTGGCTCTAAAGGGAATTTTTTTGTAAGACATATGTCCTCCTTTTATAAACCAGAAAAAAAGATGCATGTTTACAGTTTCTAAGGTTTACAAGAGTAAATAATACTCAGCAAAAACAAAAGCTGAATCGCAGCAACATTGTTATAAAAATTTACAATTTGGCCAGATTATGAAGGGATCATGTTAGATAGATATGTACCTTCAGAACTCCAGAATTGCTTTTCAAATTGGTGGTCAGGTTGAAGTGATGCAGAGTAACAACTGTGAGGATTTGATGGGCAGATCGAGATAATATGTCATCTAAATTTTTTTTTTTGGTAGTATCAGATTTGGGGAAAGTGGTTCATTAGGATCTGTACAAATCCTTATCAGCTTCTATGATTAAATTCTTAACTTTTCTAGCTCAAAGAATTATCCAAGAGAAACTTGGAGTAGGCCTAAGTTCGAAGTATTTTTCTCTTTTATGTTGAATTTGCTTTCACTAGGAAAAGGAAGAGTTTCTGTTTTCAAAAGGCTAAGCTGGAGTAGTAGGGCAGAAGGAACTGTGGGGCAATAAGTTCAAGAGTGGACCATGCTGCACCATGAGTTTTGTGCTGTTAGGAGATATAGCACATAGTTTTTTCCTCCTAAGAATGTCAGAAACACCAGACTCTGGGTCAGACCCATGGACTGTCCAATACAGTGTTTGTTTCTGGCTGTGGTACCCAGGGTTGTTTTGTGAGAGAGCATGCATTCCTTCTGTGATACCAGCCTCTAAAGGTTAGGGGGTGTGCCAAACATCCTGAGCTCCTCTCATTAGGAACAGTGTCCTTTCATTCACTTCAATTGGACTGGCATATTGAGCGTGGCAGGTCAGTCTTATGTGAATGGCCAGTAACTGGATGCTTTGTTAATTGCAAAGCATATTTTGCCAAATGATTTCATCCAAAAAGACATGTCAAACAACTTTCGATTCTTTGACCTCCTGATATTTCTTATGCTATTCAGATGAACTCACTGAAAATGAGTAGAGTAAGCCATGGCCATATTATTACAGGGAAACCCAGCATTTGGTTCTGAAAATGGGGAAGAATGGGACTGACCATGGTATTTGCTAAAACAGGATGCCACCCAAGGTAGTAGAGTGATTCTGTTGGCCAGGATGTAATTGGGAAGATTTAGCTTTGAGGGTCAGGACTATGGAGATAATTGTGGACCCAAACTGTCAGAAGTTTACATGGAGGCTACTCAACTTAGCCAGAGCACATTTTATACTCATTTATGCTTTTAGCCAGATGACTCTTTTTCATGTTTTAGCATATTCAGATTGTTGGCTTGCTGACAAGGCTCACAAGTAAAAGTGAGACTCTTTTGTAGTGCTGCTTGTGGATCACAAGGCTAACACTTGCCTTATTAGACAGACTAGGGTATATTAAGCTTTGACTGTGCAATTACAAGGAATATAATATGGGAGAAGGTACTTTTAAAAAATGCTCTTGTGTTGAGGGTCACTGCATTAGAGGATAATAGTTTTAAATGAAGCCACATTTCTAACACGGGACTAGATAACAAGGATAAATGAAATCTGCAGACAGTCTCAAAGCTTAATTTTAGCCATTATTTATAATCTCTTCTCCTACCAAACCTTTTACTGTGTAGCAAAATTGATTAATTTGTGTGTACCTCTTCTTTCTGTGACCACGTGCTATCTGATAGAGGAGTGAAAAAATAGAGAAATGGACAAGAGACGAAAGAGGATGGGGCTGAGGCCAGGTGGAGCTGGGGATGCATAATCCCTAAACTGGATAATCAACCCCAGAATAATCAAGATATATTTTAGGGTCTTAACATTAATCTTGATATTTAATCATTCTGAACAATGTTAAAAACAAAAGATTGTATAATAGCATTAATAAAAATCACTTGCTATGGAATGGTTCAGAATAAATATGGCTTTCTTTTTAGCATGAAATATGAATCCGTTGAACTGGTCTTAATGTTCTATCAGCACACACAGATACAGCTCTGCTTAATTCCATATCCTCTTATCTATAAGTCCTACATTTAATTTACTACCATTGGGGTTGATTTTTAGCTTTGCTTAGCAAAAGTAGTCTTGATTAAAAGAATATTATCGCAACTGATGGACCTCGAAAGCATTTTTTTCATAGACCATCTAGTAATTTTGAAAATGACCTGCAGACCCATAAGGCTAGATTTGCAAGTTTCCAGTTTGTACCCACCTGGCTGTACTTCAAACAGTGGCAGGATTAGTTAGGGGTATGTTTAGTGACATAGTATTCCCACATGCTGCCCCCTCATCCATACGTAGAAAGTTACCGTGGTAGTGTTTTAAAGATCTGCTTCGGGGAATCCCAGTTCCCTGGTTCGCTGATCTTTTATCTAGTTTATAATTGCAACTATAGCCTTTGTCTCTTGGGATGTTGCTGGGCCAGAGGATTCTCCAATATGTATAAGGGAAGATTCAATTATGCATGAGGGTTACATTTTGGAGTTGTAGCTGTGACAGATGCCTCCCTGAAACAATATGGAATTAGTTTTGGTGCTCATTTCATTGCAAAGCCAGTGATTTCCACAGGTTGGCCAGAATTGGTCATTCTCCACAGCAGGCCATGTTCTCCTTCTCCTGTTTTGATTGTTCAGTATGACTATTTAGTGGCTTGTGGTTCTAGGAGTAAAGAAAATGCTGTTGCTCAAGAGGTAACAGAAAGAAAGCTACTATGATTTTGTTAAGAACATTATTACCATTCTCCTAATTCTACTAGCTGAAAAAAATGAGTCACTCTGGTTTGGGCTTTGTAGCTTTGTGGGAGTATTTTTGACCTATGAAAAAAGTTCATAAAAAGAATTCACTTTAAAACCACTATACTTACAGTTCAATTTACAGGGGCTTTCAATTGTTCAGAGTCATAGGAACCCAGAAAAGAATTAAAAGTTGTAAATGTGGTACTAAATCAAAATTGGAGAATTTGGGGTTTTTTTCTTATCAAATTTGATGGTAGGACCTTCTCAAAATGCAGAGTAAATAAAGCAGTCTTATTCGTGAGTAATTTTTGTTTTGGCCAATATGTCCTTTGTATCCATACACACACAGCTTTATTGTGATACCATTCACATACCATACAATCAGTCTTAACTTCTTTTAATTATTAAATTACTAGACATTAAAAATCTGATATTTTTGTTCAAGAACACAGGATGTACTCCTATAAAGAAAGGACTTAAGTGTCTAAATTAACCCCATTTGCCTAAATCACTTTTAAAAATCTTAGTATGTAGCCACAGTTTGTCAGAACTAGAATGCTTATTAGAGGTTATCTAGTTCAATTAGAATAAAAATTACCTGGGGAGCTGTTCTTTTTCCAAAACGTATTTGTTGAAATTCTGATAAACTTTGCAGCCCCGCTCCCCACCCCTTGCCAGTTAAATATCATTAATTTTGTCTGACACTCTCATCTCACAGATAGGGAGACATTCTTCCTATCACAATTTTGACTAGACACCTTAATAAACACCAAAATTCTTTTCAATTTTAACATGACGGGTTTTTGATAAATAGAGTTGAAGATTCAAAATTCACTTCAGTGGATGATGGAGTATAAATTACTTATGCTGTGTATCTTTTAAAAAACAAATTATGAGGAATCTGATATTGTCAAAGGAAAAAAAAATTCAAAGCTACTGATCAGGAAGTCAGTATACAGGAAATTTTGCAAATTTGTCATTGTCTCATCAGGCACTGGAGAGATTAGTAGATGTCCTTTATCCTGGAAATGCCTGATAGCTAAGCGCTCATATTTCTTCTCAGCTATATACGTAGTTATTTCCCACACAGTATGGGAGGCAAGTATTGTGTTAGTTTTTAAACAGCTACCCTGGTCGCATTTTTAGCAGAAAGAGATTCGTAAGAGTACTGATATTAAATAGATAGAAGAAATAGCCAGAGATATGCTTTAATAAAAATAAAAAACCATAAATTCCTCAGAAGATCTGACAGGCTCTAATGGATAGATGTGTGAAGACCTGGGGAAAGATGAAATGGATTTTCCCAGAGGACTTTTTATTCCTGAAAAAATTGGAAAATTTGAGACTGGGGGTAGAAGAAGCAAAAGAAGTTTTCATTGACCCCCTTTCCTCTTCTAGACCTTTACATCCATACACATGGAAAGTATAAAGGTTTATGACTTTACTCACCTGCTCTGAAAAGAAGCCTCCATCTTGGGTAATAATGTTTACCTGGTCTTACATCTCCATTCCAGTACCTTGCACAACCTGACCCTCCACTTGGGAACCATTGATCTGAGGCAACCACAGATCCAAGAGAACAGAATGGTGTCATTATGCTTTTGAAATTTCGTTTTTATTATCAATGTTCACAAAGAAGTTAAGAACTTTTAATTTTGATCTTTAGCTCTGTATACTATTCTATGTGAGATATGAGGGGAAAGGACAGATTTCTTTCAATCATATGCTAATCAAAGGAAAAGCACATTATTAAAAAAAAATTAGCAAGAAATTGCTCACAGTTACTTAGAAGACTACCTTTTTAAGGGCATCACCACAAGCTTGTTTTACATTAAAAAGTTACAGTGGTCTCTGGGCTAGTATATAAAGAGACTGCAATAATGCACTACAGTGAAGTGATTTGAAATCTTTATTCTTAAATTTAGTAGAGCTGTGTGAAGACAATGGTGTAGATGGACAGTGAAGGTCTGCTACTACCCCACTCTAAGTCATAATGCATTTTTAAAGAAATGCTGTCTACACTGGGTGATGATGTAGGATCTGGTTGTTTTCATTATTAATTTTCAATCTTACCTGACTGTGTTTGCTTGCCTACGTATAATTTAATGTTTTAAACGGAGTAGACAGTTTGGGAGGGGATCAGCACCAAAAATTTTGGAACTTAATCAGAAGTGGTGAGTGTACCTGCAAAACAGGATGGTTGTTTGCTATCTCTTTGAAGTCAGTCACCTTTGTCTCTAGTTCTTTATTGGCATGAGCTACAATTTGGGAGTGGGGCAGGATTTTTGCCATCAACCGTCTTATTCTACAGACAGCTTCAGAATAGTTGTTCCAGTTTTCCAAACATAGTATCATAGCCTAGTGCATGTTGGGCACATGCAAATCAATATTTTCCCTCTCCGTGGCCATCATAATGGCCTTCAAATCCAAAGTCAAAGCTTTGGAAAGAGAAAACTTATACGTCCTTCTAAAAACAAAGGGAAAGGAAGAACTGCATTCTCTTGAAAGTTAAATTATAACCTTTTCTTTCTGATTCTATGAAGAAGACTGTACTAATAAAACTGCCAATTTCTTTCAGGTGGGTGTACATGGCATTAGAATAGAATTCATCAATGAAAAAGGATCAAAACGCACCGCCACCTACCTACCGGAGGTTGCAAAGGAGCAAGGTCATTGTTGTACTTTATTTCATATGATCTGGTGAAGAATTTAAACAAATATACAAACTGAAATGCGTTATCTGACCTTGCAGTTATGTCTAATAATTGAAGTGTCAAATTATAAGAAGTGACTCTTCCATCACTGCCACTGCAATGTCTGTATCAAGTCGGTGAAGTACTCACAGAAGTTGAATCCCTGCATTGAAGTTTGATGGCATAAACCCATAAGTGTATATTTTTTAAAAAGCAGAATTTATATTAGTTGGTTTTCATTTTAGGCAACAATTTGCTACCGATTTGAAATGCATTTTTCCCATATTCCATTGTGGCATAAACAAGCCTTTTGTTTGACAATCAGCCACATAGTTCTTTGTCATTTTAAGTATCAAATGTTTCATTCTTAGGTGGTTGCCATTACTCATCCTGCTGATACTAAGATTCTAGGTTTCCCACTAAGATCAGAGGATTGCGAAAACATGAAGTGTTAGTGTTTTATATGCTTGGTCTACACTTCCTAATCAGAATTTTCCTGTTTCACACATAGAGCATAGACCTGTATGAACCAACATTGTAACACAAAGTAACTTTTCACTCTGTAGTATTTTATCCTTTCTTAGCAACTACTAAATTCTGGTTTCATGTTGGTCGAAATGAATCTTTTATCTTGGGGAGCTTTTCTTCTCATCAGAAAGCATTTGTAATTTGGTTTTCCCGTGTTTGTCTTATAAATGTGAGATACATAATAGCAAAATTAATGCCATTAAATCCCCAGATCAGAAAGTCTTCAAGGCAGTTACTTGAAGATTTATTTGGGTTGCTTTAGAAAATGTCTTAATCTCCTAGTATCATTAACTTTGTAAAGCATACATAAAAGATAGAGGGCCTCAGATACTAGTATACCATCCATGTCAGAACTAATCAAAATACCCTTGAATACTGCACACAAACTTGAATGATTACAGAATTACAGAAGATACCATAAGGAACAACAATTACTGTGAGGTGGTGTGGGAGTCCTAAATATTGACTTGGCAAAATGGCATATAGGCTTTTCACTCCCTTTTAAAGATGTCACTGTTAGAGGAAAGTACAACAGATATGGTTTGTTACAGTCATGACTGAGCAATTTCTGCCAGCCCCTTAGACCCCTTGACTTCGAATGCGAAGATAAAGGAGCCAGTGTTGTTTGGCATTGTGGATAGCTAGAATTTAAGGAGTGTGGTGATGACCCTGCTTTTGTAAAGGATGAAATCTTAGCTTTTCTGTGTGATTGTTTTTAGGACCAAAAGATTTGATGGCATTTGGTGACAGTGATAGCTGACCTCTACAAAGTCATTTTGTATTTAATGAAAGGTGTTTGTTACATGTGCTTGACTGATATTTTATCTGGTCATCTCTCTACAGGATGGGACCATATACAGACCATAGACTCCTTATTGAGGAAAGGAGGATACAAAGCTCCGATTACTAATGAATTCAGGAAAACCATAAAACTGACCAGGTACAGAAGACATTTTCTAGCACAAGGCTAACCTGTACATTTTGATGTGTATGCCTATAACCCTTTGATTTCTTTGGTCTCTCTAACTACACTTCTTTTTTCTGAAACAGAGTGGAAATGAATGGCAGGGTCATACTGAGGGTGGATACAATGGAACTCTGCTTCGTAGTAAAGCCTGTGTGATGTATGAGCCTATCTTTCCCATCTTTAGCTCTGTGTGATTACTCTGGCTTTTGTACGAGCAAGCCCTTGGAGATTTTAGACTACTTTATTGGAGAAAGTACTTGAATTAGCAATTGGCTAGCTTTTGACATTACTGAGCAGAACCCCAGGATTCTGATAAACAGTCCTCAAATTCGAATTTAATCTCAGAATTTTGGCAGTGATAGAAGTCTACCAAGAAAACTTGTTAGCTTGCTGAAAAACACAATTGAGCTAAACTCAAATGCTAAATAAATTTCAGCATGAAAAAATAGGGATGCTTATTTAAAAAGGAAAATACCGTACATTTTAGGAAAATGGGCTGCTGGTTCCATTTATTTCAATTCCATAAAACTACATTGAATGCTTATAGTCTAAAAATGGCCTATTCTCAGCTCTGAGGAGTTACAAATTCAGAAATACCTCCATCTCTGCTCTCCCTGAGTTCACAGTGGAGGAGAATAGAAGGGGCATGGACAAAATTATTAATCTAAGGCAGAATATGATGGATAATATGAGATCCATTCCCATAAAGTAGGGAAAGAGGAATTCTAAGAGGGTGGGAGGGGGATAACAGATAGTTTCAAAGAGGTCAGCTGGGGGCTGGGTTTGAAGAATGGATAGAATATTTGACAGGTAAAAAGGGATTTTTTTTTGACAGGAGGAAAGTGATTCCCTTAAGGAAGACCTTGTGAGTCAAGGGTGGTGAAGTACAAAGCAAGTTCTGAGAATATGAAATAGTCTGATTGGGCTGGTCTTTTAGTGTAATAGAGAAGCTGATCATTAGAGGAAAATATGGCCCAGAAGGTAGGTTGGGCAGACCATTGAGGGTCCTGAGTTCCAGAGTAATTAGTTTGGACCTGGTTCTATAGGCAATTGGTAGCTATTGAAGGATTTTAATCAGATGGGCTTGGGGAGGTATAAGAATGGAATTGGAAACAGGAAAATGAGCCAGGAAGCGTTGGTATTATCTAAGAATCTGTGGCAGCAGTCCAAAAGAGGTGCAACAGGGGCCTTAACTAGAGCTGTGGCAGTGAGATGGGAAGAAAGGTTGGGATCGATATGAAAATAATGTGGAAGAAATGAAAGGACTGGGTCATCATTTAGAAATAAAGAAGAAAGTCAAGGCGTTAATCTAGATAAAAGGGACCAAGGTAATCCCTTTAATCAAAGTAGGGACCACAAGAGGAGTGTGTTAAGTTTATGCATCGATTTTGGATTTGAGGTGCTTCTTAGGATATCTATATAGAAATATCTAGTAGGTCAATGAAAATGTATGAGCTCATGGCTAGATATGATTGAAATTGTAAGGATAGGGTTCACTGTGGGGGGACAGTATAGAGTCAAAATAACTGAATACAGAAACATAACAAAATTCTACAAGGCAGGGATAGGAGCATTCAGAGACAAGGAGCAATCTGAGAGGCAGGGGAGAACCAGGGGCATGTGGAGGTATAGAATCCTTAGCACCAGAGAGCTTAAGGGCATGATGGGCAAATGGAAAGATCAAGCTGAGTCAGGGGAAGCCTTCTGATGGCTATTTCCATGGAAGGGTGGCAGCAGAAGCCAAGGAGCACTGAGCTGAGTAGTAGTGTGAGATGGGGATTGAAGGCAGAAAATACACACAACTATTTGAGAAATGTGGCAATGAAAAGAAAGCCAGACATGGGGAAAAGTGAGAGTTCAGGATACCAGAATTAAGAAAAGTTGTTTTTGTTGTTGTTACTTAATGGTAAGACCTAAGTAGATGTGTGGACAGAGAAAGGAACAGTAAAAGAGGGAGAGGTGGAAGATTTCTGAAGAAAAATAATCAACTGAATCGAATGAGATGCATACTCCTGTTAGAAAACTGGGGCTGAGGGGACAATAAAATTTTTAAAAGAACAATTTAAACAAGGAGTAGTAGAGTGCAAAGAGCACTGGACTCAGACTTTTGATTTCCAAGTTCTGATCTTAGCTTTGCTACTTACTATCTCTGTGACCTTGGGCAGTCACTGCTTCTCTCTGGGACCCCGTTTCCTGATCTATAAAATTATCTTTAAGGTCCTTCCTAGCAGTGACAATGGCATGTCACCTACTTCTCAATGTTAACTTTTCTCTTCCCTGACTTTCTTTCAGGTATCGTAGTGAAAAGATGACCCTGAGCTATGCTGAATACCTTGCTCATCGCCAGCATCATCATTTCCAAAATGGCATTGGGCATCCCCTTCCGCCATACAACCATTATTCCTGACACTGAGCCGCACAACCAGTCACTGGGCCTCTCTGCAGACCTCTTCCCAGGAGACCCTACACCTTCTTGGTCTAGCTATCTCTTTTACTGTACCATTTTATGATGATAGTTTCCGTTGCCATGGTGAAGCTTCGACATCGTCAACTAAGATCATCATGGTAACGGGTAGAAAAATGGCATTTGTTAAGATCCTGTTTTATTATTTTAGATCGTTGATTTTTTTTTTGCAGCATATATAATTTTGGGTTTTTTTTTCCTTATAATATTATGTAGAATTTTGCTTTGCTGTCTCAGTCAGGTTTCTGTTTTTCTGTCCTCCTTGCCTTTCTTCCCGTTTTGCTTCCTGTTTTCCTTCTTCCTTCCCGTTTTCCTTCTTCCTTCCCTGCCTCCCTTCCTTTGACTGTGGATGGAAGAAAGTGTGCAGTTTTTAGGGATTTTACTTAGGTTCGTCTTTAGTTTTCCTCAGTAAGATAGTTGTTTTTTGATACCTGAGTTTGGGATTAATTCATATCAAATTCAGGTATTTGTATATTACTCTTGATTTTTGTCTGAAATTCACTTTGCTATGACAGCCTAGTAGTTGGGTCTTCACTCCTTAAGTATATGTTTTTCCCATGGTGAAAATACATGAACTTTAGTTCTAGTAGTGAGCATTCAAAGGTCCGTGATAGGGCTTGTCACAGAGAGAGAGAAATCATTTATCCCTATTGTGCTGGTTATCATAGAAGAGACTGCCTCACCACTTTATAGAACCAATTTGCAAACTAAAACACTGTTTGGAGAAGGTACAAACTACCTTTCAAAAAGGCTACAGGAAACATTTTATGAGCAGCAAATATTAGGAAGAGAGCAGATACAGAATTTAGTGCCTTTGAGAAGAATATAATTAAGTGGAATTAAGAGGGGTTAGAAAAAAGGCAATTTAGAAAAATATTCTTGTAAAACTTTATTGTTTCTATATGTGAAACAGAAGATTAGACAAATTCCTTACTCTTAAGTATTTTTTTAAGCTGAAAAAAAATTATTTTGAGCAAATAACCAATAAGAGACATTTGTCTATTTTATATTAATTTAAATTTGTTAGCTCTAGGTTTCAATAAGTCATGATTGGCTAGAATCCATTTTAGCTACCATCTAAAGATATGGTAAAGATAATTTAGTAAAACAAAAGTTCATATTTGCCATGATTTCAGATATGTTTGTCATGGGGACAATATTAGAGTTTTAGAGATACTATAAAATAGCTTGAATTTCTTTCTGCACTACATACTTTTGATAGAAACACATTTACTACATTGATAAGATGTTATGTCACACCTGTGAAAATGGAGTTGGCATTCAGATATGCTATAGTTAGAGCCCAGCTCATCTGCAAGTATAGTCTTCCCATGATGCATACAAAGATAACTTACTGATGTCGATAGGAGGTCCATACATATATCCCCAGGAAAAATGACAGATTATTCTGGAGGAAGATGACCTTCATTTTATGGTTATGTGTGTGTGTCTGTGTGTCTTTGGAAAAATATATATAATTTTTTCAAATAGGAAGCCAACATATCAAGTGATGAATTAAAGTATGCTGCAGAATATATATTCTAAAACTACAAAAAAGTCACTGAATATCAAAATGATACAGCTTATACATATAGTTACTGTGACAAGTGACAGACTGCTAGTTCAGAATTCAAAAATCCTTTCCTAGTTTGTGAGATAATGGGCTAAATTCCTTCTGCCTGCCACTGGGGCAAAGCAAATTGCTTTAGTTTTTGATGAGAGTTCTTAGAAGTTTGTTGGTATTCCTTCATCCACAGCATCCATTGTTGAAATAACCATTTTCAGTTGTGATGCCTTAACTAAGAAGCCAATTGTTAGCCTGAAATGCAATCTTGGTAGCCAGTTTCAATGAAGCTAGAGATTAGTCAGAAAAAGTTAGCTGTTGGGCTTTAGAAAGGGATTTTGAGTCCTGTCATTTCTACTTGGGAGCATTTTGGAGCAGATTAGTCTTTCAGTATAAAAACAAGTGGCTACCTGATGGAAACTTTTCTTACCCTTATAGGGAAACTGAGCACAAGCTGAATGATATTGTCTGCTGCAAAAAAAAACAAACAAAAAAAAAACAAAACAAAAAACAAAAAAAAGGAAAAAAAGGTAAATAAAACAAGCAAACTGAAGAGAGACAAAATAGACCAATATTATCGTGAAATCCATCTTATCCATCATCTCATCGGTTCAACAGGCTCCTCGTCCTGGGTGAGCTTATGGTTAGAAGTTTTTTTAGCAAAGATTTATTACATACATAGATGTGTGTGTGTACATATACTTACACATACATACATACATATATGTGTGTTTATTTAACGGTGCTAATCAATCTTGAGCAGGTCACGTGACTGGTCATGCGGACTCTAAAATCATATCAGATTTTTTAAAATCCTTGATATATGCAGATGTTATACAGATTTTCTTAGCAGTGTAATAACGTTAAACTGAAGAAATAACCATCCTGCAGGCTTCAAAGGACGAGGTCAGCAATATTTCCCAACATGGCTTGGGGGAAAAGGATAGTTTTGTCTCCTTTTGTATTCAAGTAATGCAAAGTGCATTTTTGTCTCTAAGTAGCTTTTGACTAAAAGACTTTGTAGTGTAAAGGGTGTTATACAAACTGTAATGGTGTGCTTCAAACAAATGCTAGACCCTTTCACCTTTGTCGTATATACAAAGCTGTTAATTATGTGGTATGAATTAACTTTGAACATGTTGAAATATGTAGCATGTCTTTAACTCAGACGAAGATTCTGATTGCACAGGTTGTGTTCTAGCCAGTTGTGATTTATTTGTTCAGAAACACAAATGTGAATTGCACTCTTATCATCAGAATATTGTATGAGTTCAGTGATCTTTAAACAGCTCAGAAGTAATACTTGAACTTCATTTGAGTAGCACAAAGTTTACATAGCCCCTTTTAAATGTTAATTCGTTCCATTTAAGTTTTCCATTTTCAGATGCAACTGGGTATTTTTCCTCTTGGAAATAGTACGTACTTTGCTTTGGTATGTAGCAAAAGGCTTCCATTTCTGGAAGGGTTTTCTTGTTCTTAAACAAGGTCAGCCAGGTACCAGATTCTAAAAGAACAAATTGTCCCCCACCCCTCAAGTGGCCTTCTGACTGCACGAGAATGTGCTACTACCCTCTGTAGTCTCCCCTAACACGAGAGGTCAGTGAAATTGATGGAGGAAGTGCAAGGCTTGCTTCCCCTCACCCTTAAAGCTTAAAGCAGTTGTAAGATTTTCAGTCCAGCACATACAGTCCCAGTGCCCAGCACACCGGAAGTTTGTATACTGGCCTCTTATCTTGTCTTCAAATGTGCAGGAAATTTGAAACTGTCATCTGGAATAGGTTCCATCTCTTATGTGTGTTAGATCAAACCAAAGAAGCCCCCAGCCATGCCCAAATGCTGCTTCAAAAGCCTGCCTTCCAGTCCTTACAAAAACCTTGCAGGATTAAATGTGTTAACTTTTTTATTTTTGTACAGTTTCTAAGTGATTTTTGCTAGTGATGTTAAAATGAATTAAGTTTATTTGAGGGGTGTGAGCACCTCCTCCATTTAAATAAACTGGTGACTTTCCTTTTATTTTTTAAAAGTGGAAACCCGTTGTGTGCCTCTCGATTTAAGGGTTTCTGATGACATTATTCTTAAGACCAGCATTGATCCTTTATATACAAATATATGTTTTCCTTGTTTTTTATTGCTATTTCAGAAGAAAATGAACCTTTTATTTTGCTCTACCCAGTAACTGCGCTGGTACATAGACGCACTGAGCAAACAAACTTTTGTAACCACCTCTGACTACTTTTGTATATCAAAGTTGATTACTTTTGAAATATTTGGATCTAGTTTCTAAGTTATTTTAGTGTTTTATATGTTCCCCAAAATTACTTTGAATCTGTCACCAGCATAATGAGTTCTTGGTGATACAATGGTGAGACTTGTAATGAGCAAAAAGCTACCTGGAGTAGCTCCTCTTTTCCTTCTTTCTTAGTAACCTGTTTTTTGATTACCGTAAGACATCACAGATTACCTGAAACCCCTTCCAGTATAACTAGGCCCTCCTTCCTTCCACATTTAATTGCTTAATAGTTTGAAGAAACTATTGGAAATGGGCATTTTATATGACATGTATGGCTTTACAATATTAAATATGAGCAAAAAGAAAAAATATGAGAAGGTTTATGTGGGTCTGTAAGGTATGGCTGTGGAAAGATATTGTAGTAGTTTTGACACTATTGTTATTACCTTTAAAATCATTTACCCAATAAAATGTTAAAACCGAGTTATCATTTTATGTTTCTTTTTTAAGTTTAACCTCTCTCATCATAGGATCTTGGTCTCGTCGGTACTTCTTACTAAAAGGTTAACAGTTGAAGGCTCTGAAGGAATATAGTTAGGAACAGATACTGATTTATTGCCAAACTAGCACTTGGGAAACCTTACCTGCTTGTAGCCACTCCCTGCCATATGATTTGCCAATGTCATCCTTTTGTCTATCTCTGAATCCTGGCTTGCTGATATAGATTAGCCTTTATTTGGACACCCTAACCTGGCCACATTGATCCTTTAAGGATCCTTCAGATCCTTTGCCACAGAACTCAGGCAAATATCAGACTTGAATTCTGGCGGGAGCTTAGCTGTGCTTAGGTCCGCTCCAAATCAGTCAGTGGTTATTGGGCATTTCCTCTTTGTGAGCTGGTGAGGGGCAGTAGCAGTGCTATTCAGTTAAATCATCTGATATGGGGACCCCTTCTCCTACCATCAAGGCTTGCCCATTTTCTGAGTATAGGACAGAGTCTGAAAATGCTCAAGATGTGGTCACCCAGAGCTTGTACGTACTCATACACACACTAGGCATACCACACGCTTACACTTATTACCAGCTATTTTTTCCAGTTCCAGATTGGTACCCCCAACTTGGGCTTGGGGGAAACACCTGGATTGTAGGGTAGGGCAACTGGTGGTATTGACTTTCAAGGGCCAGATAAGAGCCTATGTCAAGAAAGGAATCTCTTGGGGTGCTGCCTCTGCCTACTGTTGCCTTATCCCTTTCTCTATGGAAAGGCTACCAAGGACATTGTACTTGTGTATGGAAATACCTCTGGCTCTTTCTAAAACATTTGCTGTCTCACGCACATTTCAAGATTAGCTGCTAGTTGAATATATCCAGGACAATTTCTGTTACATTGCCCCAAAGCCCTGGTAACCATGTAAATTTTATGACACGTGCTTATGTCAATCACAGTGGCTAAAAAGTGTTCTTAGATCCTAGAGGACTATTGTGGTTTTAACCAGTGCTCCATAAAGGCAGCCATCTGCTCAGGTTTTACCTATTTTCATCATTCATGTTTAATGGGACATAAGATTTTTCAATGATTTCGACCATATTAATAGGTTCAGGTAGAATGAAGTAGTTTAATGAGCCCACAGCATTCTTTTTTACAGCATTAGTGGTTAACTCTGGTCTGGACAAATTTCAACTTCAGTAATCACACTCCACCTACCTAAATTCTTCCCAGAGTTTCAGCATTTCCACTTTAGATTTCATGCCCCTCTGGACCCTGTGTAAATAGCTTTACTGCTTCCGAGGGCAAGTATGGGCGTGTAGGATGAAGCAGTGCCCCTCTGTTGCTGGGAAATACTACCCTATCTAAGGGGTCCTATCAGTGTGAGGTAAGGAGAAGTCTGCGGTGGAGAAGTCACACCGGGATTCAGAGCTGCCAGCCAGGACAGCCAGTGAATGACTGCCCATTCAGAGAATGGCTTCTCCCACTTCCTGCAGCTTCAACCACATAAGCCAAGATAAGTATGGGTTTGGGTTGGGTAAGCTCTCATAGCTTCCCATCTGTATGCTCAAGCTTTTCACCTACAGGAGGAAGAAATGAATGGGAGGATGCAAGTGAGGAAAGCCCTGGATATACTATTTTTGGCTACTGCATTAAAAGGCCTGCCTTGACACCTGTAGCCCCATGGGACAATCTCGTGTTCAAACCTCAAACTTGTTGGAAGAACTCTTTCAAGAATTGGAGGGAATCACATTAGGTCTCAAGCACTGTTCTGAAGCCAATCTACATCCTCACCCCAAGCGCTTGGTTACAACCTTGTTTAGAAATGACCCCTTAATAAAAATTGCTGTGTATATAATGGGATATTATTCAGCCATAAATAAGATTGAAATCCTGTCATTTGCAGCAACGTGGATCAGCTTGGAGGACATTATGTTAAATAAGCCAGACACAGGAAGGTAAATACCGCATGTTCTCACTCATGTGCGAGCTAAAGAAGTTGATCTCATAGAAGTGGAGAGTAGAATAGTGGTTACTAGAAGCTGGGAAGGGTTGGGAGAGTGAAAAGGGAGAGGTTGGTTAAAGTAGGGATCCCCAACCCCCGGGCCGTGGACCAGAACTGGTCCGTGGCCTGTTAGGAACGGGGTTGCACAGCAGGAAGTGAGCAGTGGGCAAGCAAGCATTACCGCCTGAGCTCCACCTCGTGTCAGATCAGTGGTGGGACTAGATTCTCATAGGAGCATGAACCCTATTGTGAACTGCACATGTGAGGGATCTAGGTTGTGTGCTGCTTATGAGAATCTACTGCCACCCACCCCATCCGTGGAAAAACTGTCTTCCATGAAACCGGTCCCTGGTGCCAAAAAGGTTGGGGACCACTGGGTTAAAGGATAGAAAAATACAACTAGACTGGAGGAATAAGTTCTGGTGTTCTATAGCACTGTAGGGTGTCTATAGTTATGAATTTAAGATATATCTTTGTATAACTAGAAGACAGGATTTTGAATGTTCCCAACATAAAGAAATGATAAATGTCTGCAGTGACACATATGCTAATTACCCTAATTTGACCACTATACATTGTATGTATTGAAACATCACTGTGTCGCTCATAAATATGTACAATTTTGTATCAATTAAAAAATTAAAAATTACCTCTTAATGTATTATGTTTGGAAGGTACTGACTATATATATCTCAAATTGTTTAAATGGACCCACCCAGAGAGCCGGTGGAGGGTGCAGCTATACGTAAACCAACACTGACCTGCACTTACAGCTTTCCATCATGACAGATGATTACTTAATTTGACAGAGGTGAGATGTAGAGTATGCTCTCTGTCTGCAGCACACAGCTGGGCAGTGGCTGAATTACATGCCTCCGTGCTCACCAACTGCCATGGCATCTTTGAGCTCATGCTCCCATTCTAAAAGGACACATCCAAGTCACAAGGGGCGGGTAATTTGTTCCCCCTTTAGTCTCCCTCCATGGTGGGAGAAGCTCTTTGTTTTTTACTCAGAATCTTAGTTGGCACCTCGTTATGTTAAAAATCAGATTGAAAGAACTATTTCATCGCTATTAAGCACAAATGTATACAAGCTACTTATTAAGGAGAACGAGGTTGTTTTGATAACTATAAAATGTTGCAACTGGGTTGAATGAATAGTCTCAGCGGTCTATTTCTATGTTTTAGCTCTACAACAACAAGAAGGTCCTGATTTGCACGGAGATCAGATTAATTTTATGAAAGTGTGTACATATAGGTCTAAAGTGTAAAAACCCAGCACAGTCCACAGCTATCTGAAGCTTACAAGAAGTTCGGGCAGGAGAAGCATAAAACTCCTGAGGTTTGAAGACAAGTAAGTAACCTGATGGCTTCTGCTAACCCACTGGTGGTCTTCAGTTGCCATTCTGTATATAACTAACTTACCAGGTGTTGTTAAGTGTTTTTTGTTTCTGTTTTTATTATCACAGTTTCAAAATATTATGTATTTCAACACACACGTATTTTTTGAATTAAATGTTCATAGAGGGCCGGGCACAGTGGCTCACGCCTATAATCCCAGCACTTTGGGAGGCCCAGGCAGGCAAATCACCCGAGGTCTGGAGTTCGAGACCAACGTGGCCAACATGGCGAAACCCTGTCTCTACTAAAAATACAAAAATTAGTCAGGCATGGTGGCGCACGCCTATAATCCCAGCGACTCAGGAGGCCAAGGCAGGAGAATCGCTTGAACCCAGGAGGCAGAGGTTGCAGTGAGCCGAGATTGCGCTACTACACTCCAGCCTGGGCAACAGAGCAAGACTCCATCATCTCAAAAAAAAAAAAAAAAAAAGTTTATGGAAACTTGGGGCTGTTCCGACAGAACCCCAGGATCCCACAGGACAATCAAAACCACTGCTGGAGCCTCAACATGCCCAGTTATTTTGAGAGCTTTTGGGAAGCCATCATTTGATGAAATGACAGCTTTTTTTTTTTTTTTTGGCCTTTTCCTCCCAAATGTCAGGCTCAACATGATCCATCAATATTTATTGAGTGCCTGTCCCTCCAGAGGCATGGCACCTTGCTTGGTTACAGAATGAATATAGTATAATTTTGTAAGATAAATTAACAAACAGTCCACTCTGGGCTAAGAGTTGTAAGGAGCATATGAGTTTGGTCTAGTTGGGTAAAGTCCTTCAGACTGGGGCCCAGGTAACATTAGGGTTTTATAGGGTTTCACTAAATAGCTTCCACCTCAGTGGCATTAGAACATAGTTGTAACTGCCCCTGTTGAGAAATTATATTTCTTTGCACTCCAATATGTCAGCACCAGAAGCCACCCCATACTGGACATGATCATAATTTCTTGAGTGGAGGAGACTTTCTGTTCCCATAATGTGGCTCTCTTGCTCCTTAGCAGGAATATGCAAGGTGGCTGGAAGAGAAGTGATGTGCTTGTATAAGAAATAGGTTTGGACACACAGAATGGCATTGGGTGGCTGCGAGTTGTGTTCTTTACTGTGAAGCTGCCCTCTCAGAGGCATTGGGCCCTTCCTATGATGAGGCGATAAGAAGAGACAGAGAGAGGCTAGGACTCTAAGAGGCTATCTTGAGGCCTGAAGAGGAGAAGACAGTTTATAGTATGTTTACTGGTTGAAAAATTACCCCACAGAGAAAAAAATCCATTCATGAGGCAGAAGGAAAGAATAGTAAGAGTAAACTACATGGAAAGGAAAATCGGAGTAACTTTCAGAATCACTAGCTATGCATAAAGGACAGGAAGGCAGTATTAAATGTGGGCTCTTGTAAAGCAGGAAGCGCAACTTGTATACAATAGAATGTTTAAATCACATTTTAACTGACAGGAAGCTGCTGAGAGTTTCCAAACATCAGGCAGATATTGAAACTAAGAGCTGCTATAGTCACTTTCCATCTAAATGGTATTTTGGAATGACCCAAGGTTACCATATGGGTCAACATGTATAAGTGGGTTTCTGTGTATCAGCATAGGAGATGGGGGCTGGCCAAACGGCTGGATGGAACAATCATATTCCCCACTCCCACATATCCTAGCAGAATGGAAAGGGTGTCTTGGACTGGACAGAGTGGGAAACCCCCATCATTTTGAGGGACAGTGCTGGTGTGAGTAATGCAAACATTTCCCTAAGCTTTCTCTACTTCAGACATCCAAATGAATTTCAGGAACTCTGCATGAAGACATTGCCACCCTGCTGGCATATGCCTCAGCAATGGTCTCTTTCCCAGAATTGTGGTCGGGGCAGATGTGGGTAGCCATAGTGACCTGTGTACATGAAGTCATGCTCCTTGGTGAATTGGTTCTTGTTTATCTGGCCTAGCATATCTTGTGGTCTGTGGTACTCATGAATGATGGGGCTTAAAAGGGAAACATGGGGTTAATCCAGTTGTTGGATCCAAATAGGATGGGATTGTTCCTGTTGGGTAGATGGGTCTAACTGGCCCTGCAGCCTTGGAGAAGGTCAAATAGACATTGCTAATAAATAGTCAGCAGTAGGCTGGGAAAGTGCAGGTAACATCCTTTGCTCTAGGGAATGTTACACAGTGGGCCCTGCAAGCAGGGTGCACAAAGCACTTGAAAGTGAAAAAGAAACACCTTTATTTTCAACCTCCCTCCATTTTTTGGACATTTTTATAGGAAAATTCATATAACATACAATTAACCATTTTAAAATGCACACTTCGGTAGTTAGTGAATTCACAATGTTGTGCAACCCCTGGCTCTCTCTAGCTTTAAAACTTTTTCATCACTCCATAAAAACACCCCACACCCATTAAGAGAAGTCACTCGCCAAGTCCCACCCCCAACCCCTAAGTAACCTCTAATCTTCCTTCCATCTCTCTGAATTTACCCATTCTGGATGTATCATATTAATGGACTCATATAATATGTGATCTTTTGTGGCTTCTTTCATTGAGTATGTTTTCAAGGTTTATCCAAGTTGTACCAAGTTTTAGTACTTTGTTCCTTTTTATGGCTGAATAATATTTCATTGTATCATGTAACACAGTTTGTTTATCCATCATAATGGATATTTGGATTGCTTCCACCTTTTGGCTCTTAGGACCAATGCTATATAAACATTTGTGTACAAATTTCTGTGTGAACATATGTTTTCATTTCACTTGGATATATGCTTAGGAGTGGAGAATTACTGAGTCATGTGGTTATTCTATCCTTAACTTTTTATTTATTTATTTACTTATTTGAGACGGAGTTTCACTCTTGTTGCCCAGGCTGGAGTGCAATGGCACGATCTCGGCTCACTGCAACCTCCGCTTCCTGGGTTCAAGTGATTCTCCTGCCTCAGCCTCCTGAGTAGCTGGGATTACAGGCACCCACCACCACGCCCAGCTAATTTTGTATTTTTAGTAGAAATGAGGTTTTACCATGTTGGTCAGGCTGGTCTTGAACTCCTGGCCTCAAGTGATCCACCTGCCTCAGCCTCCCAAAGTGCTGAGATTACAGGCATGAGCCACCGCACCCAGCCTACCTTTAACTTTTTGAGGAACTGCCAAACCATTTTCCAAAGTGGCTGTACCATTTTATGTTCCCAGTAGCAAGGTATATGGGTTCCTATTTCTCATCCTCACCATCATTACTTTTCTTTTTTTGATTAAAGCCATCTTAGTGGATGTGAAGTGGCATCTCATTATGATTTTGATTTGTATTTCCTTAAAGATCATTGATATTGAACACTTTTTCATGTGCTTATTGGCTATTTGTATATTTTCTTTGGAAAAATGTCTATTCTAGTACTTTGCCCAGTTTTTAATCAGACTGTTTGACTTTTATTATTATTTTTTGAAACGGAGTCTCACTCTGTCTCCAGGCTGGAGTGCAGTGGCATGATCTCGTCTCACTGCAACCACCATCATCTCCCGGGTTTGAGCAATTCTCCGGCCTCAGCCTCCCGAGTAGCTGGCACTACAGGCGCATGCCACCATGCCCAACTAATTTTTGTATTTTTAGTAGAGACAGGGTTTCTCACCATGTTGGCCAGGATGGTCTTGATCTCTTGACCTCATGATCCGCCCGCCTAGGCCTCCCAAAGTGCTGGGATTACAGGTGTGAGCCACCACGCCTGGCCGACTGTTTCACTTTTTATTGTTGAGTTGTAAGAGTTCTTCATATATTCAGGATATTAAACCATTATCAGATATATGATTTGCAAATATTTTCTCTCACTCTGTATGTAGTTTGTCTTTCATATTCTTGATAATATCCTTTGACGGACAAAAGTTTTTCATGTTTATGAAGTCCAATTTATCTATTTTTTTCTATTGTTGCTAATGTTTTTGGTGTCAAATCTAAGAATCCACTGCCAAATCTGAGATCATGAAGATTTACTTCTATGTTTTCTTCTATTAGTTGTATAGTTTTATTCCTTATATTTAGGTCTTTGACTTACTTTGAGCTATTTTGTATGTGTAGTGAGGTAGCAGTCCAACTTCATTCTTTTGCATGTGGTTATCCAATTGTCTCAACACTATTTGTTAATACTATTCTTTCCCCCATTGAATGTTCTTGGAATCCTTGTTGAAAATCAGTTGACCATAGAGGTCTGCGTTTATTTCTCAATCTTATTCCATTGCTCTATATGTCCACCTTTATGCCAGTACCACACTGTTTTGATTACTGTAGCTTTGCAGTGAGTTTTGAGATCAGGAAGTGTAATCCTACTTTGTTTTTCTTTTTCAATACTGTTTTGGCTGTCCAAGGCCCCTTGAGTTTCCTTATGATTTTGAAGATTGGCTTTTCCATTGTTGCAAAAAAAAAAAAGGCCATTGGAATTTTGATAGGGATTGCACTGAAACTGTAGATGGCTTTGGAGACTATTGCCATTTGGATATTTTTTCTAATACATGAAAGCAGGATGCCTTTCCATTTATTTAGACATTTTAAAATTTCTTCCAGCAATATTTTCTAGTTTTCAATGTACAAGTCATTTACCTCCTTGGTTAAATTTATTACTAGGTATTTTGTTATTTTGGATGCTATTATAAAGGAGATTGCTTTTTTTTTTTCATTTTATTTTCAGACTGTTTATTACTGGCATTTAGAAACATAACTGATTTTGTGTGTTGATCTTATATGCTACAATTTTGCTGAACTCATTTACTGGCTCTAGTAGTTGTTGGTGTGTGTATTCTATGGGAATATAGTCATATTATCTGCAAATAGAGATAGTTTTACCTCTTCCTTTCCAATTTGGATGCCTTTTGTTTCTTTCTCTTGCTTAACTGCTCTGGCTAGGACTTTCAATACTATGTTGAATAGCAGAGATAAACATAAACATCCTGGTCTTGTTCCTGATCTTAGGAGAAAAGCTTTCAGTCTTTGTCTATTAGGTATGATGTTAGTTGTGGGTTTTTCGTAAACGCCCCTTTATCATGTTAAGGCATTTGCCTTCTACTCCTAGTTTGCTGAGTGTTTTATTATGAAAGGGTATTAACTTTTGTCAAATGGTTTTTCTGCATATATCGAGATGATCGTGTTCCCACCCCACCCCCTACTTTGTTCTATTACTGCGGTGTACTACATTGGTTGATTTTCTGACATCAAACCACCCTTAAGTTCCTGGAATAAATCCCACTTGGCCGTGGTTTGTTATCCTTTCAAACAACCAACTATTGGTTTCATTGACTCTTTTTCTTCTATTATCTATTTCATTTATCTCTGCTCTAATCTTTATTATTTCATTTCCTCTGCTGGCTTTAGGTTTCGTTTGCTTTTCTTTTTCTAGTCCCTTAAGGTGTAAAGTTAGAGTACTGGTTTCAGATCTTTCTTCTTTTTTAATGTAGGTGTTTACAGCTATAAATTTCCCCCTGGGCACTGCATTCACTGTATCCCATAAGTTGTTGTATGTTGTATTTTCATTCTCATTCATCTAAAAGCATTTTCTAATTCCCCTAGTGATTTCTTCTTTGACACTCATTGGTTCTTTAAGAGTATGTTCTTAATTTCCACACATTTGCAAAATCTCCAGTTTTTCTCATTATTGATTTCTAGCTTTGTTCCATTTGATCAAACATACTTTGTATAATTCCAGCATTTTAAAATGTTTTAAAATAATTGTTTTATGGCCTAATATATGCTCTAACCTGGAGAATATCCCATGTACACTTAAGAAGAATGCGTATTGTGCTGTTGTGGGGTATAGTGTTCTGTATGTTTATTGGATCTAGTTGGTTTACAGTGTTGTTGAACACTATTTCCTTACTGATCTTCTGTCTAGTTGTTCTATCCATTGTTTAATGTGGCATACAGAGGTCTCCAAATATTGTTGTAGAACTGTCTACTATTTGTTTTTAATTCCATCAGTGTTCACTTCATATATTTTGGAGCTCTGTTGTTTGATGCATACTTGTTTATCATTGTTATATCTTCTTTATGAATTAACCCTTTATCAGTAAAAATTTCCTTCTTCATTTTTATGACAATTTTTTACTTAAACTCCATTTTGTCTAATATTAGTGTAACCATCTCAGCTCTCTTGTGGTTACTATTTGGATAGAATATCTATTATTTTAATCCTTTCACTTTTAACCTGTATCTTTGGGTCTAAACTGAGTGTCTTGTCAGTAGCATATAATTGGATCATGTTGTTTTTTAATCCATTCTGCCAATGTCTGTCTTTTAATTGGTGAGCTTAATCCATTTACATTCAAAGTGATTACTGATAATAAAGGACTTGTGCCATTGTGCTGTATATCTTTTTTTGTTCCTCAGTTCCTCCTATACTGCCTTCTTTCGTGTTTGATGTATTTTTTTTTGGTAATATCCACTTTGATTCCCACTTCATTTCCTCTTCTCTCTATTTTAGTTATTTTCTTAGTGGTTATCATGGGGATTATAGCTAACATCCTAAGTTTATAACAATCTAGTATGATCACTCCCATTTTTTTCCTTTTCATTTTAAATATACTTTATTTTTCAGAGAAGTTTTAGGTTCACAGCAAAATTGAGCAAAATGTATAGACAGTTCCCCCATATTTCCTATACACCCATCACACACACAGCCTACCCCACTATCAACATCCTGTATCAGAGTGGCACATTTGTTACAACTGATGAACCTACACTGATACATCATTATCATCCAAAGTCCAAAGTTTACATTAGGGTTCACTTTTGGTATTGTATATTCTATGAGTTTTGACAAATATATAATGAAATGTATCCACCATTATAGTATTACACAGAATAGTAGTCTCATTGCCCTAGAAACCCTCTGTGCTTAGCCCATTCATCTCTGTATCCTCCTAACACCAGGCAACCACTGACCTTGATCACTCCTTTTTAATAATCATAATAGCTAACATTTATTGAGTGCTTACTGTGAAGAACCATGTTATACACTTTTCAATAGCCTTATGAGTTTCCCATTTTACAGAATAAGAATCAAGTTCAAAGAAGTTGTCACTTATCTGAGGCCACGTAGCTGTGAAGTGGCAAAGCCAGGATTCAAAAAAAGTTTGTCAGGCTCCAGAGACTGAGCTTTTTCCCATTCACTGTTGTCTTGATGAGGATGATGATGGTGACAATGGTGGTGGTAATGGTTGTGGTGATGGTAGTGGTGGTATCTAACAAATGTGCTGCCAGGTACTGTGCCAAGTGCCTTATGTGCCTTTTCTATTCAATCCTCACAATAGCCTATGAGGTAGATGCTATCATTATTGCCATTTTGTAGATGAGCAAACTGAGGCTCAGAGGTTAGTTAACAATCTCAAATGCACAGAACCTACTGAGTGGCGGCTAGTGACTACAACTATAATTGAAGATTTTATTTTGACGATCTGCTATCTCTCTTTAGCTCTGAAGATGGCAAAGGTGTAGGACTAGGCCTATCCCTGAAAACTGATTGGTTGGTTTGGTTTTTGAAGTTCAAAATCCAGGGACTTAGCCTTGATATTATTTGGTTCTTTTACAAGCATACATGAGTTCTGACGGCAGTGCTCTCCTATGGGCAAATCTGACTCTGCCCTTGGCTGTCCAGCCTTAGTCATTGTCTTTCTAGTCAGGGGAGGACCGCCCTCAGGCTTCTGGGTACACGACTAGATCTCAGAAATAGCACCCTAATCGGCCTCATCAGCTTTGAAGGAAGCCACTGCAGGAGGGGCCTAAGTAGGCCAACACTTTAACCCAGTTACGTGAGGGCAGCTGTAATCCAGGCTGATCATGTCTTGCTAAGCTCTCTGGGGGAGAAATGTCCAAAAGCGGCTTCCTGTGACCAAGTATCCCTAGATCTCACTATGCAGACACTCCTCTTCCCTTCTGGAAGAGGTTGGCCTAAAGGTTACAAGGGCAGAGCTTAATTTGAGTGACTGCCAGGACTGAGGGGATGTTGGTGGCAATTCCTAACTGCAGTGAAATGCCCATGGCTCAGGGTGCCCTAGGACAAAGTGCTGCTTTTCCTTGAAAGGCTTACTACCTGACTCTTCTTCCACCTTGTTGGAGGAGGTAGGGAAATCATTGTGTTCTTCTGCATGGGCCAGACAGCCACTCACATCAACCCAGGGAGTTCAGGACACATTGGGCTTCACACCCCCACCCCTACTTCTGCCAGCTCACCTCACCTCTGGCAATGACTAGCCCTAGGAGTTCCCCAGGGAAGCAGGCTGAGTTGTCTGGCCAGGCTGCTGTTGGGGAAAGAAAGAAACCAGAGCTATTGGGGCTGGCTGGCCTAGCTTGTCTGACTCCTTCCCTGTCATTTGGCACGGTGGGCTCCCTTATGCAGGTATACTCTGCCTCTTCCCTCTCATGTCCCACAAACCATCTGTCCCAAGAGAGAGCTCAACAAAGTGGGTCCCCTTCTGGTCAAGAAGCAGAAGCCTTGCCTGGCCTGGGTGGATGCTGGCAGGGAAGAAAAAGAGGAGTGTTAGAATGAGGCTGTATGCTAAAAGTCTGTATATTTTTCCAAAAGGGTTTTCTCTAGCAAGAAGATGACTTTCATGGGAGAAGAGGAAGAGGAGTCTAAGTTAACAATTACAGTATTTCATTGACTCTAATATGCCTTAGATTATAAGATGTCTGTTATTTTATATACTGCTGAAAAAAAAAGGTGCTGATTAAACTGTCATGCCACTGATTTTAAGATGCATTCCAATTTTAGTGATGTTAAAATGTGAAAAAAATGTGTCTTAGAGTCCATGAAATAAACTGAGGTATCACCTGTCCTACACACAAACACCCACTCACATACACACCACAGACCGCAACCACACAGGGCACATTAAGGCAGAGTGGGTATGAGTGCAGTCAAAACCCCAGCTAACCTCTGTGCTCTGGGAACAAGCATAGTAACCAAACTGTCTGGAAATAGGAACCCCTTCCACTGGACAGAACTTTATAGAGCCCTCTCACACCCACTGGTCTCACTGGATTCCTCATAGATGTCCTGTGGGGTAAGCTAGACAAGGATATTTACTACTATTTTACAAATGGAGTTCAGGAAAGGTATGACTTTGCCAAGGGCACTCGGGACCTGAAAGGGAAGAACTGGGAGAGCAGGCCCTGCCTGCTCAGTCCTGCTACAATGCTGGTTTGACTACTACAGGACAACAACTATTATTTAGGGAAAGGATAGAGACATAACTACTGAGGTTGTAAATAAGTAACTTTTAACTCCTTTTCCCAACAAAGTTATTTCCAAAACCTCAATATACAAAACAGAATAAAATTGGAGTTGTTCTGGGTGAAGCCAGGGAAAAGGCCAGAGCACCACCCACTCTACTCCGATGCATCCCCCGCTGCCTGAGGTGGCTTCTGAGGCACCTCTCCAGCAACCCTGAGGTGCTGAGGAAGAATCTGTACACCTCTGGAGCAAGGGGGCTTCAACTGTATTGGTAATGTTCTTTTTTAAGCTGAATTTAGGTATTATTCTTGATACCTTTTGGTATATCTTAAATATTTCCTTTTTTAAAAAGGCACTGCTATAGACGGTCAGGTCAAAGAGATGACTCAGAACCGGCCTGGAAACTTGAAAGCAAAAGAAGTTTGCTTTGAATTATGAGCTTGGGTGAGGCCTGGGGACTGAGATTTTTAAAGCTCCCCAGGGGATTAATGAGCAACAAAATCGACAGTCCACTGTACTAGAGGTATCTTGTTAGCGCCGACACGCTAGAAATCTGAGTGTATGTCTTGGAATGCACAGGAAGATCCCTCTGTTCTCAGGGGACAGAATACTAGAGAGCCCAAGGTCTTTCTAAAAATGCAATACTAAAAAGCATGAGCCTCCTGAGTATAGAGAAGGGACAACAGTGGCAGGTTGGCATCACCTGGGCAAGCCCCTTGGATGGAGAAGGGAAGTGTGGAAGGGAGCAGAGAGGCCTGCTGGCTGGAGCAGTGATGGGGCTGAGAATAGGTTGTTGGACAGGAGAACAGCTCTGTGACTCATGCTACTGGCCCTGTTTCCTAGCACAGATGTGTCAAGGAAGCATCCACCCCCACTGCAAAGACCTGCCTCAGTGTGAAATGCAGAGATTACCGGCTGGCTGGGATGCAGGAGTTATTGAAAGTTAGGAAGTCAGCTGTGGAGGGCATCCATTAGCCACAGGAGAAGCCTCTCCCTACTGCCTCCCTGGCTCTTAAACCCCTTTGCCCAGCAGCTCAGACATCCCAGGTGTGCAATTCAGATGCGAGGCAGAGTGCTGACTGTGGGCGGGGCGGGGGGGTTCAGGCAGTAACAGAGTCCTTGACTTTAGACTACATTGGCCTTGCCTGTTGCCAAGGTTAGCAAACCACACATCCTTTGATTAAACCATTGCATTTGTCAGGCTGACATCTGTGTATTTCTGTTCCTCCACTGGCACTGGCAAACCAGGACAAGGGAAAAGCTCATTGGGGGATCAGGTTGTAACCATCTCAAGCTGCTCCCTACCCCTCAGCGGGGTGGATGACACATTCCATGGGCTGGTGGGGCTTTTGCCATGCAGACACCAACTCTGTGTGCCTCCAGGGAAGGAAGGGGTGACCCTGGTGGTGATGAAGAGCTATAAAGGATATGGAAAAGCAGTTGGACACCTTGCCCAGAGGTCCAGGAAAGAGTCAGGTGAACAGTTGCTGTTGGTCTTAGTGCTTTTCCCTCACAATACTGCCTCCTTATCCAGGACACCAACTATATAGAGCCCTGCAGAGAAACAGGATGGGGCCCCTCAGCAAGAAGCTTGAGGTGCCTGGGCAAACAAAGGCATCCCAGCCCCATCCAGGAGAATTCATAGGATGGGCATGGCTTATGTAGCCTAGGGTTCTCCATCAGAGAACAGTGGTGCCTCCTACCATATTTTAGCACTCAGGTGTAAGATCCTTGTTCACGGAGCACTTTCCATGGAATGGGTCCTGTGCCAGGGGCTGGAGGATGAATCAGACCCCACCTGGCCCTCAAGGAGCTTAATGTCTACAGAGGGAGAGAGACCAGTAATGAATCACGTAAGAGGGAGGCAAATGATGGCCAGAGTTAGTACCAGGTGCTGTAGGAGCAAAGTGGACTGGCACCTAACATAGCCTGGGGCTCAGGGAAGACTGCAGAGAGGAGCTAACCTTTGAGTGGAGGCCTTAGGATGAAACGGGAGAGTGGGAAGCTGAGAAAACAGCACAAAGGAAACAAATGGCAAGGACCTGGGAAATGGCGTGGCATGCCAAAGGGGAGTACGATCCCGCTGGAGTGAAGTGTTTCTCTGCATGCTTCTTTTGGGAGTGTGGGGTGGAGGAGATGTAGTTGAAGATGCTTACAAAGCCCAGGGCTTGTATGCTACATGAAAGAGCCTGGGCTTTATATTCTAGAGCCAGTGGCCCAGGGAAGTGATGCAGATCTGCACTGGAAAAGACTGTTGCCTGCAGGAGGGAATACAGACTAGGGTGGGGATGGACATGGTGGTAGGGGCAGATGCACTGCCCAGGGTAGGGATGGCAATGGCCTATGTCATCGTCTTTCTTAGCTCTCTTCCTAAAAAGGAACCCATGGGGAAAGGACACAAACCAACTCTCCTCACCTCCTCTCCGCAGCCTCTTTCCATCCTTCCCCTTCACCTGGCCCCCTTTCTTCCTGTGCCTTTCAGGTCTGCTTTGAGGCTGCTGCTGACAGGCCTTGATTCCTCTGCTTTCTACACTCGTGGGCCTCCCCTTTCTCTCTCATCTTCCACACCACTGCCCGGCTCTCTTTCCACTTCTATAAGGACCAGGGGTCCCTGGGCAAGGGTCTACCCAGCAGTGCCAGCACACTGGAAAGGCAGTGGAAGCTGGTGGAGAGTGGAGAGCATGTGAGCTTTGGGGTCTAACAAAACTAGTTTCCAATTCCAGCTCCTCCATTTATGACTAAACCTCCATGTTCTCACTTTCTCCCTACCGTACAAGGACAGCATTGCCAGTCAGCTAATTGTACTTTGATGGGGATTCTAAGAGGTAATGGGAGGGATTTGGCTCCATGCCTGGTGTGCAGTTGGAGCTACTACTTTGCTGATTAAGAACCTGAGGCAGCAAGATAAGTGACTTTTCTAGGCTGCTAATCTTCTAGTCCACAATTGCAAGACCCTGCCTCATTCATAGCCTGGGTGCCCAAACACTGGCAAATGAGGAGATCCACCTGCACTGGCTGCCAGGTCTGGCTAGCTGTACAAAGACTGCCCAGGGTAGGGATGGCAATGGCCTAGGTCATTGTCTTTTTCAGCTCTCTTCCTGAAAAAGAACACATGGGGGAAGGACACGAACCAACTCTCCTCACCTCCTCCCCACCAGCCTCTTTCCGTCCTTCCCCTTCGCCATATCTGGCCCCCTTTCTTCCTGTGCCTTTCAGTTCTGCTACCCCTCCCTATCTGGCTACCTCTCCTCTCCAGAAACAGCAGCCCAGGTGAAAGCCTGAACAGGGCCTCTGTCCTGTGTAAAAAGGGCCAATCACAGTCATCATGGGCTGCTCAGCAGGTAGCCTTGGAAAAGCAGGTCTGCTTCCAAAGGGTAAGGCTATCTTGTTCATGGTCCGACCCATGCTGGGTGCAGGCCTGTGCTGAGAAGTGCTGGTGCAGAGCTGGCCCTCAGGAAATCTAGGTTGAGTGGGCCTGAATGTGTTTGCCTTCTCCAGCTCAGTCCTCCAGCCTAGCCCAATGCACTTTGGGTACCAGAGAGCCCAGCAAACGTGCCCGGCAGACAAGCCCTCTGCTAAGAGCAAATGGCCTGCTGGGTCCCTGGCAGAAGTAGGCAATGTGTGGGAATTCAAGGGCAACCAGCCACGCAGCTCCCAGGACAAAAGTGTGCTGAGAAAGCCCAGCTGTCCTTTGAGGGTCTTCCACAGTACGGAGGGCCAGAGGCCCCTTTTGTCTATTTTTCAAAGCAGAGGGCCTTCTGAGAGGGTTCTGGGAAGCAAGGCCAGGACTCCTGGGTTCTCATAAATCTTTTAATAACAGTAAATGAAGAAACATTATAACAGTAAGCCCCATGGTGAGGGTTCCTTTTCATTCAAGGATCTTCAACAACAGAAACACCTGAGACTAAAATTCAGAATGCTAAGTACACAAATTAATGACCATTTATTTCCAAAGGCGACTGCAGATACCATTTCGGTACAATCAAAAGGTTTTACAAGACAGAGAAAACACATTACAAAATGCCCCAAGAGGTGAGCAAACTGGTGGGGGCACAGAGCACGCAAGAACCAGCCTGACAAAAATCCTAAGCCTGCTGCTGTTTAGGGAGAGTACAAAGACTGGTTCTAAGGGAAGCCACTGTGTGGGGGTTCAGGGGAGACAGTGACGGGTCTGCCCAGTGCATAGCAATCCCAGCTGGGAACTGAGGAAGGACAGGGGTAGGGGAAGAGGGGCAGAGGCATTTGCTAAGCTCCTGACAGAAACCATTACAGATCAGCCTATCACATTCTCTTCACTACAATAACACCAATATAAATGAAAGATTCTTTAAAATAGAACACAAAATGGACACCAAAAGAAAGCAAGAGTTTTCAAAACAACAGCTTTGTTTGAAATGACTTTTGTTTTGTTTTATTTTTCATGGGGCTTTGTCTGTTTCTTGCCATGAGTAGCAAACCAGTGTACAAAAATGTCACAGACGAGAGCAACAAGCGACTAGGTTTTCCTGAGCCCAAATCAGCTCACTCTATATACACAAAAGGAGGGCTGCCTCCCTGTCACTGACTCTACCCGCCACAAAGCGGGCAGGATGGGCAGTGGGGGGAGCTCCTTCCCAGCCTGGGGCCTTGCCAAGGAGCCCACAAGGGCCTGCAGGAGACCCTCCATAATCAGCGTCAGTGTCTTGTCTAACAGCATCACACATGGTCCTTTTTTCCTCCTCCCCTACCTCCCCTTCAGTAGAAACCAGTAAGAAAATCCTCTTCAGGAGGGGACAGAGGACTCTGGGTCAACATCTACAAATCCAAGGAAGTCTTTTTGGCAGAGGGAAAAATGGCCCTTCTGCCACTCCCTGAGCCACCTAGCTTACCCCCAGGGCACTGCCCTGCCCCAATACCAGTGCACAGAGACCTGCTGACAACTTGCTCTCTGTGGGGAGCTGTGCCCACTTCATAGGACACTGAATTACCAATGATCACAAATATAAAAACCTCAACAGAGGCTACAGCAAAAGGGGTGATCTGACAGCTAGACTGAGGTACTGTACGGTAAAGTTCGCCGATCACCCTGGTTAGCCCGGCGACCCTGCAAGCAGCTTCTATGAATGCGATGAAGTTTGAGGAGAGAGAGAGAAAGAGATTGCTGACTTGGGGAGACTGAGTCTGTGGCTTCAGAACCCTGCATGCCTTCACAGGCTGACAGAGGAACATGTTACTGTTGTGCCTCTGGGAGGAAGATGGGCCAGATCATCTTTGGTGTACAAAACCAAATACTGAGGGCAGGGAGGACCAGAAGCAGGCGTGACTGGGTCTCTGCTATTTGGAGTGGATGCCACAAGTTGGCCAGCTCCACAGACTGTTCTTGGCCCACATCCCTGGCCAAGGCTACCTAGGGGCTGGAGGGAGTACTCTTTTCCCTTCCTAAGGCCATTTGAAAGGAAACTGCCCTCTTCTACAAACACCCTCACACACGCGCAGAGCTCCCACACGCTGGCAAATGGCACACGGAAACCTGGCTGGGGAACTGGCTTGGCACTGACAGGAAAGCCCTGAGGAGGAGCTGGGAAGACAGCCCCACTGGCCACTGGGTGTGCAAGCTCCAGCTTCTCCCTCACTCCTGTACCAAAGCTGGGGCAGTAGAGGGCCGGCACAGGGCAGATATGAGGGCTACCCTATAAGGTGGGCTACCCTGTAAGGCAGGCTGCCAAGAGTCTGGTTGGGTTGCTTCTCTCCACGTTGGCTTGGCCCAAGATAAGAGTGAGATCTGGACCAGTTCAGATGCCTTATGCTCCCCAATGCCCCAAATACAGGCCATGGCTCCTTGTGAAGCCTATAGACTGGGCCCCCTCTATTCTTTTGACCTACATGTTTCTGAGCCAATCTGGCCCCCAAAAGCCCTGCATGCCCCCTTTACTTCTTCCTTCCTCTGACAGGTGGATCTGTCTCTGGCTTGGCCATGCCAGGCATGTGGCTTTTGCTTTCTTCTCTCCTTCCAAGCACCAGAAAGTGCCCTCCAGAATGGGGTACTAAGCTGTAGACAGAGCAAAGGCAAGCTTGTGGAGGATGTCAACATGGGGAAGGCTCGAGCAACCAGGCAACCTGTGCCATGCCACAGAAACGAGGAGGAGGAGAAGGCCTACACAGTCACACCCCTATGACATTCCGGAGCTAGTCTTCAGCTGAGGCACAGATCCTCTGCTGGCAGCAACTCCAAGTTCTGGTGGAGGACAGACCAGGCCCCCAGGGGCTCCTCCCACAATCCCCTTCCAACTTCTCCTTTTGTAAAGAGGCCAAGGGGCACTGAGGCCTTGTGTATTTCCTCATCAGCTATTCCTACATGTAGCAGTTTGACGGTGGGCAGGGCCAATCCAGCCATTCAAGGAGCACCTTCCCTGGAGGGCCACCCTAAGGTGAGAGGCACTAAGAAAAGTTTGGCCCTGCCTTCAAAGAGGGCCAAAAACAAAGCTTACGCATCAAAAGGAGCTCAGGAGAGTAAGAGCACTTGGTGCCCTCCCCTCCTGCTCCCCAAGCCCTGGGGATTGATAGCCTCAATGCCCGCAGGCCTCTGCAGAAGGACGGTCCCTCCCAGGGTTGCTTCCTATAGGTCCACTTGCTAAAATTATGACCACTGAGGCACCGAAGCTCAGTGTAGGTCAAACACGGTCAAACTGGAAATACTGGAACTGGTCTAGGTCAACTGTGTTGCCTAGAGTGGGACAGGGGAAGGGAGGCTCATCAGACAAAATCACCAAATGAGCTTTTCTGTTCTTAAGCAAATCTGTTCCTAGTGGGAGTCAATGTGGAGTCAGCAATGCCCAGCCACTTCCTGCCTGCTTGAGGTCCGTGCATAACTGAGCTGAAGTCCTTCAACAAAAGCTCCTCCTTGTGGAGCACCTGAACCTCCACCCATGAGGACTTAATTCTTTGGCAGCCCCCTTTCAACCTAGACATGGGATTTGGGGGTAGACAGGATGAGGAGGACGTGATGTCCCCCACATTAAACAATTCAGCACTGAGTGTGGATACACTGAAGAAATCTGGCCCTAGGGAAACAACACTGGCCCTGTAAAACCAAGAAACAGATCTACAGAATCTTCCAGAAATGGGCCCTGATGCGAGGATTCTCCAAACTCAAAAACCAACCAACCAGCCAATTCCAGCTCATTCTTCCCTGAAGCTGCCTGAGAGAGGGAAAGAGGGAGGGAGGGGGGAGGGGGAGGGGTGGGGGGAGAGGGAAAGGGAGAGGGAACACATTTAAGGGGCACTCAAGATTAAAATGGTATCTATTATCAACATTTTCCTAAAACAGAGTGTATGATTCAAATCACAGTTTTCTGTGCTCACTTCTGATTGGGATATGCATCAGTTCTCAACTCTCACAGGCAGAACTTACACAGGGTCTGGCCTAGTACTGTATATATCTTGACCCTCTTCACTTTGGATTTGTCATTGCAATAGATCTCCAACCCTCTCAATGGAATCTAGCCCTTGGGCTGGGTGGTGCTCTCACCTCCCACCCCAGGCAGCATCCTGGAGGGAGTGGCTGGTTGGCTGTTTACTTTGAGTCATGGGACACCAGTGACCAGAATCTGGCTGGTTCTGTCTTGACCACGAGCTGTGAAATCCCTCGGCTCTGGGCTTGCCGCTGGTATAGAAACAAGGCCTCAGTCCCCCGTGGTAAGGGCTGTGCTGGAGACTAAATGGGACGCCAGCATAAGCCTGGAGGTCCCTGGCAGTGGAGAAATGAAACACAACCCAATCTCATTGCTTCGATGCCAAAAGAACTACTACTTGTTGTTCCCTTTCTCCTCAACCAGCTGTTGTTAAAGCACCGACAAGCAGAGTGAAAGAGCCGCTCACTGCAATCTCCCCATGTAAGGCCACTAGGAGCAGAGAGAGAGCCAAAGGGAAGGAGGAAAATCCAGCGCCCAGCACTACACCCCAGGCTCAAGGAGACATCGTAGGGGGAAGAGCTGGGAAAGGAAGAGTGGTAGAAGAAAGGGACAGAAAGGAGGAAAAAGAAATACACCAAACATCCTACTGCCCTCTCCCATGATTTTATCAAGAACTGGGTGTTCTCCAAGTCAAGTCACGACTTGCTTCCTCAGGGAGGAAAAAAAAAAAAAATAAGCACCTTCAGTCTATTTTCTTGGCTGGAAGCCGGAGCAAATCCAGCAGATATTTACACAAGGGCCCAGCCATGTATGAGAACAGGATGACCAGCTTCCCGTGGGTCATGGTCATGAGAGTCTGGTGTCCCGAGGCCCAGATGCGATACCAGGGGCCGTAGAATGGGTCTGAGATGGCCGGACACAGCATGTTGTTCAAATTCACTTCGGTGACCTGCAGGGACAAGGGAGGTAGAGTGAGCGTTCACCATCCTTAGGCTTTCTCTGGCTTCTGCCAGTTCAGCCATCTCTACCTAATGGGGGACTAGACAAGGAGGGATTGACCAATCCCCACCTGTTTATAAAGGGATTTCTTCTCTCCCCTCGGTTTTCTGAGTGAGTCAAGCTAGAGGCCTCTGGAGGTGATGGCGGAGGGCCGTCTAGTGGAAAAGCTATTCAGTTTTGCTCACGGTCTTGCCTTCTGTTTGGGCCCAGAACTTGTTGCCATTCCTGAGCATCTACTATGTGCCTAGACCCCGGAGAGGTGTTACAGGCTAAAAGTACAGCCCACAGCGTGGGCCCTGCCTCCACGTAACTGCAATCAATCAAGTGGGGGTGGTCAAAGGTTTACTACATCTGACCCCAAACCAGACAGGGCTCACCCAGCTTTATACACTATGAGGAGGTCTGAGGAGCATACAATATGGGGGCTGAGTCCTCAGAGAAGATTTCATGACAGAAGTGGTACCTGAATGGACTCATGAAAGATGGATGGGGGTTTATGGTGAGGAATGGGGTGAGGGTTGCCCTCCTTGTAGGAGGCGTTGCCTGAGCATGGTATGTAGGGTGACATGAGCACACTGATGCCTCTGGAATCTGGGTCCCAGTGGAGAGCAGCAAGTGGTAAGGGTGTGAACTTTGTACGGCTTCCTCCTGAGAGCGCAGGAAGCATTCACACTGTTGGCAAGGAGCTCAGACTAAGCCCCCAGCAAACCAGAGCAGAGCCATACACCAGAATGAGGAAGAGAAAGTGACTGCTTCTACAAAGGTGTTGGGGACATCAGTTACACGCCCTAGTCATGCTAGGTCACGCGAGGCTCCACATGGCTAATGCTACATTACTGCCACTTGCACACAAAACCAGACATGCGACACCTGCCCCGGGGACGGTCGCGGCACCTGCCTTCCAAAGCCCTTCAAGCCTGTTCACATTAAAGACAAGTCCTCACCACCTCTCAGGGAAGTTGGGGCTTTTATACCATGTCAAAGAGAGGTGGAGAACTCTCTGCCCTCAAGGGTGAGGTGACTCATTCAGAGCAGTGGCAGAGCCAGGACTTGAACTTGGGTCTCCTGACCCCCAGCCCCAGTCCTGAGCTCTTCCTACTCATTTTGCCACTGATATACACTCTTACACTCAGCAATTTTGGGCTCTGGATAACTCAGCTACTGAGTCCAACCATCCAACCATTCTTCATGACTCCAGGAAGTTCTAAACACCCCAGAATGCCACAGGATTTCCCCAACACCACACTTCACTGGCCATGAAGCTCAGGGAAGAGTGCAGCCTTCAGGGCCTATGAATGGGCCCAGGATGGACCCAAGGTCAGAAGACTCCCCCAGGCCAAGGGGCAGGGTTAGGGTCCTGCCTCCCCATGGGGTCCACAACAAACCACTTTCCAGTTGCAGCTCATTGTTTCCGACCCAAGTGGCCATGAGTGAAAGGCATCCTTGCCTCCCCAGGGATGAAAGAAACAGTCATTACTGAAAGACTCAGAAAACTCTTTGGAGAGGCCAAGGCTGTAGATCATAAATCAGCAATCCAGACACAACAATCTGACATCCTGGCCTTTAGCATCTTGCATTTTCAAAACAAAGTGATACGTCAGCACCAACCAGGATTACCAAGATTTATGGAGAACTGCAAACAGAGGGGATAGAAGGGGATATAACCAAACTTACCAGGCCGAGGATCTGCAAGACGCTGAAGTGATAAAAGAACATGAGGCCAGTTGAGAGAAGAGCCCACCGGAAACTGCTGAGGGGCTCTGGAGTGTAAGCACCTGGAGGAAGAGGGGAGATGGTGAGATGGCAGGAATAGTGACCCACTTCACCTTTGTACCATGAGGGTGCAGGTACTGAGGTCACAGCTGCTGCCTGATGACTGTTCCTTTTACTGATCACTGGCAACTACTCAAGAGACAGCCCCACTGATTAGCTGGGTACTCAACCCAGCCCCTTCCTGCCCTCTGTCCTGCCACTTATTTCTAGGGTCACTACAAAGAGAGGACTCTTTTTTTAATCATAAAAGTGGTATGTATTCATTAAAGAAAATTTTCACATGAGTTTGTCTCTTTGGTCATTTTCTCTGCCTCAGGATTTTCTTTTCTTTCTTTTCTAAATTAGTATTTGCAATCTTACTGTACACATAATTGTATACCCTTCATTCCCACATTTATTTCCTCGTGTTTCTAAAGAGAAATGTCATTGAGGAAGTATGGTGTAGTGGTTGAGAATGTTAACTATGAAGTTAGATTTGAGTTCAAATCTTGACTCTACCGCTTACGGGCCATGTGAAAAGTTGTTTAAAATCCTTGTATCTCAGTTTACTTGCCTGTAAAATGGGGACAATAGTACTACCTACTTCTTAGTGTTGAAGGAATAAATGAAACAATATACTGAGAGCTCTTAGTTCAGGGTCTGGTACAATGTAAGTGCTCAGTGAGTGTTAAATGCTGGCATTATCTTAATTATTATTCAAATAACTGAAGAATGTGCCAACTCTCCCCCAGGGATACCAAAAATGATATATTTTCCCTCTATCATTGCTAAAAAGTATCATCCCAGTAGGCCTGGATATATTCCACATCTTGGAGAATGGGGGCATGGTTTATAGGATGTTGTGGGTATCACTCTGAGTGGGAACTCAGAGTGGGGAATGCTGAAGAATGAAAGGGACCTGGAACCCCCACCCCAAGCAATTAGGGTTGACATCATATCCTAGACTATTATTTTCCCAAATCAGTCTTTCACTGATTCATCCATTCATTCAACAGTTATGAGGCACCTTGTGTATTCCAAGTCCTGTGCAAAGCTTTGAGGACAGGAAGATAAAGAAGGCAGGTTCCCTGCAACTGCAGACTCACAGTCAACAACTACAACACAGGGTAGCTGGTGGGATGACTGAGGTCTGCGCCACCTGTTATGGGAAAACAAAACTCAGCCAGGGGCACAAGGAATGCTTCTTGGTACAGCAAGTACTGGTGCAAAGCCCAGAAGGACAAATAGGACTTAAGGAGGGGCCTAGGAATTCCAAAGCACAAGCTTGCATGGAGACAGACAAGAGTGGGGCAATTCAGAGAACTATGGATAAGGGTTCCATGGGGCCACAGGGGAGAGTGTAACGGGGCAGTTAGCAGGTACTAGCCTCAGAGGTTCGCAGGGCTGGTCTGCTCCAGGCTGCGACACATAGGACACTAGAAGCCATGCTGAGGGCTTTGGGCTTCATCCCATGCACCAGGGTCATGAACTCAAATGCCCCAACTCTCAGGCAGATAATTGGAAGCAGGGGTGCGACCAGGGCCTAAGAGACACTAGGGGATGCTGGAGACTGTCAAACTGAAAAGCCCACACCCCTTCTAAAGAGGGCAACCACCACTCAGCTCCATCCAATCATTGCCCTGAAGGGATGTGCACCCAGAGTTACCAGTTCTTTTCACTTTTGCAAGAGAAGCCAATATATATGAACTTTTATGTGAAATTTCCTGATTTTCCAATGTTGGCGACTAATTCAAAATGTTTTAAGAACATTTTGGACCAAGCAAAACATGTCTTCTGAATGGATTTCAGCCCATGGGTGGCCAGCTTTGAGCTCTGCTGTAGAGTCACAGAAAGCAGAAGTTTTGAAGCAGTAAGGTGAGGTGATCACGTGTGTCTGCAAAGGATCACCCTGGCTGGTGTGCAGGGGATGGACTCAAGCAGACAGAGTCGAGGCAGGGAGGCTGGTAAGAAGATTGCTACAGGAGCCCAAAAAGAGAACAGGATGAATGGCCTTGGAAGGCAACAGCAGTGAGGCTGGAGGAGAGTGGGGGGAAAATCACCATGATGTGGAAGAAGATTGGAGAAGATTGTTGGGGAGATGGGGGTTGGTAAGGGAGAGGAAGGATCTTGGAAAACTCCCAGTGTTCTGGCTGGGGTATCACTGGGTTGATGGTGCCATTTATTGCCATGGAGAAGAGAGGAAAAGGCAGATTGGGACAGAAGGGAAATGATGAGGCCAAGTTTAGACATGAAATTGAGGTGTATGTGGAATATCCAAGTGGAAATGGGTCTTTGGCGGCTGCCTGTACTCTAGGACATATAGTGTGATGGATAAGAGCATGGGCAGTGGAGCTCAACAGGTAGAGGTTTGCAAATCCTGGCCCCATCACTTATCAACTTTGGGGCCTTGGGAAAGTCTCAGCATCTCTTGAACTCGGTTCTACTCACCTATAAAATGGGGTGGCACTGCCTAATTCACAATGTTGTTGGAGAGATGAGATGAGATAATATACCGTAATTACAGTATTGTATCTGGGATTTAGCAAATGCTGATTATTTTCATTGTTATATGAGTCACAAACTCAGTGGAGAGGATGGGGGCGAGCATGGAGATGTAGGTGTCATCAGCACACAGTGGTAACTGAAGTCATGGGAACATACGTAGAAAGAGAGAAGGAAAAGGCCAGAGGCAGAATGCCAAGGAAAACCATGTAAGGAGAGCATGTGGGCGAGAAGAGAAAGGAGACTTTCTTCAGTGACTAAAGTGGGGACCAGGGCTGGGGGCTCTTCTGTGGAAGAAGCTCAGGCTTGCTTTAGGCTCATGGCACATCTGAGTCAGAAGGCCCTTGCAGACATAGATATCATTCCCTCCATTTTATAGATGGAGAAATTCCAGGCTAGAAGATGGGCAATGTCACAGCCAAAGTCATAAGAGCGGAGCACTGGAGAAATGAACTCTCACGCACTGCCAGGGGACTCACTAGGGAGCTCAACGCTCCTGTTGCCACTTGTGAAGGCCTCCAGCACACAAGTTGGATTGTCTCTTCCCTTGTCTGTCCAACCCTCTAGACCAAGTGCATCTCAGGGTCAAGGACCATGTCAGGCCACTTCTGCATTCCTAGCATCTAGCACAGTGCTTGGTGCGTGAAAATGCACAGAGCTATGCCCTTAAGGCATGCACACATTCCTGTCTGCTGAATGAGTGTGGACTGGGCACCGTGTTGTCACCCTGGCTGCGGTGGGCATACAGGGGAAGAGGAGGCCTGGAGGACAGACAAGGGCTTAGGCTGCCACTCCTCCCACTGCTGGAGCCCCCAGTCCTGTTGTCCCGGGTGCCCCCTCCCTCCATCCTCTCTGCTCGGCGCCCCCTAGTGGCAGATGGGCAGCAGTGACTGAGCCAACAGGCGGTGGCAGGAAAGCCCGTGGGTGTTGGTGGGGGGTGTCCTCAGCCAGGAGGCAGCTCTGCAGCCAGCCCTGTTATCATGCTCCTCCCGTCTTGCCCCATGCTGCAGAGGGAAAGGAACACTCAGAGATACTACCAGGGGACACTGTTTCTCAGTGCTCTCACTGCCCCTTGCCCAAACCCCGACTTTAGTAGCATTCATTCTGTGCTGCATCATCCATCCCATACCAGACTGTTAGTTCTCTGAGAGAGGGGCTGTTTCTGAATTACCTCTTCACGTCCAGCACCTGGTACACAGTGGGCACTCCAAAAGTAATCACTGCTTGGGTGAATGAATGGTATAGACTTTCTGGAGAATCATAAAATTATAACTCTTTGCCTCAAAAATACTACTTTGCGGACCACCATCAAATACCTAAAAACTCCAACAAACCACCCTAATTTGCGCAAAGATATTTACACCTGCACTATCTATAATACTGAGAAACTGGAAACAAACCAAGTGGGGAGATAGTTACATAAACTATGGTACCTCAACATTGTGCAACAGAGTCCACTACCATTCAAATGACAGCCAAACTATGTATCTGTCTATGGCTGGTAATGGCAAGGACAAAAGACAAAACACCAGGCAGTACACAAATGGCAGAAAATACAGCTTAGTAGTTTAAAAACAAAGGCCTTGGGGCCATGTAGCCTTGGGTTTGAATCATGGCTCTGCCACTACCCATAGGAGTGACCTTGGGCAAATTGTGCTGCCCCTCTAAGCCTGTTTTCCTGCTGGTGGGCTGAGGGTAACATCTACCTCTAAGGGCTGGTGAGTGGAAAAAGAGAGATAAAAGTATATACGACAGCTATCCTGGCATGCAGATGGCTGCTGCTATTTTTTATCATGGCGACCACAACCATCCAAAATCTTATAAAAGACTAGAAGATGATGGGGCATCTTCTAAAGAGGTGATCTTCTCTATGAAGGAGGACTTCCACTATGGCTTCCATTGCCTTTCACTGTTACTGATTCTTTTCATTGAAAAGTTGATCAAGTATTCAATTTTTTTGAAAAAATAAAAAAAGAAAGTACTCTGAGAATAGATGATCCAGTCTACACAGATATATGCAAATTGTATGCAAACACATATCATTCTCTTTTCTGTATACCTGCATGTGGCCCTTGGGAAAATCCCAGTGAAAAACCAGTTTTCTTCTAAAAGAAAACAGAAACTTAAGCACTTTCAAAAAATTAAACATACAAAACCTTTTTCTCCTTTAAGAAAAAATGTGACATTTTTTGCTAGCATCTTATATCCCAGGAAGAGAGAAGCATGTCAGCTGTAAAGGTAGGGGAAAACCTAGATAATAGCTTTTTCTAAAATCAATTTCTGCCAGAAGCAAGTTTTATGAGTCCTGGGAAAGAAGTCAGTTGCACCAGCAGCAGCCAAGACTGATCCCCACAGGCCTCCCAGGGGCCCCTTTTCTCATCCTATAATCCCACCCATGAAGGACTTATACTAAGGAGATGAGACTGGGCAGTGTGACATCCCACTCTCTAATCTTCTTCCTGCTTCCTTCAACTCACTCACTTATTCATGGTACCCATTCACTCAACATCTACAGAGTCCACATTGGGAGTAAGACTCCATGCCAGACAGTGGAAAGAAGGAGGCAAAGATGGTGGTCCCCACTCTTGGGAACTACCTGCGTTTACAAGTGAATAATGCAATGGTGTAGTTAGGTAAGTGCATTAAGTAACAGGGACACTGAGGAAAAGTAGCTGGAGAAGATGACAGTTGAGGTGAGCTTTGCAGAACCAGAAGGGGTTAGGGTAGGGCCTTGAAGGAAGGAGAGGTTATAGCCTGAGAAAAGCTGTGGAGACATGAAACAGCATGCTGTTTGTGTGCAATTAGAAGGAGTTCTGCGTTACTGGAAAGGAGAGAACTTTGTGAGAAGGGACACATGTCAGGAGATGAAGCTGGAAAAACATGCAGGTGAGGCTGGGTCATGAAGAGCCTTGTTTGCCATGCTGGGAACTTGGCCTTTATCTTATATACAATGAGAAGCCACTAAAAGGTTTTAACAAGGAGAATAAAAAGGTCAAATTTATGTTTCAGCTACCTAGACTGCTCTAGCAGCAATGTGGACAATGGACTGGAGAGGGACAAGACTGATGACAAGTTCAAATGGTACTGCAGTGGCATAGAGGACTTGGCAATTTGTCAGACAGGAAGGAGACATCTAGACTAACTTCCAGGTCTATGGCTTCAGTAACTGAGAGGAGGTAATTTAGAGAAGAGATGAGCTCAGGTTGGAGCATGCCAGCACTGAATGCCTATCCACTACACCAGCAGATGTCTCCAATAGGCTGTTATGTCCAGGTCTAGTGCTCAGGAGAGGGAGATGGCCTGGAAACAGGACTTGGGGTATGGATAAGATCAATGAGAAAGAGTCCACAAAATGTGATAAAAGGCTGAAGGAGGAAGCCTGGAAAATAGCAACAGTTAAGTGGCTAGCAGAAGGAGAAAGATCCATGAGAAGTCAAGAATGAAGACAAAATTAAAGAGGCAATCGTAAAGCTAGGAGAGAGGTGTGCTGGAAGTCAAAAGAACATCAAGTTTCAAGAAGGAAAGGATCAATAATGTTAAGTGCTCTATTACTTGCACCAACCAATAAATAAGGTAGCCACTTGCCACATGTGGCTAATTACATTTAAATGAATTAAAATTAAGCAGAATTAAAACTTTGGTTCCTCAGTCACATCAGCCACATTTCATATACTCAGCAGTCACATGTGCCTGGTGGCCACCATATTGGACAGTGCAGAGATAGAGTATTCCCATCACCACAGAAAATTCCACTGGGAACACACTTCTCTATAGGGGTACAGTAAAGGCAAGCACTTCCACTGGGTTTGGCAACATGCCGATCACTAGTTAGTAATCTTTGCAATAGCCGTTTCAGGAAAGTAGCAATGCAAGAGCTGGATGAGGAAAGATGAAGAGTTCTCTATGTGTACAAGGTAAGGAAGGAAATTCCAGGAAAAGGGAACAGGATAGGCAACAATCACAGATAAATCATTAGCTCAATTCCTATGTTCTCAATCTCTTCTCTGAATGTTCCCTTCACCCTTTTGTTGTTACCCAACCTACCTCTCCTTGCCTGCTTCATCTGTGGCCCTCTAAAGTAGTGACTGATTTTTCTCCTTTGGCCCATGTAGGTAGAGTGAATAACTTCTTTCTTTTCATTGTAGTCCTAGACGAGTGGCCCTCCCTTCTCACTAAAATCCTACCACTACCATACTGTACCACCCGCTATCCTTCCCTTTCACAGTCATCTACAGACATATGGGTCATGGCCCTCATTCCTTTAGTACCTGGCTCACTACCACTCATCAGATTTCTTGTTAATTTCAACATGCATCTAGATGAACCTTCCAGCATCCTGGTCTGTCAGTTCCTCGGCCTCTTGTTCTCAATGACCCTGCTCTCTACCACATCTCAGCCACTCATTATCATGGTCGTGCCTGAGACCTTATAATTATGTATATCTGTAGCCCCTCCCTAATCTCCAAGTCAAGCATTCCCACTTCAACCACCACTTCTACCTTTCCAGCTCACTCCCGATAACCATGACCCCAATACTTCTTTGACCCCACTGGAATCTGTGATCCATTGGTCCTACCATCTTTTTACTGTCCCTCATGGCTCCCTTTTCTGTCCTTAAATTCCATGGCCCATGATTCTAATTATCCCTTGCATACGCCTTTGACTCCATTGTTCTTCTCATTATGGAATGATACTCAGCTGGAAAAAAAACCCAGCCCTGGTTGAATCCAAAGCTCCTCCTCTGCCTTGCTTGTCCCTCACAGCTGAATGTACTAGAGAAAAACAACAGCGCTGACTGTTCTCACTTCAAATTCGTGATCACAAACCTCAAGTGCATCTTTCATGTTGCCAGGCAATCATACTGTATTTCCCCAGTCCATTCACTCTGTCACGCTCCTAGGCCACAAATTAATATTTTCTCTCTTCTCGAATCTTTAATACTTCTATCCCATTTTCACTCTCAGATATTAACCTTGCTTCCCACTTCACAGAGGAAAAAAAGAATCAGACAAAAACTTCCATAAGCTTCCACAATCACATTTACCCATCTATCTGCATCAGTGCCCAGTATGGTCTTCCTTCACTCCCCTGCTCCCTGTCACCACAGATGAACTGCCCTGTGTCCTAGCCAAGGCCAGCATTTCCACTTGCATCCAGATTCCATCCCCTCTCCCCTACTCAACAGCATCACTCCAGTCACTGTTTCGTCATCTTATGTCAACAATTTCTTCCTCTCTACTGGATTAAGTCCATTAGTGTATAAACGGAAAGTACTTTAATAGCTCCCGTTCTAAAACCAACAAGTCAACACTTGACCTCACTTCCCCATCTGGCCACTACCTCACTCCTCTGCTCCCCTTTATAGCTAAATTCCTTGAAATAATTGTCTATGCCAGTGCTGTCCAATGTGGTAGTTACTAGTCACATGCAGCTGGTGGGCACTTGAAATGTGGTTAGTTTGAACTTGAGATGTGCTGTTATTATAAAATGTGCACTGGATTTCAAAGGAAATCCAGGAAAATATCCTGGTAATAATTTTTATATTGATTATATTGGAATGATAAAATACTGGATATACTGGGTTAAGTAAGATCTATTATTAAAATTAATGTCACCTGTTTCTCTTACCTGCTTTTAATGCGACTACTGGAACATTTGAAATTACATATGTGCCTCACATGTTTTTATTGGACAGCACTGGTATACTCCCTACCTAGAATTCCTCTCTCTTACTGTTCTCTCTTAAACTCACTCTTATCAGGCTTCCCTCCCTCCATCAAAACAGCTCCCATTAAGGTCACAAATGACTTTTTCATTGCTAAATCCAATGGCCAATTCTCAGGCCTCATCCTATGTGCCCTGAGGACAAAACAGGGTGAGGCTAGAGGCTGGGAAACCAGTTAGGTGGCTGTTGCAATAAACGAAGTCAGGGATGATCTGACCTGAACTAAAGTTGGAGTAGTGGAAATAAATTTGAGAAATGATCAGAAGGTCAAATTAATAGGATGTGGTCACTGATTGGATGGGGGCAGGGATAGGAATATAGACCAATGATTGGCTTTAGATTTTTGGCCTGGATAACAAATAGGTGATGGTATCACTGAAAAGGATGGGGAACATCAGAGAAGGTACAGGTTTGGGGATAGGGAAGAGAATGACAAGTTTGGTTCCTGACAACAATGTATTCCCATCTTTGGTACTCTTTAAATGAGATACCTCCATTTTTAGCCTTTGTAAGCTGTGGCTGCCTAAAAGATATCTCAGCATGGCACAACCCCAAGATGATCGTGAATATTTGATTCCCCATTCTTAGCCACTGAGTGTAGGCTCAAGTCAGGTTTCCCCTCATCCAGGCATTTGACCAAAAAAACCTATCCTCTATTCTGTTTACTGTACTTGGAAGTGGAGGATGTCCTGGGTTAAGTGTTCACAGGGAAGGTCCATCTTGTCAACCTCCCATCCTAAGAGGCTGGAGAGTCTACCCAGGCCATGCTTCACCCTGGAAGAGCCTAGTTGGGGCTGACTGGCCACCCAGCCTGTGGCTAAGGCAATTTAAAGACCCACCTTCATCCATGAGGATCAGAGAGGCAGCCCCCTGACAGTAGTACACAGGATGAGGGCCCTGAATTGGCAAAGAATCCAACAGGTGGACCTGACCTAGCAGAATATGCACTGAAGTCCAAGGACCCAGGTCCCAGCTTCTACTCTTACCTACTCTTACCAAGCTGCTGTGTGACCTTAGCTGTGTCTCTGCTGAGCTTTACGCAAGGGGGAGCCAACTCTTGGATCATCTGAGGCAACAAGGTTTCAACTCGTTCTGTATCAGAATCCGCTACAGCAGTGGCTTTCAAACTTGAGTGTGGGTCAAAATCAGAATCTCTAGGAGGGCTTCTTAAAATCCAGCTTGCTGGGCCCTACTTCAGAGTTTCTGATTAGAGTTTCTAGTAGATCTAGGGTGAGGCCTGGAATCTGGAATCTGAGAATTTTTATTAATAACAGGTTCCCTGGTTAGGCAGATACTACTATTCCAGGGACCACACTTTGAAAACAACTGTCCTAGGGAAGTTGTGGAAAATGCAGCTTCCTGGGCCCTGCCCCATAGAGTTGAATCCAGGAAGTCTGAGTGGGCCCTGGAATCTCCACTGTAGTAACAAGCGCTTCAGGATGATCCTGATGCTTGGGTCCTCCAACCATATAGGAGAAACACTGACTTAGAGGGAATCCTGGAGCTGGAAGATGAACCAAGAGACCTGGGAAAAGCTGCCAGTGAAGGGGACAGAGTCTGGCCAGGTGTGAGGAGCAGTGTCTCCTGGAAGGTGAGAAAATTAAGGCAGAAAACACTTGACTTAACCATTTGCTCCCACAAAGGACTCCTGAGCACCAATCACTTCTTCCTCAGCAGGGACAATCCAGTGGTCTTCAGAAACTCACCTACCCACCTGTTGCACAAGGCTCAGCCCTTCGCCAATCAGTCAAATCCCTCAGGTCCCCCCTCATCCACTAACCCTTTAGGAGCCTCAGGATTTACCAGAGTTCCTATACTTTCACCTGCCCTTACCTGACCAGTATAGTGGAGCAGGGAAGCCTCATGGAAGAGGGGAACTTCTCTAACATCCTAACACTAGCTAGATGGGAGGGGCAATGGGCTCAATGGTATGGAGGAGAAACAGGAAACTCAGCCTGGATACTGATGTCAGCATGACCTTGGGGCCAGTTTTTGAGCTGCCATTGGCCAAAGTACTTCCGCTTTAACTGGTCCCAGAAAGTAACTAGCACAGGAGGTCCAATCCTCATCCTCCAGAAGATGAGCTGAAAGCCCACTCAAGAGAGAGGTGGCCTGCCTAGAACAAACAACACTGAGGTTCTTAACCCCAGTTTCTTGAAATGTCCTCCAAAAACATCTGAATTGCCTGTATTTCAAAACAGCCTTCTCAGGCAGGCACGGTGGCTCACGCCTGTAATCCCAGCACTTCGGGATTCAAGGCCAGCCTTGGCAACACAGTGAAACCCCACCTCTCCTAAAATTACAACAATTAGCTGGGCATGGTGACGCATGCCTGTAATCCTAGCTATTCAGGAGGCTGAGGCATGAGAATCCCTTGAACCCAGGAGGTGGAGGTTGCAGTGAGCCAAGATCACACCACTACATTCCAGCCTGGGTGACGGAGCAAGACTCTGTCTCAAAACAAAAAAACAAAACAAAACAAAAAAACAACCTTATTACTGGGTGTCAAGCCTGAGGGTCACTGCTCAGCAATTCTGAAACAAGAGCTCCCTCTAGTGAAATAGAAAGGGATTTCCCAGCAGACTTGAAGCAGGCCCTCCACCCCACCCCCTGCACCCCAGCAGCCTGGGGAGACCAAAGGACTCCTTCTCAGAACAGTGTTTGAAATGCATAAAATAAAAGCCAAAGGAATTCAATTATATTAAAACACAGTTACCAAAATATTTTTAAAATTTTGTAATATACTAATTATGTTTCTTTATAAATACATTTAATCACAAGATCTAGCAGCAGGCCTAATAACTACCATCACTTTCAAAGCAGATGAGCATAAACACTATCCTGAGATGGCCGCTACTACTGAAATGTGATAGGAAGCCATCTGTGATTGCTACTGACAACAAAGACACAGGTAGGGCTAATACCACTGGTGCTTGTTGTCTGCGTTCATGTGCTACATTTCTGCTAGAGGTCAGTGAAAATAAAGATGTGACTTCCCCCCATTCAAGTGAATGAACCCCTTAAGATCCTATTTGTGAACCCCAGGTTAAGAACTGCTGCCGAAATGAAAACAAACACAACCAACCAATCGAAACACATCACAAGGATGAAGAGAGGGGAACTCCTGAGTTGTGTCACCAGCTGTAGGCAGGACCAAGCTGTGGGCCTAAAGCTGTGTGGGCACTTTCCTCCAACCACCTTGTGGCTGACTTCCTCCCAACCCATCCCACTAGAACCTCTGGAAGCCCACCACCACCACTGGCCTGGGGTGTTTATGATCAACCAATCTGTCTATACCTGCCACCTTTCCCCAGAATGTCCCTTTCACCTCCTCACCCTAAGGAACCCTGGCTGTCCACTGAGGGTGTGATTTCTTCCACTAACAGCTCTGAGAAGGCTGTTCTTTTTTAATCCTTCTATTCCTGCAGCAATTTTTTGTGGGGGAAGGGAAGTTGAAGATTCCTCTAGCCCTCCATTATTGCTTCTAGACGTTTACTCTTCCCTCGTTCTCTTTCAAGATTCAGTTCCTCCTCTTTGTCACTGTCACCTGTTGTTGGCCTCCAGGTCATTGAATTCACCTCAGATCAGTGTCACTTAGCTTACCACCTTCTTTTATACCTTTTCCTGATGGCATTCTGGGTGATTTTAACATCCATGCAGGCACCTCTTCCAATACCCTAACCTCGTGGCCTCCTGAACCTCCTCAACTCTACAGGTCTACTCCACCGCACTAACCACAACCTGCCTTCTGTCATCACTTTGAACTGCCCCGCCTCTGCTGGGATCATCTGACCACAACCTCCCGACAGTTCAGCTTTCATATCCTTATTCCTACTATGCGCATGCCCCTAGACCTCCTCGTGACCTGTGATCCCTTGATGCTCCTTACCTCCCTCCATAGAATTCCTCCTTGTTCCCCAGCTCTCTTCTAGCCTTTCTTCCACACCAGCTTGGACCCCATGGCCTCGAACTCTGACACCAGCACTCTCAACTCCCTGGTGGGAAGCAGAACTCTTCATCCCCCTCTCCCCACACTTCTATCTATCCCCTCACTAGATCATCCCCAAAGGGTGGCTTACTAAAGGTGAGAACCTAAAAAACTGCTCAAACCACATTTTATTAGATTAGTAGGCAGGGCCACAGTATATTGGCAAGCTGAAACCATACTAATAATAGCAAACAACTTATATACCACCATTACATGACAGGGACTGTTATAAGCACTTTATATATTAATACATTAAGTCATTTAATGCTAATTACAACCACATGAGGAAGTACTGTTATTATTTTTATTTTACAGATGAGAAAACTGAAGCTTGGAGAAGGTAAGGGAACTTGGCCAAAGTCACACAGCTAGTAAGGAGGAGAACCAGTATTTGAAACCAGGTAGTCTAGCTTTGTAATGGGCAGCATGTGTATTTCGTCGTGCACATCTCAGCAGAACCTGTCTCTCTGCATAGCCAGGCCTCTTCACTTTCCTCTCTAGCTTCTCAATGCCTTTGATAGGGTGGAAAGTATGGGGGGGCCTGTGCTACACATCTAGCCACATTATATTCTCTAGGTACAGAGTGGGAAGCTCACCTAGATGTTGAGAACAAAGCTGCAAGCTCTCGCCCAGCACTAAAGATACTGGATGCCTGCTCAGCTAATAATAAAGTGCTGCTCTGTCTCCCATTCTGCTATTGCTCCTTGGGTGACCTGTCCTTGGTCAGAAACCTGAAAGCAATACAGTGCGTTGCAGGATTACCAAAACTCTCCAGAACCCCTCAAACATCCCTCACTTTCTAGATTTTCAACAATACTGACCCTACTTACAAAGCCTCAACATTGGACGGATCCCTCCAGCCAGATGTCCTGCACCTCCACTTAGGCTGCTGAACCCCAAATGGGGTAACCGTACAAACCAGTGCCAGAAAAATCCACGGATTCTTCTTTCAGGAGGGCCCCACAGTGCCAGTCACCAACCTTCTAGAGCTATGTTGTCCAATAGCCACTAACCACATATGGCCATTTAAATTTCAATTCAGGTCAGGCAAAGTTGCTCTCACCTGTAATCCCAGCACTTTGGGAGGCTGAAGTGGGTGGATCATTTGAGGTCAGGAGTTTGAGACCAGCCTGGCCAACATGGTGAAACCCCATCTCTACTAAAAATATAAAAATTAGCCAAGCATGGTGGCATGTGCCTGTAGATCCAGCTACTCAGGAGGCTAAGGCAGGAGAATCGCTTAAACCCGGGAGGTCGAGGTTGCAGTGAGCCAAGATCTCGCCATTGCACTCCAGCCTGGACGGCAGGATGAGACTCCATCTCATCAATCAATCAATCAATCAATCAACCAACCAATCAATTTCAATTCAAATTAATTAACCTTAAAATCGAATGAGAAATCCAACTCTTCAGTCCCCCCAGGCACATTTCAACTGTTCAAAAGCCAAATGTAGCTAGTGGCTACCATGTGGAATAGAACAGATATAGGATATATTCATCATCACAGAGAATTCTATTGGACAGTGTTGAGAGAGTCTAGGCTTATCTCCTTCTTCCATTTCCCACAGCACTTATTTCTCTTGTCATTACCCTTCTCAATCCACCACCAAACCCCTGTCATTCTCAGCAGTTGTCATCAACTTGTAATTCATCCACTCCCCTTTCTCTCTGGTACCTTCAATGTTCCCTGGCTCTACTGGGCTTCAGTTTAGCATTTGAACATGCTCAGCCCTGGGGCAGAGAGAAAGGGAAAAGGAGGTGAAAAGGAGAGAAAGGGAGGGGGAGAAAGGAGGAGGAGAAACACCCTCCCTTGGCTCTGTAACACCCTTAACCCCTCCTTCCTTAATGCCCTTAACTTCTTCCCTGTAATTCCCACTTCTCTGAGGACCTGATTTTACTGTACCTCTTAGATCCAACATGGCTTGGCTAATACCACTTTGGGAAAAATTTCTACTGCCTTAGTTTTCAGGACAACCAGCCTCTCCTTCTATCACTGATCTTTCCTGCAATCTCCTTACACTCTTCTTCTTCTGTCTACTGTTTGCAAGTTGATGTTCCCCAAGGCTTTCTCTAAGTCCTATTTTATCCCTACCTACATAGTTACCCTGGACCAGCTCATTCATTCCAATGTTTTCATCTACTAGTTCTATAACCACTGATACTAAAGTCAGTGTCTAGTCCAGATTCCCCTGAACAGCTCCAGAATATTTTATCCTAATGCTTCCTGGGCATCTCAACCTAGATAGCCTATAAGCACCTCAAACTCAAGTAAAATCATCTTCCTCGCTGCTATGGTCTGAATGTTTATGTTCCTCTCCTCAGATTCATGTTGAAACCTAATGGTCAATGTGATGGTATTAAGCGGTGGAGCCTTTAGGAGCTGATTAGGTCATGAGGGTGGATCCCTCATGAATGAGATTAGTGCCCTTATAAAAGATGCCCAAGGAAGCCTGCTTGCCCCTTCCACGTGTGAGAACACAGTGAGAAGACCCCATCTAGGAGGAACAGGCCCTTACCAGACACTGAATCTTCTGGTACCTTGATCTGGACTTCCCAGCCTCCAGAACTGCGAGAAATACATTTATATTGTTTATAAGCTACTCAGTTGATAGCATTTTTGTTGTAGCAGGCCAAAAAGACTAAGACACTCTCTAAAACATGCTCCTTCCTTCTGCGCCCTCTTCTCAGTTAATGATACTCTATCCCACCCAGTCACTCAGGCCAAAATTCAGGGGCCTCACGGATTTTACCCGCATCCTTATTCCCATAGCACCTCAATTACAACAATTATTAATCAACATCTTTAATAAATAAAATAAATCAATATCCAATATTAATTATCTTAATCTCCCGAAAAGATGTGACTACTGCCACCTAGTGGCAAAATACAGACAACTAGAAATGGTGGTTACTGCATATTATAATAAAGTATAATAAAAGTACAAGGAGAAAGGCACATTAAGGAATACATGCCCTTGGCTGCCTAGGAAAGTCAGAGACACCTCCAGAGAGGAGGTAGTACCCTTGAGCTAACTTGCAAAGGAACACACGAAGTTTGCCAGGTTTCAAGTAGAATAGATAGTATGAGCCTGGACACAAAGCAAGGAAGGCTGGGCAAACCTGTCAGCAGATAAGTTTATTCAGAAAGTAAAGTAATGAGCTGGGCACAGTGGTATGTACCTGCAGTCTCAGCTGCTTGGGAAGCAGAGGCAGGAGGATCACTTGAGCCCAGGAGATCCAGGCTGCAGTGAGCTATGATTGCATTACTGCCCTCCAGCCTGGACAACATAGTAAGACCCCATCTCTAAAAAAACAAAACAAATAAAAACCAGAAGGTAAAGTGATAGAATCGGAGTCTAAGCAATGAGAAATGAGGCCAAAGAGATGGACAAGAATCAGACTGTGAATGGTCTTGAATGCTATGCAAAGAAGTTTGGTCTTCATCCTGGATGGGATTTTTAAGCAGCTGAGCAAAATCAGATCAGATTTCCTCTTTCCTTAAAATGGTCACTCTGGAGACTGTATAGAGGATAGCCTGGGTAGGAGGTAGGGGAAATCAGGGGGCAGGGAGAGGAGAGAGGAAGCAAAGTAGTCCTGGTAACAGAGGCTGAGAGCCCACAGTCGGACAGGGGTGGTGAGGATGAGGAGGAAGGGCCAAATTTGCAAACAATTTTGAGAATTTAAACTGTCAGAACTTCTGAACTGATTGGTAAATGGGAAGACGCAGAGGAAGAGATCTAGGATGTTGCCTACATTTTTTGCTTTGGTAGTGGATGGAGAGTAGAGCCACTAACCAAGACAGGAAACAGAGGAGGAAGACAAGCAGGATGAGAGAAGGGGTACAGAAATGAGGAGTCTAATTGTTATTTTTGAAGTACCTGTACTGCTTCTCAAGCCTGTGTTATCTCTATTGATGAAGAACACCAGGATCTATGGGGCAGGCAGAGCAAAAGAGCCCAAGGAGAAAGAACCAGAGAAGTAGGAGAACCAGGAGAAAGAGGTACCCTGGAGCTCAAAGGAGAAACAAGTGTCTCAAAGGAGGGAGGACCAGTAATGTTACATCCACTGACAAGCATGCTCTCAGTTCATGCAAGGTTCTGCGGCTTTAGAACACAGCAAGGCACAATCCTGACCTCTAGAGACGGCAGTCTAGTTGGAAGAAAGATGAATAATTAACACAAGGCAGAACAGTGGGTAATTAATAATTATACAAACCCAATACATAGTATTTACTATGTGCCAGTCATTGTTCTGTATACTCTTCATGTATCAGCTCAGTGAATCCTCATAACACCCTATGAGGTAGGTACTATTACTACCCTCATTTTGCAAGTGAGAAAACAGACACAGAGAGGTCAAGGTACTCGACCAAATGCCAGAACTAACTAGCAAGTGGGATAACTAGGATTTGTACCTACAGTCTGTCTGAATCCAGCGACTCCATGGACAGGCAGCATAGAGGCATCTCTGCCCACCTGGTTTCAAACACCAGTTTAAACTCTAGTGCAGGCCAGGCACAGTGGCTCATGCCTATAATCCCAGCACTTTGGGAGGCAGAGGCAGGCGGATCACTTGAGGCCAGGAGTTCCAGACCACCCTGGCCAACATGGTGAAACCCTATCTCTACAAAAAATGCAAAAACTAGCCGGGCGTGGCAGCATGTGACTGTACTTCTAGCTATTCTGGAGGCTGAGGTGCGAGAATTGATTGAACCCGAGAAGCAGAGGTTGCAGTGAGCCAAGATCAGGTCACTGCACTCCAGCCAGGGTGACACAGTGAGTATCTGTCTCAAAAAAATAAAAATAAAATAAACTCTAGTAAAGGGACTCCTAACCTTGGTGGTACTATGCACTCCTTGGGCAGTCTGGGGAAGTGTAAAGGCTCTCTCTCAGAATAAAGTATTTAAGTATACGAAATAGAATATATAGGATTATAAAAGAAAATAATCATGTTGAACTATAGTTATCAAAATGCTTTTAAAAGGCACATCTGTTTTTAAATTTTGAGGTAATGATGAATGCCAATGATTTTTTGAGATATCTGCAACAACTCTAACATAAGAGGAAAATAAGTGTAATTTACATTAACAACAGCATGCCAAGTGCTGCTAATGTAACTGTGGTTTGTTATCTACATTCCTTACTAAAGGATATACCACAAAGTCGGCCCTCCATATCTGCAAGTTCCGCATCTGTGGATTTGACCAACCACAGATCAAAAATATTTTTTAAAAATGAAAATAACAATAGTAAAAAAAAATACAAATAAAAAACAGTATAACAACTATGTATATAGCATTTACATTGTATTAGGTATTATGAGTAATCTAGAGATGATTTAAAGCAGGGATGTCCAATTTTTTGGCTTCCCTGGGCCACATGGGAAGGAGAATTGTCTTGGGCCACGCATAAAATACACTACTGATAGCTGATGAGCTGAAAAAAAATTTTTTTCAAATATAATGTTTTAAGAAAGTTTACAAATTTGTGTTGGGCCACATTCAAATCCATCCTAGGCCACAGGTTAGACAAGCTTCCTTTAAAGTATACAGGAGGATGTGTGTAGGTTAGATGCAAATACTACGTCATTTACATTAGGGACTTGAGCATCCTTGGATTTTGGTATTTGTGGTGGGGGAAGTCCTAGAACCAATTCCCCATGGATACCGAGAGATGACTGTATTTCAGTTGCAGTTAATGGACATAAAGATGTGATTATTTTTCTCATTCAAGGTCATGGGCCTCACGTGATGTACTCCCATAAGTCTAGTGGACACTGTGGGAATTAAATGAGATCAAGATCACACATGTAACAAACCCAGTGCCTAGTAAACATTAGCTTGTAAGATGTATAATAAATTATGTGCAATTTGCAGTACAGGAATACATCCCTGAATAGAAGGTCATTCATTCATTCATTCATCACCTACATACCAAGAAGAAATGAAAAATTCCTGTCCTCAGGGAGACCAGCATGTAAAGACTATACTGTGAGGATGACAAAAATGGGAGGAACAGAGGCAGCTGGCGGGAGCTGGGGTAGAATAGTTACAGAGGGCTTCTTGGAGAAAGTAACTACTGACATGAGTTTTGACAAATGAATGTTTCTAGGCCCACAGCTGGAGAAGAGCATTCCTGGCAGAAATCACAGCATTTTCAAAGGCACAGAGGCATGAAAATTGGATAAAATACTCAGGGAACCCCAAGGATTTGGGTATCACCACAGTGTACAGTATAAAGAAGGGAGTGTAAAGACATGAGGTTGGAGAAGGGGTTGGGTATCAGGTCATACGGTCTTGTGCACTGGGGAAGATGGGGGGCCACTGAAAGCTTCCAAATGACAAAGAGCTATGATCCTATTTGAGCTATAGAAGTAGCTCCAGGAATGGGCTTAGGGGGAGCAAAGGAGGCTGGCTGGAGAGAGATCACACAGAGCCAATTATCATCATTGAGGGAAGAGATGTGCAAGGCTTGGCCCAAGGTACTGGTCCTAGAGATGGTAAGGAGAGGATGAGTCTGAGAGATATTTAGGAGGTAAGAGCAGGAGGACCCAGTGATTTCTCCACACAGCAGCCAATATGATCTTCTCCACAAGCAGATTGGATCATGTTGGACTATTTAATAAACAGTGTGGGGACAAATGGGAAGCCAGCTGGAAATAAAGTTGGATCTTTATCTTGCACTGTATATCAGGATATATTCCAAGTGAATAAAAGACTTAAATGTAAAAAATAATAATAAAAGGAACTATAAACATACCAGAAGAAAATATGGGATATATATTTTTTATAACCTTGGAGTAGTAAAGGGCTTTCTAACCATGACTCTAAATTCAGATGCCATAAAAGATAAATTACATAGAAAGGTAAAAATTCAGCTGGGCAGGGTGACTCATGCCTGTAATCCCAGCACTTTGGGAGGCCGAAGTGGGCAGATCACGAGGTCAAGAGATCAAGACCATCCTGGCCAACATGGTGAAACCCCGTCTCTACTAAAAATACAAAAATTAGCCGGGCGTGGTGGCACGTGCCTATAGTCCCAGCTACTTGGGAGGCTGAGGCAGGAGAATCGCTTGAACCCGGGAGGCGGAGGCTGCAGTGAGCTGAGATCACGCCACTGCACTCCAGCCTGGCAACAGAGTGAGACTACGTCTCAGACAAAAAAAAAAAAAAGAAAAGAAAAGAAAAAAAAAAGAAGAAGAAAAAGAAATTTTAAAATCCTGCATGGCAAGAATAAAACATTAGCAAAGTCAAAAGAAAACACAACTGAGGACAATATCTGTAGCTCATATCATAAAGGGTAAACTGTTAATATTTATATGTAACAAGCTCTTAGGATTCAAATTTTGTAAAAAGGCCAACACAATTGAACAATGAGCATGTGATAGGAGCATGTAGTTCAAGGAAGAGGAAATCAAATGCCAATTTTATTTTATTTTATTTTGTTGAGACTGAGTCTCACTCTGTTGCACAGGCTGGAGTGCAGTGGCACAATCTCGGCTCACTGCAACCTCCACCTCCTGGGTTCAAGCGATTCTCATGCCTCAGCTTCCCGAGTACCTGGGAATACGGGCATGCGCACCACCACACTTGGCTAATTTTTGTATTTTTAGTAGAGAGGGGGTTTCGCCATGTTGGCCAGGCTGGTCTCGAACTCATGACCTCAGGTGATCCACCCACCTCGGTCTCCCAAAGTGCTGGGATTACAGGCTTGAGCCACCATGCCCAGCCAAATGCCAATTTTAAATATGTAAAAAGACACTTGGCTTCACTCAAAGTGAAATTAAAATTAAAATCGAACTGATATACCTTTTTTTTTTAACCCATCAGATGGGCAAAAATCCAATTTGGTGAGGTTGTGTAGAAACAGACACTCTCATACATTGCTAGTAAACATTTAAACTGGTACAACTTTCATGGATTTGGAAATATCCAACAAAAATACAAATGCATATACTGTGATTCAGCATTACCACTTCTGGGAATATATCCTATAGATATTCTTGCACACACGCAAAATGGCAAAGGTACCAGTTCCTTCAGTGCAGTGTTATTTACATTATCAAAAGATTTGAAACAACCTAAATGTCCATCAATAGCAGACTGAAAAAAATAAATTATGATATAGTGTTGTAACTTTGTGTTATGATTAAAAGCAAGAACCGTGGAACCATACTACTGGCTTCAAATCCGGGGACTGTCACTTGCTATTTGAGTACCAGTTTCCTCTTCCATAAAAGGGAGATAATAATAACACCTTCCTAACAGAGTTGTTATAGGATTAAATGAGTTAATGCATGGGAAAAGTGTGTGACAATATCTGGCATATAGTTGTCTTATGTCAAAGCTCTGCCATTTTTATTATACTGTATTCTATCATCCACACAATGTAATATTATGCCACTATAAAAAAAAAAGAAAGAAAGGGGGAGCTTCTTGTGGGCTCACATGGAAAGCTCTCCAAGAAATATTGCTAAGCAAAACAGTAACAACAGGATGGTTGTGTATTTGCTATTTTAGGATGAATGTCTGAAGAAGGGGGAAAATATTTTTAAAATTTACTTGTATATGCAAAAAAACAAACTCTGGGAGGATATACAAAAACCAAAAATAGTAGTTACTCGTGGAGTTGTAGCAGGGAACTATATGGATGGAGGGAAGGGACGGGAAATATATTTTTCACAGTATGGCTTTTTATATTTTAGATTTTTGAATTAAAATGTGTAAAATGTGCAAATAAGTTAAATCAGAGAAGAATCAATTGGTGAAGCAAGCTGATGTTATATCCCTTCTTCACATTTTCACAGGCTTCCCATAGCTTTGGCAATCAAGGCCAAACCCCTGACCATGGGTGACAAAGCCTTCATATATGACGCCAGCCTGCCCCTCAGGCCCAGTGTCATCCACTCCCCTTGTGCTCCCCATTGCCACAGTGCTGTTGTACATGCCATTTTGCCCATCTACAAGAAGTCACCTCCCCTAATCCTGTACTTGCCTAATAAGCTCCAACTCACCCTTTGGATTTCTATTTAAATGTCATTTCCTCAGGGAACTCTCCTCCAAACCCCCAAACTCAGTCAGCTTGTTTTGTTCTAAGTTCTCATAAGAGCATGTTCCTTTCTTTCAGAGTACTTATCTCAGTCATAACTATAAATTCATGTGATATTTGATTCATATCCATCTCCCCACTCCACCCCCACTAGCTTATAAATGTTATGAAGGACAGGGTGGTGTCTGATTTTTGCTTATCAGGGCACCCCAGTGGTCAGTCTGGATCCTGGCAGGAAGAAGGCATATGTTAATATATGTGAGATGAACGGATGCATTGCATACAGGAGGCAGGGATGATTCCCAGTTTTTAGCTGGGGTGATTGGATGCTGCTACTTGGCACGAACCACAAGAAGAGCAGGAGGGCTGACAGGGAAGATAATGAGTTTGACACAGACAGGTTGGGTTTGACATATGCTTGAGACATTTAGGTAGAGAAGTTGAGTAAACTATATGAATGTGACTCTCGTAAGTCTGAGCTGTAGACAGTGATGTAGCAGCCATAACTAGACAGACTAGTAGTTAAACCGTGAAAGCAGGCAAAACCATACCAGACAATTAGAATGAGATGTGAGCCTAGAACAGAACTCAACATCTCAGAGGAGTGAGAAAAAATAACCTGTGAAGGAGACTTGAGAAGACATGATTGGTGAGGTAGGAAAGCCAGGAAAGGGAGGAACTTTGGAAGCCCCGAAGCAGAGCAATCCAAAACGGAGTGATCAATACCATCCAATGCAACAGCATTCCGTAGGATAAAGACTGAGAGATGGTCATTAGATTTGGTCAGACAGACGTTGCTGGTGATCTTTAGAAGCACCATTTCTGTGAAAAGTCTGGTAGAGGGTTAGATATCAGAGTAAATGGTCTGAGGAATAAAGGGTAATTGAGAAGAAAACTCAAGGGCAGACCCCAGTGTCTCCCAAAGTTATGCACCATGTATGAGGTGATTTCAGGTGGCAAACAGATAAACATTTCATTTTTAATAGTTTTGTATATAAACTGTGTTAAAATAGATAACCAGTAAATCAAAGCCACAATCTCATGGATATTATGGGGCTTCTCTTGAAAGCGTATATATTTTAGTTAAAAAAAAAAAACTCAATAGATTTAAGGACATGTATTACATACATAATAACACACATGGTTACGTGGATAAGACAAAAATTGTCTTGCCCAAAGAACTAAATTTTAGAAAATGTTGTTTAGATTATTCTTTTAGGATGCTTAGGTGTGAAGGGAAGAGGGAAGACAGAGTTGTATGGGATTGCGAGAAAGTTTCTTAGAATGGGAAAGATTTGAACATCTGTATTGGCTGAAAAGCCAGCAGTGAAGAGAGGGTTGAAAATTCAGCTAATGGCCAGGTACAGTGGCTCATGCCTGTAATCCCAACACTTTGGGAGGCTGAAGTGGGAAGATCACTTGAGCCCAAGAGTTCAAGACCAGCCTGAGCAACATGGCAAAACCCTGTCTCTACACAATACAAAAAAAAAAAAAAAAAAAAAAAATGAGCCGGGTGTGGTAGTATGTGCCTGTAGTCCCAGCTACTTAGGAGGCTGAGGTGGGAGGACCATGTAAGCCAGGAGGTTGAGGCTGCAATGAGTCGTGATTGCACCACTGTACTCCAGCCTGGGTGATACAGTGAGACCCTGTCTAAAAAAAGAAAAAAAAAGAAAGAAAAAGAATATCCAGGTACATAAGTGATTAATTGATAGAATGAGGCTCCAGAGGTGGTAGCAGGGGTGGGAGCTAATCGCACAGGGATATTATTGGCCAGAACAGAATGAACACCATTTCTTCCAGGATGAGAAGGAGGAAGATAGGGATGGATGTGGGTAAAGAAGCTTGTAGAGGTAGAGAGAAGTGTTGAGGAAATTTCCATCCCAAAACCTCAATTTTCTCAGTCATTTGTGGGGAGAGGGGGGATCTATTGAGGGTGGAGAGAACAGAAGGTTTGAACAGAGTAGACAGGAAATTTGAGGAGGGTGGTAAAGATTTAGCACAGGACTTGTGAGGGCAATGTGTGGAGGAGCTGGCCATAGACAGAAAATAAATTGAGCAATGGTGTTGAGAGCACAATTATAATAGACATCATGAAATTTTCATGGCCCTAATCAGAATGGCTTGAAAGAGCTCCTCCAGTAGGCCAAGACTGGGCACACTGAAAAGGCATGGGACACTGATCCCAGTTGGAAGGGACAAGGGAGGTGAGACACTTTCAGGAGCTAGTGAAAGTTTCAATGATAGGTCATGGAGATACAAGCTGAATAGGAAGAAGAGGAAAGGAGTGGAGATTTGGGTCAAAGAAAGAACATAACAGGAGTTACGTTCTCACATAGAGGAGCTTTACGGGAAAACAAGGTCCTGGTGGCTGAAAAGAAGGGAATGCTGAGGTCACTGCAATTAAGAAGCCCAAACCTTGAGAAGCTGGGGTGGATGGGTGGTCCTTACAAGAAGTCTCTCAGGATGTTGGCTCAAATTATAATGGAAATATTGAGAGCTACAGGCCAGTGACTTCTAGGAATATAGGGGAAGGGACCAAGAGGTCAAGTGATGGTGGTGATGAAAAAAAAAGAGAGAGAATAGTAAAAGAGAAAGCCTTTTTCCCCTAACGTACAGATGAGATAGTGCTCTAGAAGAGACAGAGGGGGCTCTGCAGCATATGGGGCAGGGCAGAAAGAGCAGCCTCCATTAGAGGAAGCTGTAGGCAAGAGACAGGAAGGCTCTGTGCCCCATGCAGAGCTGCCGGTGGGGTTGGGAGTGGTTTGTAAGAAATATAGTTTGTTAATTAGCTTGATTCAATCATTCTGCATTGTATACATATAGCGTAGCATCACCTTGTACCCTACACATATATAAAAGCATAATTTGTCAGTATCTAATAAAAATTAAATTTAAAAATACTGTAACACAGAAAAAAAAGAAATAGAGTTCCAGAGGGCCACAGGCAACAAGTTTGAAGGAAAGGAAACAGGGAAATGAAGGGACAGGCCAGAGGAAGAAAAGAGCAGTGTGGATGAGAGAGGTCCCATGTACTGTGACAGTGCATAAGGTCTGCAACAATAAGGGATGAGTGGGTTTCCCACAAGGCGCCACCTACCCACCCACCCCAAACCATAGGAAGAGGCACTATATGCTCAAGCAGGACCTTGCCTTTCAGGAAAACAGGGTTCCTGGGCATGGGAGATACCTATAGGAGAGCTGTCTTGTACTGGGTAAAAATTGCTAAGCCATTTATTTCTACAAAATTACAAGCGACTTCTAGGGAACAGAAGCCCCAGACTCTCGGCTTTCTTGGTTTACAGAAAACTAATCTTCTGACAGCTTGCTTCAGATCCATTCTCCCTCTGCAAGGCCTAGGTCCAAGGCTTGGGATCAAAGGTGAAGAAATCCAGATGTTTCTCTCAATGCTCATAATTCCCCCCAAGTGAACAGCAGATGGCAGTAAAGAGCTGGAAAGGGAGATGGGAGATGAGCCCTCAAAATAGCTCAAAGTTGGCCAGATAGAAGGTACTGGGGCCCATCAACTTCTGCGGGGTGGTAGATGCTCTCATTGAGGTCCTGGAGTAAAAAGTCAGTTTGGTGAGATCACTCCACTGGTGCTGCAAGCTAAACCCTCACTGCACCAGGGTATCTATTGGTTATTAGCAATAACAGAGCATACTGTCTCTCATTACAGCCCTACTATCTCTCACCTCGCCACTTAGGGAACTGGGCTATCGGGAGGATCTGCTCTAAGGAGATACAATTATCTTAGAGTTAGCCAAGTCTTGAGGATGTGGCTTCCTGGATTATTCTTTTGGAGGGAGGAAAGATGGCTACTTGGTATTTTCCATGTCAGACCAGTCTAACCCAGCTACCTGACAGATTTTTATGGTGACCTTAGAGTACAAATATGTTTAAATAACAGCCATGCAGATTTGGCTAGGACTTCCATCACACACCTCAGAAGCCAGGAACGATGAGTAGCAGGGTTCTGAGGCCCAGGAACACCTATCTGCCTGGTTCTATTCAGAATGTGTGTATTTCTGAGACTTAATATTAAGAGGCTGTTTCCTGTGCCACAGGGGACAGACCTGAGAAATGGCACAAGTCTCCTGGATATTGGAACTTCAGACTTTCCTTAAAGCCTCGTGAGGAAAATAGTGCTTTTACAGCAAATTAAAAGGAAGTGTTTTGGGACATCGTGAGACCCCAAGTGGCCGCACAGGGTAAAAGCAGTCTCAAAGAATATTTAGGCAAGTATGGAGAACTGATAGAAATCAAGGCATAGGAGGCAAATCTCTGGACTATAAGTAGACTCCATCCTGTAATATGTTCCTGGGTTGACCAGTCCTTGGGGCTATCTCACACCAGATCTTAAGATCTGCCGGAATGCCTGATTTAGAGCATCCACGCATAAGCCAAGAAGCAGCAGTGCCCAGCAGAACTCCCAGACTATCTTCCAGTGAGCTCAAGGGCCCATGTGGCCTCATGCCACTTTCAGTATGGTAGAAATGAAACCCTTGCTGCCTGGAGTGAGGTAGGAGCAGAAAAGTCTCAGCAACTGAGATAGAGAGGCTGGGGCTAAAACTAAAAGAGGATGACTTCCAGTCACAGGGCCTTTCAGAAAGTAAAGAACACTGAGAAGGAGTGGCTCTCACAACAAGCCTAGATGGATAGGCACCCCTTTCCTTTTGTCTGTTACACAATAGAGGGAAGGGATAATCTAAGGGTCACTGAGAGGTTACAAATAGATCAGCTTCCTTTCCAGGCTGCCTCTACCAGGTTGGTGGTCTCTCCCTCTTCACCAAATGAAGGTTTTCAGTGGTTTATTTTACATGGGTGACCACCACTCTTTCACCTGCCTCTCCCCTCAATCCCATAATTGCCCTGGTCCCCGGACTTCTTGCCCCTTACAATATCTTCTTTTGTTCTTGAGGGGACCGAGTGCTTTACTCTCTCCTTCTATCCCACACTGCACATTGAGGCAGGGGGAAGGCACAAGTACAAGAAGGTGACAGTGTGGGGGGCTCCATGCAAACACAATGCCACCATCAAGAACCCAAAGCCCAGGCCCTGTGACAGACAGTCAGCAGCACCATAGTCACCCAGTGAAGGGTGGGTCTAAAAAGTCCCCAGACCCCTTGCAGGCCTCGTCCATTCCCATCTCCCCACTTCCTGGTGCCCGGCATAAATTATGTTGAAGAAACTCAGTCAAGCGGCAGCTGAAGATCCTGGGAAGCACCCAAGAGGCTGTGACTCCCAAAAACAGAAGGGAGAGGTTAGGTGTGGGGGTTACATAGGAATGTGGTTTGCTGGCCTTACCTCCTTTCCAAAGCAGGTAGATGGGTACCACGTAGAGCATAACATGCTGAATGTAGTAAATCTCCAATTCAAAGGGGAGCTGTGAGGATAGGAGGGAGAGAAGTGTTTTAGAGCAGGAAGCATTCATTTCAACAGAGTCCAAAGTTGACCTCCCCTGCTGTTCAGGACCCATATTTCAGCAATCCCATGCATTTCACCAATTCACTTCTCTTTACAATTGCAGGAAAAAAAAAAGAACAAAATGAATATTCTTCTGATCTAGATCAGGATCTTCCTAGATGTCTTTTGTAGAGAAGGTACTTGTAAATGCTCCACTAAGAAAGTTTGGTTAAAAATTTAGGAGATGTAGTATATAATATATCCCCTTGGTGGTTTCCCATGTGTATTATTGGAATATGAAGGACCTGAGTGGCCCCTACAGACAAAAAACATGCCATTGTTTATCCAGTGTTCCCCAAACTTATTTAGCAAGTGATTCTTTTTTTAGTAACAGTTTGTATTCTGCAAAATACTTTAAGAATCACAACCTTATGTCACTTCCTGCTCCTGGAGACTAGACGGTAGACTATTTACAAGTTTATTTCTCATTTGACATGAAGAATATATGGAGTAGAATTATCCCCATATTCCAGATGAGAAAAAAAAATGATTGCTAGGTCTCATAGGGTCTAGATCCAAGAATAAACTTTCCCCATTGGATATTTGGGTGTCAGCCCAGCATTAGCCCTACTTTTGAGTTTAGACCAAGCTTCTGGGCCAATTTTGGCACAGCTTACCAAAAAGAATGTCCTCACTTTCCCTACATCCAACACACCCACTCACTCGCTCCTGTTTCCCATCTCTCTCAAAATGGAATCTCTGTATTCTCAAAGCAGAGCATGTTTTGACCTGCCACAGCAGCCCTGCTGTAGAGCTTCGCAGCGGGCAGAGAATGGAAACAGTTGGGTGGCTAACTCAATTCTGGGGAAAAAAGAACTTTGGCAGCTGACAAGAGGCCTAGCCTCTTGGGCTTACAGAATCTCTAACATACACACACACGTGTACACACACACACACACACACACACACACACCCCAAAGTATGCCAGGACAGACAAAGGCACCCAGGGGAAAGGGTCAGCTGCCTCCCTGTTCCCCACAGGGCAAGCACATAACCAAGACTGTCTGCTAATGAGAGGAGGCAGTTACAGGCTCCCCAGCCACAGGAGCCCAGGTCTGTCTTATGCCAAGGGCTGAAACCAAGAAGATGGCAGAGCTCCCAGAATGGGAGCTGGGACAACTGTGGAGGCTGGACACAGACGTTGGCTCTGGCTCTTAAAAATAAAAATCCACACGGAAAATAATTTCCCAGGGACCCACATGCTGCTCAACTATTACTTTACACTCACCAAGGGAAATGTAAAAACTGAGAAAAGGAGGTAAGAGTCCAAGTATCACTGTAGACCCCAGCTGGAAAAGGTCATGAAATTGGACACTGGGCATTATCAGCACAAGGTAGCTATGGAGAGGCCTGAGAGATCTACACTGGACCCTCACAGTAATGTGGTCTGAGATCACTCTAGTATCTTAAATTTAGGTACTGCTTTATGCTTTTCAAATGATTTCACATCCACAATCTACTCAATGTCTCAAAATACCCAGGAAGCAGACAGGTAAAGTATTATCCTCAATTGACAGATGAGGAAACTGAGGTGCAAAAGGGTTATTAACTTCACTGAGGTCACCTGGAAAATAGGGAAGGAAGGAAAAAGTCCCAAGAAGGCTTAGCTCTCTGGCTGAAATCAGCACCTTCATGCACCTAAGGGACTTGACCTGTCCCTGAAATGGGCCTGGGAAGCCAGGCTGCTCTCCCCAACCAAGGAGCCGGGCCAAGGGCATGCAGCCACTAGTCCCAGGTGTGTCCTCAAGCAGTACTTCTCCCAACCTCTCAGACTCCAACTGCTGACCACCCACCTTGACTCACATTGCCCACCTGCCTCACCCTGCCTCCCAGCTCTCCTAGAAAGCAAAGTCTCCACCTGAATGTCCAGGGAGGCAGTTAAGCATTGCAGTTACAAGCTAGGACTTTGGAGTATGTCAAAGCTGTGTTCTAGATTTGACTCTGCTGCTCGGTAGCTCTGTGGCCTTGGCCAAGGCCCTTAACCTCTCCACCTCCGTTTTGGCATCGGTAAAATGAAAGTAAGTCTTCTAAGATTGTTGTATGATTTTTAAAATTTTTAAAATATAACAAAAACTCACATCGTACTTCTTTTATGCCATGAACTATGAAAATCACTTTGTAAACTGTTAATTTAAACAAATCCTCATAAGAACTGTATTGTTCCAATTATATCCATTTTAGAGATGGGACACTGAGGCACAGAAAAGTTAGATAACTTACTCAAGGATACATTCTCATTCGGTGACAGAGCCAGGATTCAAATCCAAGCAGTTTGGCTCTAGAATTTATAGTCTTAGCCAGCACACTCAGCTATCCTTTGCTCACTCGCTCCCTCCCACAGAAGGCCGACTGACAGGAGATGCCCCGTGGGGAGGAGCCACCCTTATGAATGGGAGTAGTCATAGTGGTATCAGCAACAGGACCAGGGGCAGGACATGCACATGTCCTCACTCGTCCCTCCACATGGTGATTTAGCCCAGTCCCTTCCTGTTCAAATGATCCTCATCTTCATAGCATGCTCTGCCTACTGTCTGGTGCCCCAGCCACACATCACACAGTAGCCAAACTTGCCCTGCAACATAGGCCTCCCAGCTCCTGAGCCTCTTGTCACTGGCCCTTTGCATCTCTGCAGCCACCATGGCTACACTACAGACTTCAGATGGAATGGCCAAGAGACTGTCCCCACCAGCAGTTTCCTTCCTCTGATGGCTGCCTCACCCCTACTCTAAGACTTCTCTACTTCAGGGGGCCACAAAGAGTACTGAACTAGGTGCATATGCCACTGCAACCAAAGCCAGGGGAGGGAAAGAGGAAATAGGTTAAGGAGGAAGTGTGGAAAAAGAAGGAGAGAAAGGGAAGAAGATGTAAGAGAAAGGGGGTGAAGTAAGAAGAAACATAATGGCAAGAATAAGAGAGTTGAATGGGAGCCAAGAACTTACCACTTGTCATTTAATAGCAAATCATATTTAAGTACTTATATTATGTACCATGTACTGTGTTAAATATTTCTATACGTTGATATGTTTTGGCTGTGACCCCACCCAAATCTTATCTTGAATTGTACCTCCCATAATTCCCACGTGCTGTGGGAGGGACCCAGTGGGAGATAACTGAATCATGGGGGCATTTTCCTCCATACTGTTCTGGTGGTAGTGAATAAGTCTCATGAGATCTGATGGTTTTATAAGGGGTTTCCCCTTTCACTTGGCTCTCATTCTCTCTTGCCTGCCACCATGTAAGACGTGCTTTTCACCTTCTGCCATGATTGTGAGGCCTCCCCAGCTACATGGAACTGTGAGTCCATTAAACCTCTTTTTCTTTATAAGTTACCCAGTCTTGTGTATGTCTTTATCAGCAGCATGAAAACGGACTAATACACATAGTGTTATCTCATTTAATTATTACAACTTTCCTATGAAGTAGGGACTATGATCATGCGCATCTGACATACAGGAAACTAAGGCACAGAGAAATTAAATAACATCCAAAGAAACAGCAATAGGCACAGGGACAGGGGGAAAGGGCAATCAATAATGGAGGAAAAAGTTTTTGTTTTTGTTTTTAAAGAAATAGGGTCTCATTATGTCACCCAGGCTGCAGTACAGTGGCTATTCTCATGCACAATCATGGCATGCTACAGCCCTGAGCTCCTGGGCTCAAGCAATCCTCCTGCCTTAACCTCCCAAGTAGCTGGGACTATAGGCATGCACCATGATGCCCAGCTAAGACAGTTCTTTACTGAGCACCGAGTCTGGGCTGAGTTCTGGGAACTTTCTCAGCGAGCCTCCCCTGACCCTCTTTTCCCCATTTTACAAGTAATATCTGTGAAATGCCATACTTCCCTAGAAAGAGTTCCACTTGGTTAATTCATTTCTACACACTAGAGAACTCATACCTGGAATTCCACTCTAATATACATAGCCTGGTTCTTTTTCAGCTGGAGGAATCCTGAGGTTATAGACAAAAAGTCCTGCATCAATGCAATTTAAAGTCAAAAGTAATAAAAATGCTTTAAGCAACACAGGTCATTAACTACCTTCTCACAAGTCAACATCCTTTTTAGAATCAAAAGACCAGAGTGGTAAAGTTCTCTAGGGCTCTAGAGTTTAGACTGTCTGAAACAGTAGGTGCGTGGACTCTGTTCGTGGAAAGAATCTCAACCTCCTTCCTCCCACTCTACAACCCTGACAGCTACACCACTGTCCTCTGCCATGGAGACCACTGATCCCACCACGCCCCTACTTCCCTGTTTACATCAGTCACCTGAGCAGTCCCTTCACCTTTTTTCTTTAAGAAAAACTTAGTTCTTCCTCTCTGAAGACACTGCTATCCTGACAGCTCTCTCAAGTAGTGGGGGTTTTTCTTCTCATATAACCTTACACAACTGGGCCAAGGGAGTGCCTCTCTGTGCCTCACAGATGTTTCTAAATTGCTGTCTCTTCCAGACCATTCTCTCTGCCTCCTTGCTAACCACTCTGCTGATTTGAATCTCATGTCCTGAGACTATGGCACCCACTACTCCTTTCTGTTGCAGTCATTTACGGATTTACGGCCCCCTCCATGTATACCCTCCCTTCTTCAGTCCTTGAAGGTTTTGCCTTTCCCCTCCCTGTGATGCCTTTCCAACATTCCTTTGTCAAAATCTCTGCGGTATCAATATTTAGCAACACCCTGGCCTCTCAATGCCTTGCCCTCCATGCTCCTCAAGGTCTCCTCTCCATTTTACCTCACACCTTTTTCACATGGTCACACCAGTTACTGTTAATGGCTGTGATCTCTCCATAACCTCTGTCATGCACCCTACTATCCAGCCACCACCTTGTGTCTGGCCAATTCACTCCCTCTAATATCCCTACTCTCACAATTTTCCCACTTCACCAGGACCTACAGTCTTGATCCTACCACCTTTTTACTGCCCCCTCACCAACCTCATGTCCTCACTTCTATGCTCACCAGCATTGAGTTCAAGGCCCATCACTTCCTTCAGTACATTCCCAACTCTCCTGACACACTCTCTCTTTTTGTCCTACTTACCTTGCAATACCACATTCCTGGCTAAATCCAACTGTCTGACTTCACATCCCTAAACCCATGCAAGCAAACATGTCTGGAGAAAAATATAAAGCCATGCTATTAACCCTTTACATTCATGACAACAAACTTAGTGCCAGACTTTCATGCTGCTCTACAATCTCACTATATTCCCAAGACCATTTACTCTCCTCTCTCCCAGGCCACTATTTCACAACTTCTCCTGCTTTCCTCAGACCTTCCCCATCCTCGCTCTCAGCTGAGGAAATGGTTTCCTATTTCAGTGAGGTGAGGGGGCATGGAGAGCCATTAGAAGATAACATGCATAAGCTCCCACCTCCATACCTCCCTCCTCCCTGCACCCATCCCCACAGCTGCTTTTTCCTCTGCTACTATGCAGGAAGCACCTGTGCTGCTGGCTAAGGCTAGTACCATCACTCCTGTACTAGATCCTATCCTTTCTCACCTACTCAAGAATGTCATACCAGCAATTGTCTGTTTTTCTCACTGGATCATTGCTATCAGAAAACAAACATGCTAAAATACCTTTCATCTAAAGAAACAAAAGCTCTTGACCTCACTTCCATTTGTGGTAGTAATGGAGCTTCCACCTCTATTTCTCTGCTTTCCTTTATACTTTACAGCAAAACTCCTCCAGAGATGTCTCTACTCATCGCCATCACTGCCTTTCCTCTGAAGTATTCTTCCATCCAATTCAATCACATTTTCATTCCTACCATTTCACTCAAATTGCTTTTGTTGAGGTTACCAATGACCTCCATGTTTCTAATTCCAGTAGGCAACACAAGGATGGAAGTTAGCCCACATGGCGTCTTTATGTGAAATAGGCTCTCCTTCTTCTGCCAAGGCTCAACCCCATGCCAGGGTGTCAGAGAGATTCTAGATACCACTCACTCCATTATGCAATTAACAACCTGCACAACTAGAAATACTAGTCCTGGTCTATTTTCAGGTCTCATCTTACTTGGTCCATCAACAGTATTTGATGCAGTTGATCATTCCCTCATCCTGAATAGACTTTCTGTGCTGGGATTCTCGCACATCACCCTCTGTTCTTTCTCTACCTCAATGGCGTTCCTTCTCAATCTCCTTTGCTGAATTTCCCCTATGTCCCTCATCTCTAAATACTACAGGGGCCAAGAACCAATTCCATGTTCCTCTTCTATAGCTACTCCCACTCACTAGGTAATCTTATCCAGGTTCCTGGCTCTAGATACCATCTGTATACTGATGACTCCCAATCGGTATCTCCAGCCTGGAGTCAGGCTGCTGAGATTGAAATTCTGTCTCCATCATTTATTCTCTATACAACTTTGGGCAAATCATTTAATTTTGCTGAGCCTCAGTTGACTTATTCATAAATGGGAATAACAGTATCTACTTCATCCAGTTGTGGTGAAATAATACCTGTAGAATCCTTGGCCCAGTGCTGGCATATAGTAAGTACTCATTAAATGCTGGCTGTTATAATCACTATCCCCCTTTTCAACATCAATCCAGCCAGTAACCAGGAAAGCCAGAATTTCCATCCCAGGCAGTAAGACTTAATGCCACATCTTTCTAGGTCAAAAGCTGGGGTTTCATTTCATCATTCTGCCTTAGCAAGAAGAGATGGTATCACCTGGGCCTGTCCCACAGTCCTAAGTCACACATTAGTATGTTTATCAGATGACTACCAGGGTAACTTTAGCTCCCCACATCAGTCCATTCATTTGGCCTATCTATAGGCCAGAGTTTCTCACTGGAAACTTCTTTATTTCTCAAAGGAAGGTCAACTCCACTCTCCTGTTCTTACCCAAAACAGTCCTATTCTCACTTTCATACTGTTGACCAAAAACACCTATTAAGGCACGCCTAGGTGACAGGTAATGTGCTTGCCTCTTGCTATGTGGCAATAATGAAGACATCTTGCAGGGTAGGGACCCCTGCCCTACAACAGTTCATAGTCTAGTTGAGGAGGCTAACAGATAAGGCAAGAATATCAGTGCAGGAAAAGATCATGGGAGGCCCTGTAGATCATGTATTGGCTTTGGTTTGAATTTTCTAAGTGAGTGAGAGGCATGCATGGTATGTAGTTTTGCAGAGCTCCTTTTGGTGGTTGTGTGCAGGGTTTGCTACTTGAGGCAGAGGGACCAGTTAGGGGCTGGCGATAGCAATGCCTAAACAAAGGCAGACACAGCGAGAGAAGAGAGGATGGGCAGATTTGAGAGAAGGTAAGGAAGTTGAATTGCCAGGACTAATTAATTGACTGGACAGGGTATTGTGCAGAAGTAAGAGAAGATAAGAAGTTGAAGATGACTCACAGGCTATGGCTTAGATGGATGGTGGGATGTTGGGGCTTCTCCCTATGTTGGGACCTACAGTCTAGGGTGCAGATTGGAGGAGGTGAGGTACAAGAAAAGAAGCTGGGGCCATGCTGAATTTGTGATGCCAGTGTGACTGCCTGGGAGAGAAGCTCATAAATCGGTGAGAATGTAGGTGGGTGTGGATCTGAAGGGGGCTAGAGAGGATGATAAGAATCGAAAGTAAGGCAAATGATATACATGTATAACTGTAAATTATAAAATATGCACACCTAAATGTACATCAGGACACACAAACATGGAAATTTAAAAGGATGAAATTTTATTAGAATAGAAATCTAACATTTTCTTCACACACCCAATGGAACATCTCTTGCACCCCATTTGGTGGACCCCTGGTCCTCAGTAATCTTTTGAGAAGAGTAAATGCCTGGAGAGAGATGAAAACTATAACTAAAGGGTGGTATCAATATTGAGAAATAACTGTTAAGAACAGGAGAGATTCTGTATAGACTGAAGGAAGGAGCCAGTGGACAGGGAGATGCTGGAGAAGCATAAGGGGCAGGAGGCACTAGACAGCGAGAGGACTGGAAGCAGGTGGGAGGGAATAGGACCCAAAGCACAGATGGAAATATTAGCTTTGGGATCCCAGGAGATGAGGAAGGAAGAACAGGCTGAAGTGAGAATAACTGCTTGAGGGAGGGCTGCACACTGCAAATTAAGGGAGCTCACACCATACCTCAGGTGACTTGGCCTTACCAGAAGAGTCCATGGTTAATGATCAGGTGCCAAGTGAGAATAGGTAGTTACAAAGACAGAACCCTGGTCTCAGCTCAGCCCTAGACTACAGCCTCTCAAAATAAATCAGGGAATCAAAAAAGATAATCCATCTCCTTTAGAGGGGAAAGGATGCAATTCACAGTTTACAACTGCCCTTGATAATGTTCCTGCCAGCGAAGTTAGGTTTTGGAACACTTTATCTTCATTAACTGACCACAGACTTTAACTGTGGCCTACTGGGGCCACAAACTCCTTAGGACGAAATACCACTTGTGAGAGGAGCCACAAAAGGAATGCCACGACCTAAATGACCATCAATAGGGGACTAGTTAAAAAAACCACGATGAATTCATGGTACAGAATACCACATTGCCATTAAAAATAAGAAGGTGTCATTAAGGAAACATTCAAATCCAGAATGTGGGACATTCTACAAAATAACTCCCTAAATTTCAGTATCATAAATGAAGAAGGGGGTACCGTTCTTAGGTTAAAAAAATGAAAACCAGTAAAGAGATGGAATAATCAAAAGCAATACTTGAAACTTCACTGGATCCTGATTTTTTTTTAAAAGACATTCTTGGGACAATCAAGGAAATTTAAATGTAAGCTGATTAAATAAGGTAGATGGTATTATAGAAATGTTGATAATTTTCTTAATTGTGGTAAGGTATTGTAGTTATACGAGAGAATGTCCTTAGTCTTAGGAGCTGCAGGCTGAAGTACTTAGACTGAGGCATCAAGATGTCTGCAACTTTGAAATGATTCAGCAAATTTAGATAGGAAGTGAATATGGAGAAATGTTAGATATTGTTGAATCTAGCTGGAGGATGTACAGTCATTGTTCACTATGCTACTATTTCAACTTTTCAATATGTTTGAAAATTTGTATAGTAAAAACTTAGGAATTTTTAAATATTTAACTAAATTTAAATGATAAAAGTATGAACTAATATGGTGAAACCCCAAGATACAGTACACCGAAGAAGAAACAAGATACATTATTTCTGGAGAACAATTTGTCAATATCTATGAAAACTTTAAAATGCCCATTCAGTTTGACTCAGTAATTTCACTTCTAGGAATTGGTACTAACAGCAATACTTGCCCACATGCACAAAAATATATGCATAAAGATGTTCACTGCAGCATTATTTATAATTACAAAAAATTTGTAATTTAAAAAAGCAACCTAAATGACCATCATCAGTAAGACAGTCATCAAAAAACACTCTGGAAGATGTATTACTCCACCTTTTTTGTTGTTGTTGTTAAGGAGGTACAACCATTTCTAGGTAAAATAGAGCAAGTCTATATTGTATAAGGCATGATCCTTTTTTTTTTTAGAAGAAAAGGAATAAGTTTGTATATGTATTTTTGGGTGTATATAAAATGGATCTAAGATAGCACCCAGTTACTATTCCCCAAACTGGAGAAGGAAACAGGATTGAGGAAGAGAGACTGGGATAGGAAAGGGAAGATCTTGACTTTGGGCTCTGTATACTTGTATATATATATTTTTTATAACAAATGAATGTATTCATTTTTAATCATGTAGCTAAATTCTTTTAAAGGATGAAAAAAGTTAAAAGATAAGTACACCAAACTGTTAACAGCAATTCTCTCTGGGGAGTAGGAGGTGGGAACTTTTATGTTACATTCTTTACATCTCTACATTACAGGAATCCTTATCCAAGAGGATGCATTAAATTATTAATGATGATTAGTGTTAATTTGTTCTAGTTTTTAAGAATTCCCTCCTTTGGAGAATCACAGCCTGTTAAGAAAATAATGTGTAAAGGGGGCATCCATAGACCCCCAAATCCCTTGTTCTCATTGTATTTTTCCCTCGAGACCCTACTCCCACTCCTCACCTCACCTCCAGTAAGGACAGATGCCCACAGCCCTGCCAGGCACATGCTATTCCATCTAATTTTCATCGTCTGACATGGAAAGGGCAGGGGGGCATAATTAAGCGGGGGGGCAGCCACTGGTCCTTTTTTTTTTTTTTTTTTTTTTTTTTGAGACAGAGTCTCGCTCTGTTGTTCAGGCTAGCGTGCAGTGGTGTGATCTAGGCTTACTGCAACCTCTGCCTCCTGAGTTCAAGAGATTCTCCTGCCTCAGCCTCCCGAGTAGCTGGGACTACAGGCACAGGCCACTGTGCTTGGCTATTTTGTGTGTGTGTGTGTATTTTTAGTAGATACAGAGTTTTGCCATGTTGGCCAGACTTGTCTCGAACTCCTGGCCTCAAGTGATCTGCCTGCCTCTGTCTCCCAAAGTGCTGCGATTACAGGCGTGAGCCACTGTGTCTGGCTGGTCCTTCCTTTTGGAGTCCAAACCCTATCAGGGCTACTCCTGACTTCCTCCTTAGTGCTTAGAGCCCTTGAGAGAGCAGGGGAACAGAGTTGTGGTCATCAGGTGCCTTCCCCTAGCCAGCTCCCTAATGTCAAATACTTTGAGCCCATAAAAGATGCTGTTTGTTCTGGTGGCACAGCCACTTGTGCAAGTGTATTTCCTGGTTTGAAAAACCAGATCTGCCTGCCTCTTTCAGGAAAACCCATAGAACTTTACCAAGTGGCAATTTCGAGTCTGTATACCATTAGATACTCTACAAGAGCTCACTTAGCTGTTTCTTTTAACCAAGATGGAAATGAAACCTCCTCACTCTCCTCCTCCCACATCTAACTGACTTAAGGAGCTGCTGCCTATCATCTTAAGAAACCACAATTTACCATTTTTGAGTACTTGTTGCTGGTATCCAAGTATCCAAAGTCATTTCTGAAAAGGCCGGGAAGGAAGCTCTGGTGTTTGGTCTGCCTAAGGATAATAATAATAGTTCACATAATAGTGTTCCTAGGGGATATATCATAACTAAGTCTGCTGCATTTTCTTGAGCTTTAATGATAAGGAGGAGGGTGAAGAGAATGATGGTCATAATGAATACTTACTGACTCTTATGGCCTGAATTGTGTCTCTCCCCAAATTCATGCATTGAATTCCTCACCCTCAATACCTCAGTATGTGAATGTATTTGGAGATAGTGCCTTTAAAAAAGGTAATTAGGGTAAAATGAGGTCATATGGGTGGGTCCTAATCCAATATGACCAGTGTCCTCATAAGAAGAGATTACAGTCCAGGGCGCGGTGGCTCATGCCTGTAATCCCAGCACTTTGGGAGGCTGAGGCATGTGGATCACCTGAGGTCAGGAGTTCAAGACTAGGCTGGCCAATATGGTGAAACCCTGTCTCTACTAAAAGTACAAAAATTAGCCAGGTGTGGTGGCAGGTGCCTGCAATCTCAGCTACTCGGGAGGCTGAGGCAGGAGAATTGCTTGAACCTGGGAGGTGGAGGTTGCTGTGAGCTAAGATCGTGCCATTACACTCCAGCCTGGGTGACAGAGCAAGACTCCAACTAAAAAGAAAAAAACAATAAAGAAGAAGAGATTACAACACAGACAGACACAGAGGAAAAAACCCTACAAAGACATTGGGAGAAGATAGCCACTCACCAGTGGAAAAGAGAGGCCCTCAGAAGAAACCAACCCTGCCAAAACCTTGAGTTTAGAATTCTAGCCTCCAGAACTGTGAGGAAATAAATTTCTGTTTTTTAAGCCACCCAGTCTGTGATATTTGTCATAGCAGCCCTAACAAACCAATACACGGACCAACAATATGCTATGAGCAAGGTCTTGTTCTAAGCACTTTAACTCCTTTTATCTTCATAACACCCTTATGTGGTAGCTCCTATGGTTATTCCCCAATTTGAAGATGAGAAAACTGAGGAACAGAGGAATTTTTCATGATAGTAAAATACTGGAAATGACCAAAAACCCATCTCAAGGAGACTGGAGAAATACATTGTGGTATATTAACATGAAATGTTATGCCACAGTGAAATTGTAACTACAGTTATACTCTGTGGCAGGAATGAATCATACTAATATAATGATGAGTAAAACAAGCAAGTACCAGAAAACTACCTAAAACATAATACCCTTTTTATGAGGGCCAGAAAAACAACCAAGTAATATCTTATTTAGGAAGATATATCTACATGTATATATCTATATATCCATAGCTACATCAATATGAATATAAATATCTCTGTGCATATGAGAGAGATAAAACTTCAAAAAGAGAAAAAGAATAATAACCAAAATTCAGGCCAGCGATTCCTTCAGGGTGGAGAGGGAGGTAGAGAGCAGGATTGGGGGAGCAGCACACAGGCAGACTGAGTTCTCATCAATGTGGCTAATTCTTAAGTTGGGCTCACAGTTGTCATATTATCCATAAAAAAGTAAATGCACACATAAATAAAATTAAAGCAGGCTATACATGGACGAATGGTGCAGCATGAAATGAGTCAAGGATTAGAAATATGATTACTCCAATTATGTGTATCCAAGGTCCATTTTAAAAGAAAAAGGGATAGGGTTTCAGTGAAATAATTTGCCTATGGTCTTGGGTTTATTAAGTGGCTCAGCCGGCATTTGAACCCAGGGAACCTGGCTCAAGAACCCATCATCTTAACCATTATTGTCTGTTCCATACTTCAGGCTGCTCCCTGATGGAAAAGAAATAAAGTCTACTATGAAAACGGAAGGACTTACGCTACCTAGCTGCCATAATATAGGTACTACCTAGCCATCAAAATGGACTCAGGGAGCTCCAAATTCACAAAATGCAAATTTATTTATCACTTCTTCAAACTGAGACAAAGGTTGAATTTCATACACAAAAAAGAAAGATGTTTTGAGTATACAAGATGGTGTTTCAGGACTTCGAAGTCCAGTCCTGAACACATTATTTGACTTTTTACTCAATAAGGGAAAGTTAGTATTTGTACAGATCTCTCCAAAGAACTCAGAGGAAAGTCTAATTAATCAAAGAGATGGTTCAAAAGCCTACCGAGGAACCAGGGCAGCTGCAAGTCAAAAGAAAATTGGCTTGTATGTGGAGGCCAAACTGTGCCTGCAGACTGACTTGCCCAGGCCTAACATTCCTGCTTAGGTAGTGGAACAAGGGGATCAACGAGGCCCCTTTCCACCAATGACAGGACCAACACATCATTTTCCTCTACCCTGGGTTACAGATTCCACCCAGAAAATTTAGGCCATGTAGAGCAGTAGGTATGAGAGGAAAGGTACTAAACTCCCAGTTCTTCATCCGCACAGGTAGTCTGTGTTACCCTCCACCCATATTGTAATGTCTTTAAAAGACCTGAGCATCAGATGGCATGACTGATATAAATGCCAACCCTCCACTAGCACTAGAGCAAAGGCAAGCAGGAAAGCATCTGGATTTGGCTTTCAGGCCAGTCAAAACAGCTCAAGGGCACTCAGCCTAACCCCCCACCCCACCATCTGCCAAGAAGGGAATCTGGTTAATCTACTCCCTGGGGGTCATTGCTTAAAGGCAACCAGTGGGCCTGGCAGTCATTTGTGAGGCAGGCTTCCCTGGCCTGTTACTTCTAACATCTCCCCCTAACAATCCCCATGACCTCTGCTTTAAGTTGGAGCCAGGTTCATAAATCCCTAAATCAAGGGAAAGCAAATGTCACATATCCCCTGGAGGCCACCAGAGATGGATGGGATTTGACCACCTCCTGACATGAGTACACTCTGGTCACTTCTTTCTATTTCTTTCTTTCTTCTCTTCTCTTCTGTTTAACTCTCCAATTCTCTATTTCTTCTCAGGCTCCAAGCCTGCTCCCAGATTTTCCATCAGCACTGAAGGATGGTAAACTTAAACCTGCAGCAGTTCCTGGCTAACCCAACACACAGAGAATGTGTAGAATCTTTATTTTCATCACAGAGTTTCAGAGAAAGAAATTTCTTTGGACCAACTGGGATGGGGCCCAGCATCCTGTATTTTAATATATTTCCCTAAAAAAAAAAAAAAAGATACAGAGGTATTCAACCCCTACCTGGAGAAATACTCCAGTAGGGCAGGCTCCAAAATCCTAAGGGGTAAGTATGAAAACTCAGAATATTTTCATATAGAAATGACAAATAACTCCCAGGAGAATGTATTTTTTATGATGTGACTGGTGTTCAAAACAACAACGGAGATAATAATAATAGAAATAATAAGTAATTGTTAGTACATGGCACTTCTCTGCCAGGCATTGTCTTAATACTTAGTATGTAGTAGCTAATTCCTACAACTCTATAGGTAGAACCTAAGAAAACTGAGACACAAAGAGGTTAAGTAACTGACCCAACGTAACTTACAGAGCCAGGATGAAAATGGGCAGTCTGACTTCAGAGTCCATGTTCTTAATCACCGACTTATACTACCTACATGTGCCCTGAGGCCCTTTATGGTAGAGAGTGGACCCTTGACTTAGAAACTTGATATACCAATGACCCAAACACATGATGGTTTGACCTCCTGCTATTGAGCTATTCTTTCTCCTCCACACCTGTGAGCATGGATCTGGAATTTTCTAATTAAATTGCCATGGGAACTGATCAGCATTGGAATCTGCCTCCATGACCTCCCAGATACTCATTCATTCAGTATTTATTGAGCATCTACTATGTGCCAACTATTATAAACAAGATACAAATGGCCTCTGCCTTTATGTACCTTACAGTCTTACAACCACATCATTCTAAATGCTAATTTCTAGGGCTTAAAAGGGTTTGGAAATGAAAATATGGTTTAAATCAGTGTTCCAAGGGCTGAAGGCCACTACTGCCAATGTTCTGTTAGCTACATGAGAAGCTACATGGTCTTCCCGATATTTCATAGAACTTAGCACAATACTAGACACACAGTAGGTATTTATCAACTTATTTAGAGATATTTCAGGAGAGCACTGACAACCAAGGAATAGAATTAGAATGTCCTCCTGGTTGCTCCTGAAAGTAAGGACACAGCCATAAAAGTGTTGGAAAACAAGATCCAGATGTTCATTTCTGAGCATATAAAAAGCTAGTTCTTAAACAAATCTACCACTGAAAACATCCAAAAGTCCTGGATAAAATATTTTTAAAATTGTTTTATTTTTCAATCTATGAACTGTCAAATACACAAGGAATTTTCTAGCCAGAAAAAAAGTGAAAGTGGGAACCCAGAGACATAAGTGGGATACGGCATCCAATTTTCACCCAAAGTAGATTTGCTAAGCCAGCTGAACTTGAGCTTTGATTTCTCATAGCTTCACAGGGCATAAGGGATGGGGGACAAAGGTCAAGATATCCCAAAAAGAGTCTGATAGGAGATAACTCTCATAAAGCTGGGACCCCAAAAAGCTACACTTCAGTGTAAACGTGTACTAGAAATACAAATTACTCCTGCCCCCTAGGACGATAAGGAAAATCTACTCTCAATCTTTACACTGAGTTGGAGTAGCAGGGAAAGGAACTAGGTTATCTCCAATAAAAACTTGGAACGGCAAGCCAGCCATCATGTGTATTTGAAAAGTGAATGTATACTACTTGGGTAATCAAAAAACCTGAGGTCAGAATTCATTTAGCATGATTCCAGACTGGCAGCTCTCAGGTGCCTAGCAAGAATGAAGACAGATCCTTTCTACAGGAAACCAGGAGTCAAAAACTACCCATAAATAAAATCCCAAGGAAAATAAGCAACTTACAGTAAAGCAACAAAAATAATAATATTTAAAATAAAGAAAACTTAAATACACAAGGAAACAAGCCAGGAATCCTGAAAACAGAAATTTAAAGACTGCAGATAATAAAATTATTACCTACAGACTGTTTTGTATGTTTGAAAAAAATTAAAAATATAATAACTGAAATAAAAACTCAATGGATAGAACTAACTAAAGAGATAAATAATAAACTGGAATATACAGCTGAAGAAATTAGCCAAAGTGCAATACAGTAAGACAAATTAGAAAATATCAAAGAAAGATTAAGAGATAAGAAGACACAGTAAGATGGACTAACATATCTCTAAAATGTGGTCCCAGAAGAATAGAATGGAACAGAGGCAGAGTTTGAAGTTATAACAGCTGAGAATGTTCTGAAACCTGATGAATGATATATACCCACACACCAGAAGCCCAAAGGCTCCCAAACAGAATAAGAAAGAACAAATCAATACTGAAACATATAGCAAAATTGCAGAACACCAAACAAAAAGAAACAAAAAAACCTCAAAAGTGACCTGAAAAGATTACTTTCAAAGGAGTAAAAAGGCTGACCACTGACTTTTCAAAGCAACAACAGAGGATAAAATATAGTAACATTTTACCTGTATTATGAATGAACCTTCCCTGAAATGTGACATCCAAGTGGACACATAGTAGTCACATCTGTGCTGAGAAGTAGGCTCTTTTGTGTGTATGCTGAAATGTTGAAGGAGCAGAGGCTCAAGCCCTACCCAAACCCCTTCATTAACAGAGTCCCCGGGGGCTGGGGGAACGACCCTATGCAAGGCCTGCAACCTCCAAATAAAAGCAATCTTTTGAAGAGGCATTCTCCCTTTGGTCACCAGAGTATTCTTCAAATTAGTTGAGACTTATAGGTCTTAGGTTCTAAAGAAAAATAAGTACTTTTATTACTTAGGGGTTATCTGAATTTTTGCATCCATGCCAGTCTGAATTCTTAAGACCATAATGGGTTTTAGGAACATACGTTTAGTGGACCAATGGGTAACTTGTGCATGCAGGGCCCAGCCCATGCATACCTGGCTGCTTTTATAAGGACCATGAGTGCACCTAGCATGCTCTATCATACGCAGGGTCCATGGCCCTCTTTCAATGGCAGCTTGCTGATACAGGACACATATTTGTGCTGTGGTTATTTTAGTTATTGGAAGGAGGTGATGGGAATCCTGTCTCTCCCCTGATCAGAGAAGGTGGAGCTCCCCCAATTCTGGCTAGAGTGTGGGGACCCTAGCTCTTCCTCTACCTGGACTACTTGCTGTTCCTTTCCCCCTCCTACACTGTGGGGCCGAGTTAGTGAAATTAAAACATGTCTGTATATCTCAACTAAGGGCCCACTCAGTTAAAGGAAAAAGAATCTTCTCTCACTTCCATCTTTGGAAGCAGGAGTTGAGTTGTGGTTGTTTTGTTTTGTTTTGTTTTGTTTTGTTTGAGACGGAGTTTTGCTCTTGTTGCCCAGGCTGGAGTGCAATGGTGCGATCTTGGCTCACCACAACCTCCGCCTCCCAGGTTCAAGAGATTCTCCTGCCTCAGCCTCCCGAGTAGCTGGGATTACAGGCATGAGCCACCATACTCGGCTAATTTTTGTATTTTTAGTACAGACGGGGTTTCTCCATGTTGGTCAGGCTGGTCTCGAACTGCCAACCTCAGGTGATCTGCCCGCCTCAGCCTCTCAAAGTGCTGGGATTACAGGCATGAGCCACCACACCCGGCCAGGAGTGACCCTTTAACCACACTAAAACACCTTGCTAGGACGAGACTCTGGATGGTACTTCCTCAGGACAGCTCTCACCATGCATCTGCCAACAGCACCCCCTGGTCCCTGCTCCATATGGAGAGCTGCCATTCCCTTGCTCAAAACTGGAAACAGAAGGCACCTTTGGCCCAAGTTACAGTTGACCTCTGGCCTAGTTTGGAGACCAAGACACAGTTATGTACAGTGCATGTGGCATAAGGCACAAATGGGAGTTGCTCAATTCTTTCAGCACCACCTAGTTGACCTACAAATTGACCTTCTCTTCAATCAGTCATATATTGAACACCCACTCCATGAAGAACCTTATGTTCTTCCCACCAACACCACACACACACACACACACACACACACACACACACACACACACACACACACACAGGAGTGGCCCAGCCAGGAAATAAACCTAGAAAATAGATTTATTTTCTAGAAAATCCCTGAACCCATCCTCAACAACTACACTAAGGTGAGATTTGCTGGTTGCCAAGTCCCATCCACATGTAAGGAATTCTTATTAGAAAAGGTTGAAAAGATAGGAAACACATGTAAAATCTAAACTATAAACTATAAGGGCTAAAAGACAGGACAGAAGCAGTGTCCCAGGAGATCGCTAAAGCCCTCTGCATGGATTCCTATGTTTCCATTGTTTGTGCTCCACTGTGGGCCTCGAGAAAATAGACGTGGAGAGCAGGCATTGATATCCCCTTAGAAAAGAATCCTGAAAGGCAGTAGGCTATGGATAAGTCTCTTTCCCAGCCAAAGCAAGCACAAACTCTCCAAATCACTGCTAAAGCCAACAGTCTGTAACTGTCCCAGAGCAGGAGATGCTGTGAGTCCAGAGGTGGGTGTTCCTCCTGCTTTGAGACTTACTGCCTTTGGTGGCAGGGAGAGATGTGCTCTGGATCAGGAGGAGAGGGGTGGCAGGATTCCCTCGTCCTTCTGTCAGCCCTATCTGTCCCCAGAGGGCAGCTATAGGATGACTCCCAGAGGGCACCTGTGAGCTGGGCCAGCAGCAGAGACGAACCAGGCAGCTTCTGGAAGATTCGTTCTCATCTCGTCCTCTCCATCCACCAACCAAATAGCCATTTCTAAGTTATTGCCATCTTAGAAAAACACACTCCTGGTCTAGATGAGCATGTTCAGCTTCACTGGAAGCCCCCCGCCCTGCCATTTGAGCCAACATAATTTACAATTCCCAGAAATGCCTGAGAAGCAGTGTATGCGCTTCTGCTGCCAAGCCTGGCCGGTTTTACAGATTTTCATTTAGCAGGTGTCTGTTGCTAAATCAGTAGCAGCTGCTAATTGCTTTGCCTCTCAAACCCTCAGACAGAATGAAACATCTGGTGTTCTCTCACTTCAGGTTAAAATCAGGTACCTTATCACGTCTCCTTTGAGTTCCATTTTTATTAAAAAGCTTTCAGCTGATGCCTGGAACTGGCAGCAGAGAGCAAGACCATTCCTGAACAATGGGAATGTTTCTAACACGATGTAGTGAGCCTGCCTCATGCCTCCAAACTCCGTGCACAGAAACAGAGTCACTCAGACCATTCCCCACAAGGTGGGGCTTTAGGCCCATGAGCCCAGGGAACCTGAGACTTCATCTCCTGAGCCAGGACTCTGGGGGCCCCCAGCCCTTTGATTGCAGTGCCCCTTCTTGCCCAGAATACTTTCTAGTATTTGCAACCCCCACCCGAGCCAGTTCTCCTCTCTCCTCCAGGGGAACTGCAGGGGGAAAAAACTACATACAGTGGAGGAAAATTACCAGGACGCCATCATCTGCAGCTCCACTTCCCAGTTCATACCGGTGCTCTCTTTTCAGCCACTTTGAAAGTTTTTTTGTTTTGTTTTTGTCGTTATTCCTCCCCGCAACAATCATTTCGCTGGGCTCCAAATCTGCCTCTTGATTCTAAGTCAAAGCCATTCTCAAAAGCACCTTAATAGCAACTCAAATATTTCCTATTATTATTAATAAATAATCTTAGCTAACCTTTATTGAGCATTTACTACTTTGTATCAGGCATTGTGGTAAGCACTTTACATGCATTACCTTATTAAAGATTCAGGAATTGTTATGACCGTCCTCATTTTACAATGTAAAACAGGCTCTGAGACAGGCTATTGATGCTGTAGAAGGAAGACTGGAACAGTGATTTGGCTAGATTAAAAGCCTGGGCTCTGCTGACTAGGTATCTTTGATGATTTTAAGGAATTATTGCTAGTTATTATAGGTATGATAATGGTATTGTAATGTTTATTTTTTACTGTGTCCTTACATTTCAGACATGCATAATGAAATACTTACAGTTAAAATTACATGAGATTTTCTTCCAAATAATCCAGGGATAGGTGTTTGTGTTGGGGGTGGAATGGATTTGTGGTGGAGTGAGGTGTATTGTTAAAAAGAAAAAGATGGGCTATGTGGTGACAATCATTGAAACTGGGTGACAGATGCATTAGGGAACATTTTTTCTACTTTTGTGTATGCTTTCAATTTTCTACAATATAAAATTATATACATACACTCCTGTTCTTATCCACTACATCATAGGACCTCCTAGCTTACGAAGTTTTTCCACCCCAAACTCCTTTCCTGCGTTAGCTCCTCTGGCCGGATCCTACCACCAAAGCTTCCTCAACTGGCACCCATGCAGTACCGGGACCCAGAAGTGATCACTCTTTCCTTGGACTTTCTAAAGAAACCCTCAGTTTGCCCTAAAGTCTCAGTTCACTCCACTCAAGGTCCTAGGCGTGTGGGACCTAAGGGGAGGTTGGCAGGCCACCTGTTGAGGTAAGAGATGGGCCTCAGGAGGAGCTCTGCCTACCCCCCGATTCTTTTTATGCAATGGAAAACTGAATTCATCTTGCCAGTTGGCACCCAACAAAGGATTATTTCATTGAATCCTCATAATAACTATGATGTACCTTTCTCCCTCCCTCCCTGCTTCCCTCTTTCCGTCCAGCCAGCCTGCCTTCCTGCCTTCCTGCCTGCCTGCCTGCCTGCCTGCCTTCCTGCCTTCCTTCCTTCCTTCCTTCCTTCCTTCCTTCCTTCCTTCCTTCCTTCCTTCCTTCCATTTGTTATTACAGGTTCTCACTCTGTCACCCACGCTGGAGTGTATGGCATGATCATGGCTCATGGTAACCTTGAACTGTTAGGCTCAAGTGATCCTCCTGCCTCAGCCTCCCAAGTAGGTGAGACTACAGACACATACCGCCACGCCTGGCTAATTTTTTAAAAAAAATTTTGGTAGAGACCGGTCTCACTATGTTGGCCAGTCTGGTCTCAAATTCCTGGGCTCAAGTGACCCTCCCACATCGGCCTTCTGACTAGCTGGGACTACAGGCACATGCCACCATGGCTGGCTAATTATTTTATTTTTTGTACAGACAGGGTCTCACTTTGTTGCCCAGGCTGGTCTCAACACTTCGGCTCAAGTGATCCTTCCTCCTGAGCCTCCCAAAGTGTTGCAGTTATAGGCGTGAGCCACCAGGCCCAGCCAGTGATAGAGGTAATATTTCTGTTGTACAGATGAGGCGATTGAGCAAAGTTCAGTTGCTTAAATAACCCTGAAGTCTCTTGCTCAGAGTGTCCATTAACCAAAGGCATCTCATTCAGTACTTATGCAACAGGGGAGGTGGAAAGAGCACTGATGTGGAAGTCAGAAGACCTGAGTGCTGAACCAAGATCTGCCAATCACTGGCTATGTGGCCTCAGGCTAGTCAATCCCCCTGGGCCTTATCATCTGAACACTATATTGCTCATTTTGCTTTCTTTCAACTTTGCTTTCCAGCCCTTTTCAACATTCACACACACACACACTAATCCCCAGAAGATCTTGTTACAATGCACACTCAGTTTCAAAGCTTTCTACAAAGCTACAGCAATCAAGACAGTGTGGTGCTGGCATATGGATAGACATATAGAGAAATGAGATAGAACTGAGGGTCTAAAAATAAACCTTCACATTTATTTTTCATTGATTTTTAGAAAGGATACCAAGATATTTCAATGGGGATGGATAGAAGAGTCTTTTCAACAAATGGTGCTGGGACAACTGGATATCCACATGAAAAAAATGAATTTGGACCCCTTCCTCACACTACACATAAAGATTAACTCAAAATGGATCATAGACCTAAATGTAAGAGCCAACACTATGAAACTCTTAGAAGAAAACAGTCATATATCTTCATGATCTTGGACTAGACAACAGTTTCTTAGATGTGATACCAAAAGCACAAGCAGCCAAATCAAAAATAGAGAAATTAGACTTTATCAAAATTAAAATATTTTGTGCCTCAAAGGATACAATCAAGCAAATGCAATGACAACCCACAGAATGGGAGAAAATGCTTCAAATTATATATCAGATAAGGGTTTAATATCCAGAAAGAACAATTATAACTGAACAATGAAAACAACCCAATTAAAATTTGGGAAAGGATCTGAAAAGATATTTCTCCAAAAAGACATACAAATAGCTAGTAAGTACATGAAAAAGTGTTCAACATCATTAGTTATCAGAGAAATAGCATTCAAAAATCCGAAATCTGAAATGTTCCTGAATATGAAACTTTTTTTATCAGATATTTTATTTTTTTATTTTATTTTATTTTATTATTATTATACTTTAAGTTTTAGGGTACATGTGCACAATGTGCAGGTTACATATGTATACATGTGCCATGCTGGTGTGCTGCACCCATTAACTCGTCATTTAGCATTAGGTATATCTCCTAAAGCTATCCCTCCCCCCTCCCCCAACCCCACAACAGTCCCCAGAGTGTGATGTTCCCCTTCCTGTGTCCATGTGTTCTCATTGTTCAATTCCCACCTATGAGTGAGAATATGCGGTGTTTGGTTTTTTGTTCTTGCGATAGTTTACTGAGAATGATGATTTCCAGCTTCATCCATGTCCCTACAAAGGACATGAACTCATCATTTTTTATGGCTGCATAGTATTCCATGGTGTATATGTGCCACATTTTCTTAATCCAGTCTATCATTGTTGGACATTTGGGTTGGTTCCAAGTCTTTGCTATTGTGAATAGTGCCGCAATAAACATACATGTGCATGTGTCTTTATAGCAGCATGATTTAGAGTCCTTTGGGTATATACCCAGTAACGGGATGGCTGGGTCAAATTTGAGTATTAAAGAGATGCTCAAAAGAATGCTCATTCAAGCACTTCAGATTTTCAGACTAGGGATGCTCAACTGGTAAGTACAAAGTGCAGCATTCCAAAATCTGAAACACTTCGAGTTCTAAGCATTTTGGATAACGGATACTCAACCTCTACGACATCACACCCTCTAGAATGGCTATAATAAAAAAGACACAATAACAAGTGGTAGTGAGGATGTTGAGAACTTGGAATGCTCATACATTGCTGGTGGACATATAAAATGGTATAGCCACTTTGGAAAATAGTCTGGCAGTTACTCTAAAGTTTAAACACTGAGTTATCATTTGACCCAGCAATTCTACTTCTAGGTACATACTCCAAAGCAGACAAACAGATAGCTTTATACAAATGTTCATAGCAGCATATTAACAATAGCCAAAAGGTAGAACCAACCCAAATGTACACTAACCGACAAATGGCTAAACAAAATGTGATATATAATACAAAGGAATATTATTCAGCCGTAAAAAGGAATGAAGTACTGATACATGCAACAACATGGATGAACCCTGAAAACATTCTGCTGAGTGAAAGAAGTCAGTCACAAAATGCCATATTATATGGTTACATTTACATGAAATGTCCAGAATAGGCAAATCCATACAGACAGAAAGTAGATTAGTGGTTTCCTGGGTCCAGAACAAGGAAAGAAGGAATGGGGATGATGCTAATGTTTATGCAATTTCTTTTCGGGGTGATGAAAGTGTTCTAAAATTAGACTGTGGTGCTAATTGAACAACTCTGTGAATATATTAAAAACCACTGAATTGTATATTTGAAAAGGATAAACTTTTCATTTGTAAATTATATGTCAATTAAACCCCCTTTACAAAAAATTGTGACTGAAGTCAAAGAGAGAACAAGGCAAGTGCTCATTTGTGTAGTGCTTTTAACTTTCCAAAGCTCTTTGTTATCTTTTCATTGTTATCTTTTGGTATCTTTTCTTTATAACTTGTCTGAAAGGTAGAGAGGGTAAATTTTACAAATCCCATTTGAAAAATGTGGAAACTGATACTTAATATGGTGAAATTAAATCCTTCAAAGCCCCAAGCCCCAGCCAGTGGCAGGGCAGAACTAGAACAAGGTGTACAGCAGAGCTGCCCTGGTTGCACACATTGGAATTGCCTGGAGTGCTTTTAAAAAATGAGTATGTGCAGAAAGATAACTACCACATGTTCTCACTTATATGTGGGAGCTAACAAAGTTAATGTCATAGAAAGGGAAAGTAGAATGGTGGTTACTAGAGGCTGGGGAGGGTGGAGATAGGGAGGTTGGTTAACAGATACAAAATTATAGCTAGATCGAAGGAATAAGTTATAATGTCCTATAGCCATGTAGGGTGGCTATAGTTAACAATAATGTATTGTATATTTTCCAATAGCTAGAAGAGAGGATTTGAATGTTCCCAACACAAAGAAATGATAAATGCTTGAGGTGACAGATATGCTAACAAGATTGATTTGATCTTCGCACACTGTCTGTATCTAAATATCACAATGTACCTCCAAAATATGTGCAATTATTAGGTGCCAAAAATAAAATGATGTAAAATTTTTAAATGAGTGTGTATTGAAAGTGGCTCTGGGGATACTAATTGTGCAGCCAGCGTTGAGAACCACTGATCCACAGACTAAGGAGTGGAAGCACTCACTAGATAAGGCTTCTATTGCATAAAGAAACACTGCTTGAAGTAGTGGCTCAAGGTGGAGACAGAAGACATTGGGTAAGACTGCCAGACGCTGTTCCTTCTAATGTGATTTTAGGAAGACAGGGCCAAGGCAAACAAGGGCCAAGGCAAACTAGTAAGCTCTGGAGGCAAACAGGCTGCTGCCTGGCACTCACTGCTGCCACTCCCTAAATGGGCTGAAGGGCTTGGGCCTACTGACAAACCTAAAAGGTCTGGACATTTTATTTGAAAACCCAAAAAGGAGTGGGCCCAATTCACCTGTCAGGAGGGAGAAAAGCAGATTGGCCAGTTCCCTAATCAAACAGGCTGTCACTGAAACAAATGTGAAAAACAAAGGCAGTGTTGGTCAATGTGGATAGGAAAGCCTGCCTGGGAATTTTAATCTCACTCAGCAAGGCTAATGCAGAAACAAAGCCCCCTTCACATTACCGCCACTGAAAAGCTCAGGGAGTTGGGGTCAAAGCTCTAAAGACTAACATCAACAAGGGCATGCACCTCCTCAGTGTTTAGGATAATAGTAGTAATAGTAGTAAAAACAACAGCATCTGACATTTATTGGTTATCTCCTATGCGCCAGGCCCTGGGCTAAGTGCTTACCACACATCATCTCCGTTCAACCAAGCACCATTTTACAGATAAGAAAATTAGGTCAGCAAGGTTAGGTATCTTACCCAAGGTCACACAGCTGCAGGTAGAAGAGCCAGCCATAAAACCATGGACCAGCTGGTTCAAGGATTGGTACTTTTGACCACTACACTATAAACTCTTAACATCTATAAAGAGACAAAAAGACTTCCAGAATATGTAACAAACAATGTTAATAGTTGTTACTGCTCAATGATTTGTTTTATTCTATTTTTCCCTCCCCTCCCCTCCCTTCCTTACTTTCTTTAAGAAATGGGGTCTCGCTATGTTGCCCAGGCTTGTGTCAAACTCCTGTGCTTAAGTGATCCTCCTGCCTTGCCCTCCCAAAGTGCTGGGATTACAGGTGGGAGCCACTGCACCTGGCCTCCATTTTTTTCTGTTTTGAACATATATCACTTCTGTAAAGAAATGATACATAAATGTATAAAGACAAAAGGCACAAAGCCGCCACCTTTTTTTTCAGTGTCCAGAAAAATAATCACCTTTGCATTGGTGATGATTTTTTTAAAATTTATACTTTTCTATATTTCACAAATTTTCAACAGTAAATATGTCTTTTGTTGTAATCAAGAAAATGGCATTATTTTAGGTGGTTGAAAAAAAAATTCTCCTGGAAAAAAATATTATCTATCACCCCTCTGTCTTTGCACCCAAGATCCCAGGACATATGTGAGAGGGATCCCCAGAATTTCCCTAAGCAACATAGAGGTTCAGGTTGGCTGATGAATTCATTTATTCTATCTATAGATATCTACCAGGTGCTAAGTACAAGGCTATGTAGGGGCAGCCACAAAACAAAAGACACTTGTCCTCAGCTCCAATGGGGCTTTCTACAAGTCAATTCACAATGAATCAAATGTCGCCATTTTTGAACTTTGAAGTATTTATTATTGATCTCTATCCATGCTCTACAATCTACTGCTTGGTTCTTCGGACTTTGACTCCATTACACATTTTGCCTCATAAAGTGAGGTGGTACTTTGGCAAAGGTTGGAAAGGACACTAGCCACATGTGTGTGTACTGAAATGATGTGTACTTGAACATTTGGAATTTGGTGTCCAGCGATAATCCACTTGCACATGCACTCTGTGGAAACTATGGTCTTCAGAACTCGGGAATAATGAGAATGGCAAAGCAGAAAAGAGTCCTGGATTTGAAGTAAACAAACGGGAATTCTAAGTCTGTACTTCAGCTTACCATTATCTAACAGTGGACCCTGGAACAAATCTCTCTGTGTCTATTTTTTGTGTAACATGAGGGGTTTGAAGTAGGTCAGTGGTCCGCAATATTTTTATCCTATTAAACTGCTCACTTGAAAGAAAAAAGACACTGTCCTTACCCACAGAGAATAGAAGGAATATATGAATATATAGTCCAACCAAACTATGGATGAAAAGAGTTATGTCCATGCCTGAAGAGATTACTGATTATCTAGTGTTTAAGTTAAACAAAGAAATATACTGGGCCAGGCATGGTGGCTTACGCCTGTAATCACAGCACTTTGGGAGGCCAAGGCAGGTGGATCATTTGAGGTCAGGAATTCAAGACCAGCTTGGCCAACATGGTGAGACCCCGCCTCTGCTAAAAATACAAAAATTAGCCGGGCGTGGTGGCGCATGCCTGTGACCCCAGCTACTTGGGAGGCTGAGGCAGGAGAATCACTTGAACCTGAGAGGCAAAGGTTGCAGTGAGCCAAAATCACACCACTGCACTCCAGCCTGGGTGGCAGACTGAGACTTCAAAAAAAAGAGAAAGAAATATACTGGAGTGGTATTTGTAGAATTCCAAGTGTGTAAGAAGCTGGAACCCAAATAAACCAACAATCCTAGAAATATGAAAATCTTTAATCTCCATGTACAAGCAAAGGATAAGTGTAAAAAGATACTTTTAACACAATTTACCCTTGAGGCAACAGGACTAAAAGCTGGTAAAATGATTAGCTTTTTCTTTATAGTCCTCTGAGTTACTTTTCAATGACCATGTATTATTTTTCTTCCTAGAACTTATCTGAAATAATTCACTATATTTCACATATCTCATTTTTAAAAAAATCTTTTTCCTTTTATTGATACATAATATTTTACAGATTTATGGAGTGCACATGAGTATTTTTTGCATGCATAGAATGTGCAATGATCAAGTCAGGGTATTTGGGGTATCCATGCCCTTGAGTATTTATCATTTCTATGTGTTAGAAACATTTCAAGTCCTCTCTTCTAGCTACTTTGAAATATACAATATATTATTGCTACTGTAGTCATGAGCATCTACTATTTCTGTAACAAAAAAATCCTAAAAGTAAAATTAAGCCCCCAAATTGCTAATCGATACTGTATAAAATTTGCCAAAAGGCGGTCATATGGCTGAATACTTAAAAATCAATCTAAATAACTAGGAGAGAAGAAGACCAAACCTTCCTTTGGTATGATGACCTTTGGTATCAGAAAGACCAAAGTTTTCATGCTAGTTCTGTCACTTCCTGTGTGCCCCCCTGTACAAGTTACTTAAACTTTCTAAGGCTCTGTCTGTAAAATGGACATGCTAATACACACTTCACAGGGTTTTGGTGAGGATCAAAGACTAATAATGGCTAACAGTGCAATGCTATTTGCTTTACACACATCAACTAACTTAATCCTCACAATAGCTTTATGAAATAGGCACTATTATCACCCCCATTTTATAGATGAGAGAACTGAGGTCCACAGAGGATAAGTAACTTGCACAAGTTTGTTCTCCTTGTGTTTTCTCTGTCTCCCACCCCTGCCCCCCTTCACACACACACACACACACACACACCACACACACACACACGCACACGCGCACACACACACACACACACACACACACACAAGGGAGTGGCCCAGCCAGAACATGAACCTAGAGAATCTGATCCCTGAGCCAATCCCCTTAACAACTACACTAGGGTGAGATATGTGTAAAAGAGCTATTCTGATTCCAAAGTCCCATCCACACATAAGAAATTCTTATTTGTGGAGGTTGAAAAGATAGGAAATGTACACAAAATCTAAATACTGTAAGGGTTAAGAGACATGACAGAAACAGTGTCTTCTTGTGATTTGCAAATAAGTGGTAATGTCTCTGTGTACAACTGGAATCCCTGACTCCCACCCTGCTCTTCAGAATCTCAATACTTAGTTGACTATTTTCTGCCTCCATGTCCATGTGTTCCCTTAGCTTGAACAGCCTCCTTCCTATGCAATTTGCATGCACATTCTAACCATCCCTCAAGGCTTGGCTCAGGCTTTATTTCTTCATGAAGCCTTTCCAGACCACTTACTCCAGGAGGCTGTGTATTAAGGTACAAAGTGCACAGGTTTAGCTTTAGCACTTACAAATGATGTAACTCTGAGCAAGTCGTTTAATCTGATCTGAACCTCAGTTTCCTCATATGTAAAATGGGTTTCTTATGAGAATTGAATAATATATGTGTAAATTACCTGGAAAATAGTATGGGCTCAGTGAATGCTAATATTAATCTTTTTCCCATTTCTTGAAACATAGAGCAACTGCAATTTAGCAGTCAAGCCTGAATGCCTTGTAAGTTTTACTTTTTTATTTGTGACAGGGTCTTGCTCTGTCACCCAGACTGAAGTGCAGTAGTGTTGGCCATAGCTCACCACCGCCTCGACCTCCTGGGCTCAAGCCATCTTCCCACCTCAGCCTTGAGTCTCAAGTAGCTTGGATTATAAACATGTGCCACCACGCCCAGCTATTTTTTTATTTTTTGTAAAGACAGGGTCTTATATGTTGCTCAGGCTGGTCTCAAACTCCTGGGCTCAAGCAATCCTCCTGCCTTGACCTCCCAAAATGTTGGGATTACAGGTATGAGCCACCATGCCCAACCATGATTTTTCCTTTTTCATGTTTTCAACTTTAATATTGCCATAACTTTTCAGGCATTTATACTTTATCTTTCTAACTAAACTGCAAGTTCTTTGAGGACCAGGAATGTACACTGGTTGTTTTTGTATCTTCTGCAGCACATGGCATGATACTTAACACAGGAAAGTGCTCAATAAAAATCTGTGGTTTGACTGGTGTGATCTAGGCTGGATTCATCAAGGATTTAAGACCCTCAAAGCTTAGTCTTAAAATAAAGCTACTAAGTTGACATATTCTAGGATAGTCCCTAGAATTTGGTTTGGACCAGGAATCCCAAACTCATCTCAATACCCCCCACATCCTCAGACACAATGCATTCATCTGATCAGAAACATACTGGCCTTTGCAGAAGGTTGAGGCACTATTGTGCCTCACTCAATTCTTTAGAAAATTAATACCTCTTTTGAAACCAAGCTTTGTACGCTTTAAGAACCCTCAGGATAATAAAGGGACATTCTGTCCTCAGTTCAGGTCCAAAATCCAAACTATAACTTTTTAAAATAGCCCAATTTGCCAGTCACAGAAATAACTTTTCTAGGTCAACTAGCACATTTCGATGTGCCAATTAGCAAAGAGTGAGATTTTCAAGCCTATCTGCATTGGTGACAACAAGGTTTTTCCAGCAGCACACATGGGTACAAGGTGTGTCAGTGGAAAAGCTGCATCCCAAGAACATCAATATAGTGTTTGTGAATGGAGGCTAGACACCCCAGTAATGACAGAATCATTACTATCTTCTTCCACTCAGTCTGAAAGTTAGGAATACTCAAAAGAACCATCCCATCCAACAGAGCAGAAAGAACTGGGCAAAAGGAGAGTGGTAGTAAAGGGGGTAAAAAGGAACTAACATAATAGATCAACATGGATATATAATAATGGGCAAGTTTGATAATAAGATAATAATGTACTTGAGGCTTTAGGCCTTGAAGAAGAAAGGAGCTTGATGAAAAGAATAATTATCATGCTTCTCCTAGTAGAAGACAGATGGGTACAAACACAAATGCAGGCCAGGCTAGAGTTTTTGGTCTGGGAAGAGGGCTGATATAGTATCTTCACTTTCTTTTCTGTATCCAGTCTCCCTTGCTAACAACATTCTGCATTCAGAAGAAACTCTCATGGGGGTTAGAGGGTGAAAAGCAGAGCGCTGAAGTTGCAGCATGGGCCCAGTGTCTCATTTCAGGGCCAGATCACTAGCTTTGCACGTGAGTACTGTAACTGAAAATCTAATCTGTAACCAGGTTCCATGGACACCCTACTTAGCTTCCACTCCTTGGCTTTAATTTCCTGAAAGTGGTTTATCCTGGATTGGATGATATTCTTTGCAAAGTCACGGGTATAGATAAGGAACCCAGTATCACCATCAGGACAAATGGCCAGCGGCTATAACAAGGAACTCACACACTAGACAGCACATCTATTCCCTAAACTATGAACTATTTGTAGCCTAGGCAGGAAGACATTAACATGGGATGAATAGGTGGGCTTACAGAGGGGAGAGGGGCTAGGAGAGGAAGTTGTAGTCTGTGTCCCTCCTGAAATTGTCTGCAAAATTGTGTGTTTGTGCATTTATCAAGGAAGAGACTCTATCACCAGCACACAAACTCTCCCTGAATTTCATTCATGGAATAGAAAAATAATTCTGAAGTCTCAGTCAAGAGATATGGGTTCTGGGGACACCCACCTTGACTACTGAAACTCGTCATTTATCCTCCTAAATTTACCCTCTGGAAGATAAGATGACATCAGACAAGCTTTGAGCTCCCTGCTAATCTAATAATCAATAGGTTCATCATGTACTTCCCCTCCTTCACTCCAAGAAACAAAAGGGCATATCACTGGAAATTGCCCTTTAATATAATTCATCTGAATCTAGAAAAAGACCTTTTTCCAGGATCCTAGGTGTAAAGAGCACTTACTTGTAATATGGGCCACTGGAATACACAGTCCTTCTTTTAGGGTTCAGCTTTAAAGATGGAGAACCCAGAGAAACTGAAGCCTAGGCATTCTCTAGCTGATTTGCAAATCCTGGTGCCAGTAAGTCACAGGGCAGAGTAGAACACATGGAAATTCACTGAGGGCCCCAAATCCTTTAGCTGACTGTCACAACTACTTCCAATGCCCTGTCACTCTGTCTTTGTGTATGTGAGTATATGTATGTCTATGGTACCAGTACACACACTAATCAGTTCATTTTATTTTTCTTGCTTCCTCATTACTGCTAATGAGCAAAAAAATAAAATAATTAAAAAGATAAAGGGCCAAGAAGGAAGGGCAAAAGTCAAAAGCTGGCTTACAACCTAATTGGATCATCAGGTTTAAGAAAGAGTTGCCAATCCTCATGTGTCTCATGTTAAGTCAATCTGAGCTCAACTAAGGGGCTGCAAGGCAAAAAGCCCTAAAGCCAGAGTAGTCCAAGAGGGATCCCAACCATCTAAAAGAACCAGACCTAAACCAATTGCAAATACATAGGCAAATGGAGACATTCCCAGCTTTTCTAAGCATCACTTTAGAAAAAGAGCACAAAGATTGACCAGATTGGCTGGAATCACTAGTTAAGAGACAGCCCAACAAAGAAGTTTCAATGTCAGGAGAGGTTACTTAAACATTTTTGATAAGTTAGTTGACTACAGCCTCACATTTATTTGGAAAGTATTAGCTGTTAATGTAACAGATACACCAGCACATCTGCTATGAGATGGCGGAAAAGGAAGGAGGAAGGAAAGGCAGAGGGGAGGGAGGGAGGAAGGAAAGCAGGGTGAGGGGAAGAAACAATGGTTTCTATGTAGGGTAGTATGGGTGCTATGAGCTGAATTGTGTCCCCCCAAAATTCATATGTTGGAGCCCTAACTCTCAGTACTTCAGAATGTGACTGTACAGTATCTGCAGAAAGGGCCTTCAAAGAGGTGATTAGGTTCAAAGGAGGCCATTACAGTGGGCTCTATGCAATCAGATGTGTGTCCTTATAAGAGGAAATTTGGCTAAACAAGAGACACTAGGGATGTGTGTGTAGAGAAAGGACCAAGTGAAGAGGCAGCATGAGGGTGGCCATCTGCAAACCAAAGAGAGGCCTCAGAAGAAACTAACCTTGCTGGCGCACTGTGATCTTGGGAATAACAGTACCTTGCCTCATAAGTTTATTGCAACGATTAAATAAATCTAAGCCATGTAAAGCACTTAGAACAGTGGCACATAGTAAGCACTCAAGAATCAGCAGCTGATAGTGCTGCTACTGTTACTTTTTATTTTTTTAGAGATGGAGTCTCACTCTGTTGCCTAGGCTGGTGTGCAATGGCATGATCATAAATCACTACAGCCTTGAACTCCTAGGATAAAGCAATCCTCCCACCTCAGAAGGGAGGGCGGAAGTCTCAAGCAGCCTGGACTACAGGCTTGCACCACCATGCCCAGTTAATTTCTATTTATTTGTTTATTTATTTGGAGGCGGAGTCTCACTTTGTTGCCATGCTGGAGTGCAGTGGCGTGATCTCGGCTCACTGCAATCTCCACCTCCTGGGTTCAAGTGATTCTCCTGCCTCAGCCTCCCAAGTAGCTGGGATTACAGGCATATGCCACCACGCCCAGCTAATTTTTGTATTTTTAGTACACACGGGGTTTCATCATGCTGCCCTCAATCTCCTGACCTCATGATCTGCTTGCCTCCACCTCCCAAAGTGCTGGGATTACAGGTGTGAGCCACCAGGCTCAGCTGATTTTTAAATTTTTTATTAGAAATGAGTTCTCACTGTGTTGCTCAGGTTGGTCTCAAACTCCTGGCCTCAAGTGATACTCCCACCTCAGCCTCCTGAGTAGCTGGGACCACAGGTGTGAGCCACTGCACCCAGCAACCGCTACTGTTATTGATAAAGGGACTAAGGATACTTCAGCAGACCCAGGGAGATATGTACCTTTTGTGTAACAATATTGACTGAATGAAAACTTCACCACCAGCTTTCTAACTGATTTCAGGTATGTAATGGAGCATTTTGGGGCCTTCATTCTCATGCTTCTACAATGAGAATCAAAATTTCTGTTTATGTTCAATGGCTTTGCAAGAAGAAGGATATTTGGTTTTCACTGGGGGAAAGGTCCTACTAGAAAGAGAGCTGAAGGTGGCCTGTCTAGAGGAACTATATCTATCCACCTCAGCAGGTGCTGTTTGGCCAGAGTTGTGGGCTGGAAACACCCCAATTCAGGATCACTAACTCTATTAGCCTAGGGGGAGATTTTCTGATGCACCTTCCTTTTCTGGGATCTGATAGAGCTGCTGAAATTTGAGAAAGCAGCTCTCTATCTGCCTGACTTCTCAGTCTCCTGAGAAAACAGGTACAAGGGGGAGCAGAGAGATGATAAGATAGCATTGGATCTACTTTTCTGCCCTAGCAGGTTACCTCCACAAGCAGGAAGTAACTTCTGCTCCAACCCTGTTCCACAACCCTGAGGCAGGAAGGACTTATGCTGTGGTATGGGAAATTCACCGTTTTTTGTTAAGTTTCCCAATTTGGTTTATTTTTACCATTCTTTGGAATTACCCCATCTAACTCTGAGACCAAGTCAGGAGTTCTGATTCTACAGTCCACCAGGTGAAGTCAGGCAAGTCACAGACTGTGGGAGATGTAGAAGGCAGGGCAACAGTGCCTGTGTCAGCGGCCTGTGCCTACTGATCCCAGCTCACAGGGGAATGTTGAACCAAGTGCACCCTGACTATTAAGACAGAGGCTGTGCCCCCTGCCCTCCCCAACACAGATGTTCCCCTCCATCGAGAGCTCAAATGCTTTATCTGTAAGATGCTTTGGGGTCCTTGGCAGAAAAGGTCTAGTCCATATAAGCTACCTTGGGAGTCCTGTTAAAATGCACATTCTGATGCAGGTGGTCTGCAGGTGGCCCCTGAAATTCTGCATGTCTAACAAGCAACACCCATGTGATGCTGATCCTAGGACCACACTTTGAGTTACACACTTGGAGTAACTGTGAGTTACGAACACCTGGGACAGTGATTCTCCAAGAATGGTCTAAGGACCCCTGCATTGGCATCACTTGGGGACTTGTTACAAACATTCAGTCCCTGCCATTACTTGTAGACTCTCTCAATCAGACCCTCTGGGGATGGGGCCTGACAAGCCTCATGTTTAACAAGCCCTTCAGTTGATTGCTATGAACATTACGTTTCAGAATCATTGCATGAAATCAGTGGTTCTCAACTCCCACTCCATGCTAGAATCACCTGGGGAACTTTTTAAAACACAATGCTCAGGCTTTATCACAGATCATGAACTCATCCTCTCCAAGGGTGGGGCAGCGCATCAGTGTTTGTTTTTAATTTTATTTTTAACTGACAAATAATTGTGGGTACTTATAAGGTACGTACAGTATGATGTTTTGATGTATGTTTGCATTGTGAAATGATTAAATCAAGCTAATTAGGTGAGCCTGGAACATACTAGGGTTCAAAATCGCTGCTTTAGATGAATGTTTTCTCTATAATTTCTACTGATATATGACATGCATCTTGAAAATTGTAACTATCATAAAGGTATACATGAATATTTGTGGGGAGGAGATGACAGGAATATTTGTGGAGAGGGAGCAAAGCATAGCTGTGATCTTAGGATCAAGAGGCTTAGGCTCCAATCCTAACTGCCACTTGGAATTTTACTCCCTGAGTAAAATTTTCTTCCTCTGTAAAACAAGAGGCCATAATTCTTGCCCTGTCTACCTCAAACACTGTTATGCGAAAAACCTTGTACACTGTAAAATGCTATCCAAAAATGATTATCAATTAAAGATTTAAACTATGATCTTAATGTTTAAGGCAAATTTAAGTCAGAAAGCAGTAGTAATAATTTTATAAGTGATTTCTTTTTCTGAGCTTCTCAATGTGACCTGCTAATGCCTCCACAGTCTCACATTTGGGAGTCTGAGGACATGGCTCGTAGCTCCTGCTTCTTTCTGGGCTGGTTTATCACCCAGCCCGCTGCAACCATGGGATTCTCCCTGCTAGCCATGAGGGGCTGTTTGGTCCAGACTGGCCCATGGGTTTGGGTGGATGGGGAAGGAATCTAATTCTTGCCCTAGGAAGTCCTTGGAGAAGTGGACAGGTTATGAGGCTCCCACAGCAAATTATTCAAGGCCAATGTGGTTGAATCTAACGAGAGCCCCTTAGAACACCTGAAAGCTGCTTTCTTTCCATTAAACCTCTCCAAGAGTTTGTATAGGCTTTGGTCTGCCCTGGTTATTTTATTTTTTTATTGTTTTGAGACCGAGTCTCGCTCTGTCGCCCAGGCTGGAGTGCAGTGGCACAATGTTGACTCACTGCAACCTCTGCCACCCAGGTTCAAGCGATTCTTCTGCCTTAGCCTCCCGAGTAGCTGGGATTGCAGGCAAATACCACCATGCTTGGCTAATTTTTGTATTATTAGTAGAGATAGGGCTTCACCATGTCGGCCAGACTGGTCTCAAACTCCTGACCTCAAGTGATCCACCCGCCTTGGCCTCCCAAAGTGCTGGGATTACAGGTGTGAGCCACCGCGCCTGGCCAGCTATATGTATATTTTTAAAATCACATGGGCATATAGGCAAGTACTGCTTTGCATGTTGCTGTTACATTCCTAGAAGAGGCTACTTACCAGCCGAGTGTTTACCACAGGAAACAGCAATGCCAGAAGAGCTCCATTCAACATGTGCATCTGTAGCCTAGAGGGGGAGAAAGATAAAGTTCAGGTCATACTCAGACCCTGATACAAAGGGAGAAAAAAGACACATCAGGTTAAGCCACGGCATATGGAAGAGAACTATGTATACAAGTTGCTCTCTGTGGAAAATGGCACTGGAGTTTGCACAAAATGAATTAATAGTGGCATATTTTGTATTAACTGAAATGTTCTGAAGAGCACCATCACTGGCTCAGAATCCCCTGAACACTTCCTGAACATACTTTGGTTACAACACTTTATTAAATAATGAGCTCTGTGTTCCCTAAACATTCAGTCAGTCCCAATCAACGGCTTCAACTGCTACAGCTTGGGCGGCATTAGAAAAGGGGAACTGCGGGAGGTAAGTGTTCTGTTATTACAGTAGAAACCTATTTATTATAACATGGCTGCTTATTTACACTGTCATGTATAATCCTTTTCCCCAAACAGAGACCTAAACAGAAAAAGATTGCTACAACCCAGGAAGCCAACTGCAGTGTTTTGCAAACTATATTTCCCCACTTTCTTAGAAATGCCCTCAGGAGCAAAAGTGGGCAGCCTTCCAGGCTTTCATTTACATATTGGGCTCTGTGACTTAAAAGCAAAACAAAAAGAAAAAAGAAGAAGAAAACCACTGGTCTCCAGCACTGGTTAATGATACTGTTTCCCAATCCCAATGCCAGACTTGTTAAAATACATACTCATTAGAAACCCTTCATAAGTCAAGCACAATTAACTCAGGAACAAACCCTGCTTGTGAGGGCTCTGGGGATGGATTTAAGTAGCTTCCTTCATTATTAAAGGCAAATGGTTCTTTACTACTAAGAGAGATGAAAAGAATGACAGTCTGTTCCTCTTGAAGAAACGTTGATTTGATGGGTCATGGACAACCACCACCGAGGCAACACGCCTCTTAGACCTCAACACTAGATGGGGGTTGATGTCAATCTCAATCACACACACACACACACACACACACACACACACACACACACACACACACACACACACAGCATACCTCCTATGCCCTGGCTGGGAAAACAGTCCACATGTTGAAGACTCTCTAGAACTTTACCTCTTCTCTTGGCACTCACAGATGTGTTTGTAACGCTAAGAGATGTGGCTGGGTGCGGTGGCTCATGCCTATAATCCCAGCACTTTGGGAGGCAGAGGCTGGCAGATCACCTGAGGTCGGGAGTTCAAGACCACCCTAGACAATATGGCAAAACCCCGTCTCTACTAAAAATACAAAAATTAGCCAGGCATGGTGGCAGGCGCCTGTAACCTCGGCTACTCGGGAGGCTGAGGCACAAGAATCGCTTGAACTCAGGAGGCGGAGGTTGCAGTGAACCGAGATCATGCTACTGTACTACAGCCTGGGCGACAGAGCAAGACTTGGGGAGGGGAAGGGAGGGGAGGGGAGGGGAGGGAAGAAGGGAAAAAGGGAAGAAGGGAAGGGAGACAGACTGAAAGATGTTACAAGGAGACCCCGGAGAATGGCACAGAAACCCCAAGACTGCTTTTCACTTCCCCTAGGCTGTTTCTTCCTATTGTTCTTTGTCACCAAAACTTTGCGAATAGCGATGGTATGCACTTAATATATTCCAGGCATCCTTAATCAAGAACCAGAAGAAAAATAATAATATTCCAGGCAAGTATCTGATTAACTGCTTTACATGAACTTTCTTGCTTAATTTTTATACCAATCTTCTGAGATAGGTACAATTACTTTTCCCATTTTGTTGATAAGGAAACGAGTTTCAGAGAAGTGAGGTGATCTGGTCAACACCACACATAAGAGAGTAGAGTCAGAATTCAAAACCAGGTTTATCTGACTCCAGACCCCAAACTCTTATATCTCTCTTGCTGCCTTGTATAAAATTCCCTGGTCCCTTCCTCCTGCCAAAGTATGACCTCAGGTGGAAGGTTAGAATGTTCCTCTTTCCCTCCTTTTAGTTTCAAGAGTCTGTCTGCCTCCTTCTTCCTTCCCTGCCCCTGGCTTAATAAGATTTCAAAGGATGACTAAAGTGGAAAAGGCTGTTTGGCTAAACAAGGCCATCACACTCCTTCAGGTTAATAGGGCTTGGCCTGGTCCATAAAAGGGAAGAGGCACACCAACGCAATGTCACTCCAACCTCCCTGGGGCTGGCCAGGTTACCACAATCCTTTTTCAGCAGTGTCATTCAAGGTGGCACCCCGTGTCTGACAAATGGAGTACTAAAAAATCTGGCTCAAGCCTCACTGTCTATAGCAGGAGCTATTAACAGCCATTCCAGGCCTTCAGTGAAGTAGAATCTGGCTTAACCCTGCCCCTGGGCCCTCCTATGTGACAGCCACAACATAAAGACTCACTCTGGGAGAGGGAAAAAAAAATCACATCAACAGTCCAGATGAAAGCTGGATTCTGGGCTGGGCGTGGTGACTCACACCTGTAATCCCAGCACTTTGGGAGGCTGAGGCGGGAGGATCACTTGAGGTCAGGAGTCCAAGACCAGCCTGGCCAACATGGCGAAACCCCGTCTCTACTAAAAATACAAAAATTAGCTGGGCATGGTGGCAGGCGTCTGTAGTCCCAGCTACTCAGGAGGCTGAGGCAGGAGAATCACTTGAACCTGGGAGGCAGAGGTTGCAGTGAGCCAAGATCATGCCATTGCACTCCGGCCTGAGTGACAAAGCAAGACTGCATCTCAAAAAAAAAAAAAAAAAAGCTGGATTCTGGTGCCAGGCTTTGCCATGGACCTCAAAAGAAATGTCAGCATTTGCACAGGGCCAATTAGACATTTGGACACCAAAAGTTAAATCTTGAGGTTGATGGAACTGATCAGGACCTACGGACGGCCAAAGATGAAGATAAAACTAACATCAAGATCCAAAACAGTTAAGTCCCTAGATAAAGACAAGCATTGCTCTGGGTTCTCAAAATTCAGTTTATACAAGCTATATATATGCTAGAGGGTGAATTATCTTTAATACATAAAGAAGCCTTGCATATTAATAATCACAAACATTTCTAACATGTATTGAACATTTCTATGTGCAAATCACTGGGCTAAGGATTCAAATATATCATCTCATTCAGTCATCAGAGTTTTTATTATAACCACCATCATCTTCCTCATTTCATAGTGGAGAAAACCAAAGCTCCAAGTGATTAAGTGATCTGCCCAAGATCAAACAGACAATAAGTGGCAGAGGCTGAAGTCACGCTCAGATGTCGCCAAGTTTCAAGATTGTATTTTTGCCATTGTACTCTGCTTTAAATCCATGGCATGAATGTTACATATGTTCTCTCTCTCTCTCTCTCTCTCTCTCTCTCTCTCTCTCTCTCTCATTCTCTCTCTCTCTCTCTGTGTGTGTGTCTGTGTGTGTGTGTGTGTGTGTGTGTGTGTGTGTGTGTGTGTCTGTGTTTCTATGTGTGTATGTATCAGACTGCAGGCCAGGAAGGAAAAAGTTCTTGCGTGCCAATGGGGCAAGGAAGGTCATGCCTAAACCCCTTGTGTGTTCTGTGGCAACTATCCTGATCACACAACTACATTGCCCTTTACCGACAAAGCACAGCTCTACAGGTAAATGACTGACCAACTCAGAAGCAGAGGCCTTTGTTTTAACTTTATACCCCCCTCCAGCCTGCCACAAAAATTTGTAATGGGTGTGGCAAATGGCTATAGGGCCACTAGAAAGTCCTGTGAGGGAGTTCCCTCATCTGTACAATAGGAACCATAATAGTACCCAATTCATAGGATTGTTATGGGAATTATATTTAAAAAATGCATTAAAATGTGCATGGCATATAGTAAGACTCATATAAAACATTTGTTAAATAAATGGTGAAGAACTCACCTAAAGCCTCAAGATGGATAGATGGATGGATGGATGGATGGATGGATGGATGGATGGATGGATGGTTGGATGGAAGGAAGGAAGGAAGGGAGAGAGGAAGGGAGGGAGGGAGGTGGGAGGGAAAGGAGTGAAGGAAGGACAGGAAGGGAAAAAGGAATAGAAAAAAAATCATATGAGGGACAAACTACTTAAAAAATTCAAAGTATGAGAAGGAGGTCCAGAGAAAGCAGATGGACAGACTGAAGGCCAGAACCAAAAAGCAGAGCTTGGGGCAGACTTATATTTGGTTAGTCATACTTATAAACCTCCTTACCAGCTCAGAGTATTGGTCTTTGTATTGTATATACAGCTGATCTTTGAACAATGTGGAGGTTAGGGGCACTGACTCCCTGAGCAGTCTAAAATCTGCCTATAACTTTTAACTCCTCTAAAGTTAACTACCAATAGCTTACTGTTGACCAGAAGCCTTACTGAGATCAATTAACACAAATTTTGTATGTTATATGTATTATATATTGTATTCTTACAGAGAAGAGAAAATATTAAGAAAGTCATGAGGAAGAGAAAATACATTTAGAGTACTGTACTACATTTATCAATACCATAAGTTTGCATCATCTGTTCACAAGATGAATCGTCGTCTAAAATAGTGGGTAACTGCAGCTGCAGTCCTCAATCTATGGTGCATATCAAGCAATTCAACTTTTCCTTGTAATGTCTTAACTTTTCTCTGATTCTTGGGAGCACTTCAGCATGACTAGTGCACTTTGTATGGGTCCTCTGGTGTTATTCAACATTTATGGTATTGCACTAAACACCATGAAAAATGCGAGAACCACAAGGATCACTTTTTTATTGGGATCAACCATTTACTGGAGAAAGAACAGCCCATTCGGAGATGATCAGGGGCACAGGGCATTCTAAGGGATACTCACAACACCTGAGCTCACTGCAAGAGGCAGCTATAAAATTATTACAGGAGTACAGTATGTACTACAGCTAATTTTATGCAGTTATGTTTTAATAGTGCATCTTTATATCTTTACATCTCTCAATTACGATGGCACAATGTACAGTCTATAAGTGTTTGTGTACATAAGCTTTGATAAATTTTAACTTTTTGTAATAGATTGTGTATATTTTAGAGTAGTAAACTATAAAATACACTAGTGTCTACATGTATTTATTCATTCATGACATACTTAACCTTTTCTTAATCTTTTTCAATACTTCTAGGCTATAAGACTTGCCTGCAAATTTTTTCAAATTGTCAAAAACCCCCAAACCTTTTTCCAATATATTTATTGAAAAAATCTGCTTCTAAGTGGACCTGCATAGCTCAAACCCATGTTGTTCAAGGGTCGACCCTTCCCTCATGTTTTCCATCCTGTTTAGTGTGATACTGTAACCCCTGAATAACACCAGGGGATCCAGATGAAGTGCCACCAGTCATGCTGGAAGTGCTCCCAAGAAGCAAAGAAAAGTCATGATATTACAAGAAAAAGTTGAATTGCTTGATATGCAGCATATATTTTATTTTCTGTATATTGTGATATTTTGGTATCTTTAAAAACCTTTCTGGCTAGAGACAGCCTGCCCCCACCCCGACCCCCATCCTCCAGCCAATTCTTAGAGACAGCAAGTACTCACCCAGAAACATGCCTTTGATATGCAAACTAACCAATCCAAAGCCAGACCTCCTCTATCTGCCCCTTATACCCCAGGAGGCTATATTCCTCTTCCTTAATTGCCCCAGGGCCAGACACCAGACAACTAGGGTGCAGCCCTACAGCTTAGAGGCCTGCTGAAACTATTCAAACTAGCCAATCCTTAACTATTCACCCTGTCCTGCCCTGCCCTGCTTTTTCTGTGGAAACCCCAATAAAGGCAGTGGACTAAAACTTCCTCCTTGCTCCTATCTCCTGCCTCCTGACCACCCTAATGTCTTTCCCAAGTGGCCTTGCCTAGTATCCTGAGCCTCTTGTCTCTGGGACCAGTGAATATAATAAACTTTGTTTTTTCCTTACCCTCTCCTCTGTCTACTCTTGTGGCCACATCTGACTGATCATCACAAAAGAACACAAGATAGCCATTATTACTGACACAAATATTTCCTATAAGCTTTTTTGGTTTTGTATAGGATGCTACACTGAGTCTGCTTAGCTGGTAAGAATCTGAGGCAATATGGCAAGCACCATGGTTTTGATTCTCTTCTAGATCAGTTAATTTTGTTGAATTTAGTTCCACAAACATTAGTCAATCCATTACTGTGTGCCTAACATTGTTGCAGGTATTGTAGGGAAAAGAAGATAAGTATAAGTAGGACACAGTATCTGCCCTCAAAAAGCTAACAATTTTTATGAGAAGGCAAGAAGTGAAATAACTAGAGGAAATGTAGTAAAATGGTTAAGGGGGTTTGGAATCAAGTCTACATTCCATCCCATCCCTACCATTTACTGGCCAAGTGACTACAGACAAATCACTTAAAATATGTGTCAATTGCCTCACAATTGTTAATTGAACTAATAAGAGTACCTACTGAAAGGGTTAGAGAATTTAATAAAATAAGACCATGTAAAGTGATCAATGTAGTGCCTAGAATATAATAAGCACTCAATATACAGTGGCTGTATTATCCTTAACAGATCAATGTAAATGAATATCACATTATTCATAACAAATGAAGCTATTATGATCCTTCACGAGATGAATTCTATTTTAATTTAGTACTTGATAACAACCAAGAACAAAAAGATATGGAACAGATGACAAATTCTCTGGATGGCTGGAAAGGCAAATTCATAGATAGGAATTCTCAAAGGAAATTATAAAATATTTTGAACTGAACAACAACAACAAAAATATGCTAGTAACAGGAAAAAAATTTTTTTAACACAGTCTCACTCTGTCACCCAGGCTGGAGGACGGGAGTGCAGTGGCCGGATGTGGGCTCACTACAACGTCCGCCTCCCAGGTTCAAGTGATTCTCCTGCCTCAGCCTCCCAAGTAGGAGATTATAGGTGCCTGCCACTATGCCCAGTTTTTGGTGTGTTGGTTTTTTTTTTTTTTGTATTTTTTGTAGAGACGGGGTTTCACCATGTTGGCCAGGCTGGTCTTGATCTCCTGGCCTCAAGCAATCCACCCACCTCGGCCTCCCAAAGTGCTAGGATTACAGGCATGAGCCACTGCACCCAGCTGGAAATTCTTATATTAGGCAAAAAGAATGGTCTCAAATTAGCAATCTAAGCTTCCACCTTAAGAATAAAAAAAATAAGAGCAAAATAAACCCAAGGCAAGCAGAAAAAATGAAATAATAAAGAGCAGAGATCAATGAAATGGAAAAGAAAAACAATAGAGAGGCAGGGCTCAGTGCCTCGCGCCTGTAATCCCAGCACTTTGGGAGGCCAAGGCGGGGAGATCACCTGAGCCCAGGAGTTCAAGACCAGCCCGGGCAACATGGTGAAACCTTGTCTCTACAAAAAAAATTTAAAAAATTAGCTGGATGTAGTGGTGCAAACATGTAGTCCCAGCTACTTGGAAGGCTGAGGTGGGAGAATCACTTGAGCCCAGGAGGTCGAGGCTGCAGTGAGCCATGAGCATGCCACTGCACTTCAGCTTGGGCGACAGAGTGAGACACTGTCTCAAAAAAAAAAAAAAAAATCAATAAAACCAAAAGTTTGTCTTTGAAAAAAGTCAATACAATTTATAAACTTCTAGGTAGAATGACATGGATAAAAAGAGAGAAGGAAAAAAGTTAACAATATCAGCAATGAAAGAAGATATTAGAACCCTAGCAATTAAAATTATAAAAGAATACTCCAACCAACTCTATGCACATAAATTTGACCACTTAGATGAAATGGACATATTCTTCAAAAACCACAAACTCCAAAACTCACCCAAGATGAAAAAGACAACCTGAATAATACTATTAAATAAATTGAATTCATAGTTAAAATCATCTGAATAAGAAATCTCCAGACTCAGTTTCAGTGACCAATTCTACCAAATATTTATACAATCTTGTTCAGAAAATAAAAGAGAAGGAAACATTTCTCATGTTGAGTTGAAGAGGGGAAAGAATGAACACATCAATCAATTAAACAGAATGGTCCATCACTACATTACCCAGATACCAAAACTAGAGGAGTTGGGTAGTGGGGAGGAAGGAGAGGAAGAGAAGAAGAAAATAGAGGAAAAAGAAGAAGATGAGGGAAGAAGAAGGAAGCAGGAAGAAAAGGAAGGAAGGAAGGAAGGACAGACAGACCAATATTCCTCATGAACAACAGACACAAAAATCCTCAGTAAAATATTAGCAAATCTAAAGTAGCAGTATAGAAAGAATAATACTTGGCCAGGCACGGTGGCTCACACCTGTAATCCCAACACTTTGGGAGGCTGAGGTGGGCGGATCACGAGGTCAGGAGATCGAGACCATCCTGGCTAACAAGGTGAAACCCCGTCTCTACTAAAAAAATAAAAATAAAAAAAAAATACAAAAATTAGCCAGGCGAGGTGGTGGGCGCCTGTAGTCCCAGCTACTCCGGAGGCTGAGGCAGGGGAATGGTGTGAACCCAGGAGGCAGAGCTTGCAGTGAGCCGAGATTGTGCCACTGCACTCCAGCCTGGGCAACAGAGCGAGACTCCATCTCAAAAACAAGAAAGAATAATACTCTATGACCAAGTGCGTTTTCTCCTGGTAACACAAGGTTAGTTCAATATTTGAAATTCAATTAATATAATTCACCAAATCAGTGCTGAAAAGACTAAAAAAGACTAAAAAGTACGTGATCATATCAACTGATACAGAAAGGGTATTTTGTCAAAATTCAGTATCTATTCATGATAAAAATTATCATCAAACTAGGAATAGTAGGGAACTTCCTCAACCTGATGTAGGGAACTTCCTCAGCCTGATAAAGGGCACCTAAAATTACTATGCCTAATCTAATACTTAATGGTGAAAGACTAAATGCTCCCCCCGACAACATTAGAAACAGGACAAGGATGTCCACTCTCACCACTACTATTAGACTGGCAACTTTAGCGAGGAAATCAGGCAACAAAAATAATAGAGATCGAAAAGGAAGAAGTAAAACTGTCCTTATTTGCAATGGACGTGATTATATGTATGGAAAATCCCAAGGAATCTACAAAAAAGCTCCTAAAAAATACATTAGTTTTTAAAGGTCACAGGATGCGAAGTCAACACACAAAAATCAATCACTTCTACACAGTAGCAGTGTACAATTGAAAAGCAACATTTTTGAAAGAACCACTTAAAATGTTTCAAAAAACTGAAATGCTTAAGTATAAATCTAACAAAATATTTAAAGGATCCATATGCTGAGAATGGCAAAATGCTGATAAAATAAAAGACCTAAATAAATGGAAAGACATACCTTGTCCAAGGACTGAAAGGCTCAACATAGGAAAGATGTCATTTCTCACCAAAACGATCTATAGAGTCAAAGCAATTCTGATCAAAATCCCAACAGGATATTTTATAGATAGACTGACTCTAAAGTGTATATGGAAGGTCAAAGAAACAGGAATAGCTAAAATAATTCTGTAAAAGAAGCAGATAATGAAGGAGTCACATTGCCTGATTTTAAGGCTTACTACAAAGTTAAAGCAACCGAAACAATGCAGTATTGCCCAAGAATAGACACATCAATCAATGAAACATAATAGTCCAGAATTTGACCCACACAAATATAATCATTTGATTTTTGAAAATAGTGTAAATGCGGTTGAAGCAATTGGACATTCATATGTAAAATAACAAACTTAACCTAAACCTCACAACTTATATAAAAGCTAAGTCATAAATCTAAATAGAAAATATAAAACTATAAGTCTTAGAAGGAAATATATGAAAAAATCTGTGATCTTCAGTTAAGCAAACAGTTCTTAGACATGACACCAAAAACACAATACATAAAAGAAAAAAAAAATGATAAACTGACATTAATCAAAATGAAAAACTTTTGATCTGTGAAAGACACTTTAAGACAATGAAAAGATAAGCTATATAACATATAACATGGGATAAAATATTTGCAAATCACATATCCAACAAAGAACTTTTATCCAGAATATATAAAGAATCCTGAAATTCAACAATAAGAAAACACACAACTCAGCCAGGAGCGGTGGCTCACGCCTGTAATCCCAGCACTTTGGGAGGCCAAGGTGGGCAGATCACAAGGTCAGGAGATCGAGACCATCCTGGCTAACATGATGAAACCCCGTCTCTACTAAAAATACAAAAAAAAAAAAAAAAAAAAATTAGCCGGGTGTGGTGGCGGGTGCCTTGTAGTCCCAGCTACGTGAAAGGCTGAGACAGCAGAATGGCGTGAACCCAGGAGGCGGAGCCTGCAGTGAGCCAAGATCACGCCTGGGTGGCAGAGTGAGACTCCCTCTCAAAAAAAAAAAAAGAAGAAAAAAAAAGGGCTGAAAAAACTGTGAACAGACACTTCACCAAAAGAAGTTGTTATTGAATATGTTGTTGTTTTCACGGCAAATAAGCAGATAAAAATGTTCCCTACCATTAGAGAAATGCAAACTAAAACGATAATAAGATGCCACTTCTCATCTGAATTGCTATAATAACAACAACAACAAAAAAGACAATAGCAATGTGCAGAAACCGGAATTTTCATACACTGTTGGTAGGAATGTAAATGTAAAAGCACTGATTTGGAAAACTATTTGATGGTATCTTATAAAGGTTTTTTTTAATAAAAAAAGAAAAAGAAAAAACTTTCATAAGTTAAAAACACTAGTACTCACCCTACAACTCAATAATTCTGCTCCTGGCTCCCTACTAAGATGAAAACTTATGTTTACATGGAACCCTCTACACCAATGTTTACAGCAACTCTATTCATAATAGACAAAATCTGGAAGCAGTCCAGGTACCCTTCAATGGCTGAATGGATAAACAAACTGTGGTACCTACAGACCATGGAAAACCACTCAGAAATAAAAAGGAATAAACAATTGATACATGTATCAACTCAGATGAATCTCAAAGGCATTATGCTAAGTAAACAAACCCACTCTCTAAAGGTTACACACTGTAAGGTTCCATTTGTATGACATTCTCCAAAGGACAAAACTACAGTGATTGCAGAGCTGGTCAGTGGTTGCCAGGGTTTAGAAATCTGGGTGTCACACTAAAGGAAGAGTATGAGAAGTTTTTAGAAGTGATGGAGCAGTTCTAAACCCTGTCTGTGGTAGTAATTATAATAATCTATACATGTCTTAAGATTCATAGAACTTTATTCCCAAAAAAGCCAATTTGGCTGTATGATAATTGAACAAAATTCAAAAATGTATATGAGAAGCAAAACACTGAACTCTCCCAGTCTCAGCTTTCACACTCACAAAATAAGTGATCCAGGATTCTGAGCATTTTAAACAACGTTTTTCTGCCCTAGTTTTTTCTTTACACTTAAAGTTTTAAACATACAGTAAAATATTTTAAAAATTAGCACCTCTGCACCTACCATACAGCTTTAATAAATTTGAATATTATTGATTCAGTTGTCCTCTATGTACCCTTCCTGAATACGATTCATCTCACCCAACCATCTACAAGGGGAACCTCTACTCTAAAGTAGTTGACTTCCTTGTTGCCCACGTTTTTATACATTTATTATGTTTGTATGTATCTACAAATCACATATAGTGTTGTTTCATGTTTATACCCTTAAATAAATGGTACATTGTATAGAGAAAGATTATTAGGCAAATTACATTTTTCACTTAACTTCTAATTATCCATGTTTATACATGTAGCTCTACTTCATCTGTTTTTCACTGCTGAATATTATTCACTTTTATGAATATACCACAAGGTAGTTACCCATTGTCATGTTGATGGACATCTGGATCTACTTCTTTCCTTCAGCCAGACACTAAGATTTACTTTCTGTGATTTGTATTATAAAAACAAAAGATCTGGCTGGGCATAGTGGCTCATGCCTGTAATCTCAGCACTTTGGGAGGCCAAGGCAGGCAGATCATTTGAGGTCAGGAGTTCGAGACCAGCCTGGCCAACATGATGAAATCCCATCTCTACTAAAAATACAAAAATTAGCTGGTCATGGTGGCATGCGTCTGTAATCCCAGCTACTCAGGAGGCGGAGGCTGAAGTGAGCCAAGATCATGCCACTGCTCTCCAGCCTGGGCACAAAGTGAGACTCCATCTGAAAAAATAAAATCTATTTCTACCATCCCGGAGTCCAGAGTCCTTCTGCACTGACTTTCTGTTTCTATAAACCCCTGGATCTAAGAGTGTATACATTTTTTTCCCACTTTGTGAGGTGCTGTAGCGCAATCCTGTCTGTCTTGTGGCAGGGAGTGCAGTTAGGACCTTGCGTTTCAGAATTCACATATAAGAAAGTAGGACACTTGCCCGTCCAAGATGGCTGAATAGGAACAGCTCCCATCTACAGCTCCCAGCATGAGTAACGCAGAAGACCACTGATTTCTGCATTTCCAACTGAGGTACCAGGTTCATCTCACTGGGGATTGTTGGACAGTGGGTGCAGCCCATGAAGCATGAGCCGAAGCAGGGCAGGGCATCACCTCACCCGGGAAGAACAAGGGGTCGGGGAATTCCCTTTCCTAGCCAAGGGAAGCCGTGACAGACAGTACATGGAAAATTGGGACACTCCCACCCTAATACTGCGCTTTTCCAATGGTCTTAGCAAACGGCGCACCAGGAGATTATATCTCGCACCTGGCCTCGGAGGGTCCCATGCCCACAGAGCCTTGCTCACTGCTAGCAAAGCAGTCTGAGATAGAACTGCAAGGCGGCAGCAAGGCTGGGGAAGGGGCATCTGCCATTGCTAAGGCTTGAGTAGGTAAATAAAGCAGGCAGGAAGCTCGAACTGGGTGGAGCCCACTGCAGCTGAAGGAGGCCTGCCTGCCTCTGTAGACTCCACCTCTGGGGACAGGGCATAGCTGAACAAAAGGCAGCAGAAACTTCTGCAGACTTAAACGTCCCTGTCTGACAGCTTTAAAGAGAGTAGTGGTTCTCCCAGCATGGAGTTTGAGATCTGAGAACGGACAGACTGCCTCCTCAAGTGGGTCCCTGACCCCCGAGTAGCCTAACTGGGTGGCACCTCTCAGTAGGGGCCAACTGACACCTCATTCGGCCGGGTGCCCCTCTGAGAGGAAGCTTCCAGAGGAAGGATCAGGCAGGAACATCTGCTGTTCTGCAATATTTGCTGTTCTGCAGCCTCCGCTGGTGATACCCAGGCAAACGGGTTCTGGAGTGGACGTCCAGCAAACTCCAACAGACCTGCAGCTGAGGGTCCTGACTGTTAGAAGGAAAACTGACAAACAGAAAGGACATCAACACCAAAACCCCATCTGTACGTCATCATCATCAAAGACCAAAGGTAGATAAAACCACAAAGATGGGGAGAAACCAGAGCAGAAAAGCTGAAAATTCCAAACATCAGAGCGCCTCTTCTCCTCCAAAGGAACATAGCTCCTCGCTAGCAATGGAACAAAGCTGGATGGAGAATGACTTTGATAAGTTTAGAGCAGAAGGCTTCAGACGATCGGTAATAACAAACTTCTCCAAGCTAAAGAGGATGTTCGAACCCATCGCAAAGAAGCTAAAAACCTTGAAAAAAGATTAGACGAATGGCTAACTAGAATAAACAGTGTAGAGAAGACCTTAAATAACCTGATGGAGCTGAAAACCATGACATGAGAACTAGGTGACACATGCACAAGCTTCAGTAGCTGATTCAATCAAGTGGAAGAAAGGGTATCAGTGATTAAAGACCAAATGAATGAAATGCAATGAGAAGAGAAGTTTAGAGAAAAAAGAATAAAAAGAAACGAACAAAGCCTCCAAGAAATATGGGACTATGTGAAAAGACCAAATCTACGTCTGATTGGTGTACCTGAAAGTGATGGGGAGAATGGAGCCAAGTTGGAAAACACTCTGCAGCATATTATCCAGGAGAACTTCCCCAACCTAGCAAGGCAGGCCAACATTCAAATTCAGGAAATACAGAGAACACCGCAAAGATACTCCTCAAGAAGAGCAAATCCAAGACACATAATTGTCAGATTCACCAAAGTTGAAATGAAGGAAAAAATGTTAAGGGCAGCCAGAGAGAAAGGTCGGGTTACCCACAAAGGGAAGCCAATCAGACTAACAGCAGATCTTGCGGCAGAAACTCTACAAGCCAGAAGAGAATGGGGGCCAATATTCAACATTCTTAAAGAAAAGAATTTTCAACCCAGAATTTCATATCCAGCCAAACTAAGCTTCATAAGTGAAGGAGAAATAAAATCCTTTACAGACAAGCAAATGCTGAGAGATTTTGTCACCACCAGGCCTGCCTTACAAGAGCTCCTGAAAGAAACACTAAACATGGAAAGAAACAACCGGTACCAGCCACTGCAAAAACATACCAAATTGTAAAGACCTTTGATGCTAGGAAGAAACTGCATCAACTAATAAGCAAAATAACCAGCTAACATCATAATGACAGGATCAAATTCACACATAACCATATTGACCTTAAATGTAAATGGGCCAAATGCTCCAATTAAAAGACACAGACTGGCAAATTGGATAAAGAGTCAAGACCCATCAGTGTGCTGTATTCAGGAGACCCATCTCATGTGCAGAGACAGACACAGGATCAAAATAAAGGGATGGAGGAAGATCTACCAAGCAAATAGAAAACAAAAGCAGGGGTTGCAATCCTACTCTCTGATAAAACAGACTTTAAACCAACAAAGATCAAGAGACAAAGAAGGCCATTAAGTAATGGAAAAGGGATCAATTCAACAAGAAGAGCTAACCATTCTAAATATATATGCACCCACTACAGGAGCACCCAGATTCATAAAGCAAGTCCTTAGAGACCTACAAAGAGACTTAGACTCCCACACAATAATAATAGGAGACTTTAACTCCCCACTGTCAACATTAGACAGATCAATGAGACAGAAAGTTAAGGATATCCAGGAATTAAACTCAGCTCTGCACCAAGTGGACTTAATAGACATCTACAGAACTCTCCACCCCAAATCAACAGAATATACATTCTTCTGAACACCACATCACACTTATTCCAAAATTGACCACATAGTTGGAAGTAAAGCACTCCTCAGCAAATGTAAAAGAACAGAAATTATAACAAACTGTCTCTCAGACCACAGTGCAATCAAACTAGAACTCAGGATTAAGAAACTCACTCAAAACCACTCAACTACATGGAAACTGAACAACCTGCTCCTGAATGACTACTGGGTACATAACGAAATGAAGGCAGAAATAAAGATGTTCTTTGAAACCAATGAGAACAAAGACATAACATACCAGAATCTCTGGGACACATTTAAAGCTGAGTATAGAGGAAAATTTATAGCACTAAATGCCCACAAGAGAAAGCAGGAAAGATCTAAAATTGACACCTAAAATCACAGTTAAAAGAACTAGAGAAGCAAGAGCAAACACATTCAAAAGCTAGCGGAAGGCAAGAAATAACTAAGATCAGAGGAGAACTGAAGGAGATACAGACACAAAACACCCTTCAAAAAAATCAATGAATCCAGGAGCTGGTTTTCTGAAAAGATCAACAAAATTGATAGACCACTATCAAGCCTAATAAAGAAGAAAAGAGAGAAGAATCAAATATACACAATAAAAAATGATAAAGGGGATATCACCACAGATTCCACAGAAATACAAACTATCAGAGAATACTATAAAGACCTCTACACAAATAAACTAGAAAATCTAGAAGAAATGGATAAATTCCTGGACACATACACCCTCCCAAGAGTAAACCAGGAAGAAGTTGAATCCCTGAATATAACAATAACAGGCTCTGAAATTGAGGCAATAATTAATAGCCTATCAAACAAAAAAAGTCCAGGGCCAGATGAATTCACAGCCGAATTCTACCAGAGGTACAAAGAGGGGCTATTCCAATCAATAGAAAAAGAGGGAATCCTTCCTAACTTATTTTATGAGGCCAGCATCATCCTGATACCAAAGCCTGGCAGAGACACAACAAAAAAAGAGAATTTTAGACCAATATCCCTGATGAACATCGATGCAAAAATCCTCAATAAAATACTGGCAAACCGAATCCAGCAACACATCAAAAAGCTTATCCATCACGATCAAGTTGGCTTCATCCCTGGGATGCAAGGCTGCTTCAACACATGCAAATCAATAAACATAACCCGTCATATAAACAGAATCAAAGACAAAAACCACACGATTATCTCAATAGATGCAGAAAAGGCCTTCGACAAAATTCAACAGCCCTTCATGCTAAAAATTCTCAATAAACTAGGTATTGATGGGACATATCTCAAAATAATAAGAGCTATTTATGAGAAATCCACAGCCAATATCATACTGAATGAGCATAAACTGGAAGCATTCCCTTTGAAAACTGGCACAAGACAGGGATGCCCTCTCTCACCACTACTATTCAACAGAGTGTTGGAAGCTCTGGCCAGGGCAATCAGGCAAGAGAAAGAAATAAAGGGTATTCAATTAGGAAAAGAGGAAGTCAAATTGTCTCTGTTTGCAGATGACATGATTGTATATTTAGAAAACCCCATCATCTCAGCCCCAAATCTCTTTAAGCTGACAAGCAACTTCAGCAAAGTCTCAGGATACAAAATCAATGTGCAAAAATCACAAGCATTCTTATACACCAATAACAGACAAACAGAGAGCCAAATCATGAGTGAACTCCCATTCACAATTGCTTCAAAGAGAATAAAATACCTACGAATCCACCTTACAAGGGATGTGAAGGACCTCTTCAAGGAGAACTACAAACCACTGCTCAATGAAATAAAAGAGGATACAAACAAATGGAAGAACATTCCATGCTCATGGATAGGAAGTATCGATATTGTGAAAATGGCCATACTGCCCAAGGTAATTTATAGATTCAATGCCATCCCCATCAAGCTACCAATGACTTTCTTCACAGAATTGGAAAAAACTACTTTAAAGTTCATATGGAACCAAAAAAGAGCCTGCATTGCCAAGACAATCCTAAGCCAAAAGAACAAAGCTGGAGGCATCATGCTATCTGACTTCAAACTATACTACAAGGCTGCAGTAACCAAAACAGCATGGTACTGGTACCAAAACAGAGATATGGACCAATGGAACAGAACAGAGCCCTCAGAAATAGCACCACACATCTACAACCATCTGATCTCTGACAAACCTGACAAAAACAAGAAATGGGGAAAGGATTACCTATTTAATAAATGGTGCTGGGAAAACTGGCTAACCATATGTAGAAAGCTGAAATTGGATCCCTTCCTTACACCTTATGCAAAAATTAATTCAAGATGGATTAAAGACTTAAATGTTAGACCTGAAACCATAAAAACCCTAGAAGAAAACCTAGGCAATAGCATTCAGGACATAGGCATGGGCAAAGACTTCATGACTGAAACACCAAAAGCAATGGCAACAAAAGACAAAATTGACAAATGGGATCTAATTAAACTAAAGAGTTTCTGCACAGCAAAAGAAACCAACATCAGAATGAACAGGCAACCTACACAATGGGAGAAAATTTTTACAATCTACCCATCTGACAAAGGGCTAATATGCAGAATCTACAAAGAACTTAAACAAATTTACAAGAAAAAATCAAACAGCCCCATCAAAAAGTGGGCAAAGGATATGAACAGACACTTCCCAAAAGAAGACATTTATGTAGCCAAAAGACACATGAAAAAATGCTCATCATCCCTGGCCATCAGAGAAATGCAAATCAAAACCACAGTGAGATACCATCTCACACCAGTTAGAATGGCGATCATTAAAAAGTCAGGAAACAACAGGTGCTGGAGAGGATGTGGAGAAATAGGAACACTTTTACACTGTTGTTGGGACTGTAAACTAGTTCAACCATTGCGGAAGACTGTGTGGCGATTCCTCAAGGATATAGAACTAGAAATACCATTTGAGCCAGTCATCCCATTACTGGGTGTATACCCAAAGGATTATAAATCATGCTGCTATAAAGACACATGCACATGTATGTTTATTGTGGCACTATTCACAATAGCAAAGACTTGGAACCAACCCAAATGTCCATCAATGATAGACTGGATTAAGAAAATGTGGCACATATACACCATGGAATACTATGCAGCCATAAAAAAGGATGAGTTCATGTCCTTTGTAGGGACATGGATGAAGCTGGAAACCATCATTCTCCACAAACTATCGCAAGGACAGAAAACCAAATACTGCATGTTCTCATTCATAGGTGGGAATTGAACAATGAGAACACTTGGACACAGGAAGGGGAACATCACACGCCGGGCCTGTCATGGGGTGGGGGGCTGGGGGAGGGATAGCATTAGGAGATATACCTAATGTAAATGACAAGTTAATGGGTGCAGCACACCAACATGGCACATGTATACATATGTAACAAACCTGCATGTTGTGCACATGTACCCTAGAACTTAAAGTATAATAAAAAATAAAAATAAAGAAAGTAGGACAACTGCTGAGACTAAGCAGAAGCTATACAAGTATTCTATGTACTGCGCTATTCACTTTTCCGTATGTTTAAAAATTTCCAGGCCAGGTGCAGTGGCTCACGCCTGTAATCCCAGCATTTTGAGAGGCTGAGACAGGCGGATCACAAAGTCAGGAGATCAAGACCATCCTGGTTAATATGGTGAAACCCCACCTCTACTAAAAAAATAAATAAATACAAAAAATTAGCCGAGTGTGGTGGCATGTGCCTGAAGTCCCAGCTACTCAGGAGGCCGAGGTAGGAGAATCGCTGGAACCCAGGAGGTAGAGGTTGCAGTGAGCCGAGATTGTGCCACTACACTCTAGCCTGGGCAACAGAGCAAGACTCTGCTCAAAAAAAAAAAAATTCAGACTAAAAGAACATAAAAAACAAGCAAGTAAAGAAAAAAAAAAAGATAAGTAGAACAGGGGGGCTTGGCTGGCTTTGCCTGCGGACACAAAGATAATTCCCTGGTTGCAGCTGGTGGTTTCCCACTTCCTTGTTCTGAACCAAATGGGGCCGCACAACCACAGAGACTGCAGAATTTTTTTTTTCCCTGTGAAATTCAGGAAGTTGGCAAATGCCCCTATCTGGAAGGTACTCAACTGGTAAAAGAGGCTACCTATCTAAAGGCAATTTTCATTCTGAAATTTTACTTATCTAAATGAAAGCAATTTTCTTTCCTTGAGACCCAAATTCTAACAGTGAGTACACAGATGACAAAGTGTCAAGACAAGGATAATGCTATACGCTACTACTAACAATTATTGAGTTCCTGGTATATGTTAGATTTCATGCTAAGAAATTTACATGGGTCATGTCATCTAACCATTTTTACTCAGGAGGGTCATTACTATTAATAGCATTCTTTTACAAATGAGGAAATGGAAGCTAAGACTTTAATCTATGCTCAGGATCACAGAGCTAAGAATTAAGCAGAACCGCAACTATAACTCTAATTCCACTGTACTATTCAAGATCCCTTCAAAACATGTCTACCCGATAAATCAAATGCTGAATTGAACAGAACAGTGTTTAAATACATTATATTATGTTCATCCAAACAATGGAATACTATGTAGCCATCAGAAATCATGTTAAGAATACTTAATTAGATGGGTAAACAATCCCGTTATATTTTAAATATTACAAAGTATCATATGTAGAATGATCTTTATTTTGTTTCTAAAAATGGTGGCTCACGCCTGTAATCCCAGCACTTTGGGAGGCTGAGGTGGGTGGATCATGAGGTCAGGAGTTCAAGACCAGCCTGACCAATATGGTGAAACCCTGTCTCTACTAAAAATACAAAAATTAGCCGGGTGTGGTGGCAGTGCCTGTAATCTCAGCTACTCGGGAAGCTGAGGCAGGAGAATCGCTTGAACCTGGGTGGCAGAGGTTGCAGTGAGCCGAAATCTATACCTACAGAAAACTAAGAAGAAATTATACCAACATATTAACAGGAATTATCAGTTATTATTATTGTATTCTTTATTGCTTTCTATAATATTTTATTTCTTTTCCTTACAATTAGCATGGATTACTTTTATAATGAGAAAGAAACAGTTCTGCTTCTTCATTACCAACTGCACAGCTCCTATCTAACTTGCCCAAATCTTATTATGCCGTACTGCTTTCCCCCAACCCCTGCCCTTTGGAATTGCTTTTGACAAATATATAGCACAGTAGATTCTTCACTTGGATAAAGTAAAAAGAGGCCCAAAATAATCAGTCCTCATTCCTCTGCTGAGTACTGCTTTCCATGTTTCCACAGATGGGAAAAGTTATCTGAATCTTTAGCCTTTCTTTTACCCAATGGTGACATACATCTAAATACATGCTTAAAGCCTAGGAGAAGGAAAAAAAATAAAAGCAGTCCCTGCTCTAGGAACTTTCAAAGAGAACTTCTGGGAGACTTGGAGAAGATAAAACTGAGTATATGTAAAGGTAGGCAGCTTCTATTTTATGTCGAATGGGAACCTGTGAACAACCCCAAAGCATCTTCCCTCTTCTAAGAATTAAGGGAAGAATACACATAAACCGAAGGCAGAACCTGACAATAAGGTGGCTCCTAGGAAAGCAGATACCTGAGCAGCATTCTGAATAAAAAAGAGAAACTGGTCTCCCTGAATCGCTCTTTACTTACTGTGGTTTCCTCTTTCCCCTTTAAATCTGCAACATTTATAAGCAGAGCCTTCTCTCCTTTGCCAATAACTGAGTCTTAATAAGGCTGCTCAGGTCAAAAACAACCTCTCAACTATCTTTTTCAGTGATGAGTCCAACGCTAAGCCAAAAAGCAGCCACCTCCGAGGTGAAGGTGCCAAAAGACTGTCCCTTTTTAACTGCATATGACCCCAAACTAAGTCTCAGTTTAGAATCCCTCAGGTTCCAGAGCAGCTGACCAGATGAGCACTGGGAAAGGGGGTACTGAGATGCTAAAATCATTCCAAGACATTTAAACTCAACAGGTTCAAACTGAGTCTATCTCATGACCTCAGAGCAGTCCTAGAGACCTGAGGTCTGAATTTCTCCCTGGGGAAAGTCATGCTATTTAAAAATCTGAGAGTATCATAAATGAAATCTAGAAAAAGAAAGGGCCATGGGGATACTGCACTGTCATCATATCATGTGGCCCAAAGGCCAACAGGATATCAGTTTTGCAATGCCAAGATCACGTGTCAGGCTGCCCCAGTTCCTCATGCCCACCCCCATGCTTCCCTCGTCTACCTTGGCTCACATGCAGCCTACAGTCCTCTCTCCATCCAGCAATGCACCTCCTGCTCTCTGCAGCATAGATGAAATTTCATCTCATCCCCTTCAAAAGCTTCTTTAGACTGAGTCAGCAGATATGACCAAATAATCCTATTTGCATCACAGATCCACTCCTTTCCTGGCACACATGAAGATGAACAACTTTAGGGTTTCAGTGGGGAGCAGAGGGGTACTGTACACTTTCTGGAGCAGAGGGATGTGTGTCAGCGCTCTGCTATGCCCTTTTCTTACCCAAGGCGGGGTGAGGGAAGAGTTTCCTGCCATTTAAACCATACCACTCAGTGACTCACTCCATGAGTTCCCCCACCCTTGATACATACACATGGATAACCAAGCACATTAAGTGCTGGGTGTTCAGAATACAGCTAAACTGTCTGATTACAACCCAAAGCCTGGAAAACCTTAATCTCTGTTCCCTTTTCCTTCATGTATTCCTTCAAGATATCCCAACTCAGAGGTCGAGGCTACAGTGAGCCATGATCACGCCACTGCACTCCAGCCTGGGCAACAGAGTGAGACAGTTTCAAAAACAACAACAACAAACAAGAGAGCCCAACTCAGAGAAAGTCTCAAAAGGCTAGTTTCTCTAAGAGGCTCCCAGCCCATTGTGAAATTCTTAAGCCCAGGTCTCTAGCTGATAAGGAAGAATCTTAGGCTGGAGGCTGTATAAACAGTTGACTCAGACTGATGACTGCTCTTTTATTGAGTAAGTGTGCTGTGGTTAATAACTAAAATGCTAGGATCTTCTAGTCCTGGGAAGAGCTCAGATCAACTACCAGAAGCATCACTAGTCACCATTTGTACTACAAGCAAAAAGAAATGACTGGTTAGCTTTTGTTTCTGATATGAACACTTCTGACAGCTGCAGAGGTTTCTCAAGCCTCTAGAGAAGTAGAAAAGCCCTACTCTGATCCTTATGTCAAAGAATGTGAATGTGAACTCTTGTGTATCTCCATCTGTAAAGATCATAAGATGACATCACTAGGATGAATTGTAGCTTTCCAAGATCTCACCATCCCCATTATGGTATTCCTCTTAAATACTCAAATGTCTCCCACTGCCTTCTAGCTTATTAACAGAGTCACTGTCCTACTGTACATATGTAATTTCTTCCTCTCTCTCTCTGCCTATGCTAGATCTAATTCCTCTAAACTCAGAGTCAGCAAAATATGGTTTTTCTGTTTTGGCTTCTTTATTGGCATGATTTTATATATATACACACACACACACATATATACACACACACATATATATATACATATATATACACATATATACATATATACACATATATACATATATACACATATATACATATATATATAAAATTTTTTCCAACTTAACTGCTTTTAAGTGTACAGTTCAGTGCCATTAAGTACATTCACACTGTTGTGTAACCATGACTGCCAGCTATCTCCAGAACTTTTTCATCTGGTCCTCCTGTTTATGTAAATAAAGTTTTATTTGAACACAACCACACTAATTTGTTTGCATTTTTCTGTGATGCTTTCATGCTCCAACAACAGTTAAATAGTTAAAACACAGAGATCATATGGCTTGCAAAGTCTAAAATATTTACTCTCTGGCCCTTTACAGGAAATGGTTGCCAATCTCTGCTCTAATCTAAAATATACACTGGATTTCTACTTTAAAATAGCACTTGGCTAGCAATCACTAACATAGCCTCTCTCAATTTCCCACTCAAATACCTATCAAGATATAGAAAAAGATAAAATTCCCCAAACACTGAAAACTTAAACTGATGGCCAACTTATTACCAGGATCTGGGAGAAATCTCCATTAACAATAAGCCTAATACTGAAATGAGAAAAAACAATCTGGCCAATTCATGCAGCAGCCCACAGAAACCTAAAAGAAGATAGGAAACATTGAGTCCTTCCACAACTGTCAGCCTCATGGCTTAGAAGCCAAGAGTTCATCTAGAAACTGGCAAACCGGACATCCATTTGGACTACGTGGTTACTACTTGCAGAGGAAATCAGCAATTCTCAAAACTGGTCTACATTCACATGGAGACTCTAATTCCCCAAAATCAAAAGGGCAGAAATGGCAGAATTGGTACTGGCACACTGTGTGCTAGGAGTGGGAGCCCTCACAAGTAACACTCAGGTAGTAACACATGTGGGAGGCTGTACTGTTTCACATAGTTTATCTGGTTCAGAGCATCTGAGAACATTGTAGTAGGGGTAGACGATTCCATATGGGTCCAGCAGAACCCACTAGATGAGTAGCTGACAGACACTGTGAAACAGGTTAAAAGCTATGTGTATCAACCTGCCTGCCAACAATGGAGCTGAAAAGGGTTCTAACCAATATGAGAGAGAATCTGAGCTTGAGGATAGTCAAAGGCAATCTACATACCCTGTATTTGATGAAAGACAGATCCTTTTTTGAATATTCATAAACCATACAAAAAACCTGACCAGGCATGGTGGCTCATGCCTTTATTCCTAACACTGGGAAGCCAAGGTGGGAGTATCACTTGAGGCCAGGAGTTCAAGACTGGGCAACACCGCAAAACCCTGTTTTAATATATATATATATATATTTTTTTTAATTAGCCAAGCATGGTGGTGTTTTCCTGTAGTCCCAGCTATTTTGGAGTCAGAGGTGAGAGGAACACTTGAGCCCAGGAGTTTGAGGATTCCATGAGCTATGAACATGCCACTGCACTCCAGCCTGGGCAACAGAGCAAGACCCTGTTGCTTTACCAAAAAAAAAAAAAAAGTTCATATGAAAACCTCTGGCAGCACAAGGAAAATGCATATCACTCTGACAACTCAGAGGAAACAAAAACGTCTTAATTTTGTGTATAAACCAGAAGAAATATTTTAGAAAACTGTTTACATCCTCAATAGAATGAAAGAAAACATGGACTCTATGAAACAGGTATAGAAAGCCACTAGAATAAAACATTGAGAAGGAAAGACAACCTAGGGTAAGTAGCTCAACAGAGCTAGAAAGAAATACAGAGAAATTAACATTGTAACAAAAATAAATAAATTTCACATTGGAGACAGCAGAGAGCAAAATCAATCAAATTAATAGTATGGAAGCCAAATCTGAGGCTCTCCCAAGCATGCAAAGGAAAAGGAAAATTTATCTTAGAAAGCTAACAAAGATTGATATTAGGAAATCTATAATATAATATACCAAATGGGGAGATCAAAGTAGAAAACACAAATGAACCTCTTAATAGATTCCTAGAAAACATCAGCTAAACTCAACAACTATTCTTTATTTTTGGAGACAGATCTGACTTTGTCAACCAGGCTGAGTGCAGTGGCACAATCTCGGCTCACTGCAACCTCCACCTCCTGGGTTCAAGCGATTCTCCTCCCACAGCCTCTCGAGTAGCTGGGATTACAGGCATGCACCACCATGTCTCTCTCTCTCTCTCTCTCTCTATATATATATATACTATACTATATATATATATACTATATATATATACTATACTATATATATATACACTATATATATATACTATACTATATATATATACACTATATATATACTATACTATATATATATAGTATTTTTAGTAGAGATGGGATTTCACCATGTTGGCCAAGCTGGTCTCAAACTCCTGATGTCAAGTGATCCTTCTGCCTCAGCCTCCTGAAGTGCTGGGATTACAGGCGTGAGCCACCACACCTGGCCAACTATTCTTGATTTTTGTGAGGACTTGATAATTTAAGAATAAGGTAATTCCCTAATATTATAAAAAACATCTAACTTAAACCAACAGACAACATCAGAGCCAACTAATATGAACCATTAGAAACATTTCTATTAAGTGAATCACTAGAAACATTTCCATTAAAATCAGAAGCAAGACAAGGACTCCTGCTAGTACTGCTATTATTTAACATTATCCCAAAAGATCTAGCCAATACAATCAGGTTTGAAAGCAAAACAGCAGTTTTGTTCTTTAAAAGGAAATAAAGTTATCATATGGGAGCTGGTGTGATTAATTTCAAAAATAATCCAAGAGAAGCAACTGAAAAACTATTAGAAATAAGAATTAAGCATAGACACACAAAATCAAAAATTTTCCTACCTACCAGTAATAACTAGTTTGAAAATATAATAAATATCATAAACTATCAACTATCCAGGGATGATCTTGATGAGAAATATATGAGATACACACACATGCATGTGAGCAACTAAGGAACATAAAAGAAAATTAATAAATTAACATATCATGTCTTTTCCTGGATGACAGACTCTGTGTTGTGATGATGTCAATGAAATTTTAGGTTTAAAGTAGTTCCAATCAAAATCCTGGTAGGATTTTGAGGAGAACCTGACAGAAACATTCTAAGTTCATTTGGACGAAAAAATGGTTGAGACTAGCTAAGAAAAAAGTGTGGGTAATGCGCTAGGCTGCAGAGAAAGCAAAAGAAATCTGGTTTACCAGCTGTTGCATATATAAGGGTATGAAACTGATGGAAAACCCAAGAGAGAGATCAATGAATAATACAAGCTGAAAAAATCCTAGCATATAGAAGAATTTATGTATGATAAAAGTATAATAGCAATAATCATAGGAAAATAGTTATTTGATGAATGGTGCTCAAATAAATGACTCTCTAGGGGAAAATATAAGCTATACTCTACTTCATACTAGTCACAAAATGAATTTTTGATGGACTGACAAGTTAAATATTTTTAAAACTATTTTAAAACTGGATTGTTTTAAATCCCATTCTAACCTTAGAATGGGAAATGTCTTTTCAAGTGTAAAAGCAATGGAAGAAATTACCATGATCTGAAGGGGGTTTAGAAATCAATCAATTTGACCAATAAAAATGTAAACCAAATCTATTATCAAAAGCATCATTAAAAAGTTAGAAGACAATCTGGGGAAAACATTTACTGCAAAAGTGATAAAAGATTAACACTCTTTATATATGTAAAACTCATACAAATCAACAAGGGAAACACCTGTACATCAAAATTCAGCAGAGACCATGAGCTGACAATCTACAGAATAAAATATGTAAATAGCTAATAGATATAAGTAACCACCATATTATGTATATGTTCCAAATTACCCATAATGATATTTGAAAGAAAAAAAAACTGACACAAAAGGCAAGGGAAAAAGAAAAGAGAAGCCACCAGTGAGATGTGAGATGTGTTGGGGGAACTGGGGGGTGAGGGGGAGGTCTGGTTACACTGCAACACAGTCCTTTATCCTATCCCTGAGGTTTTCAAAAGGAAATCTTATTTGTTAATAACTGGTGAGGCAGGCTAGTTCATATTTTGGGACTGGGTCGGTTCCCTAAGATGAATGAGACATGTAACGTTTTTCCAAGTTAGTAGCAGGATAGTAAGTGCAAAACCATCCCTAAGGATATGTTGGTTTTATTCAAACCGAAGTGAGGAAAAGAATTCTGTGGCTTGGATGTCAACGGCACTGGTAGATAGCTCTTCAGGAAAGTACCATTCACATCAGCCAAATGAGTCAAAAGAAAATGGCTCAGATTCAAAGAGATACAGAACAGCACTGCATGTACAGACACAATACAACAAACAACTCTGACGCTGCTATGTAAGCATTCACAGAGAAGAGGAGCCAAGAACAGGAAGGATAAGAGGCCTTCAGAGGCAGAAGACTGCCAGGCTGGAATTCTAGGAGTTGGAGATACTAGAGATCAAAAGAAAACGATGCCCAAGGTTGCTGTGGTAGTGGGCCAGGTAGAATTTTGGCCCTTCTAATTTTGGCTCCACACCCTGGATGCATGCTTTCCACTGAGGCAGCCCTTCCAGCAGCAGGCTATAGCAGCAGGACTGAGCAAGTCACATGTCAACTGAGGTACATATAAATGAAGCATTCCAGGACCCAGACATAACACTGTGGTACTATCATTCCCTCTTGTCAAGTGTACCATGGGAACCATGTGGAGAATCCTGTCCCTTCTCCACCCCAGTGGGAGTTGCCAGCCTTTGCCAAGCACAGGACATGCAGCCTGCTGCACACGTCATACCCCTTTCCTATAGTGGCTGGGCATGCCTCCAGGAAGAACATGCTGGCCCCTGGTTAGCTGGGAAGCTGGTAAACTCATGTGTGGCTGGCACAGCAAAGGGCCCATAGAGAAAGCAAGAGAGATAGGTATATGATGCTAGTCAACAAACCCAAAGAACACACGGGCATAAAGATCACAACAGAGCTCATCCATGTATACTGAGACATAGGGAATTTTAAATAAGATGCTTTCATACTTTTAACAATTTAAACAACAATGGGATAGTAGAAAATATTCACTTCAGCAACACAAGGTCATGATTAGCAGCATGGGCTCTGGAGTGAGAGAAACTTTGGATCAAATCCTGCATGTACCACATGCAAGCCACATCCAGTCATGTAAACTTTCTGAGCCCCAGTTCTCTTGACCAAACTACTATTAATAGTACCAGTACTACTATTAGTACTTCCCACACAGTTTTGTTAGAAGGATTAAATAAAATAATCAATGTTAAGTGTTTCCCACCATGCCTAGGCACACAGTAAACCTGATTATGTTATGATCACTGGCAAGAGAAGAAAGAATAGGAATCCTGACTCTGCCACGAAGTAATCTTAGCCAAGTTATATAATATTTCTTGGTCCCCTACTGCTCTATTTATAGTATGGATAATGTATTCGCTATCCCCCAATACTATTTTAAAGATTAGATGAGAAAATTTAAAGCAAAGAACTTTTAAACAGTAAAGAACAATACTAATGTAAAGTTAAAGTATTTTAAGGGCTCTCTACTTTTTAAAATACTGATTTTTAACTCAACATGGTATTTCCACACAATGGAATAATATGCACCCATTAAAGATGGTGTGTATCAGCCACCGTGTTGGCTCATTCCTGTAATCTCAGCACTTTAGGAGGCCGAGGCAGGAGCATCACTTGAGGCCAGAAGTTTCAGACCAGTGTGAACAACATAATGAGACTCCGTCTCTACAAAAAAAAAAAAAAAAAAAAAAAAAAAATTATTAGCTAGGCATAGTGGTGCACACCTGTGGTCCCAGCTACTTGAGAGGCTGATGTGGAAGGATCACTTAAGTCAAGCAGGCCAAGGCTGCAGTGAGCCGTGAATGCACCACTGCACTCCAGCCTGGGCAACAGAGCAAAACGTGGTCTCGAAAACAGAAAAAAATGTTGTGTATTATAAAAAGTTGGATAACTCTCCAGGGAATTATGCTAGGTGATTTTTAAAAAGTCAGCCTCAAAGGTAATATAAGGTATAACTATATTTACACAAGATTCCTAAAATAGCAAAATTATAGATATGAAGAATAGATTCATGGTTGCCAGGGATCAGGGATGGGGTTTAGATATGTAGATGGTGGGTATGGCTATAAAAGAATGACAGAAGAGATCTGCATGGTGACAGGACTGTTCTGCTTTATCAGACCGTATCAATGAAAATATCCTGGCAGTGATACTGTACTATAGTTTTGCCAGAGGTTACCAGTGGAGGAAATTAGGTAAAAGGTACATGGGATTTCTTTGTGTTTTTTCCTATATTATTTTTTCTACATTATTATACTTAATAGACAACAGGTCTTCAATAAGTTAATGGGAAATACATATTATTACAAAAAACTATGCATGGATTTCAAATTTTCAGCACCAAAATAAACTCGTGCTAACTTATTCTAACATGTCTGAACAGGATCTAGTTTGAGGCACTAAGAAGGATAAGACACCAGTTTGAAAAGAGCCCCTACCAGAACAACAATAATTCTGCTAAAATTGAAGCAAGAACAAACATCAAATTTATAGTGAAGCTTGGGTGGAAGGATGGTGAAATCATTTATGCTTTATAAAAAGTTTACAGAGACAATGCCCAGAAGAAATCAGCAGTTTACAGGATAACTCATTTTTTTTAATTATTATTATACTTTAAGTTTTAGGGTACATGTACACAATGTGTAGGTTAGTTACATATGTATGCATGTGCCATGCTGGTGTGCTGCAACCATTAACTCGTCATTTAGCATTAGGTATATCTCCTAATGCTATCCCTCCCCCCTCCCCCTACCCCACAGCAGTCCCCAGAGTGTCATCATTTTAAGAAAGGGTGAGATGTTGATGATGAAGCCTGCAGTGGCAGACTACCTACATCAATTCGTATCTTGTTCATTTCTTAATTGAAGAAGACCAATGATTAATAGCAGAAACGATAGCCAACACCACAGACATCTCAATTGGCTCAGCTTACACAATTCTGACTGAAAAATTAAAGATGAGCAAACTTTCCCCATGATGGGTTTCAAAATTGCACCCAGATCAGCTGAAGATGAGGACAGAGCTTTCAATGGAAATTTTAAACAGGTGGGATAAAGATCCTGAAGCATGTCTTCAAAGAATTATAACAGGAGATGGAACACGATCCTGAAGACAAAGTACAATCATAGCAATGTCTACCAAGCAATGAAAGTGGTCCGGTCAAAGCAAAAGTGGACTGGTCAAGAGCAAAGGTCATGGCAGCAGGTTTTGGGGATGCTCAACACATTTTGCTTGTTGATTTTTTCGAGAGTCAAAGGACAATAACACCTACTTATTATGACAGTGTTTTGATAAAGTCAGCCAAAGCTTTAGTGAAAAACTGCCCAGGAAAGCTTCACCGGGGAATACTTCTTGACCAGGAAAATGCTCCTGCTCATTCCTCTCATCAAACAAGGGCAATTCTCTGAGAGTTTCGACGGGAAATCATTAGGCAATCATCTCAAAGTCCTGACATGGCTCTTTCTGACTTCTTTTTGTTTCTTAAACTTAAAAAAATATATATCTTAAAGGCCCTCATTTATCTTTAGTTAATAATGTAAAAAAGAATACATTGACAGTTACATTCCCAGTACCCTCAGTTCTTCAGGGATGAATTAAATTGCATTCTTTAGGGATGAATTAAATTGACGTTCACGGAGCTTCTGTTGAGAAATGAAGTTTATAATTTTTATCTTTATCTTTAATTCCATTTTCTGTGAACTTTTTGAAATCTCCTCATATTATATACTTATCTCAAAGTATAAAGTTTAATTTAATTTTATTTTTTGAGACAAAGTTTCACTATTGTTGCCTAGGTTGGAGTGCAATGGCACAATCTCGGCTCACTGCAACCTCCGCCTCCTGGGTTCAAGCAATTCTCCTGCCTCAGCCTCCTGAGTAGCTGGAATTACAGGTGCCCATCACCATGCCCAGCTAATTTTTTGTATTTTTAGTAGAGATGGGGTTTCACCATGTTGGCCAGGCTGGTCTGGAACTCCTGACCTCAGGTGATCCACCTGCCTCGGCCTCCCAAAGTGCTGGGATTAAGGTGTGAGCCACTGCGCCCAACCTAAAGTTTAATTTTAAAATGTGATGATCCGAGGGATCACACTAGCTCCACAGCAATGGATCCTAACCAGATTGAAATGTCTGAAAGGACATACACAGAATTCAGAATCTGGATGGCAAGAAGCTCAATGAGACTCCAGAGAAAGTTGAAACTCAATCGAAGAAAGCCAGTAAAATGATCCAAGAGTTAAAAGACAACATAGACATTTTAAGAAAGAGCCAAACAGAACTGGTGGAATTGAAAAACTTCACTACACAAGTTTTCAAATACAACTGGAAGCATTAACAACAGACTAGACCAAGCTGAGGAAAGAAATTCAGACCTCAAAGAATGGTCCTACAAATTAACCCAGTCAGACAAGAATAAAGAAAAAAGAATTTTTAAAAATGAGCAAAAGTTTCAAGATATATGGGATTATGTAATAAGACCAAACCTAAGACTCACTGGCATTCCTGAGAGAGAAGGAAACACAGTGGGCAACTTGGAAAACATATTTGAGGATACAGTTCATGAAAATTTCTCCAATCTTGTTAGAGAAGACAACATGCAAATTACAGAAATTCAGAGAACTCCTGCAAGATACTATACAAGATGACCATCCACAAGACACATAGCCATCAGACTTTCCAAGGACAATGAAAAAGAAAAAATCTTAAAGGCAGCTAGACAAAAGGGTCAGATCACTTACAAAGGGAATCCCGTCAGGCTAACAGCAGACTTCTCAGCAGAATCCTTTCAAGCCAGAAGAGACTGGGGGCCTATTTTCAGCATCCTTAGAAAAAATAAATTCCAAACAAGAATTTCATATCCCACCAAACTAAGCTTCATAAGAGAAGGAGAAATAAAATCTTTTCTAGACAAGCAAATGCTAAGGGAACTCGTTACCACTAAACCAGCCTTACAAGAGCTCCTTAAGGGAGTTCTAAACATGGGAACAAAAGAATAATATCTGCTACCACAAAAACACATTTTAGTACACAGCCCATAGACTCCAAAAAGCAACTACACAATCGAGACTACAAAGCAACCAATTAACAACATCATGAAAGGAACAAAACCTCATATATCAATATTAATGTTGAATGTAAACAGTCTAAATGTCCACTGAAAGGGCACAGAGTGGCAAGATGGATAAAAACAACCAAGACCTAACTGCCTGCTGTCTTCAAGAGAAGCATCTCACATGTGATGACACCCACAGGCTCAAAGTAATGGGATAGAGAGAAATCTATCATGCAAATGAAAAACAAAAAAGAACAGGGGTCGATAATTCTTATACCAGATAAAAAGACTACAAACCAAAAACAGTAAAAAAGGACAAATAAGAGTATTACATAATGGTAAAGGCTTCAATTCAACAAGGAGACTTAACTATCCTGAATATATATGCACCCAACATTGGAGCACCCAAATTCATAAAACACATACTTTGAAACCTACAAAAAGACTTAGATAGCCACACAATAATAATGGGGATTTCAATACTCCACTATGGTGTTAGACAGATCATCAAGTCAGAAAATGAACAAAGAAATTCTGGACTTAAATTTGACAGTTAACCAATTGGACCTAATAGACATCTACAGAACACTCCACCCAACAATCACAGAATAAACACTCTTCTCATCTGCACACGGAACATACTCTAAGATCAAACATATGTTTGGCCATAAAGTTAAGTCTCAATAAATTCAAAAAGCTAGAAATCATTCCAAGCATACTCTTGTTCCACAGTGGAATAAAAATAGAAATCAATACCAAGAAGACCCAATTACATGGAAATTAAACAACTTGTTCCTGAACGATTTTGGGATAAACCATACAATTAAGGCAGAAATCAAAAAATTCTTCGACATTAATGAAAACATAGAAACAACATATGAAAATCTATAGGATGCAGCAAAAACAGTATCAAGAGGAAAATTTATAGTGCTAAATGCCTACATCAAGAAGTTAGAAAGAACTCAAATTAACAAGCTGAAGTTGTGTCTAGAGGAACTAGAAAACAAGAACCAACTCCAAAGCAAGAAGAAAAGATATAACTAAAACCAGAGCAGAAATGAATGAAACTGAAACCCAAAAAAATCCATACCAAGGATCAATAAAAAAAGGTTGGTTATTTGAAAGGATAAACAAGATCTATAAATTGATAGCTAGATCAACAAAGAAAAAAGAGAGAAGACCCAAATAACCACAATCAGAGATGACAAATGTGACATTACAACTGATCCCAAAGAAATATGAAAGAACCTCAGAGACTACTATGAACACTTCTATGCCCACAAATTAGAAAATCTAGAGAAAATGGATAGATTCCTGGAAACACACAACCTCCCAAGAATGAATCAGGAAGAAACTAAAACCTTGGGCAAATAACAAGTTCTGAAATTGAATCAGTAATTGTAAAAAAAGAAAACCTACCAACCAAAAAAAGCCATGGACCAGATAGATTCAGAGCTAAATTCTATCAGATGGATAAAAAAGAAAGAGCTGGCACCAATCTTACTATTACAAAAAAAAAAAAAAAAAAATCAAGGAGGAGAGACTCCTCCCTAAATCATGCTACAAAGCCAGCATCACCTTGATAACAAAATCTGTCAAAGACACAGTGAAAAAAGAAAACTACAGGCCAATATCCCTGATGAACATAGAAGCAAAAATCCTCAACAAAATACTAGCAAACTGAATCCAGCAGCACATCAAATAGTTAATTCACCAAAATCAAGTAGGCTTCATTTCTGGGATGCAAAGTTGGTTCAACATATGCAAATCAATAAATGTGATTCGACACATAAACAGAATTTAAAACAAGGACCATATGATCATCTCAATAGTCAAATAAAAAGGTTTTTTATATAATCCAACTTCCCTTCATGATAAAAACCTTCAACAAGCTAAACATTGAAAGAATATACCTCAAAATAATAAGAGTAATCTAAGAAAACCCCACAGCCAACATCATACTGAATGAGCAAAAGCTGGAAGCATTCCCCTTGAGAACTGGAACAAGACAAGGATGCCCGCTCTCACCATTCCTATTCAACATAGTACTGGAAGGCTTAGCCAGAGAAATCAGGCAAGAGGAATAAATAAAAGGCATCCAAATAGGAAAGAAGAATTCAAACTATCTTCTCTTCACTGACGATATAATTCTATACCTAGAAAACCCTAAAGACTCCAACAAAAGGCTCCTAGAACTGATAAACAACTTCAGTGAAGTTTCAGGATACAAAATCATATAAAAAAATCAGTAGCATTTCTATACACCAATAACATTCAAGCTGAGAATCAAATCAAGAATGTAATCCCATTTTACAATAGCTACAAAAACATAAAATGCCTAGGAATACATCCAGCCAAGGAGATGAAAGATCTTTACGAGGAGAACTAAAAAACCCTGCTAAAAGAAATCATAGCTAACACAAACAAATGGAAAAGTATTAGATTCTCATGGATTAGAATAATCAACATTGTTCAAATGGCCATACTACCCGAAGCAATCTACAGATTCAATGCTACTCCTATCAAACTACCAAAGTCATTCTTCACAGAATTAGAAAAAACTATTCTAAAATCCATAGATAACCAAAAAACAGCCCAAATAGCCAAAGCAATCCTGAGTAAAAAGAACAAACCCAGAGGTACCGCATTACCTGACTTCAAACTATACTACAAGGCTACAGTAACCAAAACAGCATGGTAGTGGTACAAAAACAGATACAAAGACTAAAGGAATAGGATAGAGAACACAGATATAAAGCCATACACCTACAACTATGTGATGTTCAGCAAAGTCAACAGAAGTAAACAATGGGGAAAGAACTCCCTATTAAATAAATGGTGCTGAGAAAACTGGCTATACACGTGCACAAGAATGAAACTGCACTCCTTCCTATCATGATATACAAAAATTAACTCAAGATGACTTAAACATTTAAATGTAAGCTCTCAAACTGTAAAAATCCTAGAAGAAAACCCAGAAAATACCTTCTTGACATTGGCCATGGCAAGGAATTTATAGCTAAGTCCTCAAAAGCAACTAAAACAAAAACAAAAATTGACAAGTGGGACCTAATTAAACTAAAGAGCTTCTGCACAGCAAAAGAAACTTATCAGCAGAGTAAACAGACAACATACAGAATGGGAAAAAATATTCACAAACTACGCATCTGACAAAGATCTAATAACCCAAATCTATAAGAAACTTAAACAAATCAACAAGCAAAAAACAAATAACCTGACTAAAAAGTGGGCAAAGGACGTGAACAGACACTTCGCAAAAGAAGGCATACAAGCAGCCAACAAGCACATGAAAAAATCTCTTATCACTAACAGAGAAATGCAAATCAAACCACAATCAGGTCAAGCGTGGTGGCTCACTCCTGTAATCCCCCCACTTTGGGAGGCTGAGGTGGGCAGTTCACCTGAGGTCAGGAGTTCAAGACCAGCCTGGCCAACATGGTAAAACCCCATCTCTACTAAAAATACAAAAATGAGCCAGGCATGGGGACATGTGCCTGTAGTCCCAGCTACTTGGGAGGCTGACGCAGGAGAATCACTTGGACCCGGGAGGATGAGTTTACAGTGAGCCGAGATCAGGCCACTGTACTCCAGCCTGGGCAACAAAGCGAGATTCTGTCTCAAAGAACAACAACAACAACAAAATGACATATCATCTCACACCAATCAGAACGGCTATTATTAAAAATTTGAAAAATAACAGATGCTGGTGAGGCTGTAGAGAAAAAGGAATGCATATATACTGTTGATGGGAATGTAAATTAGTTCATATCCACTGTGGAAAGCAGGTTGGAGAGTTCTCAAAGAATTAAAAGCAGAACTACCACTCAACCCAGCAATCCCATTACTGGGTATATACTCAAAGGAAAATAAATCATTCTACCAAAAAGATACAAGTACCCGTATATTCATCGCAGCACTATTCACAATAGTAAAGACAAGGAATCAATCTAGATGCCCATCAATGGTGGACTGGATAAAGAAAATATAGTACATGTATACCATGGAATAGTATGCAGCCATAAAAAGAATGAAGTCATGCCCTTTGCAGCAGCATGGATGCAGCTGAGGCCATTATCCTAAGCTAACGAACACAGAAACAGAAAATCAAATACCACATGTTCTCACTTGTGAGTAGAAGCTAAACATTAGATACACATAGACATAAAGATAGTTAAAACAAGCCAGGCATAGTAGCTCATGCCTGTAATCCCAGCTCTTTGGGACGCTGAAGTGGGAGAATTTCTTGAGCCCAGGAGTTTGAGACCAGCCTGGGCAACACAGAAAGACCCCATCTCTACAAAAACTAAAATAATTACCTAGCTAGGTGTCACAGCTAGTGCCTGTAGTCCCAGCTACTTGGGAGGCTGAGGCAGGAGGATCACTTGAGCCCAAGAGGTCGAGGCTATAGTGAGCCACGTTCTCAACACTGCACTCCAGCCTGGGCACCAGAGTGAGAACCTGTCAAAAAATAAAAATAAAATAAAAACAACAAACAATGGGGACTACAAGAGAGGGGAGGGAAGGAGGATGACAAGGGCTGAAAAACTACCTATTGAGTACTATGCTCATCACTACCTGAGTGACAGGTTCAATCATGTCCCAAACCTCAGCATCGTGCAACATACCCTTGTAACAAACCTGCACATGTAACCCTTGGATCTAGAAGAAAAATTGGAAAAAAAAAAAGACAAAAAATAAATAAAGGAATAAATACTTGTCCTTGTGCTTGAGAGATTAAGAAAAAAACAGAAGAGGGAATTAATGAAGATAAAAGCTGAAAATTAAGTAGAAAAAATAAATAAGGTAGAAAGAATAAATAAATTGAAAACATGGTTCTATGTAGCAACCAAAAACAGATAAGTGCTTACTAACCTGATTAATATACAGAGGAGAGAACACAAAAACAGACAAGATCAAGTCCAAGAAAAAATACATGACTACAGATAAGGAGATATTTTTAAATTATAAAATAAGAGGATACTACATGCTCAACTAAATATTTGGCAACAAATTTGAAAATTTAGAAGAAATGGATAATTTCCCAGCAAAACACAAACGACCAAAATTGACCCAAAAAGATTTGAATAGATTACCACAGAACACATCAGAAAGGTGATTAAGGGTTTACCCATTGAAAAATGGCACCAAGACCAGATGGCTTCACAGATTATCTTACCTTTAAAAGATACATAATTTCTTTTTTTTTTTTTTTTTTTTTGAGATGGAGTCTCTGTCGCCCAGGCTGGTGTGCAGTGGTGCGATCTCATCTCACTGCAACCTCCGCCTCCCAAGTTCAAGTGATTCTCCTCCCTCAGCCTCTCGAGTAGCTGGGATTACAGGCACCTGCCACCACACCCAGCTAATTTTTGCATTTTTAGTAGAGAAGGGGTTTCACCATGTTGGTAAGGCTGGTCTTGAACTCCTGACCTCAGGTGGTCTGACCACCTCAGCCTCCCAAAGTGCTGGGATTACAGGCACCCACCACCACGCCCAGCCAGGATACATAATTTCTAACGGTAGTTAAAGTATTCCAGACAAGAGAAAAAGAAGGAACATTCTGCAGTATATTTTACATAGCCACCATAACTTTAATCCTTAAACTTGTTTTTTTTAAAAGATGGAGTCTTGCTCTGTAGCCCAAGCTGGAGTTCAGCAGCACAATCATAGTTCACTGCAGCCTCGAACTCCTGGGCTCAAGTGATCCTCCTGCCTCAACCTCTCAAGTAGCTGGGACTACAGGCACACAACACCATGCCCTGCTAATTTTAATTTTAATTTTTTTTTTTTTTTTTTTTTTTGTAGAGACAAAGTCCTGGTATGTTGTCCAGGCTGGTCCCGAATTCCTGGCCTCAAGCAATCCTTCTACCTCAGCCTCCCAAAGTGTTGGGATTATACGCATGAGCCACCACACCTGGCCTCAATCCTTAAACTTGAAGAAAAAAACACTAAGAAAAACATGACTCTAATCTCGGGAATATTGAAGCAAGATTCTAAATAAAATATTGACAAATAGAACCCAGCAATGTATCAAAATAATAATATACTATGATCAGCGGGTGTATTTCAATAATGTAAGAGTAGTTCAAAACCAGAAAATCTATCAATGTAATTTATTATATCAAAAATTTAAATGAAAAAATCCCACATGACCAATAGATGTAGAAAAAGCATTAGATAAAATACAGCTACCATTCCTTCTTTTAAAAAATCTTGGCTGGGCACAGTGGCTCACACCTGTAATCCCAGCTCTTTGGGAGGCCGAGGCAGGAGAATTGCTTCAAGTCAGGAGATCAAGACCATCCTAGCAACAAAGTGAGACACTGTCTAAATAAATAAATAAATAAATAAATAAATAAATAAATATTTAAAAATCTCTACATAAATGTAAAAACTACTTAAGTATAATAGACTATTAACAAACACCAACAGCAAATATGGAGGAGTACAGAAAATATTTCCATTTAAAATCAGTTTTAGGCAAGAGTAGCCCGTCAGCACAATTTTTATTTAACTCTGAATTTCTAGCAAATGCAACAAGAAAATGAAATAACTGGTATAACTAAGGAAAAGAAGAGATAAAACTAAAATAAAATTTACAAGAACAAGAGAATTCGGTAAGATAGCCAGATATAAGATATTTTTAAAAATCAACAATCTTTTCCTATTCTAGCAAAAAGCACTTAGGAATAGAAAGGGGAAAAATATTCCACTCATTACGGCGTGGTTGGGGGAGAGGGGGAATGCTATTAATTCTTTTTCTATTCTTTTTATAATTCTTTTTTTTGGTGGGGGGTTAGAGACGAGGTTTCATCATGTTGTCCATGATGGTCTCAAACTCCTGAGCTCAAGCAGTATGCCCACCTTAGCATCCCAAAGTGCTAGGATTACAGGCGTGAGTCACTGCACCTGGCAGAAAAGCTGTTAATTCTTGAGGAATAAATGCATCAAGAAAGGCATAGAGCAGATATGAAGAAAAAGATAAATCTAACTGAAACAATAAGACGTGAACAGATGGAAAGAAATACCATTTCTTAGATAAAAGGAGCCATATAATTTAAAAACTGAAATATATACTTAAGGCAATTCTAATTAGAATTCCACTAGTATTTGAGAGAGGTAGGTGAATATAAGTGATCTTAAAATTTGTGTGTACGAACAAGTGACAACAAATAGCCAAGAATTTTTTTTATGTTTTTTTTGAGACAGAGTCTCACTCTGTTCCCCAGGCTGCAGTGCAGTGGCACAGTCCTGGCTCACTGCAACATCCGCCTCCTGGGTTCAAGTGATTCTCCTGCCTCAGCTTCCTGAGTAGCTGGGATTACAGGCATGTGCCACCATGCCTGGCTAATTTTTGTATTTTTAGTAGAGATGCGGTTTCACTATGTTAGCCAGGCTAGTCTCGAACTCCTGACCTCAAGTGATCCACCCGCCTCAGCCTCCCAAAGTGCTGGGATTACAGGCGTGAGCCACCGTGCCCGGCCCCAGAAAAATATTTTTTAAAGCCTAATGTAATCAAATATATGAGATTTGGGTACACAAATAGACAAAAAGAAGAAACAGAATAGAGAATCCATAAGTAGATCCTAGCATATAAAACATTTAATAGCTGCAAAGAGATCACAGGGTAAAATAGGGATCATTTAATATATTATTCCAATACAACTGGCTACCTATCTTCAAGAAAACTATCTTAACCAAGACTTGAAATTCAGATGCTATATAAGAAAAGAGTCATATTTGGATATAAAAATGCAAACAATTATATGGAAATATATTCCATCAACAAAGTCAGTATAGGCTGGGCGCAGTGGCTCACATCTGTAATCCCAGCACTTTGGGAGGCCGAGGCGGGCAGATGACTTGAGGTCAGTAGTTCGAGACCAGCCTGGCCAACATGGTGAAACCCCATCTCTACTAAAAAAATAATTAAAAAAAAAAAAAAAAGTCAATATAAACATATTTGGGAAAGGTATCTGTAACAATGATGATAGACAAAGGGCTAAAATCTAAAATATACAAAGAGGTCTTAGAAATTAGAAAAATATAAACAACCCATAGGAAAATGTGCAGATAATATGAATAGACAACTCGAGGAACAAATTTAATTGGACAAAAAATTGAGATAATACTGAAACTCACTAGTAGCCAAGAAACTGCATCCATTAGGTTGTCAAAATTACAAAAGAACCATTAACACCTGTTGCTGATAGGGATAAGAAGAAAATAATAATCTCACATATTACATACAAAAGCAAAAAGTGTAGCATAACAGCCTGTTTTTATAAATCAATATGGCGATATCTATTAACATAAATATATATTTAAACATTCCCATATACCTATATACCTCTACCTACATCTATATCTAAACTGAAAGCAACAGTATATAAGGGTATATACAAAATCATGTTGATTTAAGCATTGAATGTAGTGGCAGAAATGTGCAAAGAAAGTAAATGTTCATTAATAGGGGAATGGCTGAATAACTTATTGTGCATTCATGGAATATTTTACAACATTATAAAAGAATAAGAGCTACATCAATAGACTGTGATAGATTTCTATGAGATATTGTAGAATGAAAAAGATATATTAAAGTATATATAATATTCTATTTCTGTAAAACAAACAATGAACAACAACAAAACATTCCAAAACTTGTGTGTGTATGTGTGTATGCATGTGTATATCTATGCACATGGAGTAAAATGTGAAAAGATACATACTGTTTTGGTAATACAAAGGGATAGTGTGGAAAGGTAGAACTAGGAGCTGAAGAAAAAAAGGGAAAAGAAAGGACCACTACAAAAAAAAATCCAGCAATCATATTTATGATTTACACACCTATATGAATGTATCAATAAACCAAGTTAAATTTAGAAAAGATACAGTAAACACCTCAATATACAATATGATCTCTGCTTCTTAAGAAAAGAAAGGTAATAAGCAAAATTATCTCTTGGTGCTTGGATTTGGGATGGATGATGTTTCTTCCTTATGTGTCCCTGTGTTTTCCATAATGAGAATTGTTACTTTCATAATGAAATAGAACCAATAAATGTTACTTTTAAAACATTACACTGAATAATTGAGCTCATTTTGGAAAATCAAGGAAGGAAAACAGGGTTAAATACCCCTTTCCTTTAGGAGCTGTTCAAGTAAGAAATACATGAAATCAGGATCCATTATCCCTCACGCAGCTGAAAGTTACTCACCTAAGGCAAGAGACTAAGTGGCTATTTCAGGGAGCTATTTGAAGCAGCAAATGGGGTCCTTTTTCCCCTACCTAACACTTTAATGACTTAAGTAAATCAGAAAGCCATTTACACCATTCTCAATTATCCAAGAATCTGCTGGGCTCTTTATTTCCTGTTCCCTTCCTCTGGCTTGCAGCCATTTCACTGCTCAGGAACATCTCCAGAATCGGGGCCAGGGAAGGAGAAAAGAGATGAAATTAATTCAGTCGATTTGGCTTCTCATTAGCAACTCTAATAAAAGGTTTGATAAGTGAGGTGGTCACAACTCACGGTTAAAATGAGGGTTCCAGGACTCTTGATAATTTCATTTAAATAAACCTGCCTTCAGAGAAACACTATTTGCCTGCAATATACTTTAATAGATTTGATGCTTGCTATTTTTATGAAAGTCTGAACTTGTAATAGTGGACATTTTCCTCTCCTCACTTTAATTTGCACTTTAGGGGGGAAAACCCCATAAAAACATAAGAACAATGCCCTTCAATGTGAAGAACCATATGCTCAGTGGAGCAGTAGGCTCACAAAGCAAAGATTCTTGAGAGAAAGGAAGCTGTCTGGCCCCTAGCATGCTCTCAAGAGAAATTTTAGCAGGGCAGCAACCTTCCAAGGGAGCATGCCTTGGCCATACATCCCCTACTGGAAGGATTTGCTAAAAAGGATTTGACGGCTTGACAAAAACCAGGTCTTCACAAACAATATTTCCCTGTTTCAGTAGGCCCTCACAGACCTTCATCCCTTTGGGAAGTGCAAAGACAAAATGGTACAATCCCAAGGTGTTCACAGCAATGTGTTATCAGTCTTGTTAGCAAACAGACAAAAATACTCTGAAGAGCAACAGAGCAAAAGCCAATTTTCTCTTACTTGAAGACGACGATAGCTCCCCGACATGGAGGGCAGGCCAGGAGAAAGATCTGCAATTGAAGAAGAATTAAGAATGGTTAGCAAGAAAAAATGCCAGACAGAGTGAGACAATGTTACTTTAACAATAACAAAAAATAACCAAAACTCTAACACAATAATGTAATATAAAAATTTTTAAAGGCAACAGGTACATGTTTGTGCTTGCATGCATGCATGCGTGTGTGTGTGTGTGTGTGTGTGTGCGCACACATGAGAAAGGGAGAAGGAGGGTGAGAAGACTCAATATTTCAATGCTTCAGTTTCAATACGACACAAGTAGTCAGTCTTAAATTTAACCCAGGGCAGGTAAAAATAGATTCTGAGCATGGAACACGCACACACCATGCCATCTGGTTTGCCTCCCAGGGGAGAAGGTGGGTTTATCAATACTCAACATTGCCAAATTTAGCAAATAAAAATACAGGATGCCCAGTTACATTCGAATTGCAGATAAACAATGAATAGTTTTAGTATAAATATGTCCTGTATTTATTTTAGCTGGCAACCCTATCAAACTGCCACCCGCAGGTTCCAAGCCTCCCTTTGATTGATTCTTTTGTTTCTAAGCACGTCTAGGTGGTTTTACTCTTCCATTCTCCTCCCAGGTAAAACCAAACAAAAAGAACCTTGTCCTAACAGACAAATCAGTTCCCTGATACCTGGTGTGGCATGGGCCCAGATTACAGCCTTTGGAAACCTGCAGCTGTGGCAGTTTGACCTTCCCCCATGCAGTGGTGCTCAAACATCAAGAGGAACAAAAAAGTCCTATGCAGAGCTTGTAAAACATACAAATTCCTGGGTTCCCCCATTAAGAATTCTGATTCCCCAAGTATGGGACTCCAGAAATCCTCATGTTTCACAAATGTCCCAGGAGATTCAATCACTCCTGGTAGCCTGAGATGCTGAATTTTTGCCCTTGGACTGAACTACTACAGGAGTCAAAAACATTCAGCAGAACTGAGGATTGACAAAGGAATGAAACTCATGTTTGTAGAGTTTCTTCACCTGTAGTGACTTAATGGTGTGGTTTAGAAATCGTTGACATGTGTCCCTATATTGTTGAGAGCTCTTATTAATATAGGATATCTGCATTATGGACTTGTTGGCTTTATCACTTGTATGTTCTTTAGTATGTGGTTCTTCTGTTCTCTCGGAGTCCATATTTAGAAGAAAAGGGTATTATAAGAAAAATCACTATAAGGAAAGACACCTGCATGAATCCCTGCCAATAAGAAGAGGAAGAAGAATGAAAATGAGAAAGGGTCTTAAAAAGAACACAGTCAGGAGTCCATCACCTGCATGATACCTCATCAAAGGAAATATCTGTCAAGAATGTGCCTTTTCCCTTGATCAATTTCATTAAACATACAAAGCCGATGATAATTACAGGTCCACAATCTTTTGTTGGCAATCCCAAAATCCAAAAAGCTCTAAAAACTGAAAGTTTGTTTTCTTCAAAGCTAATGTTACAGCAAAATACGACTTGAATTGAGGTTAGGCTACTTATAGACTTTATTTCTTCCACTTACGGTGAATATTCATATGTTTCCCATAAAAATAATAATGTATTTAATTGCGGGGTACTGCCTCAAACCCCACTGGGAGTGTATGTAAAAGACTCTACATGCACTGTACGGCCTCTCTGAAATCCAAAAAAATTCTGATTTCTGAAATATATCTGATCTTAATGGTTTTGGATAAGGATTACAGACTTGAAATTTCAATTATCCAAACATCGACTTATCCCCACTCCCCATCCCACCCCTCAGGAGCAGTCCAAGAAATAAACAAAGCTAATATTTTTTACCCTTGATCCAGCAGTAAAGTTACTCACCTTAGGTAAGGGACCAAGTTGGAGGCTGCACATAGTTACCCAGCATCAGGCCCATCAAAGGCTACACTCAGAAGCTACAGTACACAGAGAAGAGGAAGGGGCCCCAACCACCTTAGAAAGGTCCTCAATACTTCTGGAGTCACCAGAGTCATGCCAGCAGCCTTCCTGAGCTTCTGGAATACCCAAGACACTTCCAACATGCTAAACAGAGATGTAAAAATGCAACACTGGGCACCACAGTTAAATCTTACTTTTCTATACCCACAGACAAGAGGAGGTAAGCTGATTTTCGGGGACAAATTTCCCTTATAAGTCCATTTGGCTGGTTCTGATCCACAATTTCCCTAGGCTAGAAGCCCAGAAAACTATTAAAGAGAACAAGCCTCCAGTTTCAACCCAGTTGGTTGTCCTGTTATCCTCCATCAGTCATGGTTCTAACTTTAGTCGTTTCATCTTTTCTGTCTTGCCTATTTCTATCATCAGCATAGCAGCATAGAAGGTATCTTTTTTTTTTTTTTTTTTTTTTTTTGAGAAAGTCTCACTCTGTTATCCAGGCTGGAGTGCAGTGGTGCAATCATAGCTCACTGTACCCTCCAACTCCTGGGCTGAAGCAATTCTCCTACCTCAGCCTCTCAAGTAGCTGGGACTACAGGTGTGCACCACCATATCTGGCTAATTTTTTTATTTTTTATTTTTATTTTTATTTTTTTGTGGAGACAGAGTCTCACTATGTTGCCCTGGCTGGTCTCGAACTCCTGTCCTCAAGCAATCCTCCTGCCTCAGCCTACCAAAGTGCTGGGATTACAGGTTTATCACTGTGCCTGGCCTCTAGGGTCCTTTTTCAAATCTGCTGACTTGATATAACTAAATGTATCTGATTGAAAGATTATTTATTACATTACATTCCACCTCCTATGATGGTACACAGTTATCTGGGGATTCCTGATTATTCATATTGCATTTCCAGAAAACTCATGGCCTCCTTTAGCAACTTCTCAGATTTCTGATACTGAACCTCTTCACCCTGTCATGCTAGAGTCACATTCATATTCAACATTAGCCAACAGAGCCACATGGAACTAACATTTTAATTCAGAGGTGCAAGGGCCCCCAGCCTTGGTCTGAATATCCTTGCTTTCTTCTTTGCTTGGCTTCCAACTGCCTGAAAATTTTGGTGGCATGCATTTTTAGACTAGGAGGTGAAAAGCTAAACTATCACTTTGGCTGCAAATAGAATAGGAAGAGATGAGACTTAGAAGTTCAAACAAGGATGGTACAAAGATGAGAATATATCTGAGCATACCCCAGTACCAACTTGGCACTTTGCATTCATGCTGACATCTGCCCAGCTCAGCACCTGAAACAAAAGGCATGAGCAGGTAGCATATAGAGAAGTGCTACAGAGCACTTCCACTTTCCCATCACCTGGGAGGCAGGCAGAACCATGTTATTAAACCCCATTTCAGAGATGAGGAAACTGAGGGGAAAAGGTTCTGACAAGCTTTCTGATGAGAGCCCAGGTCCCTTAACTCCCAGTTCAATGCACTTTCCACTTCACACCTGACACATACCAGGGCTCATGAGAGCTCCTTTTCTTTAGACTCTAGCCCTGGCCCTTGACCACATGGCACACAGGGAGTCACCCCAACAGCCCCACACCTGTGCCATCAGCCAGCTCATAAGATCTACTCTCTACAGTGTGAGACATCTCAAAACACAAACTCAACTGGACAGCAAATTGCATTTACATAGATGAGTTTCAGAGTCCCAAAGACAGGTTCATTATAGCTCCCACCTGCCTCATCCCCAGGTCTGGTGGGCACTTGCAATCCTTATAAAACTGAGGTCTTTTTTGGCTGGTTTTCCCAGAAAAAATCCACGGTTCCATTCAAAACCACACACTCTCTCAGCTTCCTCAGGAAAGATCCCTGTACTAACCTTTAGTTCTTTCCTAAGCATCCAATCTAGGCATCAGCTGTTATCCCAGTTCATCCTCTACCTGCGAACCTCTCTGGTTCCAGGTTCCCACCTTCTCTACCGAACCTCTCAGCCAACACCTGGCCTGCTTCCCATTCCTGTTCCCCCAGTCATATCAGCCCCAAGTTCACTGCCACCATTGTTCAGCCTCCCATCCACTTCTGCTCCACCCCAGTGTTACATTCAACAATCCTCATTTTCATAGCACTTAAAGAAGATAGCTTTTGTACACTGGAGCAAGTGTTAGTACTATGAGAAATGTAATTGGGAAGGAGGGCCAGTGACCACAGGCCATCCTAAATGAGAGGCTAGCCAGGGTAAGCAATGAAGGGATATGGGCAAACTAAATGAAAGGGAAACAGAGTGAGAGAGGTACAGGAGAGTGGTGTTTGGCCTAGCACACAATCTCCCCAAGCTCCAGTTCTCCTGTCAGCACCTCCTGGGATGGCACATAGCTATCTGGGGATCGCTGAGGCCAAGTGCTTATGACTGTTACCCACCATAAGGAAGATTAACTCTCTGGGCTGCCCAAAGTTGGTCCTATGACTCCATCTACTTCATACCCTTGGGCCCTCATCATCTCTTTCAGGACCACTGCAATAATTTCCTTACTGGTCTCCTGCCTCCAGGCACACTGCTACAAGAGGGATCTATCTAAAATGCCCCTCTGATCTGCCATTTTAAATCCTTCCATGGCTTGCCACTACCTACCAAAAAAGCTCAAGGTTCTTCGGATGGCGGACAAGGCCTTCTTTGCTCTAGATCCTGCCTACCTCTCCAGCATGACAGCCTTGCGCGTTATGTCAAGCTGTACCCTGAACGTATTTGTGTCAATTACTACACTTCTACTATCTCATTTTCCAATACCTTCATTTTATTCAATTATATGGATATGCAATAATTTACTCAACCAATATCCTCTGGTTGCACATGTAAATTACATCTAAATTTTCAGTTCCTTTACTATTTCCTTAGCCCACATTGATAGAAGACAGTCTAGATCTTCAAAGGGAATATCCATTTGAAGGCTTTTGACCCATAATGCTAAACTGCCCTCCAGAAAAATTATTTAAATTGCTATTCCCTCCAGCAATATACAAGGATCTGTTTTCTGCTGCAACCTGACAAACAGGTCATTATCATTTGGTAATTATCACGTGTTTAACAGGCAAAACACACACACACACACAATTTGCATGCCTCAGATTACCAGAAATGTTAAACTATTTTCTAACAGGTATATTGGCCAGCCATATTTCTTCTTTTGGGATGTGACCATCTGTGCACTTTGACTGTTTTTCAGCTGGTGTGTTCTTTTCAACTGAGTTGTAAAGAGCTATTTATATATTAATGACAGCTAATATAGACTGAAATTTATTGCAAAAAATTTTCCCAGGCTGTCATTGTTGCAGCTCTGTTTATGATAGGTTTTTATTTATGGAAGCTTTTTAAATCTTTATGTAATCAGATGTATTTGTCATTCCCTTTATGGCTTCTGTCTTTGATATCACGCTTTGAAAATCTTTTATAACAGTGGGATTACAGAGTCACCTATTGTTTTCTTAACATTTTCATAATTTTATTTTTTAAATTTAAATCTCTAACATCAAGAAATTGTGCCTTTGCTAATCCTATTCCCTCTTCCAGATGGTTTTTCCAACTTTCCTCTTGTGGCTCTTATCTACCCTTCAAATGCAAAATTAAACTATTTTCTCCAGGAAAGCTTCCCTTACACTCCACGGTTAAACGCCCATTCTGGTGATTTCATTATCTCCCTTGATTTGCCTATTTCTGAGATTTTACTATTTTTGTCAGTCTAAGGAGTTTATAAAGAAGCTTCCCTCAAGAATTTGAATAAAAGGGAAATAAGAGTGCCTACTAAGAGTTAAGCGTTAAAATCCCAGACTTGAAAGACCAGATTGTAACCTGCTTGAAATATACCCAAAGAAAGAATGGGGTTGACCAACCACTGAGGTATAAAATAAGGAGAGTTGCAAACATGTATTTGGTAATGTCCACAACCAAGCAGTGTCTACATCCAAGCCCATAAATATCATGTTTTCTAGTCCCATTGGCAAATTCATCCCTACTAAGAAGATGGAAGGAGGACAGTTAGCATTGCCAAGTGGTTAAAGAATACAGGCTTTAGAGTTAAGACAAACTTGGATCCACATGGTGGCTCTGCCACTCACCAGCACTCTGGCCTTGGGCAAGAGATTAGAGGAATTTTCATCTGTAAAATAGAGACAAAAATAGTATCTATGTCTCACAAGGTTTGGGAGAGGACAAAATGAAACAAAGCAAGAAAAGCATTTGGCACAATGCCTAGCACATAGCTAGCACTCAATACATAATAGCTATAATTATCCTGATTTCAATAGAAAATTCATCCCTACTATGAGCCAATTCAGCAACAAATCATATTAAATTTTCAATTCCTCTAACTTCACTTGTTTTAATTCCATGTTTGCAATAACAACATTCTGACATATTACTCAACTTCCCTTGTCCAGCTGCCTACAGAGAATACTTAACCCTTTAGGCTCAGTTCCCTTATCTGTCAAGTGAGGATTACAATAGTATTATTTCATAGGGTAACTGTAAAATTTAAATGCTTGAGGTACCTAGTTCAAATGCCTGGCACACTGTAGGGAATAAAATAAGTATGAGCTATTGATAGCATCGTCCTTATTGGATGCCCAAATTGTATAATCTCAATGGAATCATGAAAAAACATCAGATAAACCCAAATCAGGGGCATTCTACAGAGTAAACTGAACAGTACTCTTCAAAATAGTCAAGGTTGTGAAAGGCAAAGACTAAGGAACTACCACAGATTAGAGAAGACTAAAGAGAGATCATATCTAAATGCAATTAAGGATCCTAAATAGATCCTGCAACAGAAAAGGGACATTTGTGAAAAAAACTGGTAAAACCCAAATAAAGACTGTAGTTAAGTTCATATTGCATTGTATAAATGCTAATTTTTCAGTTTTAATAATTTTACCATAGTTATGTAAAATGTTAACATTAGGGGAAGCTGGGTGAAGGATATACAGGAATTCTCTGTAATATCTTTACAACTCTTCTGTAAGTCAAAAGTCATTTCAAAATAATACAAAGTTTTAAAAGGTACTATAATCTAATCCATTAGCCTCTCTTCACACCTCAGAGTTACCCCTGATCCCCCACCTTTCTCAGCCCCACATGTATTCAGTCCCCAAATCCTGTCTTGTCACTTAGACCTTTTCTTTTTCTTTTCTTTTTTTTTTTTTTTTTTCAGACAGGGTCTTGGTTTGTCACCCAGTCTGGAGTGCATTGGTGTGATCATGGCTCACTGCAGCCTCAAACTCCTAGGCTCAAGCAATCCTCTCACCTCAGCCTCCTGAGTAGTTAGGACTACAGGCATGTGCCACCACACCTAGCTATTTTTATTTTTTATTTTTTGTACATATGGGGTCTCATTTTGTTACCCAGATTGGTCTCAAGCTCCTGGCTTCAAGTGATCCTCCCACCTCAGCCTCCCAAAGCACTAAGATTACTAGTGTGAGCCACTGCACCCAGCCCAACCTTTTCAATACATCTGAAATCCACCCTCACTATCTTTTCCTAGTTTGGTCCCTATCATTTTCTTAAACTACTACAGCAGTTTCCTATCTGATCTCCAAGTATCCAGTGTTTTTCCTTCATCACTCTAATTCACGGGTGTCCAATCTTTTGGCTTCCCTGAGCCACACTGGAAGAAGAATTGTCTCGGTCTACACATAAAATACACTAACACTAATGATAGCTGATGATCTTTTTAAAATAATTGCAAAAAAATCTCATAATGTTTTAAGAAAATTTATGAATTTGTGTTGGGCTGCATTCAAAGCTGTCTTGGGCTACATGCAGTCCACAGGCTGGACAAGCTTGCTCTAATTTTATATAGTATTGTCAGGTTCCTATTCTTAAAATAGCATTCTGATCCTGTTACACTCCTCCTTGAAAGTTTTAAATGACAGATTCATCACAGTACGTATCAGAATCCCAGCTGACATTTTTTTTTGTAGAAACTGACACGCTGATTTTAAAATTCATATGGAAATGCAAGGGACCCCAAACAGCCAAACCAACCTTGAAAAGAAAAAGTGGGAGGACTTACACAGCCTGATTTCAACTTATGGCAAAGCAACAGTAACAAAGACAGTGTGGTACTAACCTAAGGAAAGACACAGAGACCAACAGAATAGAATTGAGAGTACTGAAATAAATCCTCAGAAGTGATTTTTGACTAAGGTATCAAGACCATCCAATGGTAGAAAGAACAGTCTCTTCAACAAATGATGCTGGGACAACTGGTTATCCACAGGCAAAAGAATTAAGTTGGACCCCTACCTCATAACCCATATACAAAAATTCACTCAAAATCAAAGACCTAACTGTAAGAGCAAAAACTATAAAACTTGTAAAAGAAAGCATAGGGATACATGTCATGACCTAGGATTTGGTAACAGACTCTAAGATGTAACCAAAAGCACAAGCAACAAAAGAAAAAATAAATATACTGTACTTCACCAAAATTAAAATATTTCATGCTTCAAATGACACTATTAAGAAAGTGAAAAGACATCCCAGACTGAGCATGGTGGCTCACACCTGTAATCCCAGCACTTTGGGAGGCCGAGGCAGGCAGATCACTTGAGGTCAGGAGTTTGAGACCAGCCTGGCCCACACAGCAAAACTCTGTCTCTACTAAAAATTAAAAAAAAAAAAAATTAGCCAGGCGTTGTGGCACATCACATGCCTGTAATCCCAGCTACTTGGGATTACTTCTCCTGCTGAGGCAGGAGAAGTGCTTGAACCAGGGAGGCAGAGGTTGCAGTGAGCTGAGATCACACCACTGCACACTCCAGCCTGGGCATCAGAGTGAGACTCTGTCTCAAAAAAAAAAAAAAGAAAGAAAGGGGAGGGGAGGGGAGGGGACCCAAAGAATGGGAGAAAAAATCTGCAAATCATGTATCTAATAGGAGTCTAGTATTCAGAATAAATAGCTCTTAAGACTCAACAATAAAAAAGAAAATTAACAGATGGACAACTCAATGAAATCAGGAAAACAATGTATGATCAAAATGAAAAGTTAAATAAAAAGATAGAAACTGTAAACAACAGCCAAACAAATTCTGGAGCTGAGGAATACAATGACTCAACTAAAAACAGGAGATTTATCAAGCAGAAGAAAGAACCAGCAAATTTGAAGAACAGTTATTTAAAATTACCTCATCAGAAGAGAAAAAGAAAAAAAAGGATGAAAAGGAATAAAGAACCTTAGAGGGTCAAAAATACACAATGGGGGAAAAGATGCTTGCTTGAACAAATGATGTTGGGGTAACTGGATATCCACACGCAAAGTAATGAAATCAGACTCTTATCTTACACCACACACAAAAACCAACTCAAAATGGGCTTAAGACTTAAATGTAACATCTGAAACCATAAAACTCCTAGAAGAAAACATAGGAAAAACTTCTTGAAATTGGTCTTGGCAATGATTTTTTGAATATGACATCAAAAGCACGTGCAAGAAAAGTAAAAAACAAACAAACAAAAACAATTAGGACTACATCAACCTAAAAAGCTATATAGCAAATATTTGCAAACCACAAATTTGATGTCAATATTTAAAATATGTAAAGAACTCATAAACTCAATAGCAGAAATACAAATAACCCAATTTTAAAATGGGCAAAGGATCTGAATAGACATTTTTCCAAAGAAGGCATACAAATGGACAACAGGTATATGAAAAGGTGCTCAACATCACTAATCATTGGGGATATGCAAATGAAAACCACAGTGAGATCTCATGTCACCCTTGTCAGAATGGCTATTATAAAAAATGCAAAAGATGGCAATATTGGGAAGGGTGTGGAGAAAACAGAACCCTGGAAAACTGCTGATGGAGATCAATAGAGCCATTATCAAAAATAGTATAGTTTCAAAAAAAAAAAAAAAAAAAGACCTATTCTATGACACAGCAATCCCACTTCTGGAATACTTATCCAACAGTTGAAATCAAGATCTCAAAGGGATATCTGCACTCCTATATTCCTTGCACCGTTATTCACAATAGCAAAGATATAGAAACAAGATAAATGTTCATCGATGGATGCATGAATAAAGAAAATGTGGTATATTATCCAGCCTTTAAAAAGAAGGATATCCTATCATTTGCAGTAACACAGAAGGACCCAAAGGACATTATGTTAAGTGAAATGAGCCAGAAAGAAAAATATCTTATGATGTCACATAAATATGAAATGTAAATTAGTCTAACTCATAGAAGCTGAGTATAAAATGATGGTTAGCTGGGGCTGGTGCTGGGAAAGTAAGATGTTAGTCAAAAAGTACAAAGTTTTAGTTTTCCAGGACAAGTAAGTCCTGGATATCTAATGTACAGCATGGCGACTATAGGTGAAAATACTGTACTGTATACTTAAAATTTGCTATAAGAATAGATCCTAAGTATTTCCAACACACACACACACGCATACACACATAAATGATAACTCTATGATGTAATGCATGTGTTATCTTGATTGTGGTGATTTCCATATATATATATAATCATTAAGTTGAAAACCTTAAATATATACATTAAAAATAGCTAAAGTATTAAAAAAACTCAACAATAAAAAGATAAATAACCTTGAACAGACATCTCTCCAAAGAAAACACACGGGTACTCAACATGCACATGAAAAGATGTTCAACATCATTAGTCATCAGGGAAATGCAAATCAAATCCACAATGAGATGACACTTCATACCCACTAGCATGGCCAAAATATAAAAGGCAAACACAAGTGTGCATGAGGATGTGGAGAAATTGGAACCCTTTTATACTGTCGGTAGGGATGTAAAATGATGCTGCCATTTTAGAGAAACAGTCTGGCAGCTCCTTGAGAGGTTAAACATAGAGTTATCATATGACTCAGCAATTCCACTCCTATACCTGGGGGAAATGAAAACCTATGTCCAAGGGAAATAAAAACCTATGTGCACCTGAAAACTTACAGATGTTCACAGAAGTATTATCTGTAATAGCCAAAAGGCAGAAACAACCCAAATGCTCACCAACAGACAAATGGATACATAAAATGTGGCATATCCTTAAAATGGAATATTAATTGGCCATAAAAATAAGTGAAGTACTGATACATGCTAAACACAGATGAATCTCGAAAACATACTAAGTGAAAGAAGCCAGTGGAAAAAGGTCACATATTATAATTACTCAATTTCTATGAAATGTCCAGAATAGATAAAATCTATAGAAACAGAAAGTAGATTAACAATTGCTTAGGGCTGGTGAGTGGGGGAAAGGTAGGGAGGGGGGTGAGCTAAATCGTATGGAGTTATTTTTTGGATGATGAAAATGTTCTAAATTTGACTGTGGTGGTGGTTGCACATATATGTGAATATACTAAAAACATTCAATTGTACACTTTAAATGAATGAATTATATGGTATATGATTATAACCCAATAAAGCTGTTTAAAAAACAAACTTTGGATAGCTCCTTATTGCTTGATAAATAAAAGTCCAAATTCCTTAATTGGGCATTCAACTCCCTCCCCTCCTGCATCATCATTTGACCCCCGACCAGCATCATTGCTCACTACTCCCTTTTACATGCTTTTCTATCCAACCAAGATGAATTATGCACCATTACCCATATATCCCTTGTGGTCTCCCATCTGTCTTTCTTCTCGCTATTCCTTCCCCCTGAGATTCTCTCCTCCTGACTCATCTTCACATGTTAATATTCTACTTCTTTCACAAAGCCCAGTTCAAATGCTCCCTCCTATGCAAACCCCTCCCTGTTCTTCAACCCTCACATAGTAGGCACTTAAAAAACTATTTACTGAAAGAACGAAGGTACGTAGTTCTCCTATATGATGGCTCTCATTTACAGAGAAGATAATTCTCCCAAAGCCACAACTTTACTTCTTTCTTCCTTTCCTGGTCACAGCAGCAGCTCACTGCTTCAGCCCCCTTACCCTGAGGACAATCCCAAACTGGTACCTTGATGAAGAAAGTACTGACATTACATTATGCCAGGGCCGCCGAGTACAGTTGTGTAGGTTGTGCACTGCACAACCCTAGTGGCGCCATTCAATTATAGTCTATGTGAATGGCACCCTCTCCTAGGGTTGTGCAGTGCATAGCCATTCGTGGCGGCCCTGCTTGGAAACATTCCTAGTGTTTGAGAACAAAGCCAAAAAGAACACTCAATGAGAGAATCACTATGTTGTCGCTGAGAAGTAGGCAACTCAAAAATCTTGTCAAGAAAAAAGAAATTCAAGAGAATAGCATGGCCATAGCACACAAACAGCATTTGCATGGAATTGAAAACAGGAACATCCAAGAGAAAAATTGTTACTGATGTTTCTCCAGCAGTGGAGAGAGAACAGGACACACATTCTGGTCACACTACAAAGCTATGACAGACATGCAAAAAGGTACAGTTTTCCATGGACTACCAAAGCCTATATGGTCTCGCTCATGAGACTTTTCAACTCCATTAGGTTCTGATTTTAGGTTATAAAACAGTCCCTGTTTAATTTGGCTTCAGGTACCTTGATATCAGAAAGGGCTGATACACACAAGTGTTCTCATCTCTATAAAGGTCTCTCTCTCATCATCAATCGACTTATCAGCCTGGTGATTTATTAAGAAGTGTTTTGTAATGTTGGGGAGTGTGACCCAATCCACTAGAAACCAACAGCCCTGGGTAAGCTGATAAAAATTAGGCTTTGAACCTACAAACCAAGTTGCAGAGTTAGGACCCGTGTCAACTCCACCAAGGCACAGACACCCTCAAGCTCAGTCAGAGCAGCTGGCCAACTAGCTGGCCAAGTCAAAACTGCAGCCAGTAATTCAGGGCACTCCAAAATGGAGAGCCATAAAGGACTGGACATATTGGTAGTGACAACAGGTGAGCTGGTGGTAGAGCTCAAGGGTGCCAGATGTTGCGTTTGTTTCTTCTTTTTGTTCCCCACTCCAGTTCAGTTCAGCCTCCCACTTTCATATTTGCTCCACCTGGAATATTTCATTCCACTTCTTCTGTCTCCTCTAGAGATTTCCTGGATAAGTCACAAAAATTAAGCATTCTTTTTCTGAACTCCATTGGTATTTGTTGGTACTTATACACTAATCACTTATTAGTCTCATACTGTTGTTAGTAACAACAATAATGGCAGTAGTTATTCCTTACTGAGTGCTTACTAGGTGCCTGGCACTACAGTCAATGTCTTACACATATTAGTTCATATATTCTTCATAGCAATCCTATTATGTAAGAGATTATTATTTTCCTCCTGTTTGCATACAAGGAAACTGAGCTACAGAAAGGTTAAATAAATTGCCTAAGGTCGCACAACTAATAAGTGAGTCAAAGAGTCAGGCCTGGAACCCAAAACTATCTGATTCCAGAGGTCATGTTTGTTGCCAATACTACCTTTTGTCTCCACCATAAGATAATTTATCTTTTCTGGAGTTCCCTCTGCCTCCACTCCACATAGTGCCTAACACACCATCGGACATATAAAAGTCCTCCAGAACACATGCGCACATCTGCCTCTGCTCCCTGTCCAGAGCCCAGCCCAGGACATAAGCTGGAAGAGAAGGGAAGACGGTGTAGTTAGCATGAAGGGGCTTGACCTTTCAGGGAGCCACAGGAGTCCTCCTCCTCTGACCCATTTAAGAGAGGATCATGCTGCTCCTTGACCTCAATCCCAGAAAAATATGTAGAACAGGATGACCTGGTTACCTTGAAACTCGTCAAGAAAACTCTGAAGTAACAGAGCCTAGGCCAACCCATGGGAGGGATGGATGGTATCCAGTTCCCTGAAGCAAGAGGACCAATTGTGTCAGAGTCAAAGCCACATGGGACAGCTAATGTTTGCAGTGCTCCACCACCAATGAACTCTATGGCCAAAGTTGGGGTTTTTATGATGGTGGGGGAGAGGTGTATTTTTTTTAAAAGAAAGTATTTTTTACACCTCCTTAAGCCTCAGTTTTCTCATTGTTTAAAACAGAAATAAGAATACCTACCATTTGCAGTGCTTCTAAGGCATAAAATGAGAATGTAATAAAAGCACCTATTTCCTGGTGCCTACATCAGTTTGTTCTTCCTGAGGTTCTGAGCACACAGTGATGCAGGACATAATTCCTGTCTGCAAGAAGCTCACAGTCTGGCTAGCAAAGGTCTTCTACGGCACCCTGTCAACCAAAATTAAAGCTGGTTGGTGAGTTAGCCTAACTCTCAGCAAGACATTTTATCAAAGGAAAATTTTGGTGGGAAAGAAGGTAAGAGCTGTTGGCAAGAGTAAAGATTGTGGGTTATATCTTTGCTTTCCTATCTTTGCTGCAAATCTCCCATCCACACCTTTGTATTAAAAAATTGGGAAAGGGGACTCCATTAATCACTGTTTTAAAAAATGATGCATGTAGGCCAGGCATGGTGGCTCACGCCTGTAATCCCAGCACTTTGGGAGGCCAAGGTGGGCAGATCATGAGGTGAAAAGATCAAGACCATCCTGGCCAACATGGTGAAACCCCGTCTCTACTAAAAATACAAAAAAATTAGCTGGGCATGGTGGTGCATGCCTGTAGCCCCACCTACTCGGGAGGCTGAGGCAGGAGAATCGCTTGAACCTGGAAGGCGGAAGGTGCAGTCAGCCAAGATGGCGCCACTGCACTCCAGCCTATGCGACAGAGCAAGACTCCGTCTCAAAAAAAAAAAAAAAAAAAAAAACAGATGCATGTAAATGCTGTTCTTTTCCTTCACAACACATATCACCATTTCTCATTTATATTTAGCTATGTTTTCATTAAATGTTGATCTTCCCTGCTGACCATAAGCTTCTGGAGAGCAGGAGCTGTGTGATGGTCCTCACTGTAGGTCCAGAACTTAACACAGTGCCTGGAACATATGAGATGCTCATCAGGTACTTGCTGAATGAATAAATGAAACAAGATGTCTCCATACAATATGGATAGACTTGGTTACCTAAGCAAAAGCCATTTTAGAATATTCAAGCCTTGTTTATGCATGCAGTAATTCTCAGGATTTCCAAGAATCTGGTAATGGCAGTTTGTTTCTGGGGAGAAGAACTAGTGGATCAGGGGTCAGAGGTTGGAGGGAATCATATATGCTATTCTATTCCTTTAAAATTGTATGAATTTTTAAATAACAACCAAACATAAATATACCAGATATAATGGATTTGCTCTATTTGAAGCCCAAAGAAACAAACAAAACCCAAGCCTTTCCATAGGAAAGCAAAATCTTGGAGGGAAGCGGAAGGAGATTGTGCCCTTGTGTGACTAAAATCCTAAGAATCAGGGGTCCTTAAGAATGAGGTTGATTTATATGTACTAACATGGACTGATGGCTAAGATATTAAGGAAAAAAAAATACAAACATTGTTGAATGATCCCATTTTTAGAATAAAAATATAAAATGTTTAGCATATGCAGAGATAAAAATCAGAAGGAAAAACATGCTTACAATGGATATGTCTGGGAGACCGACTTCTAGGGGACTTTTGTTTGCTATGTGTCATATTCCTATAATGTTCCGGGCTTGAATCATGAACATCTGTTGCTTTTATGTTAGGAAAATACTATTAAAAGGCAATTTCACTAAAAATATAAGTATGGTGCCTAACTCTGCTAACCACCTGGGGCATGAGAAGGGAGTCAGCTGGAAGCTGAGGCAGGTTTGAAAACCTGGAATGCGCTGTCCAAACCACACTGGGAATGAAGCTGCTGTTCCTCCATACAGATAACCCTTCTTCAAGCAACTGGAAAGATTTCTTTTAATCCTCAAGCCACTGTTACAGCCCAGAAGCCAAGCCAGCTGAATAACTGGATTTTCTTTCTTTCTTTCTTTCTTTCTTTCTTTTTTTTTTTTTGAAAGAAAGTTACCTCTCTTTTGTATGCAACAATAATGACAGGGGGGTCACAGTAAGCCTCTTTAAATTCTTAAGCTTTAGTGCTTCTCTGTTCTAGGCAGGTAAAACTAAGGTACAGAAAAGTTGATTCTATTTCCTTCACCTGGCTCAAACAGCCAGAACCAAGTTGTTTGGCTTTGCTGTAAAACCCAGCAGTTCTAAATACTGAATGCACATTAGACTCACGTAGGCAGTTTATTGTTTCATAAAAGAAAAAAAAATTCCTGGGGCCTACTCCTCAAGATGCCTACTCAACTGGTTGGGCCTGGGGCCTGGGCATCAGTATTTTAAAGTGCTCCAGCTGATTTCAATGTACAGCCGGGTTTACAAGTCACTGTTCTACCCACTGCTTAATATCCCAGTAACCTTAGAGAAAGGGACCTTAGTCACCATTTTAAAAAATCTTCTTTACACTGTATATTCCCCTCAAAGGAAGGCAAGCTGAAGAAGCCTGTAACCAAGACAACAAGCTGGGAGCACAAAGAGATAGGTCTTCTGTGATTTGAAACCAAAGGAAGCAGAAGAGAAAAAGTAGAAATCTGAAAGCAGGTACTGAAAAATGGAAAGAAATTAGATAACAAAGACATCCTGTCTGAGAAAGTTCCCAAATGTTAGCACGTCAAACTTCTGTTCCACCTCCCAAACTAGGCGCCTTGATACAGATGCCCTAATGGCTGAAAGCAACCCTGAATTAGCAATTAAACCCTTAAAAACTTGCTTTCTTCTTAATGGAACTTCTGGGGGAAAATCAGAATGTCTGCTTTTGTGGAGGTAACAAACCAATTTTTTTTCTTCCAAGCCCACTCTCTCCTCCCCACATATGTACCTGACCCAATTGCAAAGCAGGATGACAATGAAACATGAATTCCTCATGTGCTTGGATTTTCAAAAAGGGTTCTTCCTCCGTATGTGCTCTGACCCTGGAGCTTGGGTTTTGTTCCCAACCAGGGAAGCACTGAGATGGATAAAAGGGCTGGGGACGCTGCAAATTGAAAGCCACAGAGTTGGCCTTTTGTTCTCTTTTCTCAGGCAAGGGCTATTCTATAAAGCAGACATCAAAGGGAAAATTCAGCCTGAGATGAGCTGAAAGTGGACAAAATATGATGAGGCATAAATGAAAAAAGAGAAAGAAAAAAGGAAAAAGGGCCTTTCTGTACCAGAAGAGGCTCTTTTCTGAAAACTCCCTCAAATTACAGCACTTTCCACATTTGGTTCACTCCAGGAAGGGTTGTATCGTACCTAGCACCAAAACGTGTTTTGCCACATTATGAGGAGAAATTAAGACACATGCAAATGGCCCAGAGTTTGGTGGTTTGGCAGTCACAAGGAGGAAAGAAATGTGTGACTCCAATAAGAGTCCCTCTATAGTCATTTGGTTCCCTCGGCCCAGAAAGACAAAGGGGAGTTTATTCAGAGTGACATAAAAGAAGGGTCGCACAAGCAAATCAGTGACGGGGCAAAGCATTGATGGTTTGAAGGAAAACATGCATTATCTTTTCTTAACGGTGTTCAATGAATTTCCTTTATTATTCATTACATTGGCCAACCAGCCTCTAAGGACTTTGGGCAGCCCAATGGAAGGCTCTCAAAGGCCTTTGAGTTTAGCTTTTGGGCTTACGATGGTTTTAATTAGCCACAGGGAGAAAAAAAGCCATCCTGATGTGGGACTCCTGAAGTGTGTCCTACTGAAAGCCAAATGGAGAACTGAGGAATGTCATCCTCTCCACCCAGTCATGTACCTACCACAAAAATCCAACCCTCAGTCCCAAGCTTACACATGGAAAAGCACTGCTTTCCCTCTTCTCCAGGGGTCTACAGATATTTCCTCCTTGCATGTCATCAGATGGGTCTTCCTCCTAAATGCCTCTGAACTTTACTAAGATGATCCATTAGGCCAGGGGTCCCCAACCCCCAGACCACAGAATGGTACCAATCTATGGCCTGTTAGGAACCAAGCCACACAGCAGGAAGTGAGTGCCAGATGAGTGAGCATCATCACCTGAGCTCCACCTCCTGTCAGATCAGTGACAGCATTATATTCTCATAGGAGCATGAGAGGGATCTAGGCTGCATGCTTTGGATATAGGTTGCATGCTCCTTATGAGAATCTAATGCCTAATAATCTGAAGTGGAACAGTTTCATCCTGAAACCATCCTCCCCCACCCCCCACCTCAGTCCATGGAAAAATTATCTTTCACAATACCTGTCCCTGGTGCCAAAAAGGTTAGAGACTGCTGCATTAGGCCGTATGCCCTTTAATCCAGTCTTATGAAAGATTCCATTCTATTCTGAGCAGCAGAAACCCCCAAGAGTCACAATGAGAAGGCAAACAATATTAGGCAACAGGTATTTAAGGTACAATGCAATTTTTAATAGCTGAGGCAGGGCCCCAAATCAAATGATCTAAAGGCCCTTATATCTCTATAAGAACTACATAAAACTACTTCTAATAACAATAATAACAACAACATTTATCAAACCACATGCTTATCAATTAAATGGTAAATGGTATAGAAAACTCTAAATGGTATTTTTAACACACTAGCAGAGTGATTTTAGCAAATCGCATAATCAAGAAATACCTACTGAGTATTCAGTTATGTTCTACACTCTGTACAGATGTGGAATCCCAGAATAATGAACAGCCATCTCTTATGTCTAAATTCCGTAAGCAGCGCCATGGGTAAGCTGTACTCCCCTAGCTCCTCCTCTCCAGGCCCAGCAAAAATGATCCAAATCTAAATTACAGAAGGTATGTTCTGCATTACTTCACTCTCCTATTTCCCTCTATATATCACCAGTAGTGACCCTGATCAAATGATTTGAGACTGCTACAAATAACCCCCAGGGTAAGTTATTCCAATGCATTCAGACTTTATTTACAGAAATGTATACCTCTGGAAGAAAATACCATTGCCTGGAAGTCAGAAGGCCTAAGTTCTAATTCCAAAACAGCTGCTATGGACTTGGAAAAAAAAAAAAACTTGGCCCCTCTAAATCTCAGGGTCCACATCTGTAAAAGAGGGCGGGAACCCCTGGACAACATCATTCATTTACCGGCCATATCATTATTAAGAACCTACTACTTGCCAGGCACTATGCTAAGTGCTGGGCATACTACAGTGAGTAACACAGACATGGTCTTTGTTTCTGTGGAGTATTCAGTCTGGCAGAAGGGAAGATAAATGACATAAAGCATACAAATCACTCTATAATAAAAACGATGATCAGAGCTTTGAGAGCTGTAACACAAAACACCAGTGAGAAGGGATAGGCAAGAGGAGAAGGCTCCAGGCAGAGGGAAGAGCATAGCTAAAGGCTTAAATGACCCAGAGGTTACAAAGATGCGTTCAGGGAACTTAAAGTAGTTCCTTTTGCCTGGATAGTATAGAGGTTACAAAGATGCGTTCAGGGAACTTAAAGTAGTTCCTTTTGCCTGGATAGTATAGAGTGCCAGAGGAAACATGGTAAGAAATGATACTGGAGAGATGAGCAGAAAGGTCAGCTCACACAAAGCCTAGGAGACCTAGAAAAGGAGTTTGAATTGTTCCCTCCAACAATAAATCCCTATGATGCTGCTCAGAGAATGAAGCTGGGATGTATGCCTAGGATCACAGGTCTGAACCCTGAGGCTTTTCCCCATCAAAAATATTTTTAGGCATTCTGGTAAGGGGCTGGTGGGGTTGGACTTCTACTCTACTTCACATTAAATAGGCTTTTGCCAGCTGGTCTGGGAACCTGAACCACAAGAAGAATATTGTGTCCTTGGGAAAATGCAATCTGAATTCTAAATAGACTTCCAAAGAAACTTTTGCAACAAAATCCATTCAGCACTTGTTGGGGAATGTCTGGAAAGCAATGAAACACAGGACCCTGCTTTACTCCATAGAGACAGTTTTTGAAAAAAGACTCAACACTATAATCAGACCAGAGACTATATAGCCAGACTCTTAAACACAATATCCTCATTTTGATTAGTAGGGTTATATTTAGGTACAACCATTGAATGGCATTATGCAGTGCCTATTAGATATTTAAATTACCACAAAACCCCAAATATGTTGGGGATGACTAGCTATTTTCACTCTAAAGAAAGACAATGCAGAAATGGAGAAGGTGGTCTCTTTAGAAGGAAACACGGATGCAAGCCAAGTCTGTAACTTAAACACAATCTTCCTGTGTCTCTGCCCAATCAACTCTTAATTATTCAGGCATTAATTCAACAAATGTTTGAGTGTTAAGTGTCATCTAATTTAGCATGCTGGCATCTCTATTTTTCTTCACTTTCCTTTCAGTAGACAGCCTTTAACTATCTGCACTTTGAAAAATACCTTCTGACACCTGGAATGCCCCACTTTCCTCTCCCCACCCACTCACTTGCTCTACAAATAGTGAGTGAAAGAGAAGGGTTGATAATTTCCCAGAGCTACCCTCCAAATCCCCTCAGGCCATTTTACAGAGTAGCCTTTCTCAAAGTTGAGAGCACATAAATATCACCTGGAGGTGGGTGAGTTAAAATTCATATTTCCAAGCCAAGCCATTTCTGTCCCCCACTCCAATATCCGGACTCAATAGTTCTGGGATAGGGCCCAGGAATTAGCATTTTTCCTTCAATGGATTCAAGGTGGAAGGAATCAGCATTTTTAAAAAGCACACATGGTGACTCTGATGCAAGTGGGTCAAGAACCATACTTTGAGAAATGCTATTGTGGATATTTTGGCTAGCTGAGTCCCAAATCCTGAACAAAGAATGGTTGCTAGTGGCCCAACATTAAACTCAGCCAACAAGAAAGCTGGGTGGCACTGACAAAAGGGGGTACAATAGATGGGAGAGGAAACTAACAGCCTAGTCAATTGCCCCCAACTCTATTTTAGTTTTTTAAAAGATCCCATATTTTGACTTAAATCAAGCAAATGGCATTGCTGTTCCAGCAATCTCCTAGTGACACCAGAAGAGAAACTCAAACAGGCAGCATTTATTAACAGAAAGAAGGTATAAAAGTAGAAGAAACAATGTTAATTTGCTTGGCCCCATCCCACCTTTTTTCAGCCTCCTTACCTCTCCTGCTAGTTGTTTCCATTTCTGTGACTGGATGCTGCTGTGGCAGAGAAGAGAGGCCAAGGTGGGGCAGTCTTCTATCATTCACATTAATGCTTTCCTCTATTACATGAATAATCAAGAGTTGACTGGAAAGAGGAATAAGCAAAAGGCAAATACTCTACTGAGAGGTTAAATAGGATAAAGAAGGCCCCCTGTTGGTTGAGAGCTGTGAAGTGATAAATGAACAGTCAGGATCCCTGCCTCTTTTCATTCTCACTGTTTGCCAGGAACACGGATTCAAAGCCCATAACGTCAGCACTGAGCTTGACAGAAATAATCAGGTATCTGTGTTTTTCCACTGTTCCCCGTAATACCTAGAATAGTCTTCAGCACTTCATGTCAGCCTTAAATGTAAACCAACTGTTGTTGACTCAACCCAGAAGTCGATTGTAAAGGTAGGAGCCTAGATCTGGTCTGATAATTTCCATTGTGGGAAAACAGAGTCTCATTCAAGCTGGCTCAAGAAAAGGGAGGTTTGTGGAAAGAATACAGGTATCCCATTTGAATCCTAGGGTAGGATAAAGCTGGGCCTCAGGAGAACTGGAAAGTGGTTCTGGGTTCATGGTGTCTGTAGGAAACAGCTCTTCTGTCTCTCAAGGCATCTCTGTTCCTCCCTTGCAAGGTCCCTCTGTTTGCTCATGGTTTCTGTCCCTTCAAAAAACTAGCTAGGACATGAACTGTCATGACTGCTCCACTCCCCATCATCTTTTGGCTCTTTTCCGTTACAAACTGCCTTAGGCTCTCAGCTTCCCAATTCTAATTTCCTAAGAGAGGAATACAAAAGGCCCAGCTCTCAGCTCGTCAAGCCCATGTTACCTGCTAGGTGACAGATGGGCTGTCTTGGTGACAGGTGGCCACTCAGTCCAATCAACCTAAGCCAGGGAGGCAGGGTCTCTGGCACAGTTCATGGCTGCTGGCACCTAGCACAGCTGGCACAGAGTGGTTTGTCTGAGATATGGACCAGAAGGCATAGTAAAATACATACGATACAAACCTGATCCTTAGCATGTAATTTGAAAGATAATGACATGTCCATTCATGAGCTTCAAACACCCATAATCTTTCTTATAAAGGATAGTACCTGACCCCAACCCTAAAAACTTAGCCCCCTTTACCCCCATTAAATTAACTTCTTTAAACTGGTAAAAGAATCTAAATATGTCATATTACAGAGGAAACACCATTCTGCCAGCTCCCTGGGGTAAAGAGGGAAGGATAAGAGAGTGTAAGGCAGACAAATCCTGATAAACTGATACCACTGGCCTTTAGCCCATCTCTCTGCAAGCGTTCAGTCAGTTTGCTTTACACCCTATGATCATCTTATCCTCCTCTAAGTTTCTCCAAGTGCCATGTGAGGTCAGTGTTCAATGTTAACTAGAACAAGGCAAGCAGCATCACAAACCAACAGATGGCAATTGAGAGCTTATCATTCTTGGATTATTTCATTCCCTGGAGTGATACATGCCAGAGAGTAAAGCAAGCTATTTTGACAGCAACCTAATAACAGCTGTCTTCTTCCACTTCTTGGCTAACTCATCCCCCAGATAGCCTTCTTTTCTCTTATCAATTCCCTGTTGCAACAATAATAAATGCCACACCTGATGGAGTCATTAGGCACTTTCCTAGTGACAAGTGCCTAGGACAGAGGAGAAAACAAAGAAACACTGACAACCACTGAAAACTGACATATCAGGCCAGGCATGTCAGCTCATGCCTGTAAGTCCAGCACTTTGGGAGGCCAAGGCAGGACGATCATGTGAGCCCAGGAGTTCCAAAATAGCCTGGGCAATATAGTGAGACCCCATCTGTAGAAAAAAAGTAAAAAAAAAAAAAAAAAAAAAAAAAAAAAGCAAGGAATGGTGGCAGTCCCCGCTACTCAGGAGGCTGTGGTGGGAGGATTGCTTCAGCCTAGGAGTTCATGGTTGCAGTGAGCTATGATCACGCCACTGCACTCCAGCCTGGGTGACAGAACAAGACCTTGTCTCAAAAACAAACAACAACAACAACAAAAAAAAAACCTGACAGATTATCACAGCAAGAAAACATGATGGTGGCCATCTCTCAAGATGAGGAACAGATGAGGGGAAATTAAAAGGTTGTATTTCCTGGAAAACAATGTTTCCCAAACTCAAAGCAGGGCCTACTGGAGATTAAGAAAGATTCCAAATAGAGTTTCAAAGACCAGGGCTGTAAAGCCCTAAAGACATGTGAAGGAATTTGATATGTAGTCTTATCTCTCAATTATCCCTGACTAGCTTAGTTTGAGTTTTCCTGTAACTCTTCCCAGTGCTCATGGATTTTCGTCTTATGGTTTCAGGTAAGTTATAGTAGCCTCTGGGGGGAGAAATGGAAAGTATAGTGCCTCTATTGTTGGTACCCAACAGTAGTTTTCAACCTTTTTGTCCCATGTGCCACCTATCATCACTTCTTCAAAATAGCCCTTCAAAATCCCTTACATTTCCTTCACACAAGGGATATTATGTAGCTGTTAAAATGAATGAAGCAAAGCTGTTAAAATGAATAAAGTAGAGCTATACACACTGGCATGGAAAATAGCCTAACTATATTATCAAGTGAAAAGAGACTCAGATTATAAGGAATCATCCCATTGTTATTTTAAAAAAAATGTGTAAAGAAAAAGCTCTGAAAGAATAAATGCTAGTTGTTAATAATGATTATCTCTGGCAGATGGGTTTATGGGGGACTTTCACTTTCTATTTTTGCCATTTCTCGCTTGCTTAAATTTTTCTTACAACACATGCTTTTTTTGCAACGAGGAAAAGGATATTTTTAACCCCTTACAGTTCTTTGATATGTGGTACCACCACAGCTTTAGTTTTCAATTCCAATTTGAACAGGATTTAGAGAGGCTGGAGGGTACAAAGTAACACAGAAGCATCCCTGGGGTTAGAAGAAAGTAGTCTACTCTGTTTATAGTAGTCAACATTCAGTAAGTAAATTCCACTAATGGGATAGAAGACAGTGCAGTAAAGAGATCAAACACATGGGCTTTGGAGTCTGACTTCAAGTCCCAGCCTACTACTAACTTATTCTACATTTCCTCCTCTATTTACTAATAATATCTATTAATACTTGGAGCACATCTAGCATATGATGTGCTCAACAAATAATTATTCTTGCTTTTATTGAAGGAGCTAAAGTGTTGTAATTGAAAATTATTTAGTTATGTCTAATTTAATTTAAATAGTTTCAGTGTAGACACTGTGATAAATATGCCTCTGTGTTAGTTTTATTCTACACCATAGGGTGGTGAGTTAACATTCTGTTGCATGCTGGAAGCCCAATAGCACTGGCTAGAAAGAGTTGATTGTGTACATCTCTTCCCAACTCCTTTGCTACCTTAGTGAGGGGTCAGACTGGTAGCTTGGAATTGACCATGGAAATTGGCAAATGCCATAAATCAGAGCTTTAAACATTTACCACACACCATTGTTAACATCTGAAGACCCCTAATTGAGAATACAAACTCCAGGGGTGATATTAGTTAGCAACTGAAATTTCTAATCAAAGCCTACAATCAAGAATTCCTGCAACTCAGCAACAAAAACCCAGTTTTTTCAAAAAATGGGCAAAGAACTTGAACAAACATTTCTCCAAAGAAGATATACAAATGGCTAATAAGCACATGAAATAAACTTCAACATCATTAGTCATCAGGGAAATGCAAAACAAAACCACAATGATATACCACTTCATACTGCTAGGATGGCTATAATTTTAAAAATAGAAAATAACAAGTGCTGGTGAGGATATGTAGAAATTGGAACCCTTGTACATTACTGGTGGGAATGTAAAGTGGCCAGTTGCTGTGGAAAACAGTTTGGCAGTTCCTCAAAAAGCTAAACATAGAATTACCATATGACCCAGCAATTCCACTCCTAGGTATATACATACCCAAAAGAACTGAAAACAAGGACTCAAACAAATACTTGTATGCTAACATTCACTGCAGCATTATTCACAATAGCCAAAAGGTAGAAACAACCTAAATGTCCACTGACAGATAAATAAAATGTGATCTATACATACAATATAATATTACTCACCCTTAAAAAAGGAACAAAGTTCTGATACATGCTACAACCTTGAAAACATTTTGCTAAGTAAAACAAGCCAGACATAAAAGGACAAATATTATATGATTCCACCGATAACAGGTTCCTAGAATAGGCACATTTATAGAGACAGAAAGTAGAACAGTGGTTACCAGGGCCTGGGGAAGGTAAGAATTGGAAGTTATTGCTTAATGTGTACAGAGCTGCTGTTTGGTGTGATTTAAAAAAAAAAAAAAGTGCTAGAAATAGGAGTGGTGGTTGCATAACATCCCAAATGAAATTAATGCTACCGAAGTGTACACTTAAATATGCTTAAAATGGCAAATTTTGTATGTTATATGTATATATTTAACTAATTTTTTTAAATGTAGTATATGAAAACCACTGAATTACACACTTTAAGTAGGTGAATTTTATGGTATATGAATTACATCTCAGTAAAGCTGCTCTTAAAAAATCCCACAATCAAGGCACAGCGGAATCTTTGGGGGTGGTGGAAATATTCTCTATCTTGACTGGAGTGTTCATAGAACTGTATGCATTTGTCAAAACTCACAGAACTGTACCATTAGAAGGGTGAATTTTACTGTATGTTAAATATACCTTAACTTTTTTCTAATGGGGAAAAAAGTCACACTTACATGCCTCAGCTCTGAAGTACTTCTGATCGTTTGTTCGTTACAACAATGGATACTAGAAATATTTCATTAGGGAAACTGGCTAGTGTTCAGGACAGGTATATCATTTAGAAATATTCAGTTGCTCCCACTTTTGCATGAATTGGATATAAGACTCTGGTTAGCCCAACATTCTTCACCCCTTTAAAATGACACCTTAGGCTCAGGAGTCCCAACAAATCTTATGTCCAGACACTTAATGGAGGACTCAGATGTGCCCTCTAATTAGAAGGTAAGCTGAGTCCTACTGCTAAAATATCGTCACATCTATCTCCGGTGAACCCTTCACACAGTATGGTGGTTTGCAAAAAAAGTACTGGAATGTCTCTGGGTGTACAGGTCAGGCTGTATAACTGTCTTGTGCCTGATTATTAATAAAGTTACGTGGCAGAATTTAATCAGAATTCCTTTCACTGTAATCTACTGGTTGTGGGGGAAAAACCTATAGCACTTACCTACCTCTGACTATTGGAGATTAATGATACCTACCAGAATAGAATCTAATTAACTGTGGAAAATCAAATTGGCTCAGATCAATTTACAACAAACATTTTTGAAACTTCTGTACAAACAGGGGTCTGATCTGATAATTCATTTAAGTAAAACCATAACAGAAGCGACAAAGAAACAATCTACTTTTCCATTCTGGCTATATGGGCTAGTGCGGGTTAGGGGGTAGAGTTGTGTTTGTTACTTATTTATGAGGTAACACTATTAAACGGATTTGTTTCACAGAAACATTTCCCACTTAATTTGTTGCCTGCCCACCTGTTTTATCCAAAGAGTCAGTCAAATAGGGATCCACAAAAAAAGATGACATTTAGCAGTGGCATTTCTTCAAATCAAGCTGAAAGTTAGGGCCCAAATATTAGTGTTCAGCTGTGCCCACTAGCCTCAGAGGCAACATGACATGGTTACTTGTCGCTAAGCCTTAGGACTTCAGCCCAAGCAGCAGGTAACCCCAGAGGGTGGCTGAGCAAAGGGAAAAGGAGGTTTCAACCAAGGCAAAGACCAGCAGAAGAGACTAAGGAAAGAATTCATTCAGTTTGCCTCCATTAAAATACAGAGGGGAAAAAAAAGATTCATTCAGTTCTTTTTTCAAATCATATTACCCTGCATCTTGTCATCATGAAAAGTGACTCTGTATACAACTCCTTAAAATACAGATAAAGAAAAGCTGCTGGGAACCGGTATGCTGATGGAACTCGCTGAGTTGCTGCTACAGCTCTGAGGTCTTAAGTCTCTGGGAACTTAGATCAAGGGAGACCATGACACTGGTTCCATTTCCCTGAGTATTTTATAAAAGGAACATACCCAGTCGTTCTACTAAAATGTAAAAAATAGGTAAACTGCTTGAAGCAAACCTATACATAAAAATCAAGATTTAACAACCAAGAAATTCAAAGGCTACAATTCACATTACCAAAGGAGTTTGTCTAAAAGGCTCTCCGTGGAATGTACTTTTTGCAAGCTGCCTCTCTGCACTAAAAGTAGGATTTAACATATAGATTTGTATCATAAACAGTTTTTCAAGAGTATCTTCTCATTCTAACAAAAGAGATAGCAACAGAGACAAGTAAATTTGGAGAGAATGCCTTAGAGTTGACTCTTAGAAGGAAGCCCACTTAACATTTTATTTTAATATCTATGAATGAGCCAGCACTGCCCCTATTCGCTAGAATCCTCATTAGGGCAGTAGACATGGAAACACCCTCAGCCTTGCTCAGGGATTTTGAAGACAATGCTCCACACCCTCACCCTCTGAGCCACCCCCAACCCCTTATCCACACACATCAAACATACCACTCTCAGAAAACCTTGCCCCGGCAGTACAAAAATTCAATATCCAGACACACTGAATCCCTAGAACAAAATCTGCTAAATGAAAGCTAGTTAGTTTTATAAGGAAAGTGATGGCATAACTGATTTCTGGTGTTATTTCTGAAGATTAAAAGATCAACTGGAAAGCTTTCCTTAAATCAGGCCAACAGAGCATCCCAGGGTGGGGGAACATGATGCTTAAGTATGGAACACAAGGTTTCCTTCACTCAAAAACAATATCCATCCCCCGCCCTCACTCCCACACTGCAGAAAGTAGAGGCTATTTTCCTGGGAATGTACTCTTCAAAAGGCTAGCAGAAGGCTGTCATCCATTCATCCATCTATCCCCCATTCCTACCTTCAGACAGGACAGAAACCTCTCCAACAGGGTGGCAATTGCTTTAGATTTCCTTGGCAAAGGCCGCTCTCGAGTTTTCCTTACTCATCCAGCTCTCGAGTTTTCCTTACTCATCTTGACCTAAGAATCCCTCTGTCAAGAAAATCTGTCTCCTTAAATCCCTCACACCCAATGTCTCTTGCCCTGAGGATAAATATCTTCAGCTTCAGGAAGGCAAAAGCAAGCATGCTGAGGGATGAGATAAAAGGATATTGGGACAATGAGCTTAACCCTGTGGTTGTTACAAACATAAATGACCTGCTTTAATAATAACAACTACCTTTTATTGAGTCCTTACTGGGTCCCAGGAATCATGCTGTACAGACACTCTCTAATCTTTACAACAACCATGCAAGGCAAGCATTATTATCCCCATTTTACAGACAAGTAAACTGAGGTTCAAAGAAATTAAGAAACTTCCCCAAGTTCAAACAGCTAGCAAGTGATAGAACCAAAATTCTAGTCCACTAGTGTCTGATTCCAGTAGTATCCATGCCTCAACCCTTAAACTATACCACCTTCATGATCAAAAGAGAAACCAAATATAATTGATTTTTGTAAAAATCTTAAGTGTGAAGCTCAAAGTAGTTTTTTAAAAAAAATTCCCCTTCCCCCCCGCCCCATGGTAACTCAAGACAAGAACTTTTCTCTTTCCTTGAATTGAGCATCAGTGAGGAAGCTGCTTCACTATGCCAAGGGAGAAGTGCTACTCACAGTTACCTAGTTGTCTCTCAAGAGCAGGAGAGAAGGTGAGGTGAGGTATGGTGGGGTAAGGTGGGGTAAGGTGAGGTAAGGTTGGGTGAGGAGTGGTGATGCCAGGTGAGGTGAGGCCCACACAAGGCACTGGCCCCTGTCAATTATGAGTGAGGTGGAAGGGGCACTCAGTTCTCAGTTGCAAGATCTCCTGACACCAGGAGATTTAATTGTCAGTTGTGTCCCAAAGCCCCTCCAGGGTCAGGGTTTCTGAAGACTTACTACGTATGATTTAAATGGAGCATGTTTTCCCAAAAGGGAGGCTGTTCCTCAGCTGGACCATCTCCCTGAGCCAAAGTGGGCATGGAGGGTGGGAGTACAGGTAGGGTAGAGAATGAGGGTGGCTGGGTTAGCTGGGCATGTGGGAGAGTGTGAGAAGAGAGAGAATCCCTTTAATAGTGTTTTTCTTTTTCTTAAAAATGAGTCCAGGCCGGGCGCGGTGGCTCACGCCTGTAATCCCAGCACTTTGGGAGGCCGAGGCGGGCGGATCACGAGGTCAGGAGATCGAGACCATCCCGGCTAAAACGGTGAAACCCCGTTCTCTACTAAAAATACAAAAAATTAGCCGGGCGTAGTGGCGGGCGCCTGTAGTCCCAGCTACTTGGGAGGCTGAGGCAGGAGAATGGCGTGAACCCGGGAGGCGGAGCTTGCAGTGAGCCGAGATCCTGCCACTGCACTCCAGCCTGGGCGACAGAGCGAGACTCCGTCTCAAAAAAAAAAAAAAAAAAAAAAAATGAGTCCAAAGGCTGTTCTTTAGGAATACGATAGTTAATGATTAAGTCCATGTGCTAAGGTCACGATGCAGTTATGGAAATATAAGCAATCTAATAAAGGACGGAGTGAGGGCAGTAAGGAGTAGGTAGTGGGAAGAAATATTAATTCAACTTAATTGAAAGGTTCAACTTAATTTAAAGGTTAAAAAATGAGATTGAAAATATTCTCCTAACAGTAAAATTAGAAATTTGCTATCGGCCCTTAAAGGAAGCAGGCAAGTGAGAACAGAATGAATGGGCTCCCAGATTGTTTCTGAAGAGTCAAAGAGCCATTCAAGACACACCTTTCAAGGTACCAGGGTCACAGATGGCAATTTTGCCTGTGGCTAAGCAGAGGTGACTGGCCTGCCTCCTGTCACATAGGCGGCCATTCTCCACAGCCCCCCAGCTACAAGCCCTCCACAATATATGGTGGTGTATATCTGAACCACAGGAAGGCACACAATAACTGGAAGCTAATGCAAAAATAAATCATTTGTGTTTTCTGATGTGGCTGGGTTTTGATGGAGTTTGTGAATCACTACTGCCCAACCCTATCCACTGAAGGAGGGGCCAATAACTCACATCCTTTCCCAGCAGCTTCATACGCCTGGCAAAGGTGACCTTGCAACACCACACTCATCTATCACTCCTCTTTTCATGAATCTTTAATGGTTCCCTATCACCAATCGTATCATGTCCATATGTCTCCTCTAGGTATTCCAGCTTATTGTACTCTGCCTTTATCCTACCAATCTGGCATCATCTCCCTTTTCTCACAACATACACCTCCCGCTGGAATCAGTTTCCATTTTGAACCAAACTTATGGCTTCCCCTCTCTCTCTCTCTCTCTACGGCTCTACCAGGGTCTAGACTGCCTCTCCAAAATTCCAGAAAACTACAATGTCAATGTTACTGTGGGTCACTATACATACCCAGCTTCTTTTGGCCATAAAAAAGAGACCATAACTTTAAATATTCTACATTATCCTGCACTGTCCCATATGGTTACCACTAGCTACATGTGGCTATTTAAAGTATTTAAAATTAGTAAAATGAAAAAAAAAATCAGTTCCTCATTTGCAGTAACCACATATACAGTGCACAATAGCCACATGTGGCCACTGACTACCATATCAGACAGTGCAGATATAAAACATTTCCATCATCACATAAACTTCTACCAGATACACAAGAGAATAGCCTAACATATGCTAAAATTGTTTTTTATCACTACTTGGAAAATTTGATGATTCAAATTTCACAAAAAAGAGTGACTAGGACTTATAGATACAGCCCATCTTAAGTAACCAGCAAAGCATCTCTTATCAGTGATCCCAATCCGTTCTGTAAACATCACAGGTAATTGCAACATCGAATATTTTGAAAGGTCATCTGCAGCAGACCTTAGGCACCTTTCAACATAGCTCTGATAGGCTAATCAGCCCATTGTACACTAAGCTCTCTACTAGGCTCTGGGAGTCAATGCAAAGATAACATTACCCAGTGTCCATGCCATAGGCATAAAGCCAGTACAGAGATAACCAAAAAAAGGGGCAGAAAGACATAAATACCACAAGAGAGGTACACAGTGCTACAGGGATTCAAAGGCAAGAGATCATATCGAGTAGGAGGAACTAGGGAGGACTCCACAGACAGGTACATGAATACAGATAGGATTGAGCCCTAAAGAATAAGTAGAATTTTAACAGAAGGAGCCAGAAAGATGAAAGGGGGTAACTGCATGAGGAAAAGGAGAAGCAAGTTAGGGCCCAAGGTACATTTATGAAAAACTGAGCCAAAGAAGAACTATGTGATCCCATTCATCATTCAACAATCATTTGAAACTTTTTCTCCAATCACCTTAACAAAGAATTACACATTAACTTAGATGCCATTTTTTTAAAATTTGCTTTAAAAAAAAGATTTTGCTTTAGTGACAATATCTGATGTTGGTGAGGATGAGTTGGAAGAGGCTCTCTCTGTCCCCACTGCTAGTAGGAATGTACATAAGCACTACCTTTTTTAAAAAAAAACAACAAAAAAAGAGATATTAAGCTCCTTAAAAACATCCATACCCCTGTCCTGGTAACTCCACTTCAAGGAAAGTGACCTACAAAATAATGTGAAACACAAAGATTTGTACAAGAGTAAACTTTTTAAAGTTTATAACTGCAAAAAAAAAAAAATAGGAGCACATTGGGAGGCCGAAGTGGGCGGATCACTTGAGATCAGGAGTTCGAGACCAGCCTGGACAACATGGTAAAACCCCATCTCTACTAAAAAATACAAAAATTAGCTGGCCGCGGTGATGGTAGCCTGTAGTCCCAGCTACTTGGGAGGCTGAGGCACAAGAATTGCTTGAACCTGGGAAGCAGAGGTTGCAGTGAGCTGAGATCGTGCCACTGCACTCCAGCCTGGGTGACAGAGCAAGAATCCATCCCCCCTAAAAAAAAAAAAAGGAAATGGCTAGGTAAATTATGATCCAGTTACATACAGGATGGAGTACCACATAGGCATTAAGAGTTATGCCAACAAGTTTTAAATAACACAGGAAACGTTTATGAGGATGCTTAGTGAAAAAAATCAGGTATAAAATTGGCAATATACAGTATAGACACAAGCATGTAAAATAATGTGAAGAGAAGAAGGAGAATAAGCAAAAATGTTAACATTTTTGTGGCAAGACTATGAGTGATTTTTATTTATTTTTTTCATTTCTTTTTTTAATTTTATTTTATTATTATTATACTTTAAGTTTTAGGGTACATGTGCACAACGTGCATGTTAGTTACATATGTATACATGTGCCATGCTGGTGTGCTGCACCCATTAACTCGTCATTTAGCATTAGGTATATCTACTAATGCTATCCCTCCCCCCTCCCCCCACCCCACAACAGTCCCCAGAGTGTGATGTTCCCCTTCCTGTGTTCATGTGTTCTCATTGTTCAATTCCCACCAATGAGTGAGAATATGCGGTGTTTGGTTTTTTGTTCTTGCGATAGTTTACTGAGAATGATGATTTCCAATTTCATCCATGTCCCTACAAAGGACATGAACTCATCATTTTTTATGGCTACATAGTATTCCATGGTGTATATGTGCCACATTTTCTTAATCCAGTCTATCATTGTTGGACATTTGGGTTGGTTCCAAGTCTTTGCTATTGTGAATAGTGCCGCAATAAACATACGTGTGCATGTGTCTTTATAGCAGCATGATTTATAGTCCTTTGGGTATATACCCAGTAATGGGATGGCTGGGTCAAATGGTATTTCTAGTTCTAGATCCCTGAGGAATCGCCACACTGACTTCCACAATGGTTGAACTAGTTTTATTTTCTATAGCAGTGTTCAGCAAACAATAACCCGCGAACCAAACGTGGCCCACTGACTGATTTGTATATAGTTTTAGTAGAACACTGCCACACACATTCACTCACATACTGGCATTATCTGTAGCTGCTTTTGTGCTTCAATAGCAGAGTTGAGTAGTTGTGGCAGACACAGCATGGTTCACAAAGCCTAAAACATTTACTATCTGGCCCTTTACAGAAAAAGTTTGCCAAATTCTTTAGTTTCCAAATTTTCTATAATGAGTATGCATTGCTTTTGCAACCTTTTTCTAAGAGGTCTATTTCCACATCATGAAGAGCCTTAAGGAACAGCTCACCAATTCTGGATTTTATTTTGTAAGTAACTGAGAGCACTAGAAGTTTCCGAGGAGGGTAGAACATGATCTGACATGATGCCAACTAGTAAAACACAGAACACCAAGTCACATAAGAAGGTGAAATTTAAACTATATGCCAGGCAAATTCTATTATTCATCAAACAGCTGTGATTCTGGGTCACTTCTCTGTTACAGGAGAAGGTTAGCCTAAGATCTGGCTTATTATTTTCAGTCTTCCGCCTCTGAATGAACTCTATGACATGGCCTCCTCCCAGTATTAATGACCAATGGAATTTTTCCCTCCAAAGAAGTTGGGTGGGCGGTGGGGCGGGGGGGAATACAAATTTGTGAGTTTTGCCTGCAGAGGCAGTTTAAAAGCTGAGGGTAGTTATTCCTGTCCTCTTGGAGTCAGTCCTCCATTTTCCAAGCTTTTCCCTGTTTCCTACTTTACTGTACTGTTCTGGAAGTATAAGGGGAAAACAGGAAGATGGTACTGGGTAAAAGTGGGGATCAGGGAAAAGCAAAAAAGGAGAGATTAGAAAGTATCTGATTCTCTGCCTCAAGAGCCCTCAAGGAGTCCTTAGATCTACCCACCCTCAGAACCCGATGAAGAAGACCCTGAGACCTATCCCCAGTGAATATGGGCCATCTGTTTGGTTTTACCTTTAGGAAAAGGAAAGAGCTATCTTTCTAAGAGAAAGCCTCTATATCCACAAGCTTCCTCCAGATGCTAGATGCCTTTGCTACCTGCCTGATACCTACTTCCCCAGGGGAACTACAAATAACCAGTTCATACAAATGACTGTTTACTCATTCTCTCAGGCATGAACACAGCCAAAGGATAGAAATGGTCTGAAGTGTAGTTTCTTTTCAAATAAAACATACTACCAATCACAAAGAAGATTAATCACCTACAGAATGAGAAACTCCAAACTACCATCATCAGGTTTGGATGGCATGAAAACACAGTGAATAGGTCTCTGGGTTCTTTTTTTCCTGTAAAGAAACGACATTTTTTGCATTCCAGCAAATTTTGGCTGTGAATTTCATTTGGGCACCTTATAAAATGGAACAATTTGCATGTAATTCTGCTAGCTTTTTTTTCTTTGAATTTATTTATATTGTCTTCTATTGGTTAGAGACAGTGAGAGAAGAGACAGAATGCACTGAGGTGCTCAATTATTTAACAGATCCTACTTAACATTTTATATTTTAACATAAACCCGTGCCAACAATTGTTCTCATGAGCTTTCTAAACCATTAAGCTACACTGCTCTCCTTCTTCTAAATCAAATATAAGTAATTTGTTGTCATAGCAATGCTTCTTCCTACTCCAAAACAGTTCAATACATGCTTTGTTTTAGCCGGCAACTATCTGTCTACCAAAATTGGCCATAATCTTCCATCTCCTTGACAAATGTCTTATTAAATTTAGCTGCCTGGCTTTTACAGTCATCAGGAGACTGTATTTCTATGGCACTTTCTAGCACCTGTACAGGAAAGGGGCTTGCAGGACCTCTCAGGAACTGCCTGGAAGCATATCACAGCTAAGTCACTGGGTGACAGCCAATCTAAGTAGTCATGATGACAACAATCCTTGGCATTATTATTCAGCTTTACAGTTTATCGAGTGCTGTCATCCACTTTACTGTATTTGAGGTAGTACTAGATGAAGCTTATATGCTTCAATTCCCTGCATCAGGTAACTAAGGTGCACATCAGTAGTTAGTTATGTTCTGTCCTTTATTCTCTGAGTTTTGAGTTCTGCTTTTCTATGCTTTTCACGTGGTATATATTAAGCTAATGAAGGCAATTAACTAAGCTTTTAGAACTGCAAAAAAAAACAACAACAACAACAACAGAGGCACAGGATACCATTGTGTCAGTTCCTTGTGCAATGGACCACTGACAGATATTAACTAAGTGTTTAGACAAACACACAAAGCCACACTGGAGAGTCAGGGCCAGTATTAAAGCTAATCTCATATTTATAGGGCATGTTACAGTTTACAAAGCCATTTCACAAAAATGATCTCATTTGAACTATACCTCTTGTCCATCCATCACCCCAACACACATAAACATAGCTAGATCAGGATGTGTGTACCTAAAATATTATTTTCTGCCTTATATTTACCCATTTTTAAATAAAGATGAGTAATTGGCATTTTTAATTCCAGTTCCTTCAACCCCTGACCTTTACTTCATGCAGCCATATTCTGTAAAATCTGGAGCCCTCTCCCCCATCAAGCTGGATTTTTTTTCACACTACACTTTTGTGAGAAATGCAAATTTAAAGGAAAAGATCAGAGAGTGAGAAGGAGATATTCTTTCACATTAGCCGAGGTCTTTATATATGTAACAAACCTGCACATTGTGCACATGTATCCTAAAACTTAAAGTATAATGATAATAATAATAATAATAAAAAGAAAAAAAAAGAGCAGGACTAAAAAAGTTGATCTCATAGAAGTAGAGAGTACAGTAGTAGTTACTAGAGGTGGGGAAAGGTAGGGGGAAAGGAGGGATTAGGGAGACATTGGTTAATGGATACGTGTATCAAAATCTCACACTGTACTTCAAAAATATATAAAATATTATGGATTAATTAAAAATAATAACAATAAGCAAAAAAACCTTTTTAAAATTATTATAAAAAGGAGGACTAGGGAAGGGCACTGCAGCTCATGCCTGTAATTCTAGCACTTTGGGAGGTTGAGGCAGGAGGATCACTTAAGGCCAGGAGTTTGAGACCAGCCTGGGCAACATAGTGAGACCCCCATCTCTTAAAAAATATATAAAACATTAGCTGGACATAGTGGTGTGCATCTGTAGTCCCAGCTACTTGGAAAGCTGAAGTGGGTAGATAGCTTGAGCACCAGAGTTTGAGGCTGCAGTGAGCCCTGATCGTGCTGCTGCACTCAAGCCTGAGTGATAGAGTGAGACCTCAACTCTTTAAAAAATGTTAAAACCCAAATGCCCATCAATGATAGACTGGATAAAGAAAATGTGGCACATATACACCATGGAATACTATGCAGCCATAAAAAACAATCAGTTAATGTCCTTTACAGGGACATGGATGAAGCTGGAAACCATCATTCTCAGCAAATTAACATAGGAACAGAAAACCGAACACCTCATGTTCTCACTCATAAGTGGGAGTCAAACAATGAGAACATATGGGCACAGGGAAGGGAACATCACATGCCGGGGCCTGTCGGCAGTTGCAGGGGAAGAGGAGGGATAACATTAGGAGAAATACTTAATGTAGACAAAGGGTTGATGGGTGCAGCAAACCACCATGGCACATGTATACCTATGTAACAAACCTACACGTTCTGCACATGTATCCCAGAACTGAAAGTATAATAAAAAATTTTAAAATTTTTAAAAATTATAAGACACAATGTATCATAATAGTTCCTTTTGAAAAGAATGTACTACCTTTTCTTTTTTCTTTTTCTTTTTTTTTTTTTTTGAGACAGAGTCTTGCTCTGTCGCCCAGGCTGGAGTGCAGTGGCGCGATCTCAGCTCACTGCAACCTCCGTCCCCTGGGTTCAAGCAATTCTACTGCCTCAGCCTCCCTAGTATCTGGGATTACAGGCGCCCACCACCACACCTGGCTAATTTTTGTATTTTTAGTAGAGATGGGGTTTCGCCATTTTGGTCAGGCTAGTCTCAAAATCCTGTGATCTGCCCGCCTCGGCCTCCAAAAGTGCTGGGATTACAGGTGTGAGCCACTGCACCCAGTGAATGTACTATCTTTTAAATGGCAACTGTCTCTTGATCCGTTGGCCTTTTCACATCTGAACAATAATAAAACCCACATTTAAAAACACGAAAAAAAATGTTAAAAAAAAAAAAAAAGAGGCCGAATGCGATGGCTCATGCCCATAATCCCATCACTTTGGGAGGCAGAGATGGAAGGATTGCTTAAGCCCAGGAGTTCAAACTAGCCTCGGCAACGCAGTGAAACCCTGTCTCTACAAAAAATACAAAAATTAGCCAGGTGTGGTGGCATGTACCTGTAATCTCAGCTACTCGGGAGGCTAAGGCAGGAGGATCACCTGAGCCCAGGGAAGTCAAGGCTACAGTGAGCCATGATCATGCCACTGCACTCCAGCCTGGGTGACAGAGTGAGACCCAGCCTCAAAAAAAAAAAAAAAAAAAAAAAAAAAAACAGACAGAGAAAAAGAGAGAGAAAAAGGGAGAGAAGAGAACAGGTCAGGGAGACAGATTACCAGAAACTTTCACTTTTGTTTTCTATATTTCTATATTTCTAATTTCTTAATTTATGATCATATGCTACTTCTATAATCAAAAAATAAAGTTTTTTTTAAAAAAAGAGACAGAGAAGTATTGTTACATTCAAATGAAAGAACACCTGAAACAAGGGACCCTAACTGGGTCACCTGCTCCCCCTTCATTGAAACTCTCTGAGTAGCAAGGAAGGGCTAGCAAAGAGGACTAGCTCAGAGTGCTTATTTAGGAAACGCAATCAGAATCAGGAGCTGCTGCCCTAACAGAGCATGAAAATAAGATTTCACAGCACCACATAGGCTCAAGAGCTGGACTGAAAAGTTCCATTCCCACCCATATGTGACCAAATGTAATTTGTCTCTCTGTATGCCTTCCAGCTTCACATAGTCTGATTCCATTCGAAAATCTAATAAAAGGGGGAATAGCTGACATCATTTCTGTTGCTTGATCCTCGTGAACACTGTCTTCTATAGACTTTATTTTTGTTTCCTGCAGAGCAAGTGAGGGAACTAATAAATTATTTAGAATCCCTATGCAACTATTATTTCAATTTCTCCACACCTCACTTCTGTCAGGGGAAAAGGGAACCAGTCATTGAACCTAAAAGGCAGAGAGGTAACAGGATTTGGCTCAAGTCTCATAGAAAATACTAGGCAGTAAGAAGAAGAAAGTCCAAGGGTCTGAAACATGTCTGACCAACCAGAAGTAATGTCTGTAAGGCCCATGAAAAATAAAGCTTTCCTTCCCAACCCCTCATGCATCCCAGAAGGAATGCAGCTTTTAAGAGTGTTTTCAATAACGACAAAAGCCTCTGGCACTTGAGGATATGAGGGTGTTAATTTTGTTTGGCAATGTCAAATTTAAGAACTCTTCAAGAAGGTGCAATTTTGATTTTAAGGGTGTTTCTTCCCTGGAGCTGAAAATCCAATTTACCCAGCCCACCCAGAGGGATGCTTTCACCATTACCAAGCCACCCTTATAGCATGTAGATCTATCCACACTCTAAGTTGCCACGGGACCCCTATATTGAACATTTTGATCAATAGATGTAACAATAAATGCAAAAATTAACATACTATACCTAATAACACAACCTCAAAAATATATAAAGTAAAGGTTAACAGTACTAAAAGAAGAAATAGACAAATCTACCTCTGTGGTGGTAAACTTTAAAAAATCTCCCAGTAACTGATAGATTAAGCAGAGAAAAAATAAGGTAAGGTGATTGAAGAGCAGCAAAATTAACAAGGTTGATCTAGTGGACACTGTATCATACTGGGCCACAAAACAAATCTCAACAAAATTCAAAGAAACAGAACATACAGATCACATTCTCTGATCACAATGTTATTAAGTTAGAAATCAGCAACAAAAAGATGACTTTTAAAACATTTAGGAAAAAACTGTTAATCCTTCTAAACAACCCATGAGTTAAGAAAGCACAATGGAAATTCCAAAATACTTGGAACTGAGCAATAACAAAATGTTATATCAAAATTAGTGGAATGTAGCTAAACAGTAGGTAGCAAAAATTATTAACCTTTTAATTCATATAGTCAAATAAGAAAGTCTAAAAATAAATAAGCTAAGCATCCCACCTAAGTTAGGAAAAGAACAAGAGACATAACTCCAAAGAAAATATGAAGGAGAAAACAGATTTTTAAAATAAGCAGCAATTAACAAAATAGAAAACAAACATGTAACAGTTCCATCAACAAAGTCTCAATTATTTCCTATAAAAGATAAATAAAACTTACAAACTACTAGTGAGATTGATTTTTTAGTAGCAAATAATAGTATGAGAGAAAAGGAAGAAATCTTTTAAATATCTGTAGTGTTTATAGTTAAGACGCTATTAACAATTTTAAACCAATAAATTTGAAAATTTAGACAAAATGGTCAAATTCCTAGCAAAACATAAATTAAAGACACTGACTAAAGAAAAATACAATGTCTGAAAATTCCTATAACCATTAAAGAAATTGAATCAGTAGTCCATAATCTTCCCACAAAGACAATATCAAAGCCCAGATAGTTTTATAGGCAAGTTCTAACAAACCTTTAAGAAACAAATCACTCTGATCTCATGCAAACTTTTCCAAAGCTTAGAAGAAGAGGAAGCAGCATTGGCCAATCCATTTTATGAAGCTAGCACAAACTTAATAAGAAAACCTGACAAAGGCAGTATGAAAAGTGAAAACTAGAGCCAGATTCACTCACAGATTTATTTTATTTTATTTATTTATTTATTTTTATTTTTATTTTTTTTGAGACGGAGTCTTGCTCTGTCGCCCAGGCTGGAGTGCAGTGGCATGACCTCGGCTCACTGCAATCTCCACCTCCCGGATTCAAGCAATTCTCCTGTCTCAGCCTCCCGAGTAGCTAGGACTACAGGTACACACCACCACGCCCAGCTAATTTTTGTATTTTTAGTAGAGATGGGGTTTCACCATATTGGTCAGGCTGGTCTCGAACTCCTGACCTCAGGTGATCCACCCGCCTTGGCCTCCCAAAGTGCTAGGATTACAGGCATGTGAGCCACTGCGCCCAGCCCACTCACAGTGTTTAAGAATACCATGTAAAATACTAGCAAACCATATCCAGGAACAATAAAAAAGATAATATATCATGATCAAGGTGACTTGATTCTGGGAAGTACAGAGACAATTTAATATTAGAAAATCAATCAGTATAATTGACCACACTGAAAGACTAAAGAACAAAAGCAATATGATCATCTCAACAGAAGAAAAAGCTTCTGATAAAATGCAACATCCATTCATGATTTTTAAAAAATCTTAGCAAACTTAGAATAGGAGGGAACTTCTATAATCTAATAAATAATACCAACAAAAAAATTATAGTAAGGATCATACTTTATGATGAAACACTGAAAGCATATCCTTTAAGGCAGAAAACAAGATAAGAGTTGCTCAACATTGTCACTTGTATTAAGCACTATACGGGAGGTCTCAACTAAAACAGTAAGTTGAGAAAAAGATATTAAAAAAAATAATGGCCACAAAGGAAGAGACAAAGTTCTCATTATTTGCAGATTATGTACGATTGCCAAGATAGAGAACCCAAAGAATCCTCAGATGTATTAATTATAATTAACTTAAAAGCATTTAGCAAGGTTGCTGGATACAAAAATGATGCACAAAGATCAGCTGCATTTCTAAAGACCAGCAGTTACAAAATTATAACATGTTAAGTTAAAAAAGGAAACCAAAGGACTAGAGACTCAACCAAGCAGTTGGTTAAGTTTATGGTCTCTGAACTGCCTAATTTCTAATCCGAGCTCCACCCCACTAGCTGTGTGACTGTAGGCAAGCTATTTAGTTGCTCTGCACCCTACCTTTTAGAATTCTTGTGAGGATTAAATGAGTTCATGCGCATAAGGCACTTAGGACAATGCCTGGCACAAAGTAAGGGCAAAATAAATGTGAGCTGTTATCATTACTGTGAAGAAGTAGGTAATAGGCCTATTACCCACGGCTCTGAGGTTCTAACTATTGGACTCCAATACATCTCCAGGGTAGATAGAGTCAGGGAGCCACAAACTGCTATAAGAGCCAATGAAACCTACCCATGTTTTCCCGAAGGCTGGGCACTGAACTCCCACACCCAGCATACAGCTCATTACTCACACACCCTCTGCCGTCTACAGAGTAATTAGTAGAGGAACACGCCCTTTTCTCTGGAGATTTCCGCCCCAGTCGTACCAACTCTTTAACAAGGAACAAAAGTCAACAACTTCAAGTTTCCTGTGAGGATGAAATCCAGAGTTTCTAATGACTAATCTCCATCGTCAAAAGAAAAGGCAAACCTCAGCCCCTTCAGACAGCTAATGCCAGGAGAAGTTCATGAGGTATTAGAAGAAAGGTTGTTGTTACTGGCTCTATTTCTTGGGGAGCAAGGAGGAAGACTGTAACTAATATTTTTTGAATACCTAATATGTACCACACAGTGTTCCCAGAGCTTTAGAAATATTAACTCACATAATTCTCTAAATAACTTGAAGAGGTAGATAGAATTTTTAGCTCCATTTTACAAATGAAAAACATAATGACAGTGATTGGGTGACTTGCCTAAAGGCACACAGCTCATGAGTAATAGAAATTAGCTTTGAGCTCAGATCTAAGTCAAAAGCCCTATGCCAAGCCAGAAGAAGAGAAGAAATACAGGAGGTTAGTTTGTGAAATGAATGAGGGTCGTGGGTGTAATGAGTGTGACACTGAGTATTTCAATTCTCCTTCTTACTGAGACCAGAGGCCAAAATTAGAATGGGAATGCAAACAATAATTATGTGAATAGAAAACTGAAAGGCAGCAAACCAGCAGGGTATCCAAGTTAGTGTTTAGGAGGTACCCATTTCGTGGCATGACTGAGCAACATTAAAAACAAAAACAAACAAACAAAACAAATACTGCCACACTGTGGCCTCATCTCACTCACTCTTTTTCTGAAAACCAGGATATTCATGGCAGGAACATGCAATTACATGAACTTACCCAGACCTAGGTGAGAATAAGGTAAAATCAGATTGAGGTGCAGAGTTGGCAGCTGAAGAACAAGATGTGTGTGCAGCTTGGGTTTTGATGCCATCTGGTTTTTAACTCCCTCTGTATAGCAATATTGTTGGGCTTTCTAACTCAGCTGCCCTGATACCTGAGCCCACAAGTGATGAGCATCCCAAGGGCTTTGACCTAGGACCAGTGAGCAGAATGCTTAACATTTGTGTAGCACTGACTGTATGCCAAGCAGCACTGCCATCAGAGCCCACCTGTTAGGGCTTCTCCTTCCTGTCCCAAGGTAAATAATTTTGTTCCTTCTAATAGCAGTACCTAGTCTATTCTGCCTTATAAGAACCTGGAGACATACGTGAGCCAGCAGGAGAGGAGGAAAGAGCCTGGCTTTGGGGACAAGCCCTCAGAGCCTTCCCTGATGCAAGCTGATATACAAACCATCCAAAATAAAGGCCACTGGGTTCAAGAACACATATGCCAACACACACACACACACACACACACACACCCAACAATAACAACAACATAAAAATTTTAAGATCAAGCCTACCATTCTAATAGTATTAGATTTTGTAGATTATTAACCTAGTGTTCCTGAATACAAGATCTTTTCACGACACACAGATAAATGAATGATACCATACACTAGACCTAGTTATGTATCTGCCTGCTCTTAAACCCTGCAAGGAGATAAAAGTTACATGTACAATCTGTTGTTTCAATTGCTTCTCTTCTAGAAACCATCATCTCCCAAGGCCCTCTTGTAAAACAGAACACAAATTTTACTAATTCTCACACAGAGCCATAAAACATGGCATCTCGTATTTAAGTGCCCTGTTACCCTTCAGCCTTTATTCAACGTTTACCAACAGTTTTAGAGACTACAAGCCCTGAAATTAAATAACAGCTCCTTTAAGAAAGCTAGAGGACAGGCACAGTGGCTCACAACAGTAATCCCAGGACTTTGGCAGGAGGATCACGTGAGGCTAGAAGTTCGAGACCAGCCTGGGCAACACAGTGAGACCCTGTCTCTACAAAAAATTTAAAAATCAGCCAGGTGCGATGGCATGTGCCTGTGGTCCTAGTTACTCGAGAGGCTGAGGTGGAAGAACTCTTGAGTCCAAGAGTTCGAGGTTACAGTTGAGCTGTAATTACACCACTGCATCTAGCCTGAGTGATAGAACAAGACCCTGTCTCCAACAAACAAAAGAACCAAACAACAAAAAAGGAAAGCTAGTACTTTCTGATGTTAGCAAGAAGCTCACTGAAAAGAAAAAAAAAATGTTTCATTATAAATTCACAAGGGAAAACAGAAACAGTGTGTAACTGGCTAACTAACCCATCCGTGATGAACTATGTATTCTCTCCACATTTGTGTTTCTAATGCATTGTGTCCTTCATCCAATTCTACAATTTTTCCATTCTACCAGGAAGTAGCAAATGAAGCCAGAAAAGGTCTTAGATACCATCTGGTCTGACCCTCTCATTTACAGAGGCAGAAACTGAATCTCAGAGAAGGGAAGGGACTTACTTGACAAATGCAGGTGACTGGCAAGCCTCTTGATACAGTCCACCCCACAGTGGAACAGAACTATAGGTAGGATGCTTCTCTTTCAACCAGTTCTTTAAATTGGCTTGCAGAAAATTGGCAAATGGTTCTTCGTCAATACAAAAATATAATTAGTAACTTATTTTCATGTTAGGCTCCATTAGCCTAACAGTAACGAGTCAGCCAGATCTACACATCCATACCAGCTTGGTCACTTTCTAGCTGTGTGACCTTGGGTATGTTACGTAACCTCCCTGACCCTTATTTTTCTTATCTATAAAATGGGAATGCAAATAATAGCATCTATTCCACAGGATGCCTGGCACTTGGTAAGCGTTCAATAGATGTTAGTGGTGACTAGAATTATACCCTAATACTAACTGTGTGGGGAGAGGGGTCTGGAAGGAAGAATACCTCTACCTTGAATTATACCTGAACCTTCTGAGAAAGCCCCAAACTTGGATCTAAATTTCTGGCTTGGGAAGTAGCAGGGGACAAGGCCAAAAGAACCAGCCTGATGCTAGTATCACTAGGAACTGGCCCCACTCCTCTAACTCTCAGGCCCACCCATAAGGACAGGCACCTCTTGTCTTTAAGGTGAGTTTCACAAAAAGGAAAAAAAAAAATGAGGAACTGAAGTAGAAAAGTCATAAACACACTGAGCTTGGGAAAGACCCTTAGGAGGAGTAGGAAAGTGCCCTAATTAGACTAGAATCAGTGGTTGTCTCAGTAAAGGGAAAATTAGCCATCTTTAGAACTCTTGGGCTTGAGCCAGAGGTAACCAGTGCTGGCCCTTCCCACTCAAGGTTTTAAGAAAGACTAAAATTTAACCTCCCCTCCCCCAAACCATAAGGAGGCCTGGAGGCATAAAGCATATCGTTAAAGTTTTAACACAGGCCATTAGGTTCACCTGTCCTTCAAGGGCGACAGAACAGAGTGTAATAGGACCTCAAAGGGTAAGGCCATATACACCAGCCCTGGCTCTGCCATTCCCAAGTGGTGTGACCTTCAGCAAGCAGCTTTCTGCTCTGGGCTTCTTTCTCTATCTGCAAAACGACGGGCTTGAACTTCAGGAACTTGAAAGCCTCTCTGATCTCTAGCATTTTCTGGTCATAAATTCTGTACATACTTGCCACCTGAAAATACAGTAGTCAGACTGTTAATGAGCCTTGATAATAAGTTCCCTGGGGGCAGAAACCACATCTAATACTTTTGTATCTCTCTAGTACGACTAGGCCTGGAGTAATTGCTTAATACATGTTATGTGATCTAGATTCACCACACACTATCTAACATATCATAAGCTTTTTGAATGCCAGGCAGTTCTCCTCAAACCTCTCTCCCACCAGACTTTTCAAATACGTCAGATTTTACCACCGCTGGGTTTTTTAATAAAAAGAAGCATTGCACAAAGAAACAAAGCTCCTTGTCACATCATGTGACAATGATCAAATACCTATATGCCAGGCACTCTGCTCAAAAGGGGCAGATATGGGTCCTAGTGCTGGCACCCATCCTACAAGCTGTATGATTCAGAGTAAGTCTGAAAACCTATCCCTGAAAAGGCCCAATAAAGGTAGTTACTATTATTGAGAATCTTACATCTTAGATCTCTCTTGACAAGTAAACAACTAACTAGCAGGCTATGGGACCAACACTTTACAAGCAGTCCACTCCCAAGGCTTTGGGAATAAAGAGGAGGAAATAACTATATTGAGATATCACTCAATACACACACACACACACACACATTTCTAGTGGTCAGTTTAGGCTCAGAACACATTTAATCCAGTCTTCTCAACTATTGATTCCTAACCCTGGCTACAGATTAGAATCACTTGAGGAGTTTTTTCTTAAATGCCTATGTCCAGGCCCCAAGTGTAATCAATTATCTAAGAACAGGGTGTGGGAGCAGGCATTGGTTTGTGTTTTATTATCTGCTGCCCTAGGTGACTGAGAGATGCAGCCAGGGTTGAGGACTCTGACCTCCACTGTTCTCCATCTCCACTTCTAGTCCCAAACTTTAGCAGGTCCAGATGACTTAAAGGCCTTCAAGGGCTCACAAAAATTCCATTTCAGTCACTCACCAGACTATTCTCTGAGCCAGTACAATAAGTCTGCTACTGCCAAAACATTTTTTGTAACCAAAACATAAACAAAAAGGAGCTTTCTTAACCTACCGTTAGAGAAGGCGATTAGCTAGTCCAGCCTAGTCCCCAACCATTACATGTATCAGAGGCTTAATTGGCCTGAGATCTCATGCTTTTCTGGAAGCTTCCCTACTACTAAAATTGGTATTCCATTTGTCCCTTCTCAACTACCCTGCTCCCCGCTTCACACTGATGTTTCCTCATAGCAATGAGTGTCCCCTTCCTTCTCCCTCTGCAGCTCAGCACTGAATCTGACTGTCTGACACACACACACACATACAAACACACACACACAGATTTGCTTTTTTAATTCCTTCTTAATCAGCCCCTGCCTGCCTCTTGGCCACTTAGCTACTCTTCTACTTATCCCCTCCCTTTCCACTGAACTTCCTGGCAATGGGGTAACTGCCTCATTCCAGCCATAATCTCTCCATGCCCCCTGCCTCACCCCCACCAGCCACACAGACAGCAAGGCACCTGTGGCACAGCCTCCAAAACACATGATGTTTTCTCAGTTGCCAAATGTTCTCTCGTGAGTTGGCTTCCTTTGTCCATTGAATCTTTTTTAGTAAAGCTATTCTCACAGGCTGCCAATCATCCTTTCTTTATTTAAATAAGTATTTCTCTTAATTACTAAAGGAATCTACACTTAAACCAAATTCAAATAATACAGAAATGTGGTCATTAAAAAATGAGAATTCCCCTCTTTCCCTAATCACTCAGGAGTAAGTGCTATTTAGTATACATTCTTCCAGATTTTTAAAATGTGCTCATAAACATGCACATATAAAGAGGCTGCTTGGGCTTTTTTTTTTTTTTTTTTTTTTTTTTTAGAAAAAGGGGTTTCTCTCATACATATGGTTCTGCAACATTTTTGTATTTTAGCAATACATTGTGAACAACTTTGAAAGTGAATTCAGACATCAGCCTCCTTTTAAAAAGCTATACTATTCACTGGCCAGATTTACCATTCTGCTATTAATGGGTTGTTTCCCAATGTTCTGTATCCACCAACACTGATGCCATAAATATTCTGGCATGCAACTCTTCACACATTAACATTTGTAGAGTAAATATTTTAAAGTGGGTGGGGTGGCTGGCCACAGGGACCAGCCTGTAAACACCAAATCTAATTACCTTCTCTCAGGTCCTCCTTGGCCTCACCCTCTACATTTCATGACATAGAGGACCAGCTCCTGCCTTCTGAAACTCCTTCCTCTCCTGGATCTCATTCCACTTCCTGGATGGCTGCTCCGTCAGAGTCTTCTTTCTGCTCCCAAAGGAGACATTCCCCAGAATACTTTTCTTCTTTCTCTTCTCTAGCTTGCATGATGCTCTCCTCTTCTCCTCCTTTATCTTCTCGAAGGCAATACCTCCTAAATCAACATTTCTAGCCTTCACCACATCTTAATAGCCTGCTGGACAATCCATCCTCAACATCTCAAACATCTGAAAATCAACAAATCCCAAAATGAACTAATGACCTTTTCCTCTAAGCCACAGTTTCCTCATCTGGAAAACAAAGGGATTGGACTAGACTTAATTTTTAAAAAATTAGGAATCTAGAATGTACCAGAAGCTGTGCGGGGGATACAAAAATTAATAAAAACATAGACCTTACATTTGGGAACATACAATCTAAGGAGTAGGGAAGATACACAAACAATTACATAATACAAGGCAGAATAACATGCTAAAATAGACAAGAGAGGCTAAATCCGGCTTAGAGGCTTGAAGACAGCTTCACAAGAGGGAGTGTTTGGGCTGAGCCTTGAATGATAACTAGCATTTCAACAGGAAGAGAAAAGAAAGAATATTTCTGTCTAACAGTGCAGCATAAACAAAGTATAAACTCAGAGAAGAATGGAAGTGCATGGTGCTGGTGGCTGGATCAGAGAACACATGGAAGAATATACTAAATAACAAGGCTGAAAAAAAAGGTTGGGACCAAAATCACAGAAGATACCGAATCCTATCATAAGGAGATTAAGATTTCTCTACAGGCTTTATCTATGTGCCATCCCTAGTCTATATATTAATACCAGCTCTGACTGATTGATAAGTGGCTACCTAGAATGCTATGCTAAACAGATTTTAAATCTACTTGGACTCTCCCTGGGAAAGCGTGCCTATGATTGATTAGCACAGTCGGCCAGGGACAATATAAAGTGTATGCATCTATGTGTTTACCATCCCTGATGAAGGCATTAAGGAGTTATCAAAGGTTTTGGAGGAAGGGAATGGCATGATCCAACATGTATTTTACTTGTATCATTCTGGCAGTAGTGTAAAGGGTCGAGTAGTAGATAGAGTAAAGGATAGAGTAGTGTAAAGGATAGAGGAGAGAAGATCAATCACAAGGCTGCTCTAACAAGACAGGTGATGATGATGACAGTGATAAACAACAACATGAACCAGGGCAGGGGAATCAAAGAAGAAAAGGAAGAGAAATGGAAGAGATCATGAAAGGCAGAATCAAGATGACTGAGACTATGATGATGAAAAGGAGGAAGAGGGTGGAATTGAGATGTATCAAGGTTTCTAGGGATTTAACCTGGGTCACTGGATGGATTGTGATGCTGTTAAATAAGATAAGAGTACTGAAGGAACAGTATCATGGCAGATGATACTGTTTCATTCCAAATCCCCCAACCACTTTACTTAGGATGCATGGCTTTCAAGCCCTCTTGAGTACACTGGGAAGAAAAAAGCAGGATCTACATTGCTTGATGGCCCCAGCATTTATATAACCCTACATACAAACCTACCTTTCTCCCTTTTGCCAGGCTACCAAGGAAATAACATCAATATCTGATTCTAGAAACAGGTGGCCTAGGGAATGTTTAAATGTTCCTGCTCTCAAGACATGATGATTGTTCTCATTTTGATAGCACTTTCTTATATTCACAGCACATTCATATATTCACAGCACATTCACATACCTTATTTGACTTGATTCTCATATTTACCCTATAAGGTAAGAAGGGCAAAGATCATCTCTGTCTTACAGATGATAACAGCCATACTCATATTTATTAAACACTTGCCATGCACCACTATTCTAAACACTTCACATGTAGTCATGCATTTAATTCTTACAAGAACCCCATAAAGTAGATACTACTATTAATCCCCATTTTGCAGATAAGAAAACAGACCCAGAGGCTTTAGGTATACTGGTCTAGCAATAAACAAGAAAAATAATGAACTTGGAAGACCTCAAACAAAATAAAACAAAACAAATCAAAAACCATGCCTAGATATGTCAATTAACTTTCCCAGAGTTGCACAGCTAGAAAGCAGCAGAACTGGGATTTGAACCTGACTAGTCTGGCTCCAGAGCCTGCACTTTTAACTACCACACTCTATTTCTTATTATATAAGAAGACTGAGGCACAGAGAGGCTACCTGAATGGCCAAAATTACTCAGTTTTGTCAACCAGCTAGTGATGAACCTACAACCAGGACCCAGGTCTGGCTAACCCTTAATCCAGTGCTGTTTCTACTACTCAACCAAGATGAACTAACCTCTACTACTGGGCTGACAGATTATTCTGACGTTTTTCTTCTTTGGCCTTTGTCACCTCTGCTAGACTAAGGTTCTAATTTTGATCCCTTGCCCTGGAGCCCCATACAACTGTTTACTAGGATTAGATGCAGGCCTCTATTTGGAGGCAGGAAATGATGGCCTCAGTTATATCCGCAGCTGAGTGGGTCCCATTTCCAAACAACCAACATCTGCAAGCAACCCATACTGGCTCTACATGCAGGCTCAGTGAGCACACACATCCCTGTGAACTGTCTGTCCAGGGCAAACAGCAAGTAATGGTGACACCAGGGCCAGACTCCTCTGTGGAAGACAGGAAGCAAGGGCAGGAAAGTAAATTGAAAAAAACAGTTGCTATACCAGCCAGGTAAAGAGGTGGCCTGCAGGCCGGGCGCAGTGGCTCACGCCTGTAATCCCAGCACTTTGGGAGGTGGAGGCAGACAGATCACCTGAGGTCAGGAGTTCGAGACCAGCCTGACCAACATTGAAAAACCCCATCTCTACTAAAAATACAAAATTAGCCGGGCATGGTGGGGCATGCCTGTAATCCCAGCTACTCGGGAGGCTGAGGCAGGAGAATCGCTTGAACCCAGGAGGCGGAGATTGCGGTGAGCCAAGATCATGCCATTGTACTCCAGCCTGGGCAACAAGAGTGAAACTCCGTCTCAAAAAAAAAAAAAATGAAAGAAAGAAAGGAAGGAAGGAAGGAAGGAAGGAAGGAAGGAAGGAAGGAAGGAAGGAGGGAGGGAGGGAGGGAGGGAGGGAGGGAGGGAGGGAGGGAAGGAAAGAAAGAGAGAGAGAGAGAGAGAAAGAAAGAAAGAAAGAAAGAAAGAAAGAAAGAAAGAAAGGAAGGAGGTGGCCTGCAGCCAGGAGATCCTCACTTTCAAGAAGGCAATAAACAATGATGCTCAAAAAGCACAAGATTTCCATTTCTCTAATAGTGAGCAAGAAGAAAAGTCTAGTTCCTTTCATGCTGGAAGGTTAAGGATAGAAGGAGGCCATGTGTGGTATTATAGAGAGATATTGAAATGGGAGTCAGGAGACTCAGCTCTGCTTCTATTTAGCTGTGTGACTTTGGGCAAATCACTTCACCTCTCTGGGTCTCAGTTTGCTCATCTGGAAAACAAGGGATGAAAAAGAAACAAATTAGTTGTTCTCAGAGGTTTCTTTCAGCTCTGATTTGGTATCACTCTGCCATTTTAACAACCTGAGAAAGTACAGCTAGAACATCCAGTGCCTATAGTCTACCAAAGGGGAAATCAGCTAGAAGCAAAGAAAAGAAGAATTAGATAAAACAGGCCAGGTGTGGTGGCTCACTCCTATAATCCCAGCACTTTGGGAGGCTGATGCAGAAGAATCGCTTGAGCCCAGGAATTCAAGACCAGCCTAAGCAACATGGCAAGACCCCATCTCTACAAAAAACAAAAACATTAGCTGGGCGTGGTGATGCGTGCCTGTGGTTCCAGCTACTTGGGAGGCTGAGTCAAGAGGATCGCTTGAGCCCAAGGGGTCAAGGCTGCAGTGAGCCATATTCATACCACTACACTCCAGCCTGAGCAACAGAGCAAGACGTTGTTTCAAAAAAACAAAAAATTACATGAAACAAAAAACAACCTTTCTGGAAGGCTGCAAATGAGGTAATACACAGGCAGTAGACTAAGCACCATGCCTAAAGCATAATTAACGTGTATTCAAAAATGTTACAAGTGTTATTACTACCACTCCTCACTTTTCTGAGAGTGTACAAAGATAACCAGAAATTATAGTGAGTTTTCTCCTAAATTCGACTCTTTTTTGCCCATCCGGCCCTGTTACACATTTCCAGCGTTTTAAAGGCCTAAGGGAGGTCCTAAATGATCAGGGGCACCAGCTGTCCTTAATGTCCACAGACAGTTATAACTGAAAAGCAAGAACCCAACGTCAAGGAAAGAAGGGAAAGAGAAAATACAAGTGGCAAGAGCCAGGATTAATCCTCCATTCACTGCAAACTGACTGTGGAAAAGGGGGATGAAAAAACAACAGGTGCAGACCACAATGTACTTTGCAAATTGTTTTTCAGGACAGACCCAAAGCAGGGAGTAAGACATTTGGGAAGATGATCCTAGCCTGGTTTCCATGTGCGTCCATCTGAGCAAACACAGCACTGGCTGTGAGATATGGCCAAACACTACCCAGCCGGTCAGCAGACCCTGTGACACGGCGGGCTTCACATTCTTCTCCACAAAGCTAATGCAGCCTTGGCCTAAAGGCCACCCCTGACTCCGATGACCAAGACAATACCCCCCTGAAATTCCCCACAGGGCTGGGGGTCAATCAGTTCACTTGGCTGACTGGCCAGAAACCCCACATGCAAGCAAGGAAACATAACCTTGGCTTGGTGCTAGCTTGCAGGGCTATTCTGAGGAAAGGTGAACTTGAAAGCAGAGTAAAGTCAGCTGCCCTGCAGCAGAAGGGAGATCCAAATGTAGAGGCGGTCCCTTTCCTCAGGGTGCCAACATTCCCTGTGGGGCTGGGGCTCCAGGAAATAGGTAGAAATACCCACATGAAGCAGCAGCCAGTAGCAGTGGCAGCCCAAGGGACCAAGTGTGAAAGCGCTGCTGATAATGAGGCACTTGTGCACATGACTCTGAGCAACATTCCTGCAGGGTGCAGAGAATAAAGTGACAGGCGCGCACACACACACACACACACACACACACACACTCAAGTTCCTGGAACTTAAAAAAGGAAACTCTTAACAAATGCAAACCAACAATGAACAAGTGCTGATATGAAGAGGACCCTTTGTTACAATCTTCCCTAGGTCTTAGAATGTGTGAACTTTCATAACTAATTTCCAAGCGCTGCTGTTTATTTGGGTTGCTGTTTGTTTAGAAATGCCCTCTAAACCAGCTCCTCTTCCAGGAACCAGGTTATAGAAAACATGACCTTAGCTTTCTCAATTCTCCCACCTCCAAGACTAAGAAACAGCCTTCTTACCCACAATGCTTGGGAATATGCCCAGAGGCCTTCCAATGGCCTTGGCAGGATACAGCACACCCCCCACATCCCAAGGCCTGAAATCACATGATCAAGGTCTAGGCCCCAGAAGGCTGCTCTTAAGGGGATCCTTCTCTAGTGATTGGTGGCTTAGGCCCCAGACCTCAGTCTTGAAAACGAGGCCCCAGAGCAAAGTCTTGAAAAGGAGGAGAGCTGGTCTTAAGGAGAGAGGATTACCATATCCCGGAGATGTAAGAATAATTGGTTTTTTTCTGTCCATTTGCTGATGCAAAAAGCCAAGGCACAGTGAAGTCTTCTCCTGAAAGCAGCACAGTTTCCACTATACTGTGCTTCTCCTTCAGCTAAGATACTTGTTCACTTGAACCTGCCTTTCACCCAGGAGCTCTGGGGGTGGCCCTTTCTCTTCCAACAGTTACCCAGCTCTGGTAATAGTTGGCACTGGAGAAAGTTGCACTCCCCTTAATCAAAAGAAATAAATGAAAAAGTAAAAAAAAAAAAAAAAAAAAAAAGAAACAACCAAAAAAAAAAACCCATTCACCAGTCTATGCCCACCCCATTCCCCCAAGCTCACTCCTTTCATACTTCTGTCACAAACTCACTGGTTTCCTAGACTACCAATCTCAAGAGAGTTTGCACCATGGAGCCAGCCCATTGATAAAGAGCAATAATAATTAAGCCAATAGGTCCCCGGAAAGCTAAGCTTCCTAACAATGAGAGCCACCTTCTAAATTCTTTAAATCTTAGAGATGTAAGAAGAGTTGCCATTTTAAACAGAATCACCCAGTCACCCAGAAAGGACTGGATAATTTAAAGTACCTTCACATTACCCACAAACACGTCCTTAAGCCTCAAACAGCCAAACAACCCTGTCCCGCAGAAATTATTACATGGGTGCTAACTTCATGGAACCAATACCTTTGCCCACTGCATGAAATTATGATGCCAGGGAAGATTTTCTTGGAAAAGCTTTCCTGTATCAAATCCCTACCATCTTATTGCAACAACAGGCACCCAGGCTCGAAGCAGCAGCCATAGTGAGAATGATGATGACTGTCATCATCACCCTCACCATCTTAGTTGCCGACATCATCGTCATCATCATCATCATCATTTAAATGTATTGAATGTGTCTTATGTGCCAGATACTATCTTAAATGCTTTATTAATATTTTCTCATTTTTCTCACTTAATCCTCACAACAACTCTGGTAATGTTCAAGTTTGATCATATCATTTTATGAATGTGGGAACACAGGCTCAGAGAGGTTAAGTAATTTGCCCACGGTTACAGAGCTAGTGGTAGAATTTGAATCTAGGCTTTTACCACCCTAGAGCCTGTACTCTTACCCAATACACCACTATGATCTTGAAATGTTAAGTAATACTATTACTATTAAAAACTGCTAACATTTATTTAGTGCACACAATAAGCCAGAAATTCTGCTAAATACTTGATTTAAATTATTTTATTTAACCCTCACAACAACCCTATTATTATTCCCATTTTACAGATGCAGCTAAGTAACATGCCTAAGGTTACATGGTGATGGAGCTCAAACCCAAACCCAGGAAATATGGTCCAAAGGCTCTATCCACCAAGCTGAACTTGCATTAGGAAAATGAAGCATTCCTACTGCCCTACTTAAGTCAGGATCCCCGCTGTATCCCAGTCCAAGCCTACAATGTCCCAGCAAGAATTTGGCAAGTAAATGCCAATGAGGAAACTTATCTGGCCCTGATGTGTACACACCAGCCACTCAGATCTGATTAATGTTAAGAAAAGAAGATCAAAACTCTTTATAGAAGTCTCTCTTTACCCCATTTTCCTTCAACCTGATTTCTGAAGAGAACACCTGACTACCAGCCTTTTTGTGCTCTGCCCAGAACATCTAATAAGTGTTTACCCAGGACTCCCAGAGCCATAGTTAAGGGCCTTAATGTGCAATCTGGCTCTGCACCTTATTTAATCAGCACCTGAATGAAATGTCTCTTTGCTAGCAACAGCCAGAACACAGTCAGTCAGAGTCTTTCTGCAAACACAGCTGGTCGATTGGCAAAGACAATTCAATTCACAGGCAAAATACACCCTGACTTTATACCAATACTGGCATGTGATGGACATGAGGAGACTGAAGGCACTGGGCTAGAATTAGGATGGTACCATGCTTCCTTTCCCCTCCAGATGATCTCACTCCTCCCTCTCCTACCCACCTAAACACATGGCCACAGGGCAGAGCTTGCACTGTTTTCGCCAAACAGGCCAATCCTGTCTGACCTCCTGGCTCCTGCAATCCATTCCCTTCCCTCAACACCACCCAGCTCAGAATAAAACTCATATTATCCTTCCTCCCTCTGCCATTTCCTCCAGCAGCTACTAGACGGGAACCAAAACCAATCAAGAGATCCCCCAAACCCTTCCCTTCAGGATCTCATGCTGGTAACAGGTCCAAGTGCCTTGATGCCCATGAACTGACAGATGTGCAAGCGCTGCCCTGTGTAGCCAGGAAAGAGCTGAGTAAACACAGAGGACTGACTGGTGCCCAGAAGAGGGGTCCTCGCCAGGCCTTCAGATTAACTGCTGCATCCAAGCACTGTGGAGGGAGATTTACATTAATATGAAACCCTGGGGGTCAGCATGTAGGGTGGCAAGGCATGGATAACTCCAGTTCTCCTGATCAGGGGCTTTAGCGGGAGAGAAGAGGCCAAAACCTGAGCAAGGCACATGAGAAAGGACATCTGCTTAAAAACACTAGACACAGTCTACCAATTAGATATAATGTTAGGGTAACAAGGCCCTTTTTTAAAACTCATCCTCTCCCTGACGCCCAGTGGAGTCTGTCCACTCACATTTCAGTATGAACCTCTGAAATAAAACTGCTTTCTTCCTAATCCCCCATGGCTATCATCTCCTCTGATGAGATGGGCATTTTGAATTATAGAAAGGATTGTTTTGGAACTTGTGTGGGGTGGATCAGGTGGACAGACTTGGAAACAGGGAAGAAGAGATATGAAAAAGAAAGGTAGAAAGATGGCACCACACTTCATTAGTGCTGCTGTGGACTTTAGAGCAGCAACCATCCACAAGCCACTAAAAAGCATCTACTGGTTGCAGGTGGGATGCCTGCTATCTCCTTATTTCTCACATTTAATGTCTGTTCACTTACCCCAATGTTGTGTGCCTCTGTTGTTGACAGTGTGGGCCCTCCTTGGGACAGCACAGAGAACACAATTTTCTATCTCATCCCCTATCGAGGATTCAAGGGCATCTGCAGGTCGTTTATCAACAGCCTAGAAATGACAGAGCATTCCTAGAGTTTCACTTAGTTGGCCAAGGGAGAAGTAAGACATCTACCCCTGATAATAATAAGCAAATAATTCCAGGTTACAGTTGAGACACTTTTCTGTGAAGGAGGAAGCAACTCTGCGAACTTATGGTAGGATCTCTCAAAGTGAGGTCAAAGGCTCACAGGCATTAGAATCATCTGGGAGTTTCTTATAAATGCAGATTCCCATCCTCATCCTAGACCTGCTCAGAATTGCTATGAAGAGAGCTAGACATCTACATTATAACAAGCTTCCAAGGGATTCTTTCACAAATAAAGTTTGATAATCACTGCTCTCCACATCCATCCTCTTCCTGTCTACTTGAACCCTGGGTAAGTGAATAGATATTAAATAGGAGAAATGGGGAGATAGCACATAGCCTTTGCACTTATTGTTTCTTATGCCTAGAATTGCTTTCCTTCCTCCATCACCCAATGAATTCCTACGCATTCAAATACATTTATTGAGCACCTACTAGAGCCAGTCCCTGTTCTAGGCACTAAGAGAACAAAAACCAAGGGTCCTTGCTTTCATGGAGCTAACATGAGCCAGCTCAAATGCCACCTCTTCTAGGAAGCTTTCCTTAATTGCATTAGGAAAAAAAAAGACCCCTGTCCCCTATGCTTTGTTCAAATCTGTTACTATACATGTAATGTTGTAATTTAGTTGATCTATTTCCTTGTCCATCTCATCAAAACTGTGAACAAAATGAAGGCAAAGGCTACTTCTTCTTTTTTTTTTGTTTTTGGTTTTGTTTTTGAAAGTACATCAACAATGACTGCTTCTTATTTCTCTTTGAATCTCCAATACCTGGCACCAATGTTTGGCACACAATAGGCATTCGATAAATATCTGTTGAGTGAACGCAAGAAAGAATAAACTCCCACGAACATCTAAAACAACAGTCCTGCAAACAGAGAGTTAGCATACAACAAACCATGTGTCAACATTCCCTCTTGTTAGTCCCTGCAGATCTTAGAGACTGGAAAGCGGGGGGATATAGAAGGACTGGAGGGATATATTCCATATATCACTGGAAGGTAATAAAGGTGGCCTGGTTGAAATACTCCATTGACATAACTAACAGTCACCAAACAAGCCAGTGGAACTCTACAGCTACCTTAAAACCCTCTTCACAATAACTTGGGGCCCTCATCCTCTAATCTGAATCACACTATTTAACAGGTATTGAGATGGTGCCAGAACACTTAATGCCTTGCCCACAGATCACCCAGACTCATGCTCAATTAGGATGGGCACTGAAACCAACTTCCCACCTAATTACTTCAGCCACTAGATAATGTCTCTAAAAGTGGGGTCCAAGGCTGACCAGCATTAGAATCACCCAAGAGCGAGTATAAATGCAGATTCCAATCCTCACCCTAGACCTGCTCAGAATCACCATGTAGAGAACAAGGTATCCGCATTATAACAAGCTTCCAAGAGACTCTTTTACAAATAAAGTTTGACAATCACCGCTTTCCACATCCAGAGTCTCTTCGCATTCACTCAGCCAGTTCCTGGCAGGAGAGGAGCACGTGAGACAAGACATTCTCAATTTAACAAAATATATGAAAGACCAGGAGAAGCAGAGAAACCTAGCTCTTCATTTCAATGAGGCATAACAATGAGGTATCCACTGAAAAAGAGAAGAGGGGAGAAAAAGGAAAAGTAAGTCTCTGGCTTAATAACATTTTTTATTTATATGATATTAAGAAGCAAGAAAGTTGGCATGTCCAAGAGATTAAGATCAAGATCCAACAGTGTGATTTCCTGATTGGGAGAAAAGCAAACAGACACTTTGGGCCAAGAGTAGAGATTCTAATAACCATTCTTTGTGATGGAAATTCTACAAAAAGATGTGTGAGCAGGAGCTGAGATTGCCTCACTCCTGTGGCTATTTCAAAAAACAGGCAGAAAGATTTTTTTTTTTTTTTTGAGACAGAGTCTTGCTCTGTCACCCAGGCTGGAGTGCAGTGGCGGGATCTCGGCTCACTGCAACCTCTGCCTCCTCGGTTCAAGCGATTCTCCTGCCTCAGCCTCCCGAGTAGCTGGGACTACAGGCGCGTGCCACCACACCTGGCTAATTTTTTGTATTTTTAGTAGAGAGAGGGTTTCACCGTGTTAGCCAAGATGGTCTCAATCTCCTGACCTCGTGATCTGCCTGCCTCAGCCTCCCAAAGTCTGGGATTACAGGCGTGTGCCACCATGCCTGGCTGGAAGATTCTCTTAATAGGAACATAGGGCCACCAGTGGAGAAAGAAAAAAGGAAAGCAAAAAGTCAGTTCCATCAATCATTCAGTCACCATTATCCAGGTACACATTAAACAATTAATGTGCATATACAGTATTATATTCAGCTCTGCAAGGAGTTACAAAGGAAAAATCCACTACTCCTTTACTTTAAAAAAGTGTTCCCACTAATGGTGGAGAAACATTAAAGAAACATGCAAAAACAAAAAACAAAAAACAAACAAACAAAAAAAAATGATCTGGCCAAACACCAGATTACCTACATGCATACAAAGGTATTCATTAAAGAGCCCAACATTCTGACATGTATTCAGACGGCTGGGAAAGGACAAAAAGTGTTACTGGAGTCAGGTCAGGCTCCTATGGAAAGGTTTCGTAGAGGAGAATCTTCAGGGGAGTATTTACAGAGGGGGAGGAAACTAAAAACAAGTCTCACAAAGACTGAGAAGAAGGTGGCCCATCTGTGGCAAAGGAATAAAAATTCTGTGAGCTTGTGGATCATCCACTGAGTAGGGGCCAGCAACATACTGTTATTTAAAAGCAAGCTGAGTTGTATTAACAGGTGCAAGGCATGAAAAGACTGGGAAAAAAATACTTCCTCTCTGCTTGGTGTAGGCTGGACCTCTGGTAAGAGTTAGTGTCCAGTTTTATATGCCATGCATCAGAAAGGTATCCAGACACAGGCAAGGATCCAGAGAAAAGTAACAAAAATGATTAGAGGAATGCCTTCTAGAAGCTATCAAGAAAGGTATAAGGAGTTGAGCTTTGTCGGTTTCTGAGTCTGAAGTTGAAACTGTATTGGTCATCTGCCATCTTTGACCAGCTTTGCCCAGCTTCTCTGTTTAAGTGACCACATAATTATTCAGAGAATTCAAATGCTTCATTTCCATGTGGCCCGTTTCACAGAGAAGACTGAGATAGGAAAAGGTTAAATAGTTTGCTGAGGTTCCTGTAGCAAGCCATGAGCAAAACTAGCATCATAATTTTAAATCCTGGGGCTGCCTGTGGGTTGTTTAATTCACCAATCCACAGCACCTCTCTTTATATGGACACCCCCAATGACTGTAACAATGAAAGATGGAAAAATTCTCTGCAAATTTCCTTGGGGGGAGAAACAAACTAAAAAGGAATGTCATGCCTCACTAGTGAGGCCCATATAAACATCATCCCCTTGTATCCCCCTGGACTGATGACACAGGACGCAGTCCATCTGATAAGCTGTCAGCAGATGGCTGGATCCCTTATTGTACCCATTACCCACCAACTTCAATTCCAAGCAGGAATGATAATCAGTGCTCCAGACAACAGATGGAGAATGAGGAGGTGTGTCTGGTGTGAAGTCAAGGGGGAAAACAGAAAGCCAAGTTTCTCAAATCCATCAGGTCTTCTCTAAAACAAATTCATCACATAACAACCGGAATGCAACAGTGTGTATTCAGTGAGTTGCAAGGGGTTTCACAAAAAGCTCAGGACTTTCTGAGTGTGTGTCATTCTACACTTTTAGCAAGGAGAGAGGAAGTAAGAAAATCAAACAGTGAACCAAAAGCGGGTAAGCCATATTTGGTTGAAGTTAGATTTCTAATATATTGTAAAGAAGACAAAAAATCAAATAGCTACAGCAACTCTAAAAAAGGATGGGATTCAGTGTTACTCACTAAAAACCAACAGCTTGGGACTAAGGGGTCAACAGCACCAATTATTCTTTGCCAAATATCCAGCCTGGATACAGCCTGCCTTATGCGCATAGACATGGAGGGTTAAACTGCATATGCTTCACCCCACTAAGTTCTGTGCCTAATCAGGAGATGTTGGCACAGACACATACAGAACCAACAGGAATTGGACAATTAAACAAGACATCCCAAATGGGATCTTTTTCTTAAGTTTCTAAGACAAATATAACTGGACTCAAGGAGGGTAAAGGGCCACTAAATTAAGACCACCAGTCTTTACAACAATCAGTCAAACTATCTAGCATTTTAACCCTTCTGCTGAGAAACTGTAGATTTTTAAGACTTAAATAGCTATGAGAATCTCTTCCTGCTAAGCCAGATTCCCACTGTGGCAGCTCAGTTCTAAAGCCACCTGTGCCACTAACTTACTGGGTGATTTTTGGTAAACAGTACAGTCACTCCATAAATTCACTCCCTGTCACCCATACCTGCCAAAATCATAAGCAAAAAGGGACTGGCCATGCTTGAAGAAATACTTATTGGTATAATTGATAGACACCAGTGATATTTAGCAAGGGGTTTAGCAACCATGTGGTAACCTTGGTGCTTGCTGATCTTGAGAACACTCAAATATCTCTGGCTGGAGGCTTAGCTGTGAGACAGTGCTAGGTCAACCATACATGCCTGTATCAGTCTACAGTCCCAGGACACGTTTGAGAAATCAGACAAGGCCAAAATGAAATCTGACAGGACGAATATTAATCAATAACAGAACTTGGACACAAGTACTGCCCTTCCTTATGCTACTACAGTTGGCAGTCACTCAAAGGCAGCATGGCTATGATGAGAGCCTGTGTAACAAGGCCTTGGGAATGAATATGTTGCAGACTGAAAAATGAGAGATGCGGAGACTAACCAATTTCCCTCCAACTTATCTATTTCCTGGCCTAAAGCAATACCTCCCTTGTTACAAACTTACACTGACTCTCTGAGGAAGAAGGCCTTTTTATAAAGCCAAAACTGAGTCATCCTGTTGAGAGACACATATCAGACATGTCTCTGCTAAGCTATCCCTTTCACTTCAGCTAATATCTCTCTTTCCTTGCTAGGACTTCTAAATTCCACAGAATTTGCCACTACAACATAGCCTAATTCAGCTAGTTCACTTGCCAAACATTTCTTTGTACATAGTATCTCCTCTTTGGAATATACACTGTTGCAGGAAACATTTTAACATCCCTTTCTCCAGGCCTAAGCTAAAAGTAACAATGTATATGAAAGTATCTTATAAACAGTAATTGTTAGATAAATGCAAGGTATTATGGTATTCTGGGTATACATACTATCATTGGTCATTGCTGCAACCAAGACAGAAAATTATTTCCAACCATCTGCTGTTAATTTTTTTTTTTTTAGGACTCATCAACTTTTAAAAATCCATACATTCCTGCTTCCCAGGAAAAGCCATATGGAGGGTATAGAAAGTTGGATTAATCAGAGGCTAGGTCTCCTGGTATGCCAGGGGTTACTATTTAAATGATACAAAGCAGTGATTTAGGGGAAAAGGGCAAAGAAGCATAATTCTGATGGAGCTCAAGAACTCCTCGGCATGGCTCTGTTCCATGCCCCCATCCTAAGGCTTCAGAGTCCTAAAGTGCCATCATCCTCTGCATGAGTTCCCAAGCATGGCCCAGTTGAGTTTACTTTACTGGGAAGACACAGGGAGAAAACAATGAATGGGAACTGGCCACCTGACTTCCACAGAGAAGAAACTAGCTTCCTTTTTTTCCACACAGGAGGTCAAAAGCATTTCAGAATAGCTCTCTGTTGCATACCCATCTACGACTTATGGAGACAAGAATCACATAGACTGTCAAGAGCTAGGAGGGCAACTCTGCCTCATTTCACAAGGTAGGCAAACTGAGGCCCAGGAAGAGTACTTTCTCCAAAGTCATACAATGAATTAATGCTAGCACTAGGTCTCCAGAGTCTTCTGAGAGCCTCTAAAAATCTTGCTTCTAAAAACCATGGTGTTGCCAGTCTTGACGTCATCACATCAGCCGCAGCTCCAGTCAGGCTGAATTTAGTCCTTTGTCGACCTTCTAGATATGTGATTGCCAGAGGCCTCAAGACCACTTTGTAGAAGATGCACCCTTTGACCCTCACCACCTGCCATCCTAAAAAAGCACTCCTGTCCCGACAGCCTCACACAGCATCGGCTGAGATGCGTTGTTTCCTATCATTAACAAAAAGCCCATTCATAAAAAAAGAAAGAAAGAAGACTGGCTCAAATTTACACAGAAGGTCTAGCTGGGACAGCCCTGGACTTCCTGTGAATGGCATCACTTCCCAAGAAGCCCTCTCTTAAAAAATGCTGCCCACTCCAGCCCCGATGCTTACAGCCACCCAATCAAAAACAGCCACTTTATTCCAAAGTTATCCATACCTTCTTACCATATCTGCAAGAAGGGAAGGGGCTGGGGTCATTCACCACATCCAGAAGCCTGCAATCAAATGAGTTCCTAGGAACACAGTGCAAGCAAGTATCCAAGCCATGGGTAGACAGTGTGGTGCTCATCTGCCTGAGTCTTCCCACAGGACTGCCCCACCACCCACTGCCACCCTCACTTTGGGGTTGACAGCTTGCAACCTCAAGGTGGATGAGTTTGCTTTCTAACCCAGGCACTAATTCATCTTCTGGCTGCAAGCAAATGACCTGCCATTCCTAAACCCCTCCAGGCCTGTAAAATGGAGATAATAATCTCAACCTCCTGCCCCAAGCTAGGCTGTCACAAGTCTCCAAAGAATAACCTTCTACAAACATAAAGGCAGTAAAGATGCTAATGACAGGTTTCAAAACTGCCCCTGAATAAAACACACCCGGTTTTCCACAGCCTGAAATCTAAAAAAGACTGATTGCTCTCCCAGTCTCCTCTTCCTCCTCCTCCATGATTTTATAGCTTTAGAACATCTCTCCACACAGGCTGAATACAGACAGTCTCACTCTTGGTCCTCACCCAGATTATTTTTATGTATCTGGCAACTTGCCTTTTCAATCCCATTTGTTTTCCTTAGCACCGCTAATGGGTGGAAGTCGATGAGGTAAAGAAATCAGCTTCCTAAGCACCCTTGGACTATGACCATAGGAGACAGAATGACAGTAATAGGATGGAGAGGTTTGCAAAAAAAGAAATACCCTCTCACCATAGTGATCACCAGCCCAAAGTACACATGTCAGCCTGGGGACCTGCTTCAGAACTCATTTAGTAGGAGCTTGGTGCTGCTCCAATGCCTCAAAATGCAAAGGCAGACCTCACTCTAAGAGCATACACTCCCAAATGAAAGAGTCATTAAGAGAAACCTGTAAAAGTATTTCCCCAAAGTACCACAGTGTAGATGAGAAAGTTTATGCGACCACCTCCAGGAAAGAGTGTCACCAGGCCCCTGGGAAATTAACTACCACAGAAGGCAAGGGAGCTGGGTCATGGTCCACTGATGTGATTCAGAAAGGGCACCTGGCTGGGGCTGGAATTCCTGCTTGTGAAAGCCCAGGGCACGGCAGGGTTGGGCTGGGCTGGAAGGGAGGGGCAGCCAGGGTGAGTGCCAGTCGTTCCTAGGGTTCAGGCACAAGGTTCCTCACCTCCACTGTGGGGCTGACGCACTGTGCAAAGGTGAAAGAAAGCCAAACCTGAAATCGGCACAAAGGCAGCCACTCGTTGGAAAATCATTTTTAAAGGTCCCCCTGCCCGCCGGGATGAGGTGCTGTACACTATGGAGTGTCCTGAGCACATAAATGACTCTTATCACTTAGGATGCCCAGGAAAAAGTCAACAGACTCACATGCATCATGGTGACCAGGTGACAGGGGTTGAGCAGGTAGATGACGGTCTTGGTGGCGAACTTAAAGCCCACCTCCACCCCGAAGGTCAGGCACAGGGCTACTAAGAGCAGATTCTTGCTCAGGCTCTCCTTGCCTTCCTCTGGCCGCTGGGTCACCTGCTCTGGCTGGCTGCCAGGGCTACCCCTACCGTCCTCCTTCGTCTGCCTCAGGATGTGCCGCAGGGCCACCAGGATCTCCAACAGAGCCAGGGTCAGGACCACCACACTTTCCAGCAGCCGCTGCTGCCAAGAGAGGAAGGCAGCACAGTCGGGGCCCCCATTGCCTGCAAAACTGGGGTCCACGCCCCCATAGAGCCAGTCCAGGAGACTCTGGTAGCTATACCGGGACATGATGCAGTGGTTCCCCTTGACCACAGTACAGGAAGCAAGAGTGAGATGGAACACAAGCCCAGAGGGTTGCCCGGGTGGTGGACCATGTAAGGCGGGCACACCCCCACAACCCCCCTCCAGACACCAGGGCACCGAGAGTAGGGGAGGGGAAGCTACACGCAAGGCCCGGGGTAAAGTGCTGGCTCTAACTTGTCCCCACGGCTGTCTGGGGGAGCCCCCCGCGCTTCTCCAGTGGCCACCAACGAGGCAGGGTTGAAAGGAGCCGTTGGCCAATCTAAAAGGAAGGAGAGGAAAAAAAAAAAAAAGAGGTCTCAAAGAGGCAATTGCACCGGGAATTAGGAAGCGGGAGGGGTAACTAGCGAGGGAAGAAAACGGGAACGGGGCAGTGGCGAAGCAAGCAGGGGTCAGGGGAAGCCGGAGGCCGAAAGGGTCAGGGCGGGGGCCAAGGAGACCCGGCAGTGCTGCGGCAGCGAACCGGGAGCCAAAAGGGGTCAGAGCTAGGGGACACGCGGAGGCAAGGAGAGGAGCTAGCGGGGCCGAGCAGGCGGGGAGGGCGACGGGGATGGCAGGGACGCCGGACTCCTCGTCTCACGCACTCGCCACAGAGGGATCTCTTACTCCTGCAACCGCGTGGCCGTCTCTGCCCCCAGCTAGCAACTTCGCCGCCGACGGGCCCCTCCAGCCAATTTAGAGCCGTCCTTGTCCAGCCTCCCGCCCCCGGGTACACCCCCGAACCCCCAGCTCCACCCTCCGGCCCTAGACGCCCGCCCTCCGGGCAGCACCACCCCCAGCCCGCGGCCCGCCCGGGACCTGCCCCCCTCGCGCAGGCAGCGGAGGGAGGAAGCCAGAGGGAAGGCGGGAGGCCGGGCCAGCCGGGGGCTGGACTAAAGCCGGCCCCTGGACTAAAGCCGGCCCCCCTCCCTCCTCCCCGGCGCCGCAACCTCCCGCGCCTCCCGCCCAGCCCCGGGGACCGGCCGCCGCGCCCCTCGGGGCTTCACTCACCGGCAGCTCGGCCCGCGGCCCCGGATCGGGCTACTGCTCCGCTCCCGCGCTCTCCGCGCCGGGCGCTCGGTTCCCCTGGCGGCCGCCGCCGCGGCGCACGGCTCCTCCTCCCCGTCTTCCTCCCCCTGCAGCAGCCGCGCTCGCTTCCTCCTTCTTCCCCTCCCTCTCTCCTCCCCCTCCCCGCTGCCACCGCCACTGCCTCCCTCCTCCCGTCCAGTTCAGCTCTCGCCCCACCACACGCCCTCGGGCCACGACTACTCCTCCTCGCCTCCTTCCCTTTTCTGCCTCTGGCACTCCCCTCACCCGTCCACCATTCACACCTCCCACCCTCCGCGGCTTCGGCTCTCCCTCCTCCTCCTCCCTCCTCCTCCCTCCTCCGGCTCAGGCTCCGCCTCCTTCCGCCTCCTCCCTGGCCTGCCTCGTCTTCTGCACTCGGAGCCTGCACGCGTGCACAGCCACCCTCCTTCACAACCGTGTACAGAATTCGCCCCCTCGGTGAAGCCCTGTTGACTGGCTCCGCCTCCCGCGACCTGGTTCTCCAGGGCACTTCTTTCTATACTGCACACATAGTAGGCACTTAGCTGGCCCGCACTAACTTCTTGTGGGGGAATAAGCCTTTCTAGTAATGAGCAGCTTGGCTTCGGGGTGTGTGCTGGGTATGGCCGGCTCCTCTTCGCGATTCCTCCTTTCTGCCACGACTCATGCAAGGCCAGAAAGGCATCTTCTCTCCCCTTTCTAGCCACAGCCCCACTCCACACTTCAGTGCCTAGGACAGGAGCTTCATTTCCCTGCTCCTCCCCCTCCTGCTCTGATCCACTATTTTCTCTCTACCTCTTGCCACACAGACCACCCCTGCCACACCCTCTCCCTCTCCCACTTCTCTCCTTTCTCCTGACAGGCCTTCAATGGTAGGCCAGTGGGAGGAAGGGAGGCTTCCCGTGACCTCTTTCCCTCCCCCTCTTCCCCCCTTCCCCCTCCCCAGAGCAGTTGCTTCCTAACCTATGCGTGGAAAAGCCAGCCAGGACTATATGAGTGTGGAGGAGCAGCACTAAGCCCAAAACCTGGATAAGGGCAACTGACGGAAATAAAATCCCCTCTTCCTACCTGCTGCTTTTTACCGATCGGCTATTTGCTTTTCTTGAGACAAGGGTCAGTAAAAGGACCTTCTCAGGACCTTCCTCATGTTTATTTAATATTTATTGAAGACTCACGATGAGTTAGAAGAATATCCAGAAAAACACAGTTAGGCACCTTGCCTAGGAAACACTTTTGGATGTTGGCTGCAAGCCAGGCTCAAAACATAAAATGCAATCTACTGTATTATCAGGCCATCGCCCTCCCGTTTTTTCCAAGTCTGGTTTTCCGAACAAGTACAGCCAGGTAGCCTTGTCTGACTCCAAGTTTTGTACAACATCTACCATAGGCCTGATGTTCTCCAAGTGTCAGAGGCGTTAGAACCAGAGCGACTCCATCTTGAACAGGGCCTGGATAAAATGACGCTGAGACCTACTGAGCTGCATTCCCAAAAAGTTAGGCATTCCAAGTCACGGGATGAGATAGGAGGTCGGCACAAGATTATAGGTCACAAAGACCTTGCTGATAAAACAGGATGCAGTAAAGAAGCCGGCCAAACCCCACTAAAACCAAAAAGGTGATGACAGTTACCTCTGGTCGTCCCCACTGCTCATTATATGCAAATTATAACGCATTAGCATGCTAAAAGTCACTCCCACCAGCGTCCAGAAGTTACCCTATATGGTCTGAAAGGGGGAGGAACCCTCAGTTCTGAGAATTGCCCACCCCTTTCCCAGAAAACTCATGAATAATCCACCCCTTGTTTAGCATATAATCAAGAAATAACCATAAGAATTATCAGTTGAGCAGCCCAAGCTGCTACTCTGCCTATGGAGTAGCCATTCTTTATTCCTTTACTTTCTTAATAGACTTGCTTTGACTTTACTCCAAATTCTTTCTTGCCCCGAATTCTTGCTAGAGGTCCAAGAACCCTCTCTTGGGGTCTGCATCCAGACCACTTTCCAGTAATACAAGTGCCAATTAATAAACAACAACAAACAAGGCTTGATTCAGAGGCTCACTAGTTCATTCTCCTTAAGTGTTTTGTTAAATCCTCAGCAACATAACCAAGGAACATTAAGGACAAAGCTGGGGAGCACCTAGCAATGGAATACAGCATCCCAAAACCTCAAGTTGCTATCTTCAAGGAAGCAAGAATTAGGATATAGCACTTAGCCAATGGCTTCAGTAATCCCTCCAATTTCCATGCTGAGCTTCTGTTGAGAATTTGGCCTAGACTGTCCCGAGTTTGCAACAATGACTATGGTTAATAATGACTGTAGCCAGGCCAGTTTTCTAAATTGAGCCATAAATTCCTTTTTCACAGGCATGTTGAAGAAAAAAGCCAAACTCTGTAAAATATTTGAGATTTATTCTGCACCAAATGTGAGGACCATGACATGTGACACAGCCTCAGAAGGTCCTGAGATCCTGTGCCCGAGGTGGTCGGATTACAGCTTGGTTTTATACATTTTAGAGAGACAGGAGTTACAGGCAAAGATATAAATCAATACATGTAAGGTATACATTGGTCTCAGCCTGGAAAGGCGGGACATCTCAGGTGGTTGGGGGAAGCTCACAGTCATAGGTGGATTCAAAGACTTCTGACTAGCAACTGGTCGAAAAAGTTAAGCTTTATTTAAAGTAAAGAGTTGAAGTCAGCAGAAAGAAATGCTTAAGATAACGGGTATTGTGGAAGCCAAGATTCTTGCTATGTAGATGAAGCCTACAGGTAGCAACCTTCAGAGAGAATAGATGTAAAATCTCTTATTGGACCTTAAAACGTGTCCGACTCTTAGTTAAATCTCTCCTGGATCATGAAAGGACCTGGAAAGGGAAGGAGATTCTCTATAGAATGTAGATTTTCTCCACAAGAGATAGCTTTGCAAGGCCATTTCAACATATGTCAAAGAAATGTATTTTGGGGTAAAATACTTTGATTTCCTTCAGGGCCTGCTTTCTGTCATGTGGTGCTATACCAGGGTCAGGTTAGAATTTGGTATTTTATTGTCACGAAGAGTCTGTTTTGTCAGTCTTATGATCTCTATTTTAATGTGAATGCTGATCAATTGTGCATAAACTCCAAAGAGAGGGGGTATAATGAAGAATGTCCTTGAGGTTTTTTGAACATGGGAAATTTTGTGATGGTTTCTGTCAAGGTTTCTAATGATTTTTTATTGTGGTAAAATATAAAATTTGTTGTTTTAACTATTTTTTTCTTTTCTTTTTTTTGAAATGGAGTCTCGCTCTATTGCTCAGGCTGAAGTGCAGTGGTGCCATCTTGGCTCACTGCAACCTCTGCCTCCTGGGTACAAGCAATTCTCCTGTCTCAGCCTCCCAAGTAGCTGGGATTACAGGCATGCACCATGTCCAGCTAGTTTTTGAATTTTCAGTAGAAACAGTGTTTCACCATGTTGGCCAGGCTGATCTCCAACTCCTGGCCTGAAGTGATCCACCCACCTCGTCCTCCCAAAGTGCTGGGATTACAAGCGTGAACCACTGCGCCTAGTTGTTTTAACGATTTTTAATTGTACAATTTAATGACTTTAATCACATTCACAATGTGCAACCATCACTACTCTATTTCTGAAAGTTTTCATCACCCCAAATAGAATTCCTATACCCATTAAGCAAAAAAAAAAAAAAAAAAAAAAGTCCAACCTCCATGAGACAGAGTCTCACTCTATCCCCTAGACAGGAGTGCAGTGGTGCAATCTCGGCTTACTGCAACCTCCGCCTCCGAGGTTCAAGTGATTCTCCTGCCTCAGCCTCCCGAGTAGGTGGGACTACTGGCATGTGCCACCATGCCTTGCTAATTTTTGTATTTTTAGTAGAGACTGGGTTCCACCATTTTGGCCAGGCTGGTCTTGAACTCCTGACCTCAGGTAATCTGCCCTCCTCAGCCTCCCAAACTGCTGGGATTATAGGCATGAGCCACCGCATCTGGCCAGCCTGAGCTAGTTTTTCAAGTTTTCTTTCCAGGTCCTCTTAGCCAAGGTAGGGGGTGTGTGTTGGGGGGTGTGTCTGTTCAGTCATTTAGGGGGCTTAAAATTTTATTCTGGGTTTACAAGTAGAATAACAAAGTGTTTTTAGGATATGGATTCGAATCTAACCCCATTTATATTATTTACTTGCTGTGTCACCTTGGACAATTTACTCTCAACCTCCCTGTGCCTCAATTGCCTCATCTATTAATTGAAAGATACTATTATCAAATTGATGAGGTTATGCACAGTCAAATGAGCTGAATGTTGGGGACCATAAGGTGGTGTCTGGTGCATAGAGAGTGTTCACTAAGTGCTCCCTATTATTACCCATCCCTGCATTTGCATGTGTACACACACCCAAGCACGTGCACGCACACACAACCTCAAATTCAGCGCCCTCCCCCACATTTGCATAAACAATCCTACCATCCTTCAAAGCCCACGTAAAATTTCACTCCCCCCAATCCCCCTCCCTCAGCTCCTGGAGCTCTCTTCCTCCTCTGAACTTGTACAGCATTTATTGCCTGCACTACTCATTTTATTCTGAATCACATACTGCCTTCCATTGTTCTCTCATTGTGACTCTTGTCTCCCACACCAGGCTCTTTGAGAGCTGGGAATGGATCTTAATCTTTTCTAAACCCCACCCACAGCACCTAGCAGAGTGGCAAACTCCTAGTAGGCACTAAATAAGCACTAGGAGATTGTTGTCCCCATAAGTAAAAGGCAGGTAATAATTGAGGTGAAATGGTATGTTGAATTTAGAACTGCAAAAGCTGCAGGCAAAAGTCCTGATCATATCTTTGCTGGGATACAGGCCAGAGCTTTCTTGTCGCCAACCAGTAACAAGAGCAAATCAACTTTGCTTTTTAAGTAGATCCTTGAAGCACAACAGTGAAAACGGAACCCAGAATCCAGGCTTGGTTCAGTGAAACCTTGGGGAAAATAATCTCTCTGTGCTTCTGTGTACTCAGAAGCAAAATGAGAGGGTTGGACTAGAATGGTCTCTAAAATACCTGCTGGCATTAATCTTCTATGATTCTACGAACTCAACCTTCCCACCTTTTTATCCCAGTCTGGTTTGAATCTTAAAGCAGAAAGATAATCTACCTACCTGACTTGGAGATCTGGGGAGTCTGGGGAGACAATGCTCTAAATTCTTTTGGCCAAAGTGCCTCCCAGCTATGAACACAGCTGACCTACTGTGGAGTGCAAAGTGTCAGAAATTATTACCTCTGTTGTACCACAGACAAACTGAGGTTCAGACAAGTGAAGTGACTTGCCTAAGGTCACACAAGTTAGTGGCAGAGTGAGGACTAGAACTTGAGGTTCTAACTCCCGGTCCAGTGATCTTTCAACAGTAGGAGCCAGAGCAAGCTCGTTCCTTTGACTTCATCATCTTACCTTTTCTCCTCCTGCACTTTATTCTTTGAATCAACTCCTACCACTCTGTCCACAATGGAACCTGAGAGTCGAATGCATACATGATCTTTCACAAGCAAAAAACAATGCACACTCCCAACATTATATGAAGTGTTAGCAGTAAAAATAAACTGCATATGTACGGAGGATGGAGAAGTCTTTGTCTTAATTTGACTGTCTGCTTACTGCTTCTGCCACCATGCAAAACATTCGACACCAGCATTCATTCCGTAAGTACTTTCTGAGTCTCTATTATGTTCATAGGAATGCTCTATTGCCTGTGAGCAATGTCTGCTCTCAAGGAGCTTAAAATTCAGCTAGGGAGATACTCACAAACAAGGGAGGTTAGAAAACAATAAATAAGGGAAGTATAAACACAAGCCAAGAAAATATGAGCTGCTACCACAAAAACAAGTCTTGTATGTGTCAAGTGAGTTTTACCAACAAGGAGAGTGAGAAGAATTCAGGCATAGTTCAACACCAAGTAAAGCCATCTATGGGGAGAAAGGTCAGCATGGCAGATACCCTAGAGACACTGACGGGAAGGGAAAAGAAGGAAGCCTCCTGGAATGCCAGCAATGCTCTGTGTCTTGATCTGGGTGACGTTACATGGATGTATACATATGTAAACCTACATAGCGTGCACACTTTAGAGTTGTACGTTTTACTGTATGTCAGTAATGCCTCAATTAAAAAAAAAAAGTTCAGAAAAGAGGGAAAACACCAGGAGCAGGAATTGCCAGGAACATGTTCATAGAGGAAGAGGCAACGTTTGATTGGGGATGTAATAAATCTAACCTACTGGATGTTAGCTCTGGCTCCAGCACTTTAGAGCAGGGGTCTCAAACCCCTGGACTACACACCCATACCAGTCTGTGGCCTGTTAGGAACTGGGCAGCACAGCAGGAGATGAGTGGTGGGCAAGCAAGCGAAACTTCTTCTGTATTTACAGTAGCTCCCCATCACTCACATTACTGCCTGAGATCCGCCTCCTGTCAAATCAGTGGCAGCATTAGATTCTCATAGGAGCATGAACCCTACTGTGAACTGTGCATGTGATGGATCTAGGTTGCGCACTCCTTATGAGAATCTAATGCCTGATGATCTGTCACTGTCTCCCATCACCTCCAGATGGGACCATCCAGTTGCAGGAAAACAAGCTCAGGGCTCTCACTGATTCTATATTATGGTGAGTTGTATAAACTGTTTCATTATCTATTACAGTGTAATAATAATAGAAATAAAGTGCACAATAAATGTAACCCTCTTGAAACATACTGAAACCACGCCCCCTAACCCTGCTCCCCCACAACCAGTCCTTGGAAAAATTGTCTTCCACAAAACCAGTCCCTGGTGCCAAAAACGTTGGGGACTGCTGTTTTAGAGTCATTTGGCCAGTTTTTTAAAAATACTGATTTTGGGGGCCCCACTCCAGACCAATACAATCAGAAGCTTTGGTAGTAGACCCTTAGTATGAATTTTTTTTTTTTTTTTTGAGACAGAGTCTCGCTCTGTCACCCAGGCTGGAGTGCAGTGGCATGATCTTGGCTCACTGCAACCTCCACCTCCTGGGTTCAAGCGATTCTCCTGCCTCAGCCTCCTGAGTAGCTGGGATTACAGGCACCCACCACTACACCCGGCTGATTTTTGTATTTTCTAGTAGAGAAGGGGTTTCACCATGTTAGGCTGGTCTTGAACTCCTAACCTCAGGTGATCTGCCCGCCTCAGCCTCCCAAAGTGTTGGGATTACAGGCATGAGCCACCACGCCCAGCCAGTATGGATATTTTTTTTTAAACTAAGATTGGGAACTACCATGGGTCTAGTCAATAAAGCAAGAAAATCTAACTAAGGGTGAGCAAACACCATTAAATGGTTGAGTGCTTTGCATACAGTATCTCATTTAAGCCTTATGACAAACAGCCTGGAACAATAGGTACTATTGTTTTAATCCCCATTTTATGGATGTGAAAATGTATGCTTAAGTCATACTGCTTGTATGTGCCAAAGCTGGGATTTTATCCCAGATCTGCTAGCTCCAAAGCCAGTAACCCGAACCCATACACAATACTGCTCTTGGTAGATGAGCTGACTGTCCATTAAGACATCACTGCTTTCAATTTCTTTCTTTCTTTCTTTTTTATTTATTTACTTATTTATTTATTTATCAGACAGGGTCTGGGTCTGTCTCCCAGGCAATCTCAGCTCACTGCAACCTCCACCTTCCTGGCTCAAGCCATCCTCCCAAGTAGCTGGGACTACAGGCTTGTGCCACCAAGCCCAGCTAATTTTTGTACTTTTTTTTTTAATAGAGATGGGGTTTCACCATGTTGCCCAGGCTGGTCTTGAACTCCTGAGCTCACACCCACTTGCCTTGGCCTCCCACAGTGCTGGGATTACAGGTGTGAGCCACTGTGCTTGGCCTAATTTATTTCTCTTTTTTCTTGAGGTTTAATTTACATACACTAAGATGCATTATTAGTTTTAAGTGTACAGCTCCATGAGTTTGACAAATGTATACACCACTGTAATCACCACCCAGATCTTCATGCCCACCTCCCTGTCAATCCCTACCCCCAGAGGTAACCATTGTTCTGATTTTTATCACCATAGATTCACTTTGCTTACTCTTGAATGCCATATAAATGGAATTGTGCAGCATTTAATTCATTGTGTCTGGCTTATTTTGCTCAGCATTCTGTCTGTGAGGCTCATCAGATCACTTCTTATGTCAGGAAATGAATGCTAAGAATGTAGAAGATGCTAAACCAATCAGACTCAGGACAAAGCTCAGGTCTTTAATTGCAGAGCTGGGAACCGCTGTTGCCAAGAAGCCCTTCTCCACCCCTGGCACCATAACTCCAGTGGTGATCCCACAGCTGATATTAACAATGGGGTCCCCATAGCGTATGTCTACAGAATTGTTCAAGACACTTGGAATACATCAACCTCACACAATCTGGGAAGCAACAGAACCCAGCTTCCTGGAATAAGAGGAAAGTGTGTGCTGCAGTAAGTTCAGCCTCTAGACTCCAGGAGCATGGGAAGCATTCTGATCCTCCCAGTTTCAGAATGATCCCAAAGAACATGATTAATACTTGGCAGGTGAGGGGTGTGAGTGGCGGGGAGGGCACTCCTGGTGCAACCCTACTTTGTGAAAGTTCAGTAAAGTCCTCATACTCCCCTGTACTCCCCATCAGAACTGAGCCCAGAATGCCATGGCTGACCCCAAAATAACACAAACTGGACACAGCTGCTCTCCTTTTCCTTGCTATTTTATTTTTAAATTTAATTTAATTTAATTTATTTTATTTATTTATTCATTTTTTGAGATGGAGTCTCACACTGTCGCCCAGGCTGCAGTGCAGTGGTTTGATCCTGGCTCATTGCAACCTCTGCCTCCTGCGTTCAAGTGATTCTCCTGTCCCAGCCTACCAAGTAGCTGGGATTACAGGAGCCTGCCACCAGCCCTGGCTAATTTTTGTATTTTTAGTAGAGATGAGGTTTCACCATGTTGGCCAGGATAGTCTCGATCTCCTGACCTGGTGATCTGCCCACCTCAGCCTCCGAAAGTACTGGGATTACAGGCATGAGCCACTGCGCCCAGCCTGCCAGCTATTTTATTTTTAAGGGCAATTCCAAATTTCTGAATTTTTCTAAGTCCATTGCTACATGCTAGCTCTTCTCCCCATAATAGAAACCATACAACCATTTTAGATGAGTCTAGTCATATAGATGCAGCTTTACTGTCTCTCTCCATTCAGAGTCTCCAGCATGAGGCAACAATAACTTGAGTTCCCCCACTGTGCAGAATTCTTTAATCAAGCTTTGATGGGTAGAGAATCACCATCCCTGCCTTTTATTTCTTGGTTTAATTGTATTTCCTTTCTATAACTCTGTCCTTCAACATTTGAACTTTATTTGTAAGTCTCCCATAGTCTCTAGATATCAAGCTAACTTTTCCATATGGTTCCCTAGTATCTGGTGGATTAGTTTTGTTTGACAGTTTACTTCATTGTTTGGATCTCCAACTTCTAACCTACTTGATCCCTCTATCAGCAATTTTCACTTGCTCCCCACTGTATCACTTGATAAGAGACCTGACCTAATGGTTAAAAAAACACTGTGCTAGGAGAAACAAACTAAGTTCTAACCTTGGGTCCTTGACTTGCTGTCTAACCCACTTCCTGCTTCGTTTTCCTCATATTTGGCAGAAAAATACACATCCCAAACTCTCCTTGCTTCACAAGGATATCCCCAGGACAAATAATATTGTATACATGAGTGCTCTTTGCAATATTGCCGATATATCAACTCAAAAGGTGATTGCTATCATTAAATCTTAATAAGACAGTAATGAGAAAAGCATGCTTTCACAGGGAAGCCATATATATATATATATACACACACACACACACATATGTGTATATGTGTACATATATGTACAATCAAGTACATAGTAAGAAAAAAACTTGAGTGACAGCACAAAAAAGTCTTTTTTTAAAGATATTGACATTATTAAACATTTAAACAGATATTGACATTATTAAACATTTACTTATAATCTAGAAAGCCCAAGCCAAGTTGAAACAAAGTTCAAGACTAACAAATTACTCCTCAGGCTTCCAAATTTAAACCTTCCCTTAATTCTATTAATTGACTATCATCGGATAAATGTTTTCTTGACTTGTAATCCTAAACTGCCACTTACCTTATCATAAAAAACTCAACTTGGCATTATTTGGCTATTTAAATCATGAAGGAGTCAGGCTGCAGTCTTTATTCCAGGGGTTCCAAGAAAGGTCTGTGGTTAAATGTCATGGTCTCAGGCAGAGCCAAAAACTTGCCGTGGCATACTGGGCAAGCCAGAGAACTCTTCAGGACTCAGGCTGCTGGCCTTGCCCTTGACACAGCCTGGAAAAACTTGGCTGGGTGGCAGTATCATGTAGTTGAAAGTACATGAGGGAAATGGTGACCAGAACACCTGGGTTGGATTTGACTAGCTTGAGCAAGTCACTCTTTGGGCCTCAGTTTTGTCTTTTAGAATATGAAAGGATTTCAGTCACTCACCTCTAAGTCCCCTTCCAGCTTTATTATATTTTTTCTTTGTTTATATTTTCTTTAATAAGAAGAGACAGGGTCTCACCATATTGACCAGGCTTTGCATACTCCAGGTCTCAAACTCCTGGCCTCACGCAATCCTCCTGCCTGGCCTCCCAAAGTGCTGGGATTACAAGTGTGAGCCACCGTGCCTTGCCCTTTCTAGCTTTAATATTCCTTTCAACTGGGAATGTTGATGTGAAAAACTGGCCTTACAAATTCAGGCTGTGCTTTAGAATCTTGGATTCCTTGCTCATTTTTCCTCCTTTCTGTCTAGGCCATGATACAGTAATGAAGGAATTGCTCCACTGAATCGAGACATAAACCTATTCATTCCAGGCTAAGCTAGTCACAGATGCATGGAAGATAGAAGACCCAGCATCTTCCTGAGGAAGACTCATTTCCAATGCCTGCATTTCTTCACATTCCCTTGTTGTTGTTGTTGTTGTTTTAATAAACATGTATTGAGTGCCACTGTCTGCTAGGTAATATGTACAAACAGGTATTTTATAGCTAAAATTTCACAGACAACATATATTTCAAGCATTAGGATGCATAAATGCAAATCCCTTGTTTTTGCAGAAGTTGGATGTTGCAAGAAATATTTTAAGTCCCTGAGGGTGAAATTTACATAAAGTAAATATCAAGTTTATTTCATGAATCAATATTTGAATAACAAAGTAAATGAACAGATTGGATCTGAAATCAGAGAGGTGCAGGTTCAAATCCTTGCCAATGATAAACTCTTGTAATCCGAGGCAAGTGACTTCACCTCTCAGAGCCTTTTTCCTCATATGTGATATGTTCTTTCATGTATCCACCTTGGAGGGTGGTTGTGAAAATCAGTGAAGTGCTTTGTGTGGAGACTAGCTAGTACCCTGTCTGGCAAGTAAGTCACTCAGTAATTGTTTGCTTTAGGGATATGCCCATTTTCAATTACAGATATTCATGTTTTAATACTAAGGCAGAAATCAAATCTACCCCAAGTGGGTTAAGTAGGCCAATTTTCTGTTGAATACCCTTTTACTTCTGTAGCCTCAGGTGCAACTGACATCCTGTCCTGCCACAACATAGCAGGAGTGTTATTAGAAACCACACACTTTCCTGCAGGGGAGGAAGAGGAAAAGAAAGAGAGAAACCCAAGCATCTGCTACATGTGTGATTGATTTTGAGATGCGGGCAAGCTGGCAGTTTGTAGTTGCTCTTTTCTTGAAGTGCAATGCTGTCAGGAATCAATATGCTGAAAGCAGTTTTGGAAAGCTAGCTGGGGAACCCCTGGAAAATTCTGAGAGCTATTGGCCACATCCATTCTAGATTTAGACAAGTCCCCTACCCTAACCTGGTACTATCTCTTCCATGTTACATGTGAAGATAAAGCTATCAACCTCATCGACAGGCCAAGAGCTTTGATCTTTGTTCCAGTGGTGCAGTCAGCTGGGGAAAGGAGATAGATTTCATCTGACTTGAGATGACTAAGTAGTATTGATAATCACATCCCCTCTTGAGGTGCATTAAAGGTTGTCCCTGGGTCAGGTGAATTTGCATCGCTTCTGAGAATTTTAAAAATAGAAAGGGGGTCTTGCTATGTTGCCCAGGCTGGTCTCAGACTGCTAGGCTCAAGCAATACTCCCACCTCAGCCTCCCGAGTAGTTGGGACTATGGGCATGTGCCACCATTCTGAGAATTCTTGAGGGGAGCATGGCAGTAGCGATCAGCTTCCAAATTTACACTTAGATCTCAATCTGTACCCATTATTAACAATGATAAGAATAGTAACGGGTATGATGGATTGAGTAGTTATGTGCTAAATTATCTTAACCATGGGGGGTGGAAACTGAGGCTTAGAGGGTAATTCGATTAAGGTGCCCCTAGTAATGAGTAGAAGGACAAATTTTCAACACAGATCTGTCTAAATGCAGCGCCTGACCAACTAAGCCCTATATGACTGTGACCCTTGCCCGGAATCTCATATGATCTGTGGCTTGTTCTTGCATGATAACCATCTAGGTCAGGAGGACCAATTTGTGGACAGGAGCACAGTCTCTACTGCTTGGAACTGGGGAGGAGAGAATCAAACAGGCCACAGGGGGTTTGAGCCCAGAACCTCAGTCTCATTGTCACAAGATTTGAATCATCTGAGCACTTGATTATACCTCATCCTACCATGAAAGATGGGTAGGCTTTTTACGTACTGCTTTAAATCAGGAAATGATTTAGGTCTTTCAAGGACTCATTTGGCATAGCTGGCATCTGCCTTCAAAACACTTGGGAATTGAATATCTTCAAAGCGGTTCTCTCTTGGATGGGGTTCTCAGATATTGATGGATTTGTTTCTAAGGAAACAGAGGCAAAAAGAACAGAAGAATAAGAGACAGGAGGCCCTATTTTGCCCTCAGATTGGCCCTTAGCATGCTAATTACATATATACACCAGGGGTTCCAAAAATGAACATTTTATACTCAGATTCTTAGTTTATCTCCATGCATCCAAGCCACTTTCCAGAGCCTCCCCCAGTTTGTGCTATTCTTTGTGGCAGAGCCTTAACTTCAGGGCCACTTCCTGCTGCCTTCCTCCATCTCTTCTCTTCATCAACCCTCCATCTGTTCTTTCCTCCAGATTTCATCCCCAGATGCCCTCCTTCCCCTGTGAGGGATACACAGCATGGTGTGCCTGTGACCCACACAGCTCGTGATATGCTATCAGTCCACAGTACAATTATAGATTCCATTCCTGTCTATATTTGATATTTTCTTTACTCTGGCTTAGAAGTGTTTGCAGGAACTCTATGTAGACAAAGATACAATTTGTCATTAAGGCAGGTGAATAATGAGCTGCAGTGGCTACATGAGACTCAGAGAGAAGCTTTCTGTTTTCTCCTTTGGAATGGGTAATTTTTTATAATAGCGCTAGACTTTTGTATTTTATTTTTTTCTTTTTTGTAGAGATGGAGTCTCATTTTGTTGCCCAGGCTAGATCTGTTTTGTTTGTTTGTTTTTTGAGACAAGGTCTCACTCTGTGACCTGGGCTGGAGTGCAGGGGTGCGATCATGTCTCACTGCAGCTTCAACCTTCTGGGCTCAAGCCATCCTCCTCCCTCAGCCTTCCAAGTAGCTGGTACTACAAGGGAGCACCACCACATCCATTCAGCTAATTTTTTTTTTTTTTTTTTTTTTTGTCAAGACAGGGTCTCATTATGTTGTCCAGGCTGACCTCAAACTCCTGGGCTTAAGCAATCCTCCTGCCTCAGCTTCCCAGAGTGCTGAGATTACAGGTGCAAGCCACTGCACCTAGCCTAGATCTTTATATATAGGACTTAGTGTGGAGCTTCTAAGGGAAAGAGATCAGTGGATAACTGGGTGCGAAAAGTAAAAGTCAAAAGAATTCTGAGTGCAGAAATTCTGATTCTGAGTATATGCCCTGACTAATATTCAATTGTTTTAAAGTAAAAGAAGCTGGCTGGGCATGGTGGCTCACGCCTGTAATCCTAGCACTTTGGGCAGCTGAAGCAGGAGGAGTGCTTGAGCCTAGGAGTTCGAGACCAGCCTGGGCAACATGGTGAAACCTCACCTCTACGAAAAATACAAAAAATTAGCTGGCGTGGTAGTGAGTGTCTGTAGTCCCAGCTACTTGGGAGGCTGAACTGGGTGGATCACTTAAGGCCAGGAGGTCGAGGCTGTAGTGAGCCATGACCGCACCCCTGCACTCCATCCTGGGTGACAGAGTGAGAGCCTGTCAAAAAAAAAAAAAAAAGTAAAATAACGCACAGGGATGAGATCTTTCTCATGGCATTGTTTATTCTTCTTTTTGCATTCAACAGTTTTTCTCCTCAGTTGGGTCCCCTGCAATCATTGAGGCTTATTTTAGCCCAGCCACATCAACTGATTGGGATTGGTCATGTCGACTCTAAACAGAAAGGAGCTCCCCATTTTCTGGTGATTCTAGAAAAAAAGGATTTCTCAACATTCTATGACCATTTGCATCCTCTGAGCCTCTCTCAACCCTGTTGGCCTTTCTTTTCCTTTCCTTTCCTGTCATATCACGCCACGATTGGATTTCATCCATTTTTCTACTGGAGACAAACCAGGCTTGCCTGGAAAGAAAACATCCTTGGAGAGATTAGACTCTGACTAATTCTCATTCCTAGCATCTAAAGACAGTGGATTAGATTAAGAAACAACTAACAATACTATGCTCCAATTGCACTATATGAGCTCTCTTAATATATGACATTTTTAATGGAGCTGGCCAAGGTGGTTCTTAGAAGCAGATGCTGAGTACTATACTAACTATTCACAGGCCCTGCAAACCAAGGAAGAGGACAAGAGGAATAACTTACATTTATAGCAGAAAAATAACTTCTGTTTTTTCTTCTTGGTCTGATGTAAACATTCGAAGTTGTAAGTTTCACATTGAAGTGTGTATTTGTGCAAAATGGAGGTGGGGTGGGCAGAAATGCTATTTTGTTATAGCTAGCACCTGTGAGTAAAGGGGCCAAATATCTAGCATTAGGCAGGAAAAGCCTAGGTTTTCTCTTCCTGTTTCATTCTGATGTCCTTCCAAATGTCTTTCTCTGCTCCTTCCTTCTCACTTTTATCTTCTGTCTCTTCCCACCCTGTCTCCTTCCATTTCTCCATTCTTCTGGCCCAGAGAACTATATTTACTTTCAAACACAGCTTAACAATGTTTTCGAATACTCCTACCTGACTGAGAAACTTTGCAGGTATTTTTGTCAATCTCCCATCATTGGCTCAGCTCTCTGGGTCCGCTCACATCTCTGGGGTTAGACATCCCAGCCACCCCCAAAGGGCCCATAAGTTTTTCCAGGTGTCCTAGAGTAACACATCTAAATCTGGCTGGCTTGTAGATAGCAGATGACATGATTGTATATTTAGAAAACCCCATCGTCTCAGCCCAAAATCTCCTTAAGCTGATAAGCAACTTCAGCAAAGTCTCAGGATACAAAATCAATGTGCAAAAATCACAAGCATTCCTACAGACAAACAGACAGCCAAATCATGAGTGAACTCCCATTCACAATTTCTACAAAGAGAATAAAATACCTAGGAATCCAACTTACAAGGGATGTGAAGGACCTCTTCAGGGAGAACTACAAACCACTGCTCAATGAAATAAAAGAGGATACAAACAAATGGAAGACCATTCCATGCTCATAGATAGGAAGAATCAATATCGTGAAAATGGCCATACTGCCCAAGGTAATTTATAGATTCAATGCCATCCCCATCAAGCTACCAATGACTTTCTTCACAGAATTGGAAAAAACTTCTTTAAAGTTCATATGGAACCAAAAAAGAGCCCGCATTACCAAGACAATCCTAAGCAAAAAGAACAAAGCTGGAGGCATCATGCTGCCTGACTTCAAATTATACTACAAGGCTACAGTAACCAAAACAGCATGGTACTGGTACCAAAGCAGATATATAGACCAATGGAACAGAACAGAGTCCTCAGAAATAATGCCGCTTATCTACAACTATCTGATCTTTGACAAACCTGACAAAAACAAGAAATGGGGAAAGGATTCCCTATTTAATAAATGGTGCTGGGAAAACTGGCTAGCCATATGTAGAAAGCTGAAACTGGATCCCTTCCTTACACCTTATACAAAAATTAATTCAAGATGGATTGAAGACTTAAATGTTAGACCTGAAACCATAAAAACCCTAGAAGAAAACCTAGGCAATACCATTCAGGACACAGGCATGGGCAAGGACTTCATGACTAAAACACCAAAAGCAATGGCAACAAAAGCCAAAATTGACAAATGGGATCTAATTAAACTAAAGAGCTTCTGCACAGCAAAAGAAACTACCATCACAGTGAACAGGCAACCTACAGAATGGGAGAAAATTTTTCAATCTACCCATCTGACAAAGGGCTAATATCCAGAATCTACAAAGAACTTAAACAAATTTACAAGAAAAAATCAAACAACCCCATCAAAAAGTGGGCAAAGGATATGAACAGACACTTCTCAAAAGAAGACATTTATGCAGCCAACAGACACATGAAAAATGCTCATCATCACTGGCCATCAGAGAAATGCAAATCAAAACCAGAATGAGATACCATCTCACACCAGTTAGAATGGCGATCATTAAAAAGTCAGGAAACAACAGATGCTGGAGAGGATGTGGAGAAATAGGAATGCTTTTACACTGTTGGTGGGAGTGTAAATTAGCTCAACCATTGTGGAAGGCACTGTGGAGATTCCTCAAGCATCTAGAAAAAAAAATACCATTTGACCCAGTGATCCCATTACTGATTTATAACCCAAAGGATTATAAATCATGCTACTATAAAAATACATGCACGGCTGGGTGTGGTGGCTCATGCCTGTAATCCCAGCACTTTGGGAGGCCGAGATGGGCGGATCACGAGGTCAGGAGATCGAGACCATCCTGGCTAACAAGGTGAAACCCCGTCTCTACTAAAAATACAAAAAATTAGCCAGGCTTGGTGGTGGGTGCCTGTAGTCCCAGCTACTCAGGAGGCTGAGGCAGGAGAATGGCGTGAACCCAGGAGGCAGAGCTTGCAGTGAGCCGAGATCGCACCACTGCACTCCAGCCTGGGCGAAAGTGTGAGATGCCATCTCAAAAAAAAAAAAAAGAACCATAAAAACAAAAACACATGCACACGTATGTTTGTTGTGGCACTATTCACAATAGCAAAGACTTGGAACCAACCCAAATGTCCATCAATGATTGATAGACTGGATTAAGAAAACGTGGCACATATACACCATGGAATACTATGCAGCCATAAAAAAGATGAGTTCATGTCCTTTGCAGGGACATGGATGAAGCTGGAAACCATCATTCTCAGCAAGCTATCACAAGGACAGAAAACCAAACACCATATGTTCTCACTCATAGGTGGGAATTGAACAATGAGAACACTTGGACACAGAGCAGGGAACATCACACACCGGGGCCTGTTGTGGGGTGGGGTGCTGGGGGAGGGATAGCATTAGGAGAAATACCTAATTTAAATGATGAGTTAATGTGTGCAGCAAACCAACATGGCACATGTATACCTATGTAACAAACCTGCATGTTGTGCACATGTACCCTAGAACTTAAAGTATAATTAAAAAAAAAAAAAGAAAACAGAAAAAACAGCTGCAAAAGTGACTATTGCTTCAAAGATCACTATAACAACCAGCAAAGCAACACTAGAGATCTTTAGAGGATGGAAGAGGAAAAATGGAAGGGAGAGAAATAATGGTCTCTGCCCATTGGGTCAGTATTGCAAAAAAACCCAAGCAGTCACTGGCCTCTCTTATGGAGTCCTCTTTCTTCCTATAGTGACAAGTGAAATCAAAAAGGGGAAGACAGGCATTTAGAAGATAAGATGGAGCCATGTTTCATAGATTTAATTCTTCTCCCAATCAAAAGGCAAGTGGAATTGGAAGTCTCAATTCCAAGTAGGCCATTGGCTGATTATGTGATGGAAAGTGTAGTGCCAAGTGCCCGGAGCTTCTTTTTTAAAATTTTATATTTTTAAATGAGGTAAAATATACATAACATAAAATTTACCATTTTAGCCTTTTTAAGTGTACAATTCAGTGGTGTTAACTACCTTCACATTGTTGTGTAACCATCACTGCTATCCATCTCCAGAACTTTTTCATCATGCCCAACTGAATTAACTCTGAACCCACTTAAACAAAAACTTCCCTTTACCCCCTTCCCCTAGTCCCTGGCAACCACTGTTCTACTTTCTGACTCTATGCATTTGACTACTCTAGGTACCTCATGTATGTGTAATCATACTATATTTGTCTTTTGTGTCTGGCTTATTTCACTTAGCATAAAGTCTTCAAGGTTCATCCGTGTTGTAGCATGTGTCAGAATTTTTCCTTTTTAAAGCTGAATAATATTCCCCTGTACATGTATAGCATCCTTATTCATTCATCAGTTGCTTATCCATTCATCAGGATACTTGGGTTGCTTCTACTTTTTGGCTATGGTAAATAATGCTGCTACGAATGTTGGTATACAAATATCTATTTGAATCGCTGTATTTTATTTTATTTTATTTTATTTTATTTTATTTTATTTTATTTTATTTTATTTTCTGAGACAATATCTGGCTCTATCGCCCAGGTTGGAGTGCAGTGGTGCAATCTCAGCACACTGCAACCTCCACCACCCAGGCTCAAGCCATCCTCCAACCTCAGCCTTCTGAGTAGCTGGGACAACAGGTATGCACTACCACACCCAGCTAACCCAGCTAATTTTTATTTTTCTTTTCTTTTTCTCTCCCTTCCTTTCCTTCTTTTCTTTCTTTCTTTTTTTTTCTTTCTTTCTGTCTTTCTTTCTTTCTTTCTTTCTTTCTTTCTTTCTTTCTTTCTTTCTTTCCTTCCTTCCTTCCTTCCTTTCCTTTCTTTTCTTTTTTTTTTTGAGATGGAGTCTTGCTCTGTATCCCAGGCTGGAGTTCAGTGGCACTATCTCGGCTCACTGCAACCTCTGCCTCCCGGGTTCAAGCGATCCTCCTGCCTCAGCCTCCTGAGTAGCTGAGACTGTAGGCGTGCACCACCATACCCGGCTAATTTTTGTATTTTTAGTAGAGACAGGGTTTCACCATGTTGGCCAGGCTGGTCTCGAACTCCTGACCTCAGGTGATCCGCCCACCTCAGACTCCAAAAGTGCTGGGATTACAGGCGTGAGCCACTGCACCCGGCCAATTTTTCTTTTTTCTTTCTTTCTTTTTTTTTTTTTTTGTAGAAACAGAGTTTTGCCATGTTGCCCAGGCTGGTTAGGAACTCAGGAGTTCAAGTGATCCACCCACCTCTGCTTCCCAAGGTTCTGGGATTACACGCATGAGCCACTGTGCCTGACCGAATTTCTGTTTTCAGTTGATTTGTGTATATACTCAGAGTAGAATTGCTGGATTAAAAGGTAATTCTACGTTTCATTTTTCAGGAACCACCATACTATTTTCCACAGTGACTGCACCATTTTACATTTCCACCAGCAATGCACAGGGTTCCAATTTCTTCACATCCATGTTAACATTTTTTTTTCTGGGTTTATGTTATTGTTGTTTATAATAGCCATCTTTATGGGTATAAATTGGTATCTCATTGTGGTTTTGATTTGTGTTTCCCTAATGACTAGTGATGTTGAACATCTTTTCAGTGCTTATTGGCTGTTTGTATATCTTTTGAGAAATGTCTATTCAAGTCCTTTGCCCATTTTTTAATTGAGGTGTTTGTTTTTTTGTTGTTCCACAATTTTTTTTTTTTTTTTTGAGACAGCGTCTGGCTCTGTCACCCAGGCTGGTATGCAGTGGTGCGATCTCAGCTCAATGCAACCTCTGCCTCCCGGGCTCAAGCCATCCTCCCACCTCAGCCTCCTGAGTAGCTGGGACTACAGGTGCACAAGACCATGTCCAGCTGATTTTTGTACTTTTTGTAGAGACAGGGTTTTGCCATGTTACCCATGCTGGTCTCAAACTCCTCAGCTCAAGCTATCCACCTGCCTCCTAAAGTGCTGGGATTAGAGGTGTGAGCCACCATGCCTGGCCCAACAAATAATTTTTGAAGGCACTTCATGCCAGGGACTATTCTTGGTGTTGAGGATACATCTATGAACAAGATACTGTCCCTGTCTTGTCTAGTGTCGGAGATAGGAAATAAATACATAAATATGTATCAGGTTCCATACAAAAAGGAAATAAAGCAGAGTAAAAGAATAAAGAGTAATAGGACACCAGGATTGTTGTAGATACGGTAGTAAGGAAGTCCCTCAGAGAAGAGGACACTTGAGGACAGATGTGAATGAAGTGAGGAAATGCAATATGAAGATTTTGTAAACATCTTATATATTAACATATTCATATATGCTTTTATGGCATCTTATTTTGTTTCTGCCTTTTTATTATTATTATTATTTGCTTTTCCATGCTTTGAAACAATGTTTTCTGAGTTTTTTGTTTTTGTTTTGTTTTTGTTTTCATTTTTTTTGAGATGGAGTCTTGCTCTGTCGCCAGGCTGGAGTGCAGTGGCGTGATCTCGGCTCACTGCAATCTCTGCCTCCCGGGTTCAAGCGATTCTCCTGCCTCAGCCTCCTAAGTAGCTGGGATTACAGGAATGCGCCAGCACACCCAGCTTTTTTTTTTTTTTTGTATTTTTAGTAGAAACGGGGTTTCACCTTGTTGGCCTCGATTGCCTGACCTCTTGATCTGCCCGCCTCGGCCTGCCAAAGTGCTGGGGAGTATTTTTTTAATTACAAAAGCGAGACATACTTATTAATAAATCAGAAAACACAGATGAACAAATGAAGTATGTAATCTCATCTGATCTTCCTTTTGGCTCCTTCTCAAGTTATTTGATAAAGCTTCCTCATCTTCCCTACTTTTTTATTCTTGAGATAGTGTCTCAGGCTAGAGTGCAGTGGCACGATCTTGGCTCACTGCAGCCTTCACCTCCCAGGCTCAGATGATCCTCCCACCTCAGCCTCCCAAGTAGCTGGGACCACAGGTGCACACCACCATGCCCAGGCACTTTTTGTATTTTTTTGTAGAGATGGGGTTTTGCCATGTTACCTAGGCTGGTCTCGAACTTCTGGGCTCAAGCGATCCACCCGTCTTAGCTTCCCAAAGTGCTGGGATTACAATTGTGAGCCACTTCTAACTACTGTAGGGCTGCAAGGCTCAACCCTCTATAGTTTTCTTTTTCTGTATTCATTTCTTTGGTGACCATCTCAAGGTAAACATATATAAAATTGAACTCTTCATCTAACCACTTCTACTACTAACTCTTCATTTCTCCGTCTTATTCATAAATGTCAAGTAGATTCTCCCAGTTACCCTGTCTTAAATCTTAGAATTATCCTGAACTCCTCTCTTTTTCATTGTTTTTACCTTTCGTATATATTCAAAAGCTCACAAATTATCACCATGTCCATCTCCTCAGCTACCACCTAGCCAGAGCCATCATTTCCTGCAAGGTTATTTCAACAGTTTCCTTACTGGTCTCCCTGCCTGCACCTGTGCCTATAATGGTTAGTTCTGCCCATAGAAGCCAACGTCATTCCTTTCACAGTGTTAAGTCAGTCCACGTCCCTCCTCTGCTCTAAACTCAACAATGACTCCCACCTTACTCCAAATAAAACCCCAAATCTCTCCCATAGCCTCGTTGTCCTCTATGATACTTCTCTAAATCCCTCTTTAATCCCTACCATTGGTAGGGAAATCTATCTCTCACTCTCCTCCACTTAGTGCCCCTGGCCTCTTGGTTCTTTTTAGGGTATGTGAATTTCTGGAGATTCTTAATGAATATTGTCTGAGTAGCACTGTAGCATGGTAGTTGAGAGTAAGAGGCTTTGAAGTAAGGGAGATTTGGTTCAAATCCTGGCTTCTTCCCTTACTAGCTCCACTTGTGCCCTTATTCCCATCTCCTTTTACCCACTTAAGAACATAGCTCCTGGTATTCCCACCTTTGTCTTGCATCAGTAATTTCTTCCTCTCTACATGCTATAATATCTACTATTTTAAAAAATAAAGTCCTCCATTCACCTCACATCCTCCTCCAGCTTCTGTTCATTTCTCTTCTCCCTGTTATAGTAAAATTCCTTGAAAGAGCTGTCTATACTTATGGCTTCCAATTCTTCTGTTTCTCTCTTATATTATCTCCAGTGAGGCCTCTGCCTGTATCACTCCACTAAAATAGCTCTTTCCGCAATAGTCGCAAATGAACCTCTGTGTTGTCGAATCAAATGGTCAATTTTTAGTCCTCTTGTGCTTACCATTTCAGCAGCATTCTAAAAAGTTCAAACCTCCCTCCTTGAAACACTATACCCCATGGCTATTAGAATACCATTTTCTCACCAGGTACCTTACTGGCTGTCCATATTCTGTGCCCTTTGTTGATTTCTCCTCTCATTCCTGACCTGTAACCATTAGTGTGCCCCACAATTCAGATCTTGCTTTGTTTCTCTTCTTTATACAGTACTCTCCCCTTATCCATGGTTTCACTTTCCACGATTTCAGTCACTCACAGTTAACTGTAGTATGAAAGTATTAAATAGGAAACTCCAGAAATAATTTACAAATTTAAAATTAGTCTTCAAGTTTCATAGCCTAATGCTACATCATAATTCCTATGTCATTTACCTCATTACATCTCATCATGTAGGCATTTTTATCATCTCACACCATCACAAGAAAAGTGAATACAGTACAAAAAAGTATTTTGAGAGAGAGATAGAGACCACATTCACATAACTCTTATTAGAGTATATTTTTTAATTGTTCCATTTTATTATTAGTTATTGTTAATCTCTTACTATGCCTAATTTATCAATTTAAATTTTAATTTATAAATTAAACTATTTTTCTTTTTTGCCACAAGAAGATTCAGAAGAGCTATAAATTTAACTTATCATAGATATGTAGAGGAAAAAACATAGTGTATATAGGGTTTCAAACTATGTGAGGTTTCAGGCATCCACTGGGAGTCTTAGAACATATCCTCCATGGATAAAGAGGTGCAGCTCTACTCTTTCCCTGGATGATCTCACCCAGTCTCATAGCTTTAACTACCACATGTACATTGAAGATTTCCAAATTTATATCCGCACTTCAGACTTCTCTCAACTCCAGATGAATCTATCCAACTGTCTACTCAACATTTCCTCTTGGAAATCTAATAGGCATCTTAAATGTAACATGTTTGCCATAGTTTGAATATATGTGTCCCTCCAAAATTCGTACATTGAAACTAATCACCAAGGTGATGGTATTAGGAGGTGGTGCTTCTGGAAGGTGATTAAGTCATGAGGGCTCCACCCTCATGACTAATGAATGGAATTAGTGCCCTTATAGTAGAGGCTTCAGAGAGCTGCCTCCCCACTTTTCTGTGCCCTTGCATCTCTTCTGCCATGTGAGAATGCAACATTCATTGGAAGCAGAGAAAGGGTCCTCACCAGACACCAACCCTTCCAATGCCTTTATCTTGAACTTCCCAGACTCTAGAACTGCAAGAAATAAATTGCAATTATTTATAAATTATCCAGTCTCAGGTATTTTGTTATAGCAGCACAAACAGACTTAGACAATGTTTAAAGAGAATCCATGATGGTCCTCTCTACAAACCTGATTCTCCTCCATATCTTGCCCATTTCTCCTGATGGCAGCTCTATCCTTTCAGCTGCTGAAACTAAAAACCTTGGAGTCATCCTTGACTCCTTTTTCTCTCACACTGCATACCCAAGATATCTGCAAAACATGTTAGACTTTTCTTCAAAACACCATCAGTGCTGGGCACAGTTGCATGCACCTGTAGTCTCTGCTACTCAGGAGGCTGAGGCAGGAGGATCGCCTGAGCCCAGGAGTTCAAGTCCAGCCTGGGCAACAAGTGAGACAGAGTATCTTAAAAAAAAAAAATCAGAATCTGACCAGTTCTTCCCACCTCAATTACCACCAACTTGATTCACACCACTGTCCTCTCTCACCTGGATTACCCCAACAGCCTTCCAGCTGATCTCTTTGTTTCTGCTTTTACTCTCTTAAAGCCTATTCTTACTTAACATGGCAACTGGAGTGACCCATTTAAAATTTAAGTTAGATTACATCATTCCTCACTGAATATCTTCCAAGGCTCTCAATTTCACTCATAGTAAAAGCCAGCACCCAAATAATGACCCGCAAAGCAATACCTGATTTAGCAGCCGCATTGTTCATACTGCTTTCCCAAGCTGCTCCAGTCACTCTGGTCTCCTTGCTGTTCCTTAAACATCCCACATGTTCCCACTTTGGAGCCATTGCACTGGCTTTTCCTCTGCCTGGAAAGCTCTGCCCCTGGATATCCATATGAATTGCCCCTTGGCTTCCTGCCGGTCTCTGCCCAGATGCCCTCTCCTCAGAGAGTCCTTCTCTGATTATCCTTCTACATCCACACACCCCAACACTCCTTTCTCCCCTTACCCACTTTATTGTTTCCCTTGAAAAAAAATCACCATCTGCTATCTTATTATTTTATTTGATTAATTTCTGTCTCTTCCTCCTAGAATGTAAACTTCTAGCAAGACTTTGCTTTATTCACTGCTCTACTCACCAGCACTTATTTATTTATTTATTTTTAGTTTTAAGGAGCAGAGTTTAATAGGCAAGAAAGAAGGGAGGAGGACAGAATGAAGAAGCTCCCCTGTACAGAGATGGAGGCAGGGAGGCTCCAAGGCTGAAAGAGGGAACCTCACCTGCCACAGATACCAGCCAGGTATACATACGGACGCTGGAGGAGGCAGTGTCTGATTTGCATAGGGCTCAGGGGATTGGTTTGACTAGGCATGTCATTCACGTAGCCTGCGGAAAAGGCTGGCTCTCCCACCTTAGCCTTTTAATATCCAAATGCAGGGCGCCATGATGTTCTACAGACGTAGAGATATGTAGGGGCGGCCAGGAACATGTGGGGCAGAGGTAAGAAGGCCACAGGAATCGTCATGTTGGGTGGACCCAGTTTCTAACGGCTGGCATTTGCACATTAAATGTTGCCGGCCTGGCTCTAAGAGCCAGGGCTTCACAAGAAGCTTTTCCAGAGATGCTTTAAAAAATGAAAACTTCCCAAGGACCCCTTTTCCTCTCTATCTGCCTAAAATAATTTCTGAATAACTCCTATCACATTCCCCCCTGTGGAGATATCACACTAACTGCTGTTAGGGGGTTTTGGGCTATGACTCTTTCTGGCTACTTCCTGCTGAAAAGGGGTGTCAAATGGCGATCAGCAGCTAGGGCTCCTCCTGGGGTAGATTTAAGGGTCCTCAGAAGAATGGCTTGTCCATGGGTGGTTCAGTATGCAGCACCATTTGGAGTTTGATTACTTCTAGGCGAGAAGAAACAATTCGAGTTGTAGTATTGAGTATACAGGGTCCAAATTTTAATATAAGACATACAAGCAAGAGAGGGATTAATAAAGGGGTTAACCAATTCCATAAAGAAGACTCTGTATTCATTAGCACTTAGAATAGTGCCTGGCATGTAATATTCAATTAATATTTGCTAAATTAATGAGTGAATGGATGAACAAATCTCTCTACAAAGACCCCTCCAAACAGGTAGTGTCTATAAAACAAGTCTTCGGTAATACTTAGGCAAAGTAGCTAAAAAGCTCAGCTCACCCCAAAACAAACAGATACACATCTCAGTGAAGAGATGTGTTAGAATAAATATTGACAATTCTGCATCTCTCTCTCTTTTTTTTTTTTTAATGTCTGATCCTTATACGTGGAAGTCGGGATATAAATCCTTATTTTACAGGTAAGGAAAGTGATGAGGCACAGAGATTTTAAGAAATTTCCAAGACCACCCTTCAACAAATATTTATTAAGCACTTATCATCTGCCATGAACAGTTCTGGGTACTGCAAATACAGCAGTGAACAAGATGCATGAATTGTCTGTCCTTCAGGGAACTTAAATTGCAATGGAGTAAATGATCTTATAAGCAAGACACTTAAGTGTAGTTTCATTGACTTGGTAATGGATCAGCGGATAGCCCTAGAACAGATACCTTTTAAAGGCAGCTCCTGATCCAATAGGTCTGGGGTAGGGCCCAATTTTATGCATTTCTAAAAAGCTCCCAGGCATTGCTAGTTCTGCTGGTTCAGGGACCACACTTTGGACAAGGTGCTAGTGCAAAATATACTATCAAGGAAACAGAAACATCTCCTTGGCCCCAATCCTTTCATATAACACAGTCTAGACAGAAAGGTAAATTACAGCAAGTCAAGCAAATTTCAGGGGACCAAGACTTGGGATATCCTGACAGGTGTGTTAAACAAGGTGTTGGAAATTCTAGAAGCAGCTGGTGTTCAGAGATTCAGCAGGGCAGGCAGGATCAGGGAAGTTAGCCACAAGGCTGCATGGCCACACACACTGGAAAAAATCTAATATCTGGGGAGAGGTAGAAAAAGCACTAGAAAGAATAAGGGAGACTCTTAGTTATAGGAGACTATCAGGGCCCAAACAGATGCCCAGGAACAAAAGGCCAGAATCAGAACAGAGCTATAAGATAGGGGCTTGGATTCAGGATCAAGGTTGAAGTCATCACTATGGTGTCATAACAAAACTTTTCTTGAACCTGAGCATTGAACTGAAAGCCCTTATATTCTTCTTGCTGGAAGAGAGGATTGGCTCCAGAGATGGGGTAGAGCTCACTGCACCCATAGATTGGGATCAAGTGGCCCCAAGGGAGATCTATGAAGGGGATTTGATTCTACGAATAAAGGGGTTTTGGGGACAGGGGACCAAGCAGATTCTACACTGCTCCTATCAGGAATTCTTGGAACTCACAAAGAGGCATAAAGTGTATTAGACTTTGTTTTGAATGGCATGGTCCAAAAAGGGGGGAAATTTCATATTGATGATTGGCCAGAAATAATGGAAAAAAAAAGCCACTGATTTCTCTTTTATCTGTCAGGCTGAAAAGCACTTGGATATGAAGAATATTAAACTAATATTGGGAAAGAAGAGATGGCAGAGAGATCTGTTGAGAGTAGACTGATGGAAGAGACTGACAAAAGAAGACAAAATGAATCTGCTATTTACAAACTACATCCCTAAGGAGATAAAGAGAAATGCTGGAGGAACCCAAGGAATCCAGAATCTAACACTGCAAATATCACGCCACTCTGCACATTAGTGTGCACCAAGTGAACTTTGCAAAGAAGGATGACTAAGCCCCAAGTTCCTGGAAACTCACTGAACAGACAGACCAAAAGAGCCTGACATCTTTCCTTCAAAACAAGCCAGAAAGGCAGTGTGGCCCTGCTGACTTGAAGCTGTACACCAGGAGCAATACTGGTTAACAGCATGGCCTCTATAGCCAGAAAAACATGAGTCCAATATCCAGTTCTGCCACTTAACTTCTCTGGGCCTCAGCTGTCTCACCTATAACTAGGGATAATAAAAAAATAACCTACATCACAAAGTTGTAGTGAAAATTAAATTACTCAATGCACATAAAGAGCTTGGAACAGTGCTGGGCACTTTGTTAGTGTTTGATAGGTTTTAGTCATTACTGTTGTTGCTGTTGGTGCAGCAAGAATGAGCTGGAAGTGATGTGAGAGTCTAAACTTCTCATTTACAAGAAAACAGTCTGAGATCCAGAGAGAAGCTGGGGATAGCTCCAGGTCACCAGCAAGCTCATAGCAGAGCTAACAACAGAAACCAGATTTCTTGAGCTCTATGCTCTTTCTACCATACAACATTAACTTTCAGAAGGGTGGCTTCCTAACTTCTTAGATCACAGGGGGGAAAAACAGTGATAAAAAGAAAATATCAAACACAGCCAGGGAACTGTGATATGTTCTTTATAGAAAAACAAAAATAAGGATGACAACAGATTTTTCATAAGAAACGATGCAAATGAGAGGACAGTGAAGCAACATCTATAAAGTGTCAGGTTGGAATTCCATACCAAGTGAAAATATGTTTCTTTTTTTTTTTTTTTTCTTTTTTTTTGAGACGGAGTCTCGCTCTGTCGCCCAGGCTGGAGTGCAGTGGTGTGATCTCGGCTCACTGCAAGCTCCGCCTCCCGAGTTCACGCCATTCTCCTGCCTCAGCCTCCCGAGTAGCTGGGACTACAGGCGCCCGCCACCTCTCCCGGCTAATTTTTTGTATTTTTAGTAGAGATGGGGTTTCACTGTGTTAGCCAGGATGGGCTGGATCTCCTGACCTCGTGATCCACCCGCCTCGGCCTCCCAAAGTGCTGGGATTACAGGCATGAGCCACCGTGCCCGGCCGAAAATATGTTTCAAAAATGAAAGCAGAGGATAGTGGCACTTCTGCTTTAGGGAAGATGGAGTTGATGTATTTTTCCCTGATCCTGCTGCCAAGTACAACTAAAAGACCTGGACTTTATATACAAAAAAAAAAAAAAAATCTGAAAAAGTAGAAAGAAGATGGCAGACTGGCTAGGGACCTGGGGACCCAAGGAACCACAAAGTGGTGAGTTCCTTGGGTTTCCGTTTTGCTTCATATATCCTGGACTTGGAGTTGAAGAAGCCTGCAACCCAGACATACTTACAAGTTCAGAGAAAAATTCCTGCTCCCTCTAGGTAAGGGACCAGGAAATGGGCAGCCTAGCAAGACAGTAAACTTTTATGTAATAACCACTCAACTCCAACCAAATGCCACTGAAAAAATATGATACCTTCCCCGCCTATACCAGCAGAGACTGAAGTGGTAACCCTAGACTTCCAGTTTCATGGGGCTATAATGAGGTGTCCCAACCCCCTGCTGGAGAGGTGTCAGAGTAGCCACCTAGGACTTTCATTCCTGCTGGATTATAATAATCCAACCCCCGATACACACACAGTGTCAGTGGGGACTATTTGGGGAGTCTGGGTTTCTACTCTGCCCAGCAGTAAAATGTGCCTCTTCATCCTCTAAGGTAGTGTGAAAGGAGGCCTATTGGAAAGTTAGGATGACAATGAGTGGTAACAAGGTCACCTCCTCCTTGTGGTGTCAATGGAGGCCATGTGGACAGTATTAAAAAGGCACTCTTATGCCTCTCAGCCAGGGAAGCATCAGTTGAGACCTATTAGGGAGCAGGAATTATCATTTCTACCCACCACTAATACGTAGCCCCCACTCTTGCTGTCAACAGAGGTTGAGTAGGGGACTTGGACTACTACCCCTACATGGCGGTAATATGGCAGAACACAACCCTTCATTTTCTGAAAAAAGCCAGCTAAAACAGAAGTTTAAAGATAGTCGGTCTCATAATATCTAAAGTATCCAAGTTTCCTTCAGAAATTGCTTACCATACCAAGTTAGGAATATCTCAAATTGAATGTAAAAAACAAAAAACAAACCATCAATAGATGCCCACACCAATTTGACAGATGTGTCAGAATTATCTGACAAGGAGTTTGGAGCAGTAATCATAAAAATGCTTCAATAAGCAATTATAAACATGATTAAAACAAATGAAAAAATAGAAAGTTTCAGAAAAGAAATAGAAGATACAAAAAAGAACCAAATTGATATTTTAGAACTAAAAAATATAATAACGAAAATTAAGAAACCCTCAATGGATAAGTTCGACAACAGAATGGAGAGGACAGAGAAAGAATCTGCAAACTGGAAGCTAGAAAAAGAGAAATTACCCAATTTGAACAACAGAAAGAAAATATACTGGAAAAAAAAATAAACAGAGCCTCAGAGCACCTAATAACAGAGCTTCAAAACATATGAAGCAAAAACTATTCAAATTTCAAGGATAATTAGGTTATTACACAATTCTAGTGGGATATTTCAATACCCACCCTTAATAATTCATAGAACAAGCAGACAGAACATCGGCAAGGACATAGTTGAATTCATCATCAATCAACTGAATCTAATTGACACTTACAACATGTTCCATCCCACAACAGCAGAATGCATATCCTTTTCAAGTACACATGGAATGTTTATCAAGATAGACCATATTCTGGGCCATAAAATAAGTTTCAATCATTTAAAGAAATTTAAGTCATAGAAAATGTATTCTCTGACCACTGTGGAATTATATGAGACATCAATAAAAAAGAAATCTAGGAAAATTTCCACATATTTGAAAATTGAATAACACATTTTTTATATAACTAATCAGCCAAAGAAAAAATCAAAGGGTAATTAGAAAATGTTCTGAGCAAAATAAAAATAAAAACACAATGTATCAAAATGTGTGGGATGTTGCCAAAGCAGTATCAAGGGAGAAATTTATAGTACTAAACATTTATACTAGAAAAGAAGAAAAAAGTATCAAATCAATGATATCAGCTTCCTCCTTAAGAAACTAGAAAAAGAGGCTGGGCACAGTGGCTCACACTTGTAATGCCAGCACTTTGGGAGGCAAAGGCAGGAGGATCACTTGAGTCCCAAAGTTCAAGACCAGCCTAGGAAACATAGAAAGACCTCATCTCTACAAAAAATTTAAAAAATCAGCCAGGCATGTTGGCACATACCTGTAGTCCTAGCTATTCAGGAGGCTAAGGCAGGAGGATCACTTGAGCCCAAGAGTTTGAGGTTGCAGTGTGTCATGATTGTGCCACTGCACTCTAGACTAGGCAGTAGAGACCCTGCCCGCCCCCCTAACCCCCCACACACAGCCAAAACAAAACAAAAAACACAAGAAATTAGAAAAATAAGAGAACATGAAATCTAAATGAAGCAGAAGAAATGAAATACTTAAGACTGAACCAGTAAAAAAAAAACGAAGTAGAAAACAGAAAAGGGATGTAGAATATTAATGAAAACAAAAGCTGGGTTGGTGCGGGGGTGAGTGAGGGGATGGAGTCTTGCTCTGTGGTCCAGGCTGGAGTGCAGTGGCATGATCTCGGATCAGTGCAATCTCTGCCTCCCTGTTCAAGTGATTCTCCTGCCTCAGCCTCCTGAGTAGCTAGGATTACAGGCTCCCACCACCATGCCAGGCTAATTTTTTTGTATTTTTAGTAGAGACAGGCTTTCACTATATTGGTCAGGCTGGTCTCAAACTCCTGGCCTCATGTGACCCTCCCGCACCTCCCAAAGTGCTGAGATTACAGGCGTGAGCCACCAAGCCCAGCCAAAAAGCTGGTATTTTCAGAGGATCAAAAAAAAAACAAAACCAAAACAAAACAAAAAGATAAACTTCTATTCAGACTGATCAGGGAAAAAAAGAAGAGATAATATCTAGTACAGATATTAAAAAGATAATAAAGGAATATTATAAACAACTGATTCCTAAAAAGTCCACACCTGGCTGGGAGCTGTGGCTCATGCCTGTAATCCAGACACTTTTTTTTTTTTTCTCAGACGGAGTCTCACTCTATCACCAGGCTAGAGTGCAGTAACACAATCTCGGCTCACTGCAACCTCCGCCTCCCTGGTTCAAGCAATTCTCCTGCCTCAGCCTCCCAAGCAGCTGGGACTACAGGTGCATGCCACCATGCCCAGCTAATTTTTGTATTTTTAGTACAGACGGGGTTTCACCATGTTGACCAGGATGGTCTTGATCTCTTGACCTCATGATCTGCCCGCCTCAGCCTCCCAAAGTGCTGGGGTTACATGCATGAGCCACCGTGCCCGGCCTATCCAGACAATTTTGGAAGCCAAGGCAGGAGGAACACTTGAGCCTAGAAGTTTGAGACCAGCCTGGGCAGCATAGCAAGACCCCATCTCTACAAAAAAATTTTTTAAATTATCCAGGTGTGGTGGCATGCACCTGTAGTCCCAGCTACTTGACAGGCTGAGGCAGGAGGATCACTTGAGCCTGGGAGGTCAAGGCTGAAGTGAGCCATGATTGCACCACTGCACTGCAGCCTGGGTGACAAAGAGCAAGACACTGTCATAAATAAACAAATAAGTAAATAAATAAATAAACATCTAGATTAAATGTACACATTCCTTGAAGGACACAATCTATGAAAGCTCACTCAAGAAGTAGATAACTTTATAACACTATATTTGTTATAGAAATTGAATTAATAGTTAAAACTCTTCTCCCACGGAAACTCTTGACCCAGATTTCCTTGCTTGTGAATTCTGCCAAACATTTAAGGAAGAAATATGAACAATGCTACCCAAACCCTTCCAGAAAATTGAAGAGGAGGAAATCTTTCCAAGCTCATTCTATGAGAAAAGCATGACCCTGATACCAAAACCAGACAAAGTTGGTATAAGCGAAGAAAACTACAGACCAATATCCCTCATGAACTTAGATGCAAAGATTCTAAACAAAATTTTAGCAAATTAAATCCAATAATATGAAAAACAGGATAATGCATTATGACAAATTGGGGTTTGTATCAGTAATGTAAGATTGTTTAATATCTGAAAATCAACCAATGTAATTCACCATATTAACAAAGATGAAAAACTATATGATCATCTCAATAGATGCAGAAAAAAATCCAACATCCATTTCTGATAAACACTCAAAGCAAACTAGGGATCAAAGGAAACCTCAATTTGATAAAGGGCACCTACGATAATATCACTGTGAAATCTTTCACTGTTTATGTGAAAGATTGAATGCTTTCCCCACTAAGATAAGGAACAAGACATAGATATCCACCCTTACTACTTCTATTCAATGTTATACTGGAAGTTCTAGCCAGAGCAGTTAGCCAACAAAAGAAACAAAGGCATGCGTATTAGAAAGAGAAAAGTAAAACTGATTTTATTTACAGATGACATAAAAGTCTATGTAGAAAATCTGACGGAATGTACAAAACAGCTACTAAAACTAATACGTGAGGTTAGCAAGGTTGAAAGACATAAGATCTATATAGAAAAAGCAATTTTATTTCTTGTATAATGTATTAATTGTATAGTATATTTCTATTACACTAGCAATCAACAACCAGAAATCTACATTTAAAAATAGCATTTATAATAACATCAAAAATATGAAATACTTAGCAATAAATCTGACAAAAGATGTGTAAGCCCTATACACTGAAAACTACAAAGCATTAGGGAGAGGAATTAAGGAGATCTAAATAAATTGTAATTACATTTTGTTCATGGGTTGGAAGACTAAATATTGTTAAGAGGTCAATTGTCTTTCATTTTTTCAACATATTTACCATAATTTCAATAAAAATTTCAGAAGGCTTTCTTATGGCATTTGACAATATGACTCTAAAAATCACATAGAAATGCAAAGTACCTAGAATAGCCATAACAATTTTGAAAAGAACAAAGGTGAAAGACTAACACTATCTGATTTTAAGGCTTCTTATAAGGCTACAGTAATTCAGACAGTGTGGTACTGGCATAAAGATAGACAAATAAATCAACGGGACAGAATAGAGAGACCAGAGATAGACCTACACATATATGAACAACTGATTTTTTTGAGAGATGGGGTCTTGCTATGTTGCCCATTGCCCAGGCTGGTTTCAAACTCCTGGCCTCAGACAATCCTCCTGCCTCAGCCTCCTGAGTAGCTGGGATTACAGGTACACACCACTGCACCAAGATAGCAACAACTGATTTTTGACAAAGCTGCAAAAGCATTTCAGTGGAAAAAGTGTAGTCTTTTCAACAAATGGTACTGAAAAAGTTAGCTATCCAAATGCATAAAAATAAACTTTGATTCATATCCCACTATGTATATAAAAATTAACTAAAAATGGATCATAGACCTAAATGTAAAAGAGAAAACCTAAAACTAAAAGTTCTAGAAGAAAACATAGGAGAAAATATTTGTGACTTTGGATTAGGGAATGATTTCTTAGGTATGACATGAAAAAATGATTCATCAGAGAAAAAAATTGAAAAATTTGATTTCACCAAAATTAAAAACTTCTGCTCATCTAAAGATACTGTTAAAAGAATGGAAAAACAATTGACAGATGGGAAAAATATTTGCAAATAATATGTCTGATAAAGAATTTGTATCTAGAACATATAAAATCTCTCAAAATCCATAATAAGAACCTAATCCAATTTTTAAAGTGGGAATAAGATTTGAATAGACACATCACCAAAGATGATATACATCTGGCAAACAAGTGCATGAAAAGATGCTCACCATTATCAGTCATTAAGGGAATGCAAATTAAAATCACAATGAGAAACCACCCCTCACATATTAGAATGTCTAAAATTAAAAGACTGACCATGCCAAGTGTTGGCGAGGATGTGAAGAAAACGGAAGATTTATACATTGCTGATAAAAACGTAAAATGGAACCAATTCAGGAAAAAGTTTATCATTGCCTTAAAAATATAAATACATACCATATAATTCAGCTATTCTACTCTGAAGTATTTATCCACAAGAAAGGAGATGTACTTCCATACAAAGACATGTACACAAATGTTCACATGAGTTTGATTTGTAATACCTAAAAACTGGAAACAACATGCTATCAGTTAGCATTCAACTAAAGAAACAGAACCAGTAGGGCACATACAGTATATTAAGGGATTTATCATAGTAATCAACTTATGTAATTGTGGGGCTGGATAGGTAAGTCCCAAATCCACAGAGCAGGCCATTGGGAAGGGCAGGCTGAAACTCCGGGCAATAGCTGAAGTTGCAGTCCACAAGTGGAATTTCTTCTTCAGGGAAGCCTCAGTTTTGTTCTCAGGGCCTTTCAACTGACTGAATCAGGGCCACCCAGATGATCTAGGATGATCTCCTTTACCCAAAGTCCACTGATTGTGAATATTAATCACATTTACAAAATACTTGTATTGCAACACCTAGATTCATGTTTAATCAAATAATTTGGGACTATAGCCTAGCCAAGTTTGACATCTAAAACGGACCATCACACACCCAAATATCCATCAAAAGGTGGATGAATAGACAAATTGTACTGTATCCATACAATGAACTACAATTCATCAACAAAAGGGAATGAACTGTAGATAACAACAATGATGAATCTCAAAATAATTATGCTGAGTGAAATAACCCATACAAAGAGTACACACTATATTATTCCCTTTACATAAAATGCCAGCAAGTGTAAATTAATCTATAGTGACAGAAAGCAGATGAATGGTTGCCTGAAGACAGGGACAGGATAGAAGGCAGGGTGGGGCAGAGGCAAGAGATTACCAAGAATCTTGAGGAAATTTTGGGGAGTGATTTGTATATTCATCATTTTGATTATGTTGATGCTTTCACAGGTCTACTCACGTTAAAATGTATCAAACTTTAAACTGTGAAATTGTGTCTATTATACTTCAATAAAACTGTTAAAATTAAAACAAAAAGCTAATCAGACACTTGCATAATTCATCTTGCAATGCAATTACATGGCATCATCTGCAATAATATGTCATCAACTGCAGTTTGAAAAACACTGTGTGGAGCTTATAAGGAACATTGCTTTGTTTGTTGGTTTACTTGTTAGTCATCCACCACTCATCCTCTTCCTATTTGAAAGCGATCTCCTAAGATGTAAGATATTGGTGGGGCACAGCACCTGGCCTCAACTACAGGAGTTGTAGGATAAAGATCCTTATCCTCCCTCTTCCCCCACTCCTGAAACGATAAATCTGGAATGACTGTCAGAGAGACAGGGATGATTAGCATCTAGTCATTATACTTTGGGCAATGCTCATCTTCAGCTGTAGTATCCTGGCCAGATTGTTCCTGCTAGAAGAAGGCCGTGTGCTTCCTGGTGGCCTCTGAAATCCCTTTGGTTCATGTCATCTTCGAAGCCTGGCCCCCCAACCTCCCCTTGATTCTGGGAGCCATCCACCACCCCCAACATCCTTTAAACAAATTTGGTTTGTTTTGATTAGGTTAGCTATTAGTAGTTTCTGCTGTTTATAATCAAGAGCCTTGGGAATACAGAGAAGATACCATATGAGTGGGTGTCATGTAAAAGAAAATACAGAAAAGAAAGAAAGAGTTAATGAAGAGAAAATTCTGGAAAGCCCACCAAACCACAATCAAGCAGGAACCAAATATCTATTTTGTTTAATAATTTATAAAACCACTGACATGAAACCCTGGGGTCCTGTTACATAGGGCCAGGAGAAAAGAAAGTATGTTCAGCAAAATATAGAGCCTTCCAGTTCGCTCCACATGCACGAACTATGATCCTATTTTCAAAGGTTTTCCTTCCAGGACTGGGTTGTGTGAGTGGGCATTGAACTTTTTCCTTTCTCTTGTCAATAATGATGTTGGGCTTACAGAGAGTGAGAGTTGGCAGTGGCTCTTTGCCATAGATGGGTAGTGGGGGAAAAAAGCAGAGCAACCCTGGATTTGGATCTTCCCCAGTATGACTCAGGGATTAGGCAACTCTCCATGTCCTAATCTTTACCTTTGGCTACAGGGCATGCTTCAAAATCCCATCCCAACAATGTGGCTTCTGGGAAATCTAAAGTAGTGCTTCCCTTTGCAGGGCATGGCAGGCATAGCAAATGGTAATGCTGGTATAGCACACTGTGAGAAACAGATGAATAGGTTGCTTGCAGGCTGGGGGTTTTTCTGTAATCCTGGCACACTGGTTAGGAAGTTCTGAGGTAAAGCAATCAAGACCAAATTATCTGTCTGACCATTTCAACCCTCCGCAACCCATCCCAGCCTGCTCTTCTTCCATTATTGCCTTACATATGTCCACAGCTTCAGCCCCACCTGTCTCTTCCCCTCTAACAAAGTTTTATTCACTCTAGTCCACTGATTTTCAAATTGTAGTCCAAAAAAAGGCTCTGAGGTTTGGGGAAAGCGAGACTCAAGCCAGGAAAGTTTTTAAAGCACTGCTGTGGGCCACAATGATCACTTTCTCCCATGAGCTTGTTTTGTCATGGATCACATTCAGCCTTATGTTGAACATTTCATAGGTTATATCTTGCCTTGGCTTCCCAGTGAGATGAGATTTTAAGATTTTGGAAGGTACGGGGCCTAGCTCATTTCTAGTTCATTCCTAGATCATTTCCCAACACATAACAACTACCTGGTGAATGAATGAATTAATGCATGAATGAAAACAGCCAACATTTGTTGATTACTATGTGCCAGGCACCATGGTAAGCAGTTTGCATGCATTATCTCATTTGGTCTTCACAACAAACCTATGAAGTGGGTTTTGTTAATATACTCACTTCATAAATGAGGAAATTGGAGGTCAGAAGATGGACGTGAGTTACCCAAGGTCCCTCAGCCAGTAAATGGCTGGATGGCATTTAAACTATGATTAGTCTCAAAGTCAGCATGATTCAGAGACAGGGAGAATGCTAAAGATTTTTTAAAGCTTAAATTATTTTGGGAAAATAATAGTTTTATATATTTATGGGGTACATGTGATTCTTAAGACTTACGTTTCTGAGATTATCAGATGGTTCTGATAGAGCCAACAGGTGAAGTATCAAAAAAGAAGGGAAAGCACAGTAAACTGAATTTTATTGAGCAAATAAATAAATGGAAACTATCATCGAATGAGGGTCACTGGTTGACTCTCCCCTGGCACCCTTACCTGTCCAAGTCCTGTCCTAGACACAGAGCAAGTTTCTGCTCTCTACTAAGTGAAAGCAATAACCCACATTCGTTCACAAAGCCCTAATTAAGCAGCTATTTGTAAAGGAGTTTTCCATAACTCCTAGACACTAAAAAATGTATGTGCCAACCCAGAAATTTATGTAGAAGCCAGCACAATGCCTAGTACATACATAATAGACACTTATAAATAAAGTATCCATGTTATTGTTGGTATTAATAAAAAGAATATTCATTGAATGCCTACTATGTGCAATATTCTGAGTGTGTTCAAAGATTCTGACACATGAATTAGTGAATTAGATGATTTTACTGCCTTTTAACAAATGAAGAAACTAAAACTCAGAGTGGTTAAAATTTGCTCAAAGTCACATTGATCTGATTCCCACACACATGTTCTTTATAATACTCCATACTGATAAATAACATGCATGTTGATACAAATGGATGGACAATAAAGGAAAACAGCAATCAGTTCTTACCAATATCCCAGAAATTATGCCTATAGTTTGAGTTCAGTAGAAAAATAAAATTCATTCAAATATATCGGTGACCCAATCCAGCTACTTAATCAGACCTCACAGATGACAGTAGCCTTTTTTTTGAAGGAAAGATATTCTGCCCCTCCAGGAGGCAAAGTCCACTTGAGGCTGGCCTGTAGCCCATTCCATACCAGGCCATGGGACTCTGTCCTAATCACTTCATCAAGAACCTCCTTACTTAGTTACAGCCAGTGAGGAACAAACCAGTGAACTGAGGGGTCTTTGAGGAGAAAGAGACAAGCACGGTAATTTGACTGCCCACCATATCTACTCTCACATTTTCCACTGTAATAGGAATTTTAGCTGCATAGGACAGCCCAGGTAAAGACTGCATTTTCCAACATCCCTTGCAGATAGGTGTGGCCATGTGGCTAGGTCCTGGCCAGTAGGACATAAGTAGAAGTGATACGTGTAACCTCTAATCTGTGCCCTTAAAAGAAGCATGCCTCCTTCTGCCCAAGCTCCCCCCTTCCACAGGTTGGAATGTTGACAAGATGGGGAGCAATGAGATAGAAGATGCCTGTGTTCTTAACGTCTTCAAACCCTTATACCAGCCCTGAATCACCTATCTAATAAGATATTGTGGGATCCCTTATTAGAGCACTTGAACATATAACTAACTAATAGGCAACTAGTGGGAAGATTGCTCCGGAAGGTTGGCTACTTTGGGTGTTTTCCTCTAAATGTTTAGAGATAGAAAGGTCTTTATCTATTGTCCAGTTCTAGGTTCTCATTTCAGATGAGACCCAGAGAGGAAGAAAGGACTTGTCCAAGACTATACATTGAATTGGGGTTAAGAATTCCTACTCCCTTGCCATCCAGGGAGGATGTCCTCTTTATTTATATACTTGGCATTATTAGAGACCAACAATACATGCCCTTCCTAAAAATATCAAAATATGTGTGTACAACATGGGAACCATCTGAACAGAAGGAGCAGGGACTGACAAACAAAGGATCCTCATAAGGGCAGCAGTTCTTGTCTTTTAGGATGTGATAGATTTACCTAGTCAAATTAAGGAAAATGCAGATGCCCTTGGTCCCACTGTCAGCAATTCTGTTTCAGTTTTAAAACAAATTTTCCAGGTGGTTCTGATAGATGTGTCCCAAAGACTATACTTTGAGAAACAGTGGCCTAGTATCCTAGGATGTATATATAAGACGCGGTGGAAGGATGTTAGATGATTTTAACAACCTAGCAGTCCTTGGCTGAACACTATGAGACTGAAAAAATCCTAGTTCATCCCCTCCCTTGGAAATGGCAGTGGGTGATAGTGGTGCAGGGCCCCCAGCTGTAGACTCTCTTGATTCTATTAGACTATACATGCTTCAGAGATTTTTTGTTAAGTACAAATTTAATTTCCTTCAGCTGCTTTTACCCGCTATTTTCTGAAGGTTCTCTCTTCCTCTCCCCTCTCTCAGGAGACACAAGTGATTGCTGACCAGAAAAAGGGGAGGCTGTTTCTGCTATGGTTGATTAAACTGTTAAGTAAGGAGCACTTCGCTTAACAATTGTCTTGTTCTCATCAAAATTAGAACTGTAGAGTGGCTGATAATGGCATAAAGGATGCATCTCCTCTGACTGCTGCACACAGCCCTTGCAGCTCAAAATCCCAGGCTCCCTTGGTACCTGTCTAGAACTCTTCAGCTAGGATATTTGCTCCTTCTGAGATCAGAAATAAGCATAACAAACAAACCATCGTCCTGTTTGCACAATACCCCGTAAAATGATTAACCTAGTTAAAAAAACAAAACAAAAAACTTCCCCTTTATTTGGCTGAGATACTGAAAACAAGGTTGAAGTTGCTATAAAAGGATTTGGAAAGCTTTGAGATTGATGAGAGTTACTTTAACACCATTCTACCTTCCCTCCACAATGAATAAAAGGTGACAGTTTGAGACCAGCCTGGGCAACGAGACCCCATCACTACAAAAAAAAAATATATATATATATTGGCAGGGCGTGGTCGTGCATGTCTGTAGTCCTACCTACCTACCTACGCAGGAGGCTGAGGCAGGAGCGTTGCTTGAGCCTAGGAGTGGTTACCGTGAGCTATGATCACACCAATGCACTCCAGCCTGGGCAGCAGCGCAAGATTCTGTCTCTAAAATAAATAAATACATAAATAAATAAAATGTGACAGAGACAGA